>NC_000002.12:118114618-118739618 GCF_000001405.40 Homo sapiens | reverse complement strand
TGTGTTTCTCCACTAGGACATAAGATACATTTCGGTGGAGATTTATCAGTTTTGTCCACTGCTGTATTCCTAGTGCCTAAAATAGAGCAGGCAATCAATAAATATTTATTGACTAGATGCACAAATTTACATGAATATTGTTCTGAGCAAAACATAATCAGAGGTAAGTCTGTTGTTTAACTTCTTCCCAAATTTTGGTGTACTGAATCCTATTCAGTATTACATTGAAAATATCCTCATAAGTGCTAATAAAGCCTCCTGTAAGAATCCAGTGACATTGAGCAAAACACCCACCTAAGGGTAATATTTGCTTTTTGAGGGAATGAATGAGGGGCAGGAATGGTGAAGTGGGTCAATCCAGGGCCACTGTCTGGCTGCGCATTCCTGGCAAAAACCTTATCTCTCTGAACCTCATTTTTTCATCTGTAGGAGGAGAATAACTATACTGACCTCAAAGGGTCACATTGAGCCTTAAATGAGATAATCCATGAACAGTGCAAAATCAGGCACAAGAAATAAATGATGGCTGTTGGCAGTACTTGTAATAAGTCACAAGAGAAGAAAGCCAAGAGTTCCAGGAAGTTTTCTGCTCTGCAGGAGACTTGGAGGTCCTGGGGAAAAGCCACATTTGAGCAGAGGAGAATATACTGTGCTGGAGTCACCCTCCAGGTCTCCCCCCATTTGGTGCTCCAGCCTTTTCCACCAGAGGACTTGGTGCTCGGAGCCTGCCCCTGGCCCTGGCTGCTTGTGGATGCCTCTGGCTCTCAGAAAAGGCCATGTAAATCAGAGCTGAAGGGAAGGGATGGAGAAATTCAGGCCAGGCCATGATTCAAAAGGCAGCAGGAAATGAATACATTTGTTGGAACACAGGGCCAAAAGGACTTGAAGCGTCTGGAGTGAGTCATCAGGTATGCTGAATGCGTACACAGCTCCTGGCTCACAGACTGGGCTGATAGCTACTGGGAGATCAAGCTATGAATAATACGGTATATGTTCCCGCCAACAGAAATTATTTTTAGATTCGCTTCTGTTTCACATTATTCATTGCCCACTTTCCATTTATTAATAAAGATGATTGGAAGTTGACTGACAATAAATACATTATGTATTATTTTATGCACCTATTCACCAAATTTGCTAACCACTAACTATATGCAAGGACTGAGGCACTGGAGATACTAAGATGAACAATATCTGAAAAGTTCACAAAAATAATCTCATGTTATTCTCAGACCAACTCATGAAGGAGGTAGTAGCTACCTTCAGTTAATAATGGATTTGTTGATTGATTGATTCATGTATTACATCATCCAAAATACTTACTGAGCACCTACAAGGTGCCAGGTGCTGTGCTAGATGCTGAGAAGTTGATAATAAGACAAAAGCCTTACATTCTATGGGAGAGACGAACATAAGTAAGGAAGCACATAATTACGTAGCATAATGTCAGGAAGTGATGGGTGTCATGAACAATGAAGTCGGGCTGGAGATGGGAGCTAGAGAGATATTGCTAGACAGAAGGTGGTTTTGAGCAGAGAGACCTGAACAAAGAGCGAGAATGGCTGGGTCCTTCAGTGGAGGACAAAGGACATCTCTGGACTTTTCTCTGAAAACGATACCACAGAAAAATGAAATGACTTTTCCAGGATCACACAACCAGGTGGCTACCCAGCTGCAGTACTGCTCTGGCCTCAAGATGGTAACCTGTACCAACCAGTTTTAAAAATACTGCTCCCTGCCTTCAAGGAAGCCTGCACTTGGATCATCAAATACAGCCTAGAGCCAACTGAGGACTCCAGGAAGAGCATGTGATGAATCCCACAGCTAAGTGCGCATGAATGCATGAATGCACGCCTCAGATATGTAGACAGGTGCACGTTGGCTGCTGCACAGAACAGACTAAATAGAGGTAATGAAACCATAAGTGAAGACCCTGTTTGTTTACAGTTCTTTTCGTAAGAGGAGTCATTTATCTCTGCTCTTTCATTCTGGAAATTAGCATATGAAGGTGTTTGCTGAGTTTCCTACCTTGAGAGAATGCAAAGCTTAATAAAAGAAAATGTTTATCATCTGAAAATTCTTTTTTAAATAAAAGCAATAGCAGTTTTCAATCGAAATTGTCTTCAGAAATAGAACTAGAAACTTTTGTCCCTTGTGAAAATTTGTTCTTTGTTCTGCCTTACCAGATGCATAAGCTGGAAAAGTGTATTGAGGAGGTGGCCTCTGAGGAGATGAGTGTTGACAAGGTCCCCACGCCCCACTCCTGCCTGAATGAGAGCTGTTCCCAAAAAGTAGGGGCAGTGAGACCCTTAGGACAGGGGAAGGGGCCTAAACACATCTTTGTGTTTCTTTGCACGTTTAAAGATTTATTTGATGCTTGAGAGCACAGATAGATGCCCATGATGTTTTCTTCTTCTCCCTTTAAATACTTGTTTTTCATCTTCTACATTTAAAATCAACACACATTTACTATAGGAAGTTAGAAAACACAGAAAAGTAGACAGAGAAAAAATTTTCACTTACAATCTCACCAGCCAGAGAAAACAACAAAATTGTTTTTCCTTCTGATCTTTTTTCATTGTTGATATCTGATTGCATTTATAACTGAATTTCCCATGTTTTAATTAACAATACTATATTACATATGTATATCTTCATATCATAAAAACATCTCCATAAGCATCACAGAGTTTAAAAAATGTTTCCTCCTATTTTGAAAACACTACAGGTTTATTGTGGAAACTTTGAAATATGCAAAAAACTTATTTTATGGACTAAAGGATACTATAAACAGAGTGAACAGACAGCCCACAGAGTGGAAGAAAATATTTGGAAATCATATATCCAATAAGGGATTAAAATCCAGAATATATGAAAGAACTCCTACAATTCAACAACAACAAAAAGCAATCCAATTAGAAAAATGGGCAGAGGACCCGAATAGGCATTTCTTCAAAGAAGACAGATAAATGGTCAGTAAGTACATGAAAAGACGCTCAGTATCACTAATCATTAGGGAAATGCAAATAAAACCACAATGAGATACTGCTTCATATTCATTAGGATGGCTATTATTCAAAAAGCAAAAAATTACAAGTGTTGGTGAGGATAGAAGAAATTAGAACCCTTGTGCATAGCTAGTAGGAGTGTAAAATGGTATACCTGCTGTAGAAAACTGGGTGGCAGTTCCTCAAGACATTTAAAGATAGAATTACCATATGATCCAGGAATTCCATTTCTAGGTCCATATCTACAAGAATTGAAAGCAGAGTCTTCAAGAGATATTTGCATATCTATGTTCATGGTAGCATTATTTACAATAGCCAAAAGGTGGAGGCAGTCCAAATGTTTGTCAACAGAAGAATGGACAAAGAAAACATGATATATATATGAATTTTTTTTTTTTGAGATAGGGCCTCTCTCTGTTGCCCAGGCTGGAGTGTGGTGGTGTAATCACAGCTCCCTGCAGCCTTGACCTCCTCAAAGGCTCAAGCACTCATCCCATCTCAGCGCACCACGACACCTGGCTAATTTTTTCTGTTTTTGCTGTAGCGATGCAGTCTCACTCTGTTGCCTAGGCTGGCCTTGAACTCCTAGGCTCAAGTGATCCACCTGCCTTGGCCTCCCAAAGTGCTGGGGTTACAGGCATGATGGAATATTATTCTGACACTTGTTACAACATGGAATAACTTTGAGAACATTATGCTAAGTGAAGTAAAGCCAGTCACAAAAGGACATTGACTGTATGATTCCACTTATATGAAGTAGGGAGAGTAGTTAAATTTATATAAAGAAAGTAGAATGGTGGTTGCCAGGGTTTGGAAAAGGGAGGAATGGAGCGCTAGTATTTAATGAGTACAGAGTTTCAGTTTGGGAAGACGAAAAAGTTCTGGAGATGGATGGTGGTGATGATTGCGCAAAGCAAATGTACTTAATGCCACTGAACTGTACATTTAAAAATGGTCAAAGTGGTATGATATGGTTTGGCTCTGTGCCCCCACCCACATCTCACCTTGAATGGTAATCTCCATAATCCCCACGTGTAAAGGGTGGGACCAGGTGGAAGTAATTGAATCATGGAGGCGGTTTCCCCCATGCTGTTCTTGTGATAATGAGTGAGTCTCAAGAGATCTGATGGTTTTATAAGCGTCTGACATTTTCCCTGCTTGCATTCATTCTCTCTCCTCTGCCCTGTGAAGAGGTAGGAGATGGCTGCAAATTAAGATGACTTTTCTCCATGATTGTAAGTTGCCTGAGGCCTCCCCAGCCATGCAGAACTATGAGTCAATTAAACCTCTTTTCTTTATAAATTACCCCGTCTTGGGTATTTCTTCATAGCAGCAGGAGAATGGACGAATACATGGTACATTCTATGTTTTGCATATGTTACCACAATTCAAAAAAAAAAATTAAGGCCAATAAAAATCACCTGGCTAGGCACAGTGGCTTGTGCCTGGAATCCCAGTGCTTTGGGAGGCCAAGGTGGGAGGATCCCTTGAGGCCAGGAGTTCAAGACTGGTGGCCTGGTCAACATAGTGAGACCCCATCTCTACAACAGATAAAACAAATTAGCCAGGCATGGTGGTGCAAATCTGTAGTCCTAGCTACTCAGGAGGCTGAGGCAGGAAGATCACTTGAGCCCAGGAGTTTGAGGTTACAGTGAGCTATGATTACACCACTGCACTGCAGCCTGAGCAACAGAGTGACAGAGTGAGACCCTGTCTCTAAAAAAACCAAAACAAGCAAAAAAAACCCTGTGTTTTTCCACTTTCTGGAGATAACCTCTATTAACATTGCGATATTTTCCCTTCTTATCTTTTCTGCATCTATCTGTATTCATACCTAGCTAGCTAATTATATAGATAGATGTTATATATATATCTCTCTACATATATTTTAATATTATATAGTTGAATTCATACTAAATATATATGACTTTATATATTTAGAAAGCATTGTTATGCTTAGTATTTACTAGTGTCAATAAAAACACCTTTGTAAGCACAATTTAAAGTGGTTCCCTTTCATTCCATCATGACTGCTTTATAAATGTTTTCACCTATATTTTGTTGTTCAGCGTTTGTTATTTCTATTTTTTAACTACTATAAATAACTCTACAATGGACATCTTTGTTTATAAGACATTTCCCCCTGCATTTCATATTAATTCCTTGGTTTGGCTTCTCCAGTATGGAATTACTGGGGCAGAGGATGTAAATATTTTTAAATCTCTTAAGTAAATTACAAGATTCTCCTCTCCTACCCTCCCTTCCTCCCTCCCTTCCTTCCTTTATTCTTCTATTTTTTTTCTCTTTCTGGGGATTCTGGCAGATAGAATTCTAACAGAGTACTCAAAATTTCTAACTTTTGGGTGCAAATCATTTTCAGTTATTCAACCAAACACCAATCTAGGTCTTACTGAGGAGAGATTTTTGCAAATATAATTAAGATCCCAAATCAGTTACCCTAATAGGGAGATCGTCTGGGTGGGCCTGACCTAGTCATATGACCCTTTAAATCTGGGTCTAGAAGTCTGAGATGGGCGCAGTCAGAGATCTGAAGCACAGAGGAAATTTGACTCAAGGGAAGTACTTCATTGCTGGTTTAAAGACAAAGGAGGGGTCATGCGGCGAAGGGGAGGCTGTGTGGTAAAGAATGCAGGCAGCTTTGAGGAGCTAAGAGCAGCCCCCAGTTGACAGCCAGCAAAGACATTCAGACCGCAGTCGTACAACCACAATGACTTGAACTTGAATAACTTGAATGAGCTTGGAAATGAGCCCCAGAACCTCCGGAGAGAACTCATCCAGCTGACACCTTGATTTCAGTCTTGGCGATGGCCTGAGCAGAAAGTCCACCGTGTGCTGAACTTCTGACCCGCAAAACTCTGAACTAGGCAATGGGGAATGTTTTAAGCCATGAAGTTTCTAGTAACTTGTTATCCATAATAGGAAACAAATACAGGAATGTACAGGATTTGTGTTTATAAAGTGTGTGTGTGTGTGTGTGTGTGTGTGTGTTATGCATAGCTAGTTCTTCAATCTTAGATTTCACATTGGGCTATTCTGATTTTATGGGTCAGTTATCTCATTTGTCTGCCAAGTTCTTTGCAGAAGCACTTTACATATATTTCTTTGTTTAATAGCTCCATTTAGTCTATTACTAGCCCCATTTTCCAGATGAGGAAACTGAGCCACGGAGTTTACTTCCCCGTGATAACACAGCTAGTGCATGTCACGGTGAGTGCGAGATGGTGTTGGAACCCAGACCTGTGTGTGCCAATAACCCCTTCTTCCGTACCACACAGCACTTTTGAATAACTTCATGGCTAGCTGACGATTTGGGTAATGGACTTTACTTATAAATCCAATGAGACTACAGGAGATGGTTGCAAGAAAAAATGAGGAGTCTAAAAGTAGTCTCTTTTAAGGCCAAAGCTGTGCACCTCTTCTGTTGGGGAGCAGCAGCCTTCTGATCTCAGCCTTTTGTGACTTTCTTGTTTATTTATTTGCTGTTGGTCCCACCCAAGGCTCTGGAGGTTACCTGATTCTGCACATGCCTGGTCAGAAATAAGGTCCACCAGGGCAGGGGTTGGGTCTTATTCTTTTCTTGAATCTACAGCATCCCAGCTCCTCACCGGCAGGGCCTAGCATGATATCCTATAGTGACTGATGGCCAGCAAAATTGTGTTGAAGAAAACAGGGCAATGGCCTCTTCTAGAATCCTTAAAAACTGTTGATTTTTTCCCTACTTGTGAGGAAGTGCCACTTCCTTAAGAAAATCATGCCTCATCACCTTCAAGGTGACCTCTCTAACTAATCTGCAGCTCTAGTTTTGTTTTGGAATCAACATCCTGAAGACCTCAGGGAGCACTGTTACTCCATTGTCATTCTGGCCAAAGAAAGAGCAAGCCAGTCTTCCCTCTCCAGCTCATAGCCTAGATTAGATGCAATGGAACATTTGAACAAATCTGCTCCAAGTATTAGGAGATAGCAACAAGGAAATAATCACAGACAGAACCATGCATACAGTTCCTCTGAGTCAAAGGCATGTCACTCTTCTGCAATTTGTGATCAATCCTAGAATTTCTGCCCACTCTCTGTGAGCACACACACGGCCCTAGACACCTTGGCATCCAGGTCAAGACAGGAGGGCTGATTCCTATATCCCGAATCTTGCTGACTTACGGCCCATTTTTATTACTTGGTTTTCTACCCAAGAGCCACTGCCTTTTTCTGTGATTCCATGAATGCCCCCCACCAGCCCTACCCAAAGGATAGATACCACTTCCCATACATTGATGGGCAGCTGTCTTTTCAGCCTGCATGGCATAACCATTTCCCCACAGAATCCACCAACCCCTTAAGAAGAAGTCTCATCTAGTAGAAAGGCAGGGGTTGTAACCTTGTAGTCAGCCTCAAGTCCATTGGCAGGCTTCAGTTTTTCAGAGGGATGGGCTAGAGGAAAGCTGTTCAGATGGTGTGGAGGGCAGTTGACTGGGAGTGTTTTTATGGTTTCTGAGATTGGAGTGAAGTCCTGGGCTAGGAGTTCTTCAGACACTAGAGGATGAGACTGGAGAGAAAGACCACACTGCCGGCCCCCCGGCTCCAATGCCTGTGTTGTCTCAGCAATGGAGCACAAGGCTTTGGGGAGGGTGTGAGGAAACTATGGCCTCAGCATTTCTGAGTGAGGGAGGAGAAAGAGGCAGAAGGGAAGATTTGGCAATGCACAGGCAGAAAGCAGAGTGGGTAAGAGAGACTTGCCCAGTGGAGCTGATTTGGAACCTTCCCTTTGTTTACGGAGCATGAATTCTGGAGATACACAATCTGAGCTGGGGAACCCTGGTGTGTGCAGGGGTTTGTCTAACATCTTGATCTACTTTTCTAAACATTTTGGAAGGAGAAAACCCCCAAGTCCCAGGGCCAAGCCATTTCCCTCCTCTATTTGTTAAACCCATCTGCAGTTCAAGGGAAATCAGATTCATGTGTTTTTAATTCATTTACACTTAACTTATTAAAATATTGCTTTGTAAGAGCTATTTGATGTCCAGGAAGCCATTTGCATCTCTTAAATAAATCTTTAAAGTCCCTTTTTCTTAGAAACAGGAAATTGCATTTTGCCAAATGCAAATTAACTTGCACCTTATAAAGTTCAATTTGAGCTCAAAACATACACTGCATGAGGGTCGGGTGGGTTTCACACTTGGCAAGCTAAGTCAAGGTTTAATCTAAACCAAAAGACAGCAATTGGAAGCTCCAAGGGCATTCCAAAGGATGGTATTATTGCAATCTGCCAGTGGAAAGTCAAATTCATATTCAGCTGTGCTGTGATTTGGAGGCTGATTAGTAGCACTCCCTCCTTCTGCCCAGCCTTCTCAGTCTTCTTTGCCCCCGGCTAGGTCAAGAAGACAAAACACGGTCCCTGCATTGTCCCCCACCACCTTAGTCAAGAGAACTGGGGGAATTTAGGGTGGGGTCCAAAGAGCAGAACATTTTGGTTTCAGATTTTATTGACTTTTTTTTTTGTTCCCTATGAACACCAAAACTGGGAGACATTATCCCTGCAATGCCTAGCTTTGGACTCACTCAGACACACTCCTCTCTTCTCACATTCTACCTATGTATAGTTTTCCTTCCCCCAAACTTTTCAGAGCCACTTTCCTGTCTTCTGCACTGTCAGGGTGAGGCAGGGCAGGCTGGGACTATTAGCTTCCTTTCACACAGGAGAAAAGAAGGGTCAGGAAGAGGTGAGGTGATTAGGTACGTACTGGAACCAGGCTATTTCCTTCATAGACCCAGATAAAACCAACCCTGGGTCCTTTATTCACACCAGGTAGAAGGAAGAGCCTCCCAGAACGGCTGGCCCAGGCAAATAAAATGCTAGAAAATGAAACAACAGTACCAGAGGTTTGTCTGGTGTTCTGCTGAGTCTTACAAATGTATCTTGAGGGCTCACCCTATGCTTGGCCTTGTAAGAAGTCCAGGAAATGCAGTCGTGAATAGCATGTGGCCTCAACCCTCAAGAGACACATGGCCCAATGGGGAGATATATGCATGAATGAATAACTAGAACAGATGTGGTTAATATCACTAAGGCATGCATAGAGTATTCGAGAGGAACATAGTAGAGGCACTTAGCCCAGCCTGGGAATTCTGGGAACTTTTTGGGGGAGAAGTTACCTGCCACAGTCTTTAGGATGAATAAGAGATCACCAGGAAAAGAAATGAGGGAAGGGCATTCCAGGCAGAAAGAACAAGAAGCATGGAGATTTAGAAACAGCATGGTGGAAGTGGGGGATTGTAAGTACTTTGGAATTATTAGAGCAAAAAATTACAAGGAGGAAGTAAATGGTGAGCTTGGACTTAATCCAGAGGCCAGGAGTTCTCAGCCTTTTCCCAACGGACTCTTCAAATCTGATGAAATTTATGGACCTTCTCTTAAGAAAACTGCATGTTTCCTTATGCACACAAAATTATGACTGTAATCTGATGGGACTCTCCTATCTTCTGAAGCCCGGGCTAAGAACACTTGCTTAGGCAATAGGGAGTCACTGACAAGTGTTAAGCAGGAAAATGGCATGATTAGACTTGCATTTCAGAGCACTATCCTACCTGTAAAGTAGAGAACAGATTGGAATGAAAGTAAGACTGGAGCTAAAAGGACTAGGTAGAAAGCTGATGCAACAACACTCAAGGTGAGAGATGGTGGAGCCCTCAGACAGTACAGATGCCTCCTTGGAAAGAAGCCAGAGCAATGGACATGGTCTTGGTTGCAGAGTGAATCTCTTTCAAGATGAAGAACCTGCTTCTGAGGACAAGTCTGGAAGGGCAACTGATGTCACCAGCAGAACCAGTGAGAGCTGGAGGTGACATCATGCTTCCCAAATATGCAAGAGGAAAAGGCAAAAGAGCTGAAGACAGGGTAAAGTTAATTTTCTGAAGTTAAATTTTTAACTTTTTTTTCTAATTTTTCCAATAAATGGTGGTATGCTTGGGTTTACTCATGGCTCCAACTTTTGGGAGAAATGCTTAGCATTGCTGTGCTAATTAGATGATCTCTGTACAACTTTTGTATGTGTATATATATATGTGTATACACACACATACATAATGACATATACAGCTCTCATTACTTAAAGAGTAATTTTGACTTGAGATTTTAACATACATTTTATAATGTTAAAATAATCATTTAAACTTCCAGTCATTTTTGGGGAGGGAGGGGAAAGTTTTTGCATGTTGGTGTGTGAAGGCCTTGAAAATGTACCCTTGACTCTCCTGCTGCTGAGAAAATAATTGAGGACAGGCCCTAAATGCTACCCTTTGGAATCTCCCATCTTGTTTTTGTAGAGGCCATGCTGTTCCCAGTCAATGACTGTTCATGGTGGCAGCCCCATTCCAGTGGGACAACAATCCAGATGAAAGAACTCACATTATTGTGTCATTGCTATTGAATCCTCAAACCCCATTTAAGTTTGACAGCTGTCTTATGGCAAAAGGACTCAGCCCAGAAGCACAGTGGCATTGAGTTGTCATGTCTTTTTAGTCCTCAGTCTTCCCTTGACTTTCATGGTCTTGATCCTTTTGAAGTGTGCAGTCCATTATTTTGTGGAATGACCTACAATTTGGGCTTGCTGGATGCTTCTTTAGTTATACTGCTTTGGCAGGAATATCACAGAAGTAATGCTGCTTGCATAATTTTCATGACATCCTATCAGAGAGGTACAATATAAAATAATCCTGTCACTGGTGATGTTAACTTTGATCACTTGATTGAGACAGTATCTGCCAAATTTCTCCACTTTACATGTTTGCCTTTTGTGGTTAATATGTATTTTGTGGAGACATTAAGTGTATATAATTATTCCATTCCTCATCAAAATTTTGATGTATTCATTCATTTATTTATAGAGTATAAACTCATACATTTTTATTTTATCGAATAGTTTCCTTTCATTTTTCCCCCTATGCTCAAATTATCCTAAATTTGGCTATTGGGAACACCTTCAATCTGCCTTCTGTGTCCTTTGATGTGACCTGTCTTGGTCTGTTAGGGTTGCTATAACAAAATACTTTAGACTGGGTAGTTTATAAAAAATAGAAATTTATTGCTCACAGTTCTGAAGGCTGGGAAGTCCAAGATCAAGGTACCAGCAGATTTGGTGTCTGGTGAGAGCTTGCTGTTGGCTCCTCAGATGGCGTCTTCTATCTGTACCCTCACATGGTGGAAGGGGAAAACAAGCTCCATCGGGCCTATTTTATAAGGTTATTGTTCCTAAAGGCCCCCAAATTACCCCCCAGATGCCCCACCTCTTAATACCACCACAGTGAGGATTAAGTTTCAACATATAAATTTTGGGGGGACACATTCAGATCATGGCAGACCACATCAATCTCTGAGTAATTTTTTAGTTTATGGCAGAAAGGGATGTTCCAGGCTCATTTTTTTCCTGCCCCAGTACTGAAGTCAGTAATTTCTCTAAGGAGCACTGCTTGTTTTCAATAGAGAATGGTATTTAGAAGCCAAGATTGAGGGTGTATGTGTGCTCATTATTATTGTGCTCTTCTGGCCTCTAAGTAGACAGAACTTTGAGAATATATGTATATTTATTTTTGCAGACCATGAGTTCACCTCCAATTTGCATTTAACACCTTCTTGGACAGTGGGAAATCTCTCTCCAGTTACCCTTAAAGTATTAAATACATCCTTCTCTATGCAACCTATCTCCTGTCATTGCTGTTTCCTTGTTTTCACCCCAGAGTATGGACACTCTCATCCACACTTGAGCTCTGGCTTCTGCACCGTGCGCTTCCCCTGCACTGATGCCATCCTCAGCCCTCTCAGACTCCAACACTTCATAGGGGGCCACTGAAGCCGCCTCCCCTTCATGAGAATGTCTTCTTCACACAGCTCAAGCCCCTCCTTTAAGGACAATAAATTAGTTTTCTGTGATTGTTGTAACTAACTACCACAAGCTTAGTGGACTAAAACAACACACATTTATGATCCTACAGCCTGAAAGTCAGAAGTCTAGAATGGGCCTGCAGGGTTGCAGTCCTGTAGGTTCTAGGTGAGAACCCATTTATTTGCTTTTCTAGCTTTTAGAGGCTGTACCCATTCCTTGGTTCATGGTTTCTTTCTCCATTTTCAGAGCTGGTAGTGTGGCACTTTCTCTCTTTTCTGACCACTACTTCTGTCCTCATATCTTCTGTCTATGTATCTGATTCTTCTGCCTCCCTTTTATAAAGACCTTTGTGATTACACCGGGCCCACCCAAATAATCCACCATAGTCTCTCCATTTCATGTTCCTTAGCTTGATCACATCTGCACAGTCTATTGTACATGGAGTAAGGTAACATATTCACTGGTGTGAGGATTAGAGTGTGAACATCTTTGTGGGAGTTGTTATTCAGCCTACCATGGGCCTTGTTCAGTTCTATTTAGGGTTTTTCAAGTGAATTATTCAGGAAAAGAAAGGAAGAGATAACAAGGGGAAGAATAAGAAGAAAAGTGAACTGCCTCAACTGTATTTCATAGACAACACTGAGGCTTTGAGAGATTTCATAATTACCCAAGACTTTATAGTTTCCATGTGTCAGGGCCAGGACCCAAATCCAGATGGCTCAATTTCTAAGACATGAGGACTCATGTTTTCACTCATTGTGTTCTAGATTTTCACTTTTTCAAATTGCTTTCCCTTCACTTGACCACTGACTATCTGAAAGCTGGGTTTTCTCTATCATGTTCAAACATCCTTCTTGTATTCCAGGGGGTTCATCTGGAGGTTAAGCATAGTGATCCCCCATCATTTGGGTTTTTTGTTGTTGTATTGCATCAACTGACAACTTCATTTTCTCTACGGTTTCTGCAGAAATGGAGACAAACCTATTTCTAATTATCAACACTCTACTTTCTCCTGTTGACCTTACCAACAGCCTTAGAGGAGATGGACGTGACATCCATCATTATCTTATTAATCAGACTATGATTTCCTTCCTTCTTTCCTTCCCCTCTCTCTCCCTCTTTCTCTCTCTCTTTCCCTCTTTTTTACCTCTGTGGGGGCAGAAGTGAGGTTGAACTATTGAGATAACACTTGGTCCAGGTTATGTCTACTTCCTTGTAGACATAGTACCAGCAAAATCTTCAGGGCATATATAAATCAAAGTAAGCAAAGGACTAGCTTCCTTAGTGCCCCTGTGGGGTCAGTGTGAACCCAGCCCACCAGCCACAGCAAAGAAATCAATGCCATCAGAGCATCATCAGCCCTTATATTCTGTGGATATAGGTCTCATCTGCTGCCCCAGAATTCCAAAGTCTTTTCAGATTTAGGGATATCTCTGTGGCTGGGACAAGCTCTTCTGTTACTTGGTTTCACCAGGAGGTGAATGACTATGATAAGAAAAGAGAAGAATGACATGTAAAATCCTTTCCAGATACTGTCTAGAAAAAAAAAAAAGGATGCCCTTTCCCAATAAATATTCAAGTTCTTGATTTTTCCCCACTGTGTAAGTGCTGTTGATATTGTGGGGGATTCCAGTCTATTTGTAATTCATTTGTTTATCCACTCACTCACCCATTCATTCGGTGAAGTTTATAGATGATTCACTGTTCACCAGGTGCTGTGTGTGGTACCTGGGGCTCAGAGATGTATTAGATGCAAGCTCTGACATCCAGGAGCTTACAGGGCTTGGCCACAGGGAAACCATTGTGGGCTACTGGAATGCCCAGTGCATCTTCATATTTTGAGCTGGTCTCAGAATGGTTGGTGCTCACTAAATATTTCTTGACTGAAAAGACACAGTTACTGCCCTTGAGGACTTAGAGCCTGGAGAAATAGTCAAGTGAGAGAAGTGAACCAGAGGATGAAGACCTCTCAAGAGAATCTTAAGGATAAGTCCAATTTTTTTAACTCTCCCTACCACCCCTGCTACCAATCTCAAAAAGCACTCACTTATTAACAACAACAACAACAACAACAGCAACAACAACAATGTGCAAAGTACAGACATAGCTAAAGAAGAAAACAAAAACCCGTTCATAATCCAACACCTAGAGAAGATCACAGATGGAGACTCCAACATGAAAATCCCATTTGTCATCTTGGAAAGATGGTGAACTTGATTAGATGTTCATGGAACACCTGGGCTGCTTTGGACCCAGTCACCGGAAGCTGTTTGGAGTCTTTTATGAGGATGAATGGGAAGCATGACACTGAAAAGCAAGCAGATTTCAGATGGGGCTGAGCTGCCTGGTTGTGTATGGGTGTCCCTGGGGTTCAGGGGTTGAGTCCAGATCCCAGCTCTGGGTTTCCTGCTCTTGAAGGGGAGGTCTCTCTGAAGGGACTGCTGGAGAGGCTGGGCCAGGGTGGCTTTCCCTAGCCTGACCCCTGCTTCCTGGAGCCCCCGGTATCCTGTGTTCTGGCCTGCAGTCCTGTCTTTGGGATCTGCTTTGGTAAAATCTGATATAACCCCAGGACATTTCTCGGTTTTCCAAAATGAGATTCTGAACAGAAGAACTCAATGATCTGCTGAAGCCAGAGATGGCCTGGTGGACTGGTCTCTTGTCTACATCATAAAAATGGGAGGGGAAGAAAAGAGAAACTAACATTTATTGACTGAGCACTCCTCTAGGTAGTTCCTTGCATGCTGTTGAGTTTTGTCTTCACAATAGCTCTGCATGATTTCTCTTATTATGTCTATTTTCACAGATGGTAATAGAGGTTCAGAGAGGTTGTGACTTATCAAAGGTAGCATAGCCAGTACATGGCAGAATCAGGATTTGAACCTAAGTCCCATGATGCTCATCTCACAGAGAGTATGTTGCAGGTTCAACCACACACATGACAGCATGCAAAAAGGAACCAGGGCCAGATTCCCAGGCTCGATTGCTGATCATTTGGCCTTCAATTCATGGGCTCCTTATATTGGTCTCTGATCACTTTCTTCTGGGCCTCCCAAAATTTATGAAGGTTCCTGCTTCCTCTTCTAGCTTAAACATCCTGCTTTCAGCTTGACACGCCTTCCTGACATCTTGCTTTCTTCCTCCTGGCTCCTTCACCTCCACTTCCACATTAGGGTAAAGCCTAAATCTGATGTCCTTTCTCAGCTGAGCCTCAGAGGGCCAACTGTCCAGATCACAGCTGAAGAGCAGAGGTTTCCAAATGTATTTTATCCAGAGACCTTCATCCAAATGGAAGCCGACATGGAAGCTCAGCATGTGAAATGGGAAAATATGACAATTCATTCAGGTAGGAGTGAGCTGAGGACCTGGAGTGTGGCCTGTTCCTACTTCCTTCCCACTCTCCCCTCTTCCAAACAGCAGGCCCTGACGAGGCTCATGGACCTTTAGGCCTCAACAGAGTCCTTTGCAGTCACTGCCACAGTGAACACAGGACTCTGCGTTCTACAGACAGGACTCTGCACTCAGCACTATGCTAGGCCATCCAAGGGAGTGTGAGCTGGAGGGCGGGGCTGGGGGACATCCAGGCTGGATGTGTGCAAGGGCCCTGCACTGATCTGTAAGGGAAATTACTTCCTCTTCTCTGGCATTTTTCCCCACTTTATTTCTTTAAGGTTCTTATACTCCTGACAAACCGCAAGCCTGGTGGCCACTAGAGGCAACCCCAGATATTCCCCCAGCTCCATCCCTTTCCATATGGATGGACCTGCCTCTGCGCGATGCCAACTGTACCTGGGCCTTAGCCGTCTGACCTTGAACATTGAACTTGCTTTCCCTGGCTTGATTTTAGATGCTTTGTTCTTTCTTACACCTGCCACTCTCCAAATCTGGTGGTCTCAAATAAGACACCTTGTTCTATCTCCAGCTACTCAGCTTTGTGTGAATAGAAATCCATTGCTTCTCAGCTTAGCTCTGAGGAAGGCTGGAATTGTCCAAAAGAAGCTTTACTAAGATGCAATAGCAAAACAAAAAGGAAACAAACAAAGAAGTCATAGCAGCACAAAATGACTGACTTCGGCAAACTTAAATTCCTTATTCTAATTCCTCCCACAGAATGGCTTGGCTGGCACGAATTCCAGGCATGCTGCCCGAAGAGCCTCCCTCCCTCCATCCTGAGTTGGCTTGGCCACGGCAGAGGCTTGGTGGCATTCTTTCTCCTGGATGATTTCTTTATCTTCTTTTTGCTCTGGTCCCAGGTCATCACCCCCAGCTTTAAGCCTAGCTGTCTATAAGCAGGCAACTGCCCTGGTCCTCAGGGACCACTGTCCCTGTAAGGCATCTCCTTTCTGAAGCCCCAAGTAGTCCTCTCTTAGCTGCTTCTGACCTGCAGTTGTCTCCTCTGCACCCCCACACCCCACCTCAGTGCACAGATAGTCTCCCTGGCTCCCGGGGGTCCTCCTTTTCTCCTTCTCGCTGCTATTGCCTATTACTGTAAAAGTTCACTTGTTTAAGGAACAGTGACTCACAAGTTTGATGGGTTGTTTTAACCTGCAGGATATACTTTATTTTTGTACTTTTCCATTTTATTGCTCTCCTAAACACTTAAAGTAATACATTATTATGGAATGAGGTCACACAAAAGAAACTTGAGTAAATATAAAAGAAACAGTAAATAAAAATAAAATTCAATGACTGTTTTGAAGCAGGCAGCGTTACCTTTTTGCATATATCCTTTTGTATCTTTCTCAAAGCTCAGAGACATATGCAAACACACAAAGATTTTTTTTTTTTTTACTGTAGACCTGGGATTATTCCCTGCCTCACTCTGCAACTTGCTTTTTTCACTTCATTTTTTCATGTTGTATAATTTGTATTTTGGTGGACCTCAGTTCCCCTGCTTTATTCTAGGCCAGAAGTTCCAAAGCATACTTCTGCAGGACATTGGGTTTCCTTAAGTTGAACCAAGATGCTGAATTGTTGACATCCAGTAATAATCGTCATTGGTTCAGTTTGCAGAAAGTTAAATAAGTATAATTTTTAGCACTTTGACTTTCTGCCATGACTTTTTATTAAAACATTGGCTCTACCACCATTTGGACTAACTAGGCTCTAACCCCAAATGATTTCAAAGTTACTGCAAAATTATACTTAGTTATCTTCAGTTTAATCTGCCAGTATTTCCCAAGATCTTGCCAAGAGCCTTGCAACCTCAAGGGATCTTGGTACTTTCCTACGTTCGGGACACATTGTAGGTCTGGGAAGTGGTTTTGGCCCGAACCCACAGTTGGAACCTTATCTATCAGTCAGGGAGTGCGCCGAGCCAGTGAGGAACAAGGTGATAAGTACAACTGAGAAGCACCCGGGGTTCATGGAACTCTGTTGAGGGACTTTTCCAGAAAAGCAGAAGGCAGATAAGGGTAGGCATTTCTCTACCTGCAGGACAGAAATGAGTGCAGTGGAAGGGGAAGCAGGACATCAGGACACCAGCTCAGGGAGCCTCTGTTGGGCAGCAGAGGGCCTGGGCCCGCCGGGAGCCTTCAAGTTGGTATCCTGGAGGGACTGGTGGTGGAGGTCCAGGAAGTGTGCTGGACTAAAGTAGAAACACCAGAACACTAGTAATTTCCTTGGGGCCTCACAGAAAGATACTGGAGAGGGTGGAACTTTGGGAGGAGTTTGGGGCTGTGCGAGGGTGACTCATTTTTACCTATGTGCAATAGGTGGGCTTAGGGGTTTGTGTCAGGAACAGAAGATCTGACTCAGATGTGTGTAAGCCAAAAGGGAATGTATTGGCACATATCCTTGAGGTATAAAGAACACTTATAGTTGCTGCCTATGGGAGCTCAAATAATGTCGCCAGAACCTGGCTTTCTCATCCCCATCTCTCAGTTCCCCTCTCATCCCTGTCGGCTCCATTCCCACCCAGGCTGGGCTCTCCCTTGGCTTCAGAGGTGGCTGACTGGGCTCCGGACATCACATCTCCCCAACTTCAGGACCAGCAGGAGGGGCACTGGTCCCGTCCCTGCATCAGTTACTACCTCCAGGAAACAGAATCCATTGATTGGCTTCTGTCTGGGTCATGTGCTCCTTTCCTGGAAACTGGGGTGGGTATTCCATTCCAAACTGCCAGCCTGGGCAGGGTGACTCCTTGAGAAAAACAGAGGAAACCTAAGAAGTGTGCAGAGAAGAGAGGTATTGGCAGGCCAAAACCAATGCCTGAAAGTTTCAGATAAATATTGGGTAAGTTGAATTGTTAAATATCTGTGAGAAACTCATGAAGAAGAGAAAACTGAAGGAGGATAAGGTGACCATTTTTGTAGACATAGAGATTTTCACAAAGAAGTTGGAAAAGGTTGATTCTAGTGGCTCAATAGGGCAGAGTGGCCCAAGTGTGCCCCGAGCCCTTATCTCTCTGAGTGGGAATCAGTATTTCCTGTGCTGAGATCCCATATCCCAGCCACACTCACCAATGAGCTAAAAGATTTTTGCATAATGCATAATCGTGGTTTTCTTGCTAGAGACAAAATGAAGGGGAATGGTATAATGCCTAGCAATGGGTTGGACAACGGGAATAGTTTTCAGATGGGAAGACTTAAAAGAAACAGAAAAAAGGTCGCTGAGCCTTGTGTGTGAGTGCGTGCATGTGTGCAAACATGTCTTGATGTTTGTCTGGCCATGTGTTTAACCCTCAGAAAAATGATGAGGGTGGAGGCATTTTTAGAATGGCTTGAATGCCTTCTGACCTAGAGATAGAGGAAGGAGCCATGGATCAGTCCTTTTTTCTTTGACTTAGGTAATTGAAAAGGGTGTATGCCTTCTCTCCTGGCCCAGAGTATAATCTTTACTGGGGCTGGACTTCTTGCTGCCCAATAGCCTGGCACTTACTCCTTCCCTCAGTTTCCTCTTCCTGAAACAAAACCCACAAAACCTGCAGGGACCTCTCAGGGCTCTGACAGGAGCTGTTGTAGGGTGACGGAAAGGAATTGGAATGGCCCATCACCCTACAGATCTTCTCACCTATCCTCAGGTTTGGGTCTGGGGTAGCAGAAAGAAAAGAAGAGCCCAGGAAGGAAGTAGAAGGGATGGTGGCATGAGAAAGGGTAGGGCAGGAAGACATGTGTGTGTGTGTATGTGTGTGTGTGTATGTGTGTGTGTGCGTACATGGGTGCCTGTGTCCTGGAGGAAAGGTTAGCGGAGAGGGCTAGAATTAAAGTTGCCACAGAGGCCTGAAGTCAGTATCTCCCCTCTTGATCTTAAACTGGGGACTGGCACTTGAGTGAATGATGAATTTGCCTTGAGCCTCTCAGGTCAGAGGAGCCTCTTGAGGCCCCATCTGTGCAGCGTGCCTGTGGGAAGGGGGAGCAGAATAGCTGGAGCAGGGAGGGGCTTGGGACCCTTCTTCCAGGTCTGGCCTCCTACTGCAGGTTTTTCTTGTGAGGCTGTGGAAGATGTCAAACACAGCTCCTCTCCCCTGTGGAAATGAGCTGCTTGGCAGTAACAGGTTTGCTATTCATCTTATCTCCTATTAGGTAACCCTTCCCGTCATCCCAGGGCTCATTCTCTCTCTCTCTCTCTCTCTCTGTCTTTCATACACACTCCTTAAATCCCCTATATTAAATTACTGTTGAAATGTTTCGAACTCTCAGCTCCAAGATCATATGACAGAACGCATGAGGGTTTGCTTTTTAATCTTGCCCAAGAGAGAGAAATGAAAATGACTTGCAGGATTTTGACAAAATGATCAGACAAAAAACTTTTTAGCCCCCACCCCTCGAATAAATGAGAACTTGTCAAATGCCATTATCAAATCATATAGATCAGAATTCGTCTCAGTTTTTTTTGGGCGGGGGGTGCCTAAAAGCAATAAAGAGTTGTAACCGCATTCCAAGTTATGTTTGGATTACTGACGACTCCATGACTGAAGATTTGTCTGTCTTGAAGGCAGATGGAGTTTGAGCTGATTTATCTCCTGGAGCTGGAGACCCCATGGATGCCTCATTGAGTCGTAAAATGTCACAGTGAGCTCTGCCCCTGACCACTTTGAACCATTGAGCTTGGATTTTCTGACGTGACCAGCTGAGGCTAAACCTTCAAGATTCAGAGGGGTGGGGGAGGAGAGGGGACCGGATCTTTTTCCATTCTTGGTTTCCATTTGCTTGGGAAAGAAAAAAAATCTATTCTAATAAAGACCTCCTCCTGTGCTAAGCGATGCTCAGGGATTATTTCCTGCTATTGTTTCTCCATTAAATAAATAAATTGCAGCTGGCTTTGATTGTTCATCAGAGGATTTTGACAGATCTCGAATGGGTGACTTCAGGTTTAAAGTCTTATTTGGGTTAGTTTAACTTTGCGGTGACTTGGGCATGATGGTAATACTAAGTAAAAAGTTGAATTTCTTCACCGTGGGGGAAAGAAGGGAATCAGGGTTATATGTGCCCTCCTTTTCTTCTCCATTTCATTGGTTCTTTTCTAATGAAGACAGATGCCAGGTAACTCTGGTTTATCCAGCTACTCAAAGGTGTAACTGACTTCCCAATTTATTAACACTGGTGATTCATTACCATGACAATTGGGAAAAAACTGATTACCTTTGAATTTCTGATGAGGTAATCCTGCCTCTCTCCAGCCCTGGTAATGAATCACCATTTTCCCTCCCTCTTCTGACCTAATTTTCCAAATCATGTACCTGTATGAAATATTGTGTGGAGGCATGCACCTATTTATCTTACAGGAGTCCTCTCCTTCTGAATTCAGGGGAGAAGACAACCCCTCCAACTGGGAGGGAAGATTCATGAATGTTCTGGGTCTGGGATTCAACAAAGCCCAATCTCCCAAATAATCAATCTGTACTGTGACAAGTCTAGGAACAGCCATTCTCCTCTTATTGGCTGGTACTCTGGCATTTTTACCTGAGGGGAAATCTATAAGAACAATATGATTCCACTTCCCTCTGTGAAAAGGGGGTACCTAAACCACAGCCTTAAAATGCTGAGGTTCCTTGCGATAATCCTTTAAGCTTCGTAATGTCTCAACCAAGAAAACTTAATGGTCTCACAATTGTTAGCTTAAACAAATGGTGCCATGGACCACCCATGGGTCTCAGAATCAGTGTGAAAGCTGATATTTGCAAATTGGTGGTCACTTAATTATCTAGGCTCCCCCCAACAGGAATCTGGCCCATGGTGTGGTAAAGGTACCACACTAATTTGTTCAGGAGAATGCAGGGGTGGGATACCACCACTCATGTTCTCTGAATCACTGTTAAATACCCTTTTATCTTTCTTCTTGCTGTGAGAAGCATGCCTAACTCGGTTTCTGTTTTAAGATCCTTGGTTAAAAATACTCTAATATTTTCCCTGTTGACAGGAGCAATTACCTCCTGTCACCCAGAGCATAGCTACACAGACCAGAGGACACATCTCCTGGACACACATACACTGGGCAAGTTGATTCTCTTTAATATGTATTTGCTAAATGTCTATTTTTCTGGGCACCGGAAACAACTAAAGAGAAATGGGACACACACCTGATGCCTCAAGAAACCCTCTTTCATTTAGGGGATCTGCATCAGTGTGGTCTGGAACGGGACATTCCTATTGCATTTTGACGTTTGTCTAGGTTCTTAGTCTCACCAGTTTTCCTGAACAGCAGGTCCAAGGAAAATGTCTTGGTTGTATGTAGTTATTTAGGAAGCTTAAGTGAGGAAGTGGAAGAAGTGAGTAGGGAAAAGATAAAACCAATGTTTTAGAGATGGGGGCTCAAGTCCATGGGATAACCCCCTAGCACCATGGGGATCTTGCCTGGGAACCCAGAGGACGTTGGGAGTCTGAGACGTTTATCCCCCCAACCCCATCCCTTCGCGGTGAAGTGTAGCCCCTGTTCTTTTGAGTTATGCTTGGGGCAACTGAGCAAACTCTATGGTGCCAGAGAAAGCCCTGTGGGAAGGAGGGAGAAGAAAAGCGGCAGAGTCAAGAGGAGGGGCAGCCGGGCGCTGTGGCTCACGCCTGTAATCCTAGCACTTTGGGAGGCCGAGGCGGGTGGATCATGAGGTCAGGAGATCGAGACCATCCTGGCCAACACGGTGAAACCCCGTCTCTACTAAAAATACAAAAAATTAGCTGGGCGTGGTGGCAGGCGCCTGCAGTCCCAGCTACTCGGGAGGCTGAGCCAGGAGAATGGCATGAACCCGGGAGGTGGAGCTTGTAGTGAGCCGAGATCCAGCCACTGCACTCCAGCCTGGGTGACAGTGAGAGACTGTCTCAAAAAAAAAAAAAAAAAAAAGAGAGAGAGAAGGGGCAACTGTAACTGAGTACCACAGCGGCCAGTAGTGGTTGAGGGGTTACCGGGCAGGGTATCAACAGTGACTACAATGACTCAAATAAAATGAGAAGAGCTGTAGGCTCCATGAGATGCTTTGAAAACCAGACAGGTGACTCCATAGATTGGGCTGCGGGGGCCCAGAGAGGGACTCGTGGGTCTCTGTAGTTTTGGCCTGCTCTCTTTGCTTGCTCCTCTCATAGCAGAATTCTTCTTTCCTCTTGAGACTGTCCTCTCTGGCTTGGTAGAAGGCTTTCTATTGTATGGCCTTCCGTAATAACTCAGGTTAACCAACCAGAATCATTTTTTGGGGGGAATTTGCATGAATATATGAAGAGAGACTGTTTTCTAGAATTTGGGGCATTAGGGGTCACTTAAGTTTGAATTGATGGTGATATTTTTCTACCATGTTTGAGGTAAAGCCAATACACTGGAGAGCAGAGCATTAGGAGAAGGTGGGGAGGGGAGAGAGACAGAGAGGTAAAGAGGCTAAGAACTGGAATACATCATTTGCACGACAGGATCCATATCTGCAGTATCAATTACTCAGAAAGTCTCTGTCACCCTAGAGCTGAGGGATGTTGCCTTCCTCAGTTATCCAACAATGACATGTGATTAAGTCTATGTTTGTACTTACATTGCAACTGTCCGAGTGCCTAGAACAGTCTGGCACTTGGATGTTGGTATTTGTTGAATGGATGAGGAAACATGCCATTACTTTTCTGGTCATCCTTTCATTGGTTGTCAGAAGAGCACTTTTCTGGAGGCTGCTGGATGCTGCAGGGCTCCCCACTGCTAATTAGCACCCCTCTTCATGGTTATATTTAATATCCTTGGGGCCAGAGAACCATGCTGGGGCCTAGGGATGCTGGATTGGGCTGTCAAATGGAGACTTTTCTGAATGGCCCTTTGTAGAGTTACTTCATCCAATAGGGCTTTCTGAAGAAACAGATGAAAGGGAGGGAGAATGGGGAGACCCTAAAGCTTTTTGGGTCAGCTAGAGGTAATGTAACCACTGAGAGTCGAGAAGCATAAGGTTCAGGCGTTTCTGCTACAAGCAATGACTTTCAGTTAAGTGACCATCGTGGGTAAAGATTTTAACTCGCTCAAGAAGTATGACTCAGACACTGAGGTGTAAACAGATCATGAAGAGACGCTACAAATTTAAGTAGTTTCCAGGTTGTTCTTTGTTGTTGTTGCGTACCTAGTAGGTATTTAACTATGATTAAGTGATGTGGGGTGTTCAAGAAATATTGGAAAGGAGTTCTGGAGAAAATGAAAAACAATAGACTATATATCAAGAAACTAGATGCTAAGCATAACCTTGTACTAAGGGGGTCACATTGAAGAAGTCACTCAACATCTCTATCCTTTAGTTTAGTCATCTAAATCACTAACATTATTTTTTTTGTCCATTCGTCCCTCGCTTCCTCCCTCCCTTACTACCCTCCCTCTCTCTTCCTTTTCTTTCTCCTTCCATCCCTCTTTTCCTTTCTCATTTCCTTCCTTCTTTCATTTAACAATAACATTCTGAGCACTCGAGACCCTGGAACTTTTTCCTCCTGTGTTAGCATTCTATTGCTGTATACCATAAACTCAGTGGATCTATTATTTCACAGTTTGTTTATGTTAGTAGCCTGGGTTCAACAAAGTTAGGTTTTCTACTTAGGATCTCTCCAGGCTGAAATCAAGGTGTCCTCTGTGTCTGTGGTCCCATCTGAGGCTGTGGATTTTCTTCCAAGCCCACTGGTAGTTGGCAGAATTTAGTTTCTTGAAGTTGTAGGACTAAGACCCCTGCTTTCTTGCTGGTTGTCAATTAGGGGCTGCTTTTAGCTTTCAGAGGCTGCCTGACACCAGTTGCACCATGACTCTCTCTGCCATGAGGCAGTTTATTTCTTTAAGGTCAGCAGGAGAATCCCTCTCACTTGGAATTACTCTGATTCTCTTTTAAGGGCTCAACTGATTAGGTCAGGCCCACGAGGGATAATATCCCTTTTGATTAATTCAAAATCAACTGATTAGGGGGTCTTATTTGCTTTGCAAAATCTTGTCTGCCATGTAATAGAATATAATCATGGGAGGGATATCCATCATATTCACAAGTCCCATTCACGCCCAAGGGGAGGGTATTATGCAGGGTGCATATGCGGAGGAGAGGGCGAGAATCTTGGAGGCCATCCTGGAATTTTGTCCACCACATTCCCTTCCCCAGCCTCTTTTGTTAGTATCCAAAAGGACTTTGTCATAAGGGGGCTGTCTTCCTCTTGGGAGAGTGCATTCACTTTTCATGGGAAGAGAAGTGGGACATAGGGCAGATGTTCTCAGCTAGTCTGGTTTTGGTCCCAGAGGACATTTGGCAATGTCTGGAGAGATTGTTAGGGTATCACAACTCAGGGATAGGTACTACTAGCTTCTAATGGGTAGAGGCAAGGGATGCTGCCAAACATCCTATAATGCACAGGACAGCTCCCTCTCACCCCCTCACCCCCACCTCCCCAGGTTACCTGACCTATAATGTTACTAGGGTTTAGGCTGAGAAACCCTAGCCTAGGGAATAAAGAAATGGAGCTGCGATGTTAGAACGGGAGATGGAATGGGGATGGAGCAGCTAGTGCATCTGCAGGAAATGGAAACTGTGTGTTTTAGAAATGGTTAAGTGAATGAACACAAGTATCTCCATGCGTGGCCTGAGAAACAGGATCTTTATTCCATCAGACATGGAACAGGTACAGGGAGGACCAGGATAAATGCAGAGAAATCAGAAATTCTGAAACCTAGAGTCCTTTAGCATACCTGGGATTCGAGACTGGAGGGCTTGCTGCAGGGGAAAGAGAGAAAATTAGCTCTCTGAATAAGGTTAGTGAGAGGTAAGAAACAAAAACAACTTATTGCGATGCAGTGGAAACACACCCTAATCCAACTATCTTGCAATTTGCTCTAAACTCTTTTCCAGACCTTCCTTGCTAGTCTTTTGGCATTCGAAGGGATAGTAAAGATTATCTAGGGTGGGGGTCACAAACTCGAATGTCCCCAGGCATTGGGCAGGTGTTGTAAGGGAGTGTGGGGGTGCCGCTCCGGACTTCAGCACCTGGAGAGCACCCACCTTGCCTGAGGAGGGTGCCTCCTCTCCAGGCCCTCAGACTGAAAGAATGGGGGCTCAGGTCAGCACATCTCATTTTCCAAATGAAGCCAGAGAGTAAGACTTTTATTTCCAATATCTTAGTTTTCAAATATTGACGATGGATTGAATAATAATAGTAAATTACAATGCAGGCCTGTGGTCCAGGTCCACTCCCAGCAGGCTGTACGTTACCCTCAGACCACCACTTTGCAGCCCCATTTGGAGCATTTAGTACTGGTGACAAGAGAGACTCATTTGGGGATTAATTTCTCACATAAAAGAAGCCCAGGGGTGGGTAGTCTCTTGAATTGTTTCACCAGCCACCTGATCTCCTTTGTTTTGCAACAGCCACAGTCAGTCATTGTTCAAGGACTCATGTTTGCTTCACTGATGCCAAAATTTTACCCAAGCTCTGTTTCCATGCATTTCTGTGTGACCGTGAAGTTTTTGTTTCAATGTTGATTCACAGTGTGATTTTAGGAGGACATTATAAACAGCAATGAAACTCCACGTGCAGGGAACCCAGGGTGCACACAGCACAGGGGATGCGACAGCAACTTGAACTTCTGGGCCCTTTGAGCGCATGCTCAGACTGAGCCAGGACCGCCGCCTGGTTGAGCCGCTCTGGGATGAATGGCAGGTAAGATGCACTCTGATTTTAGACGGATCACATCGTGGGGGAAAAAGCAGGTCTTAAAGCCAGTAAAACGCGTTTTTCTGTTTGGTACCTGGTAAATATTGGCATAGAGAAAGGAAGCAGTGTCCACTTGGGGTGGATTCTGGAGATGAAACCTAATGAGAGAGTCTGGGTACTGGAGTCCGTTCTGCCATCTTGCTGTCTTTACCTGCCTCAATTTATTTTTCTCGGGCCGTCTCTCAACCCTATTCCAAGTGGCCTCATCCCAGTTCCTGGTTTCAGCAGGCTTCTTTGGATCTTCAGTGAGGAGTCAAGGAGAAAAATAACAGTTTCCCCAAAGACTTGCATCCCAGCTCTCTCACCCTCACTTAGAACTGTGTGATCCCGGACGAGCTGCCTCAGCTTGAGGAGGCTCGTTTTCCTCACTTGCAAAATGGTAATAACCCTGCCTTCTCCCTAGGGTTAGGCTGCAGATTAATTACATGTATGCATCCTTCCTAGCACTGTGCTCGACAGAACAGCGGCTTAGTAAATGTTAGCTTCTCTTTCCCTTTGCAGAACTCACTCAGCCAACCCACTTGCCATCTCCTTTATCCATTGGGAATAGCCCAACAACTCACAACACAGAGGCTGTGACCTTGTGCGTCCAGGTTCTTGGTCCTTTTCCAGAATCTCTTCTGCCTGCTTGGTGGAGCCTGACATTTTAGCATAGGAAGTTTGACTTTTTATCTTAATACATGTCTCTAGTTTGTCCCCCATCTCAATGTCCTTTCTTTTGGGTAACATTGTAGAATGCCACTAGTCACTCATTCCTTGGCATGAGTGTTATTAAGTCATTTCTAAGGACCTAAGACAGAAGATCCAGAAGATACTGGGCACTTGTTGATGGCAGGAGGATGTGGGGAGAAGGGAGTGGGCATCTGGGGGCTGGAAGCGCCCCCAACTCCCTGAGGATATTACGCCATTGGCAGTCGTCCATGGTGGAGACATAGTTTGTTTCATGGCCAAATCTCCATTTTAAAATTTATTAAATTCTCCCTTTCCCTCTTATAGTAGTTTTCTCCTTCCGCTATCTTAGGGTTGTATTTTGTTGTTTTCCTAACTTCCTAGAGTGACTTCTCTGTTCTTTTCAAACGCAGTGCCTTAACCTCTGAGGATAACTTTGTTTGGATTCTGTTTTGATATAAAGTATTCATTTTCACTATTTAAAAATACTTCATAATTATATTTGTGGTTTTTTCTTTCTCTCTCTCCTTCCCTTTATTCCTCCTTCCTCCCCTCCCCTCCCCCATCCTCCCTTCACCTCCCCCCCCTCTCCCCTCCCACCTCCTCCCCTCCCCTCCCCTTCCCTCCCCTCCCCTCCTCCCCTCTCCTCTCCTCTGCTTTTTTTCCTTTCTTACCACTATGGTATTTTCCCCCTACATCAAAGTTCTAGGAATATCACAGAAAACAAAAAATTGCAGCGTACTGATCCTACCAAATGCACAAGACCCATATTTATGTCCTCTGACAGTAACATCACCAGAGGCTGCATATTGGATAAAATGAACATCTTGTGACCGCCCACATCTATCGCTGAGCCAAAATGGGGACCCATAAGGTGCCAGTGGGTATGTACAGTTTACCCTATGGACACCTGTAAGGAGTTTTCATTTATTTGTTATTCATTTTCATTTTTTTCATTCAACAAGTTGACAGCGTAGCATGTCCCAGTACTATGTTAGGCAGTGAGAATAGCAGCCACACTCTTTGCTCTTACAAAGCTTTCCATCTTGTAGGGAAGACAAGCATCAGACACATAACCACCCCCAGAAAGTGTGGGGGACACGAGCTACCAGAGAAGGCCCACAGTTCTATCAGAGCCTGGAACAAAGGAATCTGTTTTGTGAGTGAGTGGGTGAGCTAGACTATGAAGGAGTAAGCTGTGGGAACTTAGCTAAGACTAGAGGATGGATAACACTGAGCAAGGTGAAGGCGCCTCATGAGGAGGAGCAGAGAGCTGGCCACTGTGGGCGAGAGACCGGGGGCTGCAGCCCACAGCCCAGAGGGGACATTTTGTATGAGAAGCTGGAGCAGCAGATGGTGTCCAGACATGTGGGTCCTGTAGGCTCCACTAATGACTTTGGTTTTATCCTAAGACCATTGGATGGTATTGATCAGATTTGTGTTGTGAAACGTTCTCCCTAGCTGTTTTGTTGGAAACGTAGTAGAAGGGGCAAGTGTGGGTGCAGAGAGGCCAGTCAGGAGGGTTCTTCTGGGGTTCAGAGGGAGACAAAAGCAGCTTGGGTTAGGCTGGGGGTGGTGGATATGTCAGGAATAAATGGATGCCAGAGGGGCATGTATGTAGACTTGATGACTGTTGGCAGGGAGAAGAGGAGGTTGGTGGGGGGGTGGTGGGGGCTTGGCTGACTCCAGGGCTTCTGGTCTGGGCACCTCCTGATACAGTGGGTGGGTTGGTCTGGCTGAGAGCAGGGCCAAGTGCCCACCATTGCTAGGCTCTATGGATGTGGGTCTGACTTGGTGTTTATCTCTCTCCATCTCCATTGTCTGGCCTTCCCATATGGCTTTGAAATGCAGTTCTGTGGGATCTGAGTTGATCTGTGCTTCTAAGTTGGAGGATTTGGTTTGAGTTGAGGTAGATGCATTCCCACCCTTAGCAACCCCCCTGCAAAGTCAAGTGGAACCAGATGTCTAACAAGCTCCTGGCACCAAAAGGCTCATTTAAAACTGGATCAAGGGCCAGAATGATTTGGGGGAGGGCTGGGGGTTTTGAAGTGTTGGCCACATGAGATGATGTTTAGAAAGCTTCTTGTCACATGCCATTGAGTTTCTTAAGAGAAGGGCTTCCCTTCCATTCTTATCTTTGTTATGACTGCAGCAGCAGCAGGGGGTGGCAGGACTGCATTCATGGAAATGTCATATCCTCAGGGTGGGTAGAAACAGCCCTTCTCTGAGCACGGGTGGACAGGGAGACAGAGTAGGGAGTAGTCACTCACTGGAGGAGTTGCAGAAAGGAGTGCAGGGCTGCCTCTCAGGGTTGTGGTAGAGGGCATTCCTGAACTGAGCAGCATAGGCCACACCAGGGCCCACTAGACCGTAGCAGGTGTATCCTTCATGTGTGTATTCACCATGGATTTTATCTTCTGTACTATGGTGCTCTGACATTTTGAGGTATTGCTGACTTTGGAGGCATTGCCCCTCTCAGGGTGAGCCAATTTCTAGAGATAAATAACTCATCAAGGGCATGTTTTTCAGATACACACCAACCAATCCAGACTCCACACTCCCAGCCACCTCCTCTAATCACTCTCACAATCCACACCACTATCCACCTCCCCTAATCACTCCAGGGCCAGATACCAGACAACTAGGGACAGTCCCTGCACCCCAGAATCTGCCGAAATTATGCAAACTGGCCAACTCTAAGCCTGCTGACCCTGCCTTGCCTGTTCCTTCTCAGAGGCACCACAAAAAGGCTCTTACTCCCGAGTTGTCTTTTCCCCTGCCTCCTGTCTACCCCAGTGTTTCCCGGATGGCCTTGCATGGCATGCTTCTTCCTCTTGGGAACTGTGAGTAACAAACTATCTTTTCAATGGCAGTCGTCTCCTGGCCTGTTGACCTTAATACAGTTCACATTTTCTATTAGTACATTATGTTTTAGAACAGTAAGAAACAAGGGTTTCCTAACAAGTCATGATTCACACTTCCCTTGAGCCCTATGTCTACTTAAAGGGGTGACATGTGGGATAAATGGTGCATTTATTGGATCTACCAGATAAAAATAGTCATTGTGGCTGTTTTCAACATGGTGCCCACATTCTTTGATGCTCTCCTTATTGAAAAGTGAGGTCTGTGTCCTCTCTTCTTAAGTATGGATTGACTTGTGACAGCTTTGATCAATCGACTTTGTCAGAAGTGATGCTATTGACTTTCAAAGAAGGGCAAGAAAAAGTCTTGCAACTTCCTCCTGGTCCTCTTGTGATATTTACTCTGGGAAAAGTCAGATGCCATGTAGGAATTCCAGCTAACCTGAGAACTCCGTGCTGCAGAGGCCACGTGTAGGTTAAGACTTTCTCAAGTTTCTGATTTATAAACTCACGAGCAAATTAAAATGGTTATTGTTTTAGGCTACTGATTTTTGAGGACTTTTTTTTTACTTAGCAATAGTAACTGAAACTATAGTGTACATTTATTTTGCACTTACTATGTGCTAGGCATTGTGTGAAGCACTTTACATATGTATTTCATTTGATTCTATTAACAACACTATAAAATAAGAATTATGCTTCCCATTTTCCAGGTGAGAAAGCTGAAATTCACAGAGGCTAATTGACTAAACCAAGGTCACACAGCTAATACGTAACAGGACTGGGATTCAAACCCAGAGCTATCTGAACTCCAAAGTTATTTTGTCATTTTTAGGACATAATACTGTGGACCCAGTTCTTTTTAAGGCAAGCACCCTGGAAGACTGCTGCAAAAATGCTGCTTACCTGCCAAAGATTACCTAAAAATACTTAATATTATCTCTGCATTATTTATTTTTTACTTAACGTTTTGTTCTTTCCGTTATGTGTGTTGTAGGCACTATTTTAGTCCTTTGGTTTTAGGCTATAGGCATGATTGTAAGTTTTAGTTCGTTTGAATCTCAGTTTAATTGAATAAACCTTGTATTCTTTCTGGGTGAATCTCTTAGGATACATTTCTGGAAGGTGGAGATTTCATTAAATCATTTTTTATTTTGCTTCAAATACAAGGCCCTTTACTAATGAGAGGGCAATGTGCCTGTATCACTGTGTTAAGGATGAACAGTGCTTGGCACAGAGTGAGTGCTCAATAAATATTTGTGAATGCATGAGTCGGTGAATGGAAGGAGTTTTTAAATTTGAGAAGCATTTTCTAGGTACTACCTTTTAAAAAGACTTTTAGGTTCAGGGGTACATGTGCAGGTTAATTATGTTAGTAAACTGTGTGTCATGGAGGTTTGCTGTACAGATTATTTTGTTACCCAGGTAATAAACGTAGTATGTGATAGGTAGTTTTTCAATCCTTACCCTCCTCCTCCCTCCACCCTCAAGTAGGCCTCGGTGTCTGTTGTTTCTGTCTATGTGTCCATGTGTACTCTATGTTTAGCTCCCACTTATAAGTGAGAGCATGTAGTATTTGGTTTTCTGTTTTTGTTAGTTTGCTTAGGATAATGGCCTCTAACTCCATCCATGCTGCTGCAGAAAACATGATCGCATTCTTTTTTTATGGCTGCATAGCATTCCACTGTTATGTATCACATTTAAAAAATCCAGTCTACTGTTGATGGGCATTTAGGTTGATTCCATGTCTTTGCTATTGTGAATAGTGCTGTGATAAACATACACATGCATGTGTCTTTATGGTAGAATGATTTATTTTTCTTTGTATGTATACCCAATAATGAGATTGCTGGGTTGAAGGGTAATTCTATTTTAAGTTCTCTGAGAAATCACCAAACTACTTTTTACCATAGCTGAGCTAATGTATGTTCCCAAAAACAGTGCATAAGTGTTCCCTTTCTCCACAGCATTGCCAGCATCTGTTATTTTTTGACTTTCTAATAATCACCATTCTGACTGGTGTGAGATGGTATCTCACTTTGGTTTTGATTTGCATTCCTCTAATGATTAGTGATGTGGAGTATTTTTTCATTTGCTTGTTGGCCATGTGTATGTCTTCTTTTGCAAAGTGTCTGTTCATGTTCTTTGCCCACTTTTTAAGGGGTTGTTTGTTTTTTGCTTGTAAATTTGTTTAAGTTCCTTATAGATTCTGGATATTAGACCTTTGTCGGATGCATAGTTTAGAAATATTTTCTCCCACTCTGTAGTGTGGATAAGTTAATGCTATTATTTGAGTGTTGAGATTTCCTAATACTAGAGTCTTCTTTTGGGTCATGTCTCTGAATAGAGGGACTCTCTCAGGCCATTTAAATCATGCTGTGGAGACAGCACCCTTCTCCTTATCATCTCTGTTTGCAGAACTGCTGGTTCTGGAAGAGAGGCCTCCTGCTACACTGGGTCCTTGTCGGGTGGCTTCTCCCCATTGTCTCCCTCCCTGGCTACCCAGAGGGGAGTCATTTACACAGCCTCTCATTCTCCCCTCCCTCAGGGAGTGGGAAACTGAGGCTCAGATTCTCCTAAAACTCTAAAGTAAAACCTCACTGGCCTGGGTTGGAGAGCAGAGACAGCTACAGCAGACTGCCTTTGAGGCAGGGGCAGCAGCCCGTGGCCAGGGCAGGGGATGGCCATGCCTGATATTGCACTAGTCAAGGGGACAGGGAGTCTAGTTTTAGAGTGGCTCATGAGGTAGGCTCTTGGTGGAGTGTGGATGAAAGTTCACATCCCAGCTCACTGACATCTTTCTAATTACTGACAATACAGGACATTTGTTTTTAAGACCAAGTTGGGCAATTGTGCAGATATCAGCAGTGACAGCCAGCAACCATGTATCGTGCTTATGAATATGATGTGCCAGATAAGCTGTACCAATAGTAATAAATTATCTTGACTTAACCTGCAAAGTGGCTCTTACTATCCCTATTTTACAGCTAAGAAAACTGAGGCTCAGAGAGGTTAAGTCACATGGCTAAGATCACACAGCTAGTAAGTGATGAAGCTAACATTCAGAATTGGGTTTTCATTGATTTGTTCACTCAGTCTGTGTTTATTGGGTTCTTAGTGTGCATATTCCAGGCACTATTCTAGCACAGTGAAAACATGTAAAATCTCTGCTGTCTCAAAAAAAAAAAAAAATCTCTGGCCTTGTATTCTAGTTGGGGAAAGAGAGACAACAAACCCAGAGACATGCCAGCAAACTAGCAGAGTGATTCCCGATGCAGATAAGCCCTGTTGATAGAGTTTGGATGTGTGTCCCTGCCCAAATCTCATGTTGAACGTAATCTCCAATGTTGAAGGTGGGTCCTGGCGGGAGGTGACTGGTTCAGGGGGGCAGATTTCTCATGAATGGTTTAGCATCATTCGCTTGGTGCTGTCCTTGCATTAGTGAATGAGTTGTCACAAGATCTGGTTGTTTAAAAGGGTGTGGCACCTCCTCCCTCTCTCTCTTGCTCCTACTCTGGCCATGTGACGTGCCTGCTCCCTGTTTACCTTCTATCATGATTAGAAGCCTCCTGGGGCCTCCCCAGAAGCAGATACTGCTATGCATCCTGTAAAGCCTGTAGAACTGTGAACCAATTAAACCTTTTAACTTTATAAATTACCCAGTCTCAGGCACTTCTTTATAACCATGCAAGAACAGCCTAATACACCTATAAAGGAGATAAATGGGAATGAGGTAGAAGAGAGTGACTGGGAAAATAAAGGTAGGCAAAAGGTGAGCCCACCATTAAAACCTGTGACCTGTCTGCTCTGAATGCTGTGCTGCCCTGGGTGTGAAACGGAATTAGGGCCTGGGGATAGGATTTGACCAGGACCCCATGGTGTCATGGGAACTGTAAGATCTACTAAAGTGATGGATTGGTTGCTAAGGAAAATACTGGGAGAATAAACTCTGGACTAAGAGTCAGGAAACCTGGATTCTGATCCTAACTTTGCCTCTAATTTGCTGTGCAACTTTGTGCAAGGTTCTTCGCCTCTCTGGACTTCATCTCTTCAATGGTGTATACCACTTCCTGACAAGGAGAGTAATGTAAGAAAAGCTGCTCTGTGCCTCTAATGTCCCCTAAGATTCTAAGACCTTCTTTTTCCCTCTCAGTTTCTTGTTGGATTGACCAAAGAGTCTCTCTTCATAGCAGGCTGGGAAACAGGTCATGGTGTGTGCATAATGCTTGCTTTTCCCATGGCTGCCCTAAGCCTCACTCCTCCCGTTCCTTTTGCCCTGGTGGCACTGGGGACGCCCTCTCTGCTGTCACTGATAGCAGCTTGATATTAAGCTTCCCCTTTGTCACAGCAGGCTTTAACACACTCTCCGTTCTTGGCACTCGGCGGCCTGGGAGTCCCTGGCTGCCTGGTCCTCTATCAGAAGTCTCCACACTCTCCTCTCTTTGTCACTCCAATTCTTCCTCAAAAACTCCGAGTTATCCCTTTCAAGCATACGTGCCCCTTCAAATCTGTTTCTCCACTGGCACCTTTTGCTTTGTTGAGAGCAACCTGTTGGTTTTTCCAAGAAGGTTGTACATTGTCCCCGTTGCCCCACAACCTTCCCCACCCCTTGGTCCCCCACTTCCTTCTCTAGCTTGTGTGTTGTAAGAATTCCCCAGGTGGGATTTTTCATTTTCTGCTGCTGCTGGGGCTGGTTCCTGGCTGATGTGTGCCCAAAAATATCCTGTCTTCTTGGCATTCTCTTTCCTTCTACTGACTTGTCCTTTGTTGTGGACTCCGTTATAGACAGTGGGGTTTCTCACATTGTAATTTGCAGACTTCTGTACTACAAATTCATATGACTCAGAATTTCTGGGCAGGAGCCTTGTGATGTAATGTGTGTGTGTGTGTGTGTGTGTGTCTGTGTGTGTGTGTCTATAAGAAGGAGAGAGATACACAGAGAGACATAGATAGATAGAACTTAAACATTAGTGTGTGGATACATGTAAAAGCATTATCTCAGAGCTTAATAGAAATAAAAGGCACAACTCTGTCACACACCGCCCTAATCCACCATATATGAAGTAAATCATTCCCTCTAACATGCTTTTCAAATGCACACCTCTGTAGTTACACAGTCAACGTGTTGTGGAGCTTGCATTTAGACCTAGGTCTTTTACTTGCTCGATAAATATTTATTGAGCACATCTAGGATCCGTGTGCCTTATCTTGCTCCTGTGGGATGCTGTCTGTTGATGTTGGTATAAGCATACATGTTTTCATGTGTGAGCAGGAAGGAGTGTGGCTCCAGATCTCAGAGCATTGTAGGAAGAAGGGGCTTGCCTGTGCCTCCTACCACACAGACTTGTACATTCTCTGCCATCACCACACATTCACATCCCTGCACAGATTGATGCTCACCCTGGATCTTTGACATGCCGGCCTCCCCAGCACAACCATGAATTTGCTGAGAGCAAACATATCTGTATCCCAGCATCCAGCTCTGTAGCTGGTATGTAACACGTGGTTAAAAATTGATGACTTAAAGTTCTTAATAAAGAGACCAGAATTTCTTCATTTCTGTACTATTCTTTGAATTCCATAGCAAGAAAAATATTCCAGCGTGGGTGCAGTGGTTCATGCCTGTAATCGTAGCAATTTGGGAAATCAAGGTGGGAGAATCATTTGGGTCCAGGAGTTCAAGACTAGCATGGACAATGGAGTGAGACCCCTGTCTCTACTTAGGAAAGAAAAACACTCTCTAAAAAACTAGAAAAATATTCCAAATGGCTTCTCTGGCCACTTTACTATGACTAATAACCTGAAACATAGGGATTTAAAGACTTAAGTACTTAGTGGTAAACAAGGCAGACTTGAACACACCCTTATTTAAATATTTTCCCTTCTAAAACTCTAAACTAAAGGAATTAAAAAAGTAAACACTCCTAAGGACAAAGAGAAAAAGAGAGTAGATCATAGCAGTTGAAAGATGGCAACAATTATTTTGAAGATGCAGAGTGAACAGGTAAATAGGAATTGACTTAGTAGAGAAGAGAAAGTTGAAAACTGCCCTGTCAGGATAGGGATAGAGTTTGGGGAAGCTATCATGAAGCAACATTATTCCCACAGTAGAACCTCAGGAATTCTTCGAAATTGTAGGCGGCGGGTTCCTCTGAAGGTAAAAGTGAGGAGCTTTAAGTAGTAAGACATGAAGTCCTTGCCCATGCCTATGTCCTGAATGGTATTGCCTAGGTTTTCTTCTAGGGTTTTTATGGTTTTAGGTCTAATATTTAAGTCCTTAATCCATCTTGAATTAATTTTTGTATAAGGTGTAAGGAAGGGATCCAGTTTCAGCTTTCTACATATGGCTAGCCAGTTTTCCCAGCACCATTTGTTAAATAGGGAATCCTTTGCCCCTTTCTTGTTTTTGTCAGGTTTGTCAAAGATCAGATAGTTGTAGATGTGTGGTATTATTTATGAGGGCTCTGTTCTGTTCCATTGGTCTATATCTCTGTTTTGGTACCTGTACCATGCTATTTTGGCTACTGTAGCCTTGTAGTATAGTTTGAAGCCAGGTAGCATGATGCCTCCAGCTTTGTTCTTTTGGCTTAGGATTGACTTGGCAATGCAGGCTCTTTTTCGGTTCCATATGAACTTTAAAGTGGTTTTTTCCAAGTCTGTGAAGAAAGTCATTGGTAGCTTGATGGGGATGGCATTGAATCTATAACTTACCTTGGGCAGTATGGCCATTTTCACAATATTGATTCTTCGTATCCATGAGCATGGAATGTTCTTCCATTTGTTTGTGTCCTCTTTTATTTTGTTGAGCAGTGGTTTGTAGTTCTCCTTGAAGAGGTCCTTCATATCCTTTGTAAGTTGGGTTCCTAGGTATTTTATTCTCTTTGAAGCAATTGTGAATAGGAGTTCACTTATGATTTGGCTCTCTGTTTGTCTGTTATTGGTGTATAAGAATGCTTGTGATTTTTGCACATTGATTTTGTATCCTGAGACTTTGCTGAAGTTGCTTATCAGCTTAAGGAGATTTTGGGCTGAGACGATCGGGTTTTCTAGGTATACAATCATGTCATCTGCAAACAGGGACAATTTGACTTCATCTTTTCCTAGTTGAATACCCTTTATTTCTTTCTCCTGCCTGATTGCCCTGGCCAGAACTTCCAACACTATGTTGAATAGGAGTGGTGAGAGAGGGCATCCCTGTCTTGTGCCAGTTTTCAAAGGGAATGCTTCCAGTTTTTGCCCATTCAGTATGATATTGGCTGTGGGTTTGTCATAAATAGCTCTTATTATTTTTAGATACATCCCACCAATACCTAATTTATTGAGAGAAGGACTTCATGTCTAAAACATCAAAAGCAACGGCAACAAAAGCCAAAATTGACAAATGGGATCTAATTAAACTAAAGAGCTTCTGCACAGCAAAAGAAACTACCATCAGAGTGAACAGGCAACCTACAGAGTGGGAGAAAATTTTTGCAATCTACTCATCTGACAAAGAATCTACAAAGAACTCAAACAAATTTACAAGAAAAAACAAACAACCCCATCAAAAAGTGGGTGAAGGAAATGAACAGACACTTCTCAAAAGAAGACATTTATGCAGCTAACAGATACATGAAAAAATGCTCATCATCACTGGCCATCAGAGAAATGCAAATCAAAACCACAATGAGATACCATCTCACACCAGTTAGAATGGCAATCATTAAAAAATCAGGAAACAACAGGTGCTGGAGAGGATGTGGAGAAATAGGAACACTTTTACACTGTTGGTGGGACAGTAAACTAGTGCAACCATTGTGGAAGACAGTGTGGCGATTCCTCAGGGATCTAGAACTAGAAATACCATTTGACCCAGCCATCCCATTACTGGGTATATACCCAGAGGATTATAAATCATGCTGCTATAAAGACACATGCACATGTATGTTTATTGCGGCACTACTCACAATAGAAAGGACTTGGAACCAACCTAAATGTCCAACAACAATGATAGACTGGATTAAGAAAATGTGGCACATATACACCATGGAATACTATGCAGCCATAAAAAATGATGAGTTCATGTCCTTTGTAGGGACATGGATGAAGCTGGAAACCATCATTCTCAGCAAACTATAGCAAGGACAAAAAACCAAACAGCGCATGTTCTCACTCATAGGTGGAAATTGAACAATGAGAACACTTGGACACAGGAAGAGGAACATCACACACTGGGGCCTGTTGTGAGGTGGGGGGAAGTGGGGGGATAGCATTAGGAGATATACCTAATGCTAAATGATGAGTTAATGGGTGCAGCACACCAATATGGCACAAGTATACATATGTAAGAAACCTGCATGCTGTGCACATGTACTCTAGAACTTAAAGTACTATATATATATAATTTTAAAAAGTAGTAACACAGTTCAAAAGTCTTTATAAAGATCAGGTAGACCTTGTAATTTCTTCTCCCATTCCATGCAGCAGGCAACCAGCCCTGCCCTTCTCCAGCAGTGCAGTGGAGGTCAACGCTGAAACAAAGAGTGGAAGGACCTCTAACCTGAGGACACCAGCAATATGAAGGGGTTGCCATGTTAAGAATAGGGAATTGAGGGCAAGTGTACGTTTTGAACAATGAGACTCCATTCTTACCCATCCCTCTTGTGCCACTGAGCTTCCTGAAAACTGGCCTCCAGAATTTGCGCTACCCAGCGGGAGTTTGGTTTTGCTAACTAAAACAACTGACCAATTATCGAGGGATCCTAATAAAAAGTTGGTTCAACACATTTTCACCTATAGTGAAGTCTTCCCCAATATACCTCACTCATGCATACAGAGCTTCCAGTTGGCTTCTAATACCAGTCACATAAATGTGGATAGCAAGCCAAGGATCACCACACATGTAAACCTCTAATATGAATGCTGGATAAAAGAAAATGCAGGAGCAGCAAAATTATAAAAATTAATACAATCAGTGTAATAAAGTAGATTGTATCTATAAAACAAGAACAGGAGACTATAAAAAAGAACATCCAGAAAACAATAAGGAGCTGCTGGGAATTAAAAATGGAATCGTAATGTCAAAAATGTAATAGAAAGTTTGGAATATATATTGATGAAATTTCCATGATAGAAGAAGAAATATACAAGGAGATGAAAAATAGGATAAAGATAATCAGTCAGGATGTCCAACATTTTATTAATAGGTTTCCAAAACATTTTTTTAAAAAGGAAAATGTAGTAAAGGGAAGGGAATCTTCAAAGAATCAACACTGGAAGTTTTTCTAGAACTAAAGGACATAAGTTTCCTGATTGAAAGGGTCCATAGAATGCCCAGTACACATATACACACACCACACAACACCACACAGACCACACACACACACACCACATACAGCACACATCATGCACCACACACACACACACATGCACACATATATCCACATGCACACATACATGCACATACCAAGAAACGTGAATTTTTAGAACATTGTGCATCAAGATGGAATCCTAGAATTTTCCAGAGCAGGAGAAAAAAAATCGAAATCAGAATGCAGATAGCAAGTCACAGGTCAGAAAAGCCCTTTGATTATTCACCAGGATGTGGCCTCCTGGAGATGCCAGGAGTCATGAATGAGAAAGATGTAACCTGTGGATTTTTCAATGAAGGGAAAACTGGCCAATTATAATTACTTTCTTATGGACTCACCTAAAAACCCTGCTCAGAGCAAAGGTGCTAAGAGCCCCAAAAGGTCATTCATTGTCTTCAGTGTTTCCCCAAATAGGCTAAATTCATAGTGTGGCCTTCACAGCTCCCATGATCTCAATACTTAGTCACTCACTTGTCATTAAGTAAATTTGGAGGTAAAACATCTCTTTTCTCTGAGGAGGATTTTAAAGTGAGTCCATAAAACAGTATTATAATTGGCTCTTTTGCCCTGTAACTTGTGCCCTCATCAAGTTTCCGTGTGAAAAGGTGTGGCTTGGCCTTGCCCTTGAAGCGGGGGCTGTCTGCCCGGTGACAGCAGACTCATTCACAACAGCTCCCTGGGTGCTCCTTACAGAAAACGGACGCTGACGCTGCTGTCGTCCAACCTGTCTTTAACCCAGTAGCCCAGGGAGACTTGGGGAGGGCGGGAGGGCAGGGAACGCGTCTGGAGGTGTCACACCTCACCAATGCAGGATCTATGTTTACCCAAGTTCGCCAACTCCCCTGCCTTTGTGGCTGTTCCATCTCAAGAGTGGAACCTTGTCCCCTTCCCCTCCCTACTGAAGATAAACAGGGGCTCCCTAGGTGGTGAACCTAGAGACATGGATCTGAAACTAGGCCCTGCCTTTTGCTGTAAGCACATTGGATAACTTTCTCTGAACCTAGGTTTTTTTAGTAGCAAATGGATTTCTAAGGCCTTTTTCAAGTCCAGGCCTCTGTCAGCCCTGGGTATTTATAAAGAACATGACACAGGCTTTCTCTCAAGGGACTCCTAGGCTTGAGGCCGAATCAATCAAATAAACGAAAAATTACAACACTTACATGTGATGGGCTGGAAGGGGGAATTCTGGGGGAATATGTGCCCCCAGGGAGGAGCATCTGACCAGTGATGGGGGGAAAGCATGCCAGAGGATGGGGGTACCCTGAGATGTATCTCAAAGAGTGAAGAGGACTTGGATGGCTTTAGCATGATGCTTCTCTCTCTGGATTTCATATTCATTCATCTGGATATGATGTTAATACCTCATTTGAAGAGGTGCAGTTCCCCACGCTTGTCAACAGTTATCCCTCAGCTGCATTCAAGAGATTTATTTTATTGAGACAATACAACTTGTAGTTCTATCTTGTTCTCTGGGCCTTTGTACGTGCCATTTCCCTTCTCTGGAATGCCCTTCCTATTGAGTTTCTAATTATCCTTTCTGACTAAGCTCCAGCTAGATGTTCTTTGGGAAGGCTTCTCTTAACCCTTCATACATGTCCTATAAGCATGTTTTGAATGAGTGAATAAATGGATCAGTCTATGACATGTGGACCCCGGGAACTTTGTGTTTGTAGGCAGTCATGCCACCTGCCACACCCAAGCTTAACATCATCTTTACCCTATTGGTTAAAGCTCTCTGAAGTTACCTGTCTGGCCCTTATCTCCACCGTTAGGCTTCAGAAAATTGAAAAGGCTACTTCTCCAGCTCCTTCCTCTCAGCTCTGAAACCATGGGGCCCAAGAGAGCTGTACCAGCTGTAAGATGACTGGTTAGATCAGCAACTGTAAGGGAAAGAAACATCTGTTGGTACTCTCTGTCACGAATCATTCTCACGGTTTCCATCCTGGCTGCTGACACCTGCAGCTGAGCCCAGAGTTCTGTGATCTGAGGTTGGTGATTGGTAAAATGCCACTTCAAGTCTATGCCTGTCAGACCACTCAATGTCTGCTGCATGGTCTGGCCCCAGGGCACGTGAACAGGCAGGCAGCTGATACAGTTGACGGAGGTCAAATCTACGTCCAGTGTGATGAGCAGGGCTCCTCATTCTCTTAAGTTTTGAGTGATACATGAGGCTATCTCCTGACACCATGTGTCTTTGTTGCCAACTTACACTCTGACAGGCTGTGTAAAGTGACAAGGTTTTAAGGATGTCACCAGAAGAGTAGTCACACCTGATTTGTGAACAGCCAGAGAAAAGGGTTAAGATGTAAACATTGGAGAGTCTGTAATCAAAAGCAAATTTCAGTGAAACAAATCTGACAAAGGATTATAGCCTTCATATATAAAAAGTTCTTACAAACCAATAAGAAAGCAATACTACAATGGAAAAAAGAACTAAAGACATAAATAACTTTATGGAGGAAGAATTATAAATGAACAATAAACATAGAAACATGTTCAGCTTTGCTAATAAATACACATACAGAAATTAGAAAATCTTAATTTTCACCTATCAAACTGGCAAAAAGCTTTAAATAATTATCCTTAGTTTTGGTGATAGTGGAATAACATGATTACACATTATTTTTGGAGTGCAAACTGGCATTACCTTTCTGGAAAACAATTTTGCAGTAGGTACCTAGAGACTTCAAAACATTCCTAATGCTTGACTCATAATTTCTCTTCTAGAAGTGTCTGCCAAAGAAATAGAAACTGGGACAAAGATTTATGTACAAAGATGTTTATCTGCAAAGTTATTTGGAAGGACCTCAAATGTCCCACCATAGCAGAGTGGCTAAGTAAACTGTAATATAACTACACAGAGAAATATCATGCAATCATTAAAATAATGCCTTTGAAGAATTTCAAATGACATGGGAAAATACTCATAAGATAATTTTAGGTGAAAGAATATGGATAGAAAACTATCTGTACATTGTAAATTCAATTATGTAAATAATGCTCCCATTTAAATTCTATTTTTGGGAAAAAATGGAAGAAAAATACAAAAATACAGTGGTTATCTCTGGATCATGAGACTTTGGGTAATTTTAGTTTTCTTCTACTCATTTTCTAAATTTTTCAGACTTTCTACAATGAGCATATTTGTAATTTATCCACTCATTCATTTATTCACTCATTCATTCATTCAACAGATTGGTTGAGTGCTTACTGTAACTCTTCTAGGCACTAACAGTAATCATAATAATAACTCTACAAACATTCTGCTTATGGTTGAAGGTTCTGAAAACAGATCACTGGAATTTAATCCTGGTTCTAATGCTCAGGTCCTTCCTCCCCCTGTGCCTCACTTTCCTTAAGAATAAAATAAAGGATGGTACCAGTACCTTTATCATCCTGTGCTTGTAGGGATTAAACAAATGTGTGATAGAGCTTGGCATGGTGCCCAGGGCACACTAAGAGTGTCTTAACCCCTGGGAAAGCCACACATACAGAGCTCCTCCTCCTTTTCTCCACTTACCCAAATCCCACCCAAAGTATGCAGAATCAAGGGGTGAAAAGTGGGCTCCCCTTCCCCATCTGTGCCCCTCCCTCTCCACACTCACAATCCCACTCCTGTCTGCAGAAGAAACCACAGGAAACAGCTTTGTTTATTTATCCTTCCAAAACATGGTTCCTCTGCATTTCCACAGGCATGTAGATGTGGAGTGCTATAACCCCCTGAGGCAGATCTGATCGTGCCCATTGTCCAATAAGGAAGCAGAGGCTCAAGGAGAGCGGAGCGCCCCCCCTCACACTGATGATCACAGCCAGGCCAGGAAGGCTGATTTGATCAATCTAACGCTGGCGCCCGAGCCTTCTGCACTGGCCCTTCAGCTCTAAGCCCAAGCCTGGATGGGGTCTTCAGTTCATAAAGAACATCACTCCAAGGGAAAACCAGGACATTGGAAACCCAGGACTCAGTATTGCAAACGTCAAAGCCACTTTGTTTCCCACTGTCACTTGCATCTTGCTCAGTGAGGGTAGCCTTTCCCTTTGCCCCTGAGGTCAACTCGGCAGACCCTCAACTTTTGTCCTCAATTTTAGTTGACGAAGTACTCCCCCACTGTGATCACAAGCCCAGTCACAGTTGAGGCATTGAGTCTTCTCTTCCTGCTCAAGGACAGGGGAGGGGCTGCTTCTCTCCACATCTCCCCTGCAGCTCCTTCTCCAGCCATTAGCTCTTGTCTCCATGGATCCTGGGTGTGGGAGCAGGAAGAAGAGGAAACAGGCTATGAAGTTTTTTAGTTTCCTGAAGCCTACTGACTTCAGGCTTTTTGTATTTGGCAGATGTCTGTAGCTGCCTCTGGCTTTGGTGGGCATTTTGAGATTTCTTGAGGGACTCCCTTGCTGGGCCCCTCTAAACATCCCCCTAGCTTCTTCAAGTGGCTGCTCTCACATCTCCACAAGGCGAAACTCTTGGGATGATCTTCCTTCCTTCCTTCCTTCTTTCCTTCCTTCCTTCCTTGCTTCCTTCCTTCCTTCCTTTCTTCCTTCCTTCCTTCTTTCTCTCCCTCCTTCCCTCCCTCCCTTTCTCTTCTCTTCTCTTCTCCTTTCTTTCTTTCTTTCTTTCTTTCTTTCTTTCTTTCTTTCTTTCTTTCTTTCTTTCTTTCTTTCTTCCTTCCTTCCTTCCTTCCTTCCTTTCTTTCTTTTCTTTCTTTCTTTCTTTCTCTTTCTTTCTCTTTCTTTCTTCTTTCCTTCCTTCTTTCTTTCCCTCCCTCCCTTCCTTCCTTCTTTCTCTCCCTCCCTCCCTTTCTCTTCTCTTCTCTTCTCTTCTTTCTTTCTTTCCATCTTTCTTTCTTTCTCTTTCTCTCTTCTTTCCTTCCTTCTTTCTTTCCCTCCCTCCCTTCCTTCCTTCCTTCCTTCTCTCTCTCTCCCTTCCTTCCTTCCTGCCTTCCTTCCTGCCTTCCTTTCTCTCTCTCTTTCTTTTTTCTTTCTTTCTTTCCCTCCCTCCCTCCTTCCCTCCTTCCTTCCTTTTCCGTCCTTTCTTCCTTTTCCTTCCTTCCTTCCTTTTCCTTCTTTCCTTCCTTTTCCTTCCTTCCTTCCTTCCTTCTCTCTCTTTCTCCTTCCTTCCTTCCTTCCTTCCTTCCTTCCTTCCTTTTCTGGTACCAGGTCTCACTCTGTTACCCAGGCTGCAGTGCAGTGGTGGAATCTCAGCTCATTGAAACCTTCGCCTCCCAGGCTCAAATCGTCCTCCCACCTCAGCCTCCTGAGTAGCTGGGACTACAGGGGTGTGCCACCATGACTGGTTAATTTTTGCATTTTCTTTTATAGAGACAGGGTTTCACCATGTTGCCCAGGCTGGTCATGAACTCCTGGGCTCAAGGTACCCTCCTGTCTTGGCTGCCCAAAGTGTTAAGATTACAGGCTTGAGCCACAGCACCTGTCTGAGAACCCACTTCAATATGGCCCTAACATTCTCTAGTAACCCAAGATCTCCCCCTAAGATTTATTATATGTATGTACGTATGTATGTGTTTGTCTGTGTGTATATCTATATTTTTTCTATTTTTTGCCATGGCAAGGGAGGGCAGCACATATCTAAATCAGTCACTAACAAGGTGATGGAGCATCATAATTGTTTCGGGTATATGTATTTGCTGGGTCTCTGATATATAAATGGAAAAAATGAAAACTCAGAAAGGTGAAGCATCTGACATAAGACCTTATGGTTACTTAGTTGTGAAGTCAGAACTCAAACTCAGGTCGTCTGATCTCCTACAGCCAGAACTGCCTCCCTTAAATCACCCCTCTGGCTGATCTTGTTCACCAAGGCTAAGGATCATGGTTGGCTTCAGTTTAGAATCACCTCAATACCAACTTTTGCTGATTGAGGTCCACCTCAGTGCCAAGCACAGGGCTATCCACATTGTGCATGTTATCTCTAAGAAACAACAGAGGAAAAATTAATAGTAGCTGTTGAGAAACACAGGTGGACAGTTTGAGCCTTGTCTTCCAGAAAGAAATCAAAGAAAAGAACCCAAATCACACCTGTAATCCCAGCACTTTGGGAGGCCAAGGCAGGCGGATCATGAGGTCAAGAGATCAAGACCATTCTGACCAACATGGTGAAACCTCGTCTCTACTAGAAATACAAAAATTAGCCAGGCGTGGTGGCACACGCCTGCAGTCCCAGCTACTCAGGAGGCTGAGGCAGGAGAATCGCTTGAAACCAGGAGGCAGAGGTTGCAGTGAGCTGAGATTGTACCACTGCACTCCAGCCTGGCGACAGAGAGAGGCTCTGTTTCAAAAACAAACAAACAAACAAACAAATAAACAAACAAAACCATTCATGAACAGTAGCATTATACATAATAGCCAAAAAAGTGGAAACAACCCAAACGTCCATCAGCTGACAAATGGATAAATAAAATGTGGTTTATCCATGCAATGGAATAGTATTCAGCCTTAAAATGGGATGAAGTATTGATACATGCTATATAACATGAATGAATCTTGAAAACATTATGTGAAGTGAAAGGCAGACATAAAATGACAAATATTATTTGATTTTATTTCTATGAAATATCTAGAATAGGAAAATACATAAAGAAAGAAAGTAGATGAGGTCTTCCCAGGAGCTGCGGGGACGGGAGAATAAGGGGTGACTGCCAAGGAGTTTCTCTTTGGAGTGATGGAAATGTTCTAAAATTAGATTGTGGTGATGGTTACACAACTGTGTGAATATACTAACAGCATTGACTTGTACACTTTTAATTCAATGGGTGGATTTTATGGTTTGTGAATTATATGTCAATTTTATGGTATGTGAATTTTAAAAACTCAAAAAAACCCAAATGGCAAAGCCATGAGGATTTTACCTGGCCTGCTTGCCAGGAGACCCAGGAAGCCAATTACAGTGAGCGTGTGCTTGTGGTTCTAACAATGCATCCCTTCTCAATCTCTGTGTTAGGACTGAGGCCTATTAGCTCCATAATGGAAGTCTAATCTCCTGGTGAAGATGTGAGAATAAGTAATTTACTTTCAGTCAATCAAATGTGTTAAAACGGAACTCTCGAGGCAGCCAAGAGGAGGAGGGATTATTTTGTTTTTCTAGTGTTATTGAAGGCCCCGCAGAGCAACTGGCTGCCTTTTGCCAGCTGGGTGAGGCCTCACAGCAGGCAGCCCAGTGGGCTGGAATCCTCAGCAAATCATCCTGACTGTTGGAACCATGAAATCCAGCCAGACCCCAAAATGGTGACCCCGCAGTCCCCAGCGCCCTCTGAAGCTCTCTGGATAGGCTGGCTTCCATTTCAGGCCCAGCCTGGCCACTGAGGAATGCCAAACATCTCCATGCCTGGCAGCCACAAGGCCACCAGGTGTCTAGGGCCAGCACAAAGGTTTAGGGGTAGGGAGGTGTTTCTTCTGCTTTTTTGCCCTGCTGCTCATGGAAGCTTTCCCCACGCCTCCCACCTCCAACCCTCTCCTATTTCCGCATGAAGCTGGTTCAAAAGTTTGGACAAAGCCATGGCTCTCTCTGTAGCTTGGGGGAGACCGATGGGCCCATCTCTTTGGGGGTATCATTTCTTAGGGAAATGTTTGGGCTAATTGGAGACAGGTGTCCCCAGGTGCTAACATGCAGACTTTCCCTGGAGAAGTGGGTGCAAAGTGAAACCACATGGCCTACTTACAAATAAGTGAGGTGCGAGTGGCAGGCCCTTGTACCTTCTCCTTCCTTCTCCTGCCCCCGCTCCTCTCCCTGCAGGCTGAGGGGAAAGCCCCTGGACTCACACGTCGGGTGGTATGGTTGTGGTTTCCGCACAGTGCTTTGTTAGGTGGAGAAGAGGGAAGGGCAAAAGGCATCCCTGAGCCTGTTGCCTGGCAGGTCTTGAAAGTGGGGTCGTGTAGGGGGATGTGCCTTCTACCTTGTTACCAGAGCCAGAATCCTGAGAGGAGCTGAGAACAGTGAGTGGAAGTGGATCCTTTGAGAAGAGGCCCAAAGAACTGAAGGCTGTTTGCTTCAGGAAGCCTGGAGACCCTTTGCACACATACTTGATGAATCCATCTGACCAGTGGGTTCGGAATTTTGAAGAAAAATGCATCCTAATGCTTTCAAGATATTGAGCCCTCCATTGGTATCCAATTTTGCTCTCCATTTGCTCTACGAGAAAACTGAGGCCCCGGTGTGCCAACATCATAGAGGCAGAGCCAGGATAGGAATGGATGCCTGTGGGCTCCAGAAGTCAGGGCTCTATTCTGACTGTGAGTTGAGTCTATGTGCCTTGAAAGACATGCATGGAGTTCTGAGATAAGATACAATTGACATGAGGGGAGACAAGCTCTTGAGGATGCATAGCAGAGAGATGGGATGAGTGGGGTCCTTTATTGAGCTACTGATCCAGCCTGGTACCACAAATGCAATGTGTCTCATCCCAGATATGATTAAAATGTCCTAAAGTCCTTTTTTGTTTAAGCTATTCTTAGGCAGATACTCTATCACTTGCACTCAAACATCCAAGAATTCTGTATATGTGTGATCCATATATAGATGGTAATGAAAGTCTCTGGGGATGGAGGTGTGTGTGTGTGTGTGTGTGTGTGTGTCTGTGTGTGTAGATATATATATTTGAAATTGTCTTAAATGTTTGTTGTGGGAATATTAGCTTCTACAACTCCCTTATACTAATTTAAGCTCCAGCCAAACTCAACTCCCAGGGGAAATTTGGAGCTACAATGCTGAGCTCATCACTGGCTCCCTGAGACCTGACCTTTCACCCCTGTGAATGGCACCGTTGGCCGGCCAGGGGTCCACCCAGGAGAGGACCTGGGAGTCATTCTTTACCAGTTCTCTCCATCAGGGCCCCCATCCAATCTGTCTTCAGGCCCTGTACCTTCACCTCCCTCCAACTGGTCCCTTTTCTGGACTTCCACTTCCCTGATGTGGTTTTGGTAATCACTTTTCTCAGATGGATTAGAGCCCCGGCCTCAGGGGTGGTTTCCCTGACTCTGGACTTTGCCTGTGGGCCCACCTTCCACTCTGCAGCTAGAGTCACCTTTTGAAATAAAATCATTATCATGCCATTTCCTTGCCTAATCTCTCTATGGCTCCCATTGCTAGTAGAAGGAAGTTGAGACACATGTACAGGCTTGCAAGACCCCCATAGCCTGGTCCCTGCCCACATCCCCAGTCTTGTCTCTCCTCCTCCCCTCCTTCTACTCATCTGCACCCAACTGGAATTATTTTTTTGTTCCCTGACAGTGCCCTGTGAGTTCTCACTTTTTGACTTTGCAAATTCTGTTCCTTCTGTAGGTAACACTCCTCCTACTTATCCTTGAGCACAGGTAGCGTCTGTTTGTGGGCACTGAGTAGTGTAACCTTGTTGTAACCTCCAGTTGCTACCTATGCACCTGCATTTCTTCCTCACTGGACTGTAGCTCCTGAAGGGTGGGGGCTTACTCTTTTTCACATACACAAACACACATGCATGCATACATATACACACATATACACACACATACACACTACATGCATGTACACACACATATACATCTTTAGCATCTTGGGGTGCTAGCTAGGTCTCTTTGGTTGCAAATGTCAAGAACCTATCTCAAATTAGCTCAGAAAAAGGAAGGGCCTCTTGGGTGGTATTGCACACAATGAAATAAAGAGTTGAATAGTCACCCCTAACGATGCCTGGGTGAGCATGCTCTATGTGAGGCTGGCTGACATTTTCCCTTGGTCAGCAGAACCTCTGCCTGAAGGACAGCTAGAAATGGACTCTAGAGTTTCCTAACTGCTCTTGGAGAATGAAGACCTCATCCTGTTAACCCTGTAATAGAACTAATGTAAAAATAAAAACAGATGGTATTCCCAGAGTTCCCACCAGCATCTCAAGTTCTGCATATCAGCGACTCTCCTTCCATGTGTTTTAGGTGGGAGGTGTCCTCTCAGGGGGATTGAGGAGAAGTTGGTGTATATTGGAATGGGAAAATCCTGGGAAACCCTCTCCAATGGGTAGGAATCTCTCTCCTTGGTCCTTTGGGAGTGCTGGGAATTGGATCCATTACAGAGCCACTTCTTTGTGTTAAGGAATTGCTGTCTCACTAGGATATTCCTTCCCTCCTACTCTTCCTTCTTTCTTACTCCCTCCCTCCCTCCCTCTTTCCCTCCTTCTTTCCCTCCCTCTTTCCCTCCCTCTTTCCCTCCCTTCCTTCCTTCCACTAGGTATTTATTGAGGGCATTCTATATGCCTTGCTGTCTCACTAGGATATTCCTTCCCTCCTACTCTTCTTCCTTATTCCCTCCCTCCCTCCTTCTTTCCCTCCCTTCCTTCCTTCCACTAGGTATTTATTGAGGGCATTCTACATGCCAGTCTTATGCCAGTCCCTGTGGTGGTAATTTGACTCAGACAAAGTCTCTCCCTCTAAGAAGCTTACAGTTGAGTGGGTTTGGTGCTCAAGAAATGTAAAGAACCCTAGGTGGCCTCCATGCTAATAGTAGGTGAATGAAAACATGGATACATGTAAGTTTCATTGTTAACCTGTTCTTAGGGGCTGAGAACTAACGTGTGCTGTGCACTTACCAGAGCTAGTCAGTTTCCATATATGTCGTATTTAATTCTGTTGGGTAATTATTATTCTTCCCGTTTTACAGATGAGAAAACTGAGGTTGAGGCAGAGTGGTAATTTTCCAGAGGCCACACTGCCTGTCACCTTTCTGATCACCCTTTCTGATGGCTGGCTCCCAAGGGCTGGCACCAGGTCAGCATCACCCCTGATCCTCCAGCACGAGTTGCATGTGAGGCTATTAGACCTACTAAGAAAAGAGTTTCCTGGTCAAGTAACCCTGGGCAGAACTGGGTGAAAGAAAAGTTAAATAGGATTCTTTACTGTAGGGCTCCTCAGAGTTTTAAATATGTGTACTAATGAGGTCCTTTTGGCTCAATATAACAGAAACTCCATGCAGTTAGATTGAAAAAAAAAAAAAAGCAACTTAGAGGGAGTTGCTCTAAAAGCAAAGTAGAGGGAGAGGCTGAGTGAACACGAGGGGGCCTGGGGCAGGGTTGCACGGGGAGAATCTGATTGGGTCTTGTCAGGTCACATGCCTCTTGTGGTCCAATCAGGCACCACCTATTGCGTGGCAGTGCCACTTCCTTCCCTCTGAAGTGGAAAGGGGGTTGCTCAAGAGAAAGGCTTAATGAGAGTGGCGCAGAAACCTTCCACAGTGTCCATTTTGGAGTGTTAGTGAATGTGGGTGAATCTCCCAGAAGGGACTATGTTAACTTACATTTTCAAAACTGTTTTTGATCACGGAAGCTTCTTTTCACTGGTGCCTTATCACACAACTTGAGAATCAGAGTTTCTTGGGTAGAAAAGGGAGCTGACTAGGAAGAGTGGGGCATTACTGGGCGGGGCAAGTGGTGGGTGGCCTCCGGTAACCCAGGGTACACAGGCAGCTGGGGTGGGTGTTAACAGGGAGGAGGTGGGGTGGGGTGGTTTATGCATCTGCCTGTATCTGACTCTGGACTCCAGCAAGAAAAAGGTAGTCACAGGAGGCCCCGCCCCTTCATTCCTTCAACAGCAGCTAACTAAACTAATATTATGAAGACCCTTATGTGCAGGCAGCGTGCTAAGGGTTTTCCACACATTATTGTGTTTAATATTCATAGCACCAGGACATAGGGACGTTTATACCTCCATTTTACAGGTCAGGGAACTGACGCCCAGAGAAGTTAAGTCACTTCTCCAAGGTTCCCCGGCTAGTGAGTGACAGGATGAGGGCTCACTCTGAAGACTGAGTGTTGAATCTTGCTGCATACTGTCCTAGAATTAGAATGTAAAGGGCTGCACCTTGAAGAATGAGCTCCCGTAAATAAGAATACTAAAGTCCCAGAATGTCAGCACCAGAAGGAAGCTCAGACATCCTCTGTTTCAGCCCTGTTGATTCTCTCTACTTTATCTTTCCCACTAAGCTTTCATTCAAACTTTGCAGCCACCTACATATCACATAATTCTATCTCCGTGTAGAACCTTGGTCAAGTAACTTTATAAAAATCCAGATTGCTGGGCTTCAACCCAGAGATTCTGATTCTGTAGTTCTAGGGATGGAGTTCAAAGACCTGCCCTGTGAGTGAGTCCCCGGCACCACCATCAGCCATGAATTCTGGTCTGGGGATCCCTTAGACTTTGCCTTGTTGGCATTGCCCTCATTTATGTAGTCTATAACGACAGGGACCTCCAGACTCTCAAGCCAGAGACACTTAAAACTAACAACTGCTCATGTTTAAATGCTCCATCCCCAGAACTACAGAATCAGAATCCCTGGGTTGGGGCCCAGAAATCTGAATCTGAGTTTTTTGTTTGTTTTTGAGACAGGGTCTCACTCTGTCACCCAGGCTGGAGTGCAGTGGCATGAATATGGCTTGGTGCAGCTTCGACCTCCCAGGTTCAAGTGATCCTCCCACCTCAGCCTCCTGAGTAGCTGGGACTACAGGCGCACACCACCACACCTGGCTAATTTTTGTGTTTTTAGTAGAGACAGGGATTTGCCATGTTTCCCAGGCTGGTCTTGAACTCCTGGGCTCAAGTGATGAGGCCAATTTAGTGTACTGAGCTGTTTTCAGCACCAGCCTTGAGCTTCTCCTCCAGTGGGAGAAATAGGGAGAGGATAAAGATGGTGCACCTTGAGCACAGCTCCATGGGGAGGTGTGGCCCAGACCTCTCAGCATGACCTGCAGCTTGGCACCAGGCACCATGAGCTAAATGTAGAACTGAAGAGCAAGTGTCTGGAAACGTAGAGCAATTTCATTCTGCTGTGGCATCCAAGCATGTGGTTAGTGGGCTTATCTTATTGAATGGGGCATTGACCAATTTAGGTATTGTGAAATTCTGTGCTAAGTGGCTGAGTTGCACATAGCATAAGTTGCACATGGCATACGGAGGAGCATATTGGTCATTCACCACAGGTGGCTGGGAGGTTGTAGGGCCTATGGGACTATCAGGGATTGGGTTGAGTCTTGTTGTTCCAGTGTGCTGCTAGGAGAATTAGGATTGGGTGTGATGGGAAATCTTTGTCTTTGCTTTTATTTGCTATAGTGAGGCATGGATGGTTGACTCTGAATTGTTAAGTCACAGGTTGTAAACTTGGGGCCCACAGGCCAACTGTGGCCCTTGAACCTTCTTGCTTAGCGTGCAATTGTTGGTTCCCATGGTGTTTTGAAAAATTTGAATCAGATTTTAATATTTTCACATGAAAACAGGATGCTGGCTGTCTTGAAAAATCAGTTTACCTGGCAAGCCCGAGCCACATTCCAGCTTGTCTGCAAGTGACTAATGCTAAACAGTGGCTGCTCCTCTAAATAGGGTGTATGCCCCTCAATTTGCCTCCGCCCTATTGCCCTTCTGACCTGGTCTGTTACACTAATTTGCATTGCCAGACTTGCCTCCCTAGGCTTTTTGACATGCCTGACTTAGGTCAATTCAGTTTAATTCATTTGAAATTTTAATCAGGCATTTGTTCTGTGCCTGGTACTAGGTGGTTATTATTATTTTAAAATCAGGTACCTATTAAAATCAGGTTCTGTGGAAGATACAAAATAATTTTTTGACATAGTCTCTCTTGCCAAGAGCATGTAGTGTCCCTCATCAGGAGGTGGGTTGTAGATGTGGGATGCACCGAGTCCCACGCAAGAAGGTAGATGGTGGGAGCAAAAGATACTTCAGAGAAAGGAGCAATTAACAGTACAAATTCATTTATACTCATATAACATTGCACCTTTTCAAAGCCTTTTCCTACACAGTGGTTGCTTTGATGAGCCCTAGTGAAAGAGACAGGGCACTCATTAGTCCCTATAATTTATTAAGGAAGATACTGAAGCCAAGCGGTGACTTGACTGAGTCTCCCATCTAGGAAGAAGTGGAAGTCAGGCCTCTGCATTCCCATCCAGTGGTCTTTAAATCTAGTAGACAGAGAGCATCCAGAAAAGCAAGCCCATGTCTTGGGGTAGATTCTACTGAAGGCAAAAAGGGCTCATGGGGTCCAGAGACTGTGGTTAAATGATGATTTCAATATGTAAAAATCACCCTGCCAAGAATAATTCATCAAAGAGGGGAGCAGTTCAGGAATGGACACACCCAAACTGTGTCATCACCTAGGGAATGGGTTCTCATTTTTCAATACAGGGCACGCCTTGGTTGAGAAGTTTGAGAGAAGTCATTTGGCCTGGCTCATTTCCCACCATGTGAGGTTGTAAGTGTCATGATTGGGTGGAAGTCTTTGCTAGAAACATCCTATGTTCCTAAACCCCAGAGAAGTTGATGGAATGGATACAGTTTATGCCAAGCACCTAAGAAAATGCAGCAGGATTTGATGAGACAAATCTCAAAGGCAGTTAGCTTCTCTCTTTTAGCCCCAGTTTTTCAAGTCAACTTTGAGCAGCTCACTTTGCCTCTCTGAGCCCAGCCTGAAAAATTACCACCAGGCTGTTGCTTCCCCTTGGGGAGGGAAGACAAGCTCAGGAAACTATGTTCCAGAGACAGTTCTCTCAGTTTAGAGGCAGAGAACTCTAATAGCTGGGTAGTCACAATGCTAGAACATGAATGGAAAGGCATACAGGATGATCCACCTAGCAAAATATGTCACGTCTTAAGTGCTTACCTCAAGTGACTTTCTCTATATATACTATAGATATATGTAATCTCAATTTAATTTCAAATAAATCCATTGAGGATGGTGTGAATATCCCCATTTTACAGTAAAGGAAATAAAGCTTCTACAACATTAAATATCTTGGCCAAGGGTGGACTCTAGGATATGAATGCCAGGTTATTTGGTTCCAAAGTCCTTATTTCTCATCTACCGTCCTTCAAACCATGCTGTGTCTCCTGATGGATGATGGAGGTTCAAGAAGTTGTGTTACTTGACCATTTCTCTCTTCCACCCATGTGACACTTGTTTGGAGGAGTGGGTCTAAGGCATTGCATTACAATAATTAGACCTTAGTAACAATACAAAAAATATTATAATAATTAGATTGTAACACTGAGCCATTTTTGTATCTATAGCCCTTATGTTTGTGTCTGAAATGGCCTATAGAATTGAAGATGAGCAGGAAAGGAAATAATTACAAGTTATCTGAATAAAATTTGCAACAAATTGCCTATAAAACTATTACTATCCAAACAGGATGACATTTACTTTATAAGTTCATGAATTTCGTACTTTAAAGTTTGCTAAAAAGAGAGCAAAGTAGTTACAGTTCTCTTCTGATTGATTAAACATGACATATATGCTAATAGGAAAGTAACTCTTGTCCTTTGTTACTCCATTGTCTGGCTCACAGCAATTTAGAAGGTAGCAGATATAATCATTTCAAAGCTGCCAGTCTGGACTTTTTTTATACTAAGATTAGAATCTTGGGTCTCCTTTACTTCAACCAAGAATTCATACTCCCTCTCTGAGTTTTAAATTTTGTATAGATGTGAAATGATGTTGCAGCTATTAAAGCCTGGGTTTTTTCCTCTTGTACATCAGAAAACGCATGTTACCACTGGAAAAAAAAATTCACCTGCTAAGATTTACTTTAAAGCAATTATGTAGTTAGCAGTCTGTCAGATGGAGTATTTTTCACTGTCTGAATAAAATAATTAAGTTAGACATGACTGAGAAAAAAACACACAAAATTTAGGACATCAATAAATATGCCACTTGTCAAGTTATTGGGAGATAGTATTCAATTTAAAGCAGCAATTATTTGAAAAATAGGTTACAACCACATCCATCAAAATTAGTCTGTATTTTGAGAAGACTACAATCACTAATATGTAATTATTTTTAAAATTCATAAAAATGAAAGCATTAGAAGAAAATATAATAACAGTATACATATATTGTGCTTACTGTGTAGTAAGCATTATTCCAAACACTTTGCACCTATCAACTAGATTAGTTCTTGTAACAACTCTGTGAGATGGATACCATGATGAGCCCCTTTTTACAGATGTGGGAAGAGAGGCACAGAGAGGTTAAACACTTGTGAAATTCTAGATACCCACTTATCTTCATATCATGCTGCTGGAATATTCCATGGAAGGAAATAATCACATTCTTGGTTAAAGAATAGATTCTTTACAGAAAAGTAATGTAGTAATCCTCACTCTCTAACCCTGCCTCATCCTGGAACAGGGTGGCCTATGGACCTTTAATCTTCCTCTGGCTTTGGTAACCCCCATGAGCCCAGAGACACCTGTGCCTGCAAAGAACAGAGAAACAGGGTAATGGGCCAATAGCTTGGGCCTTCCATTCAGGCTCATGGCCAGACCTAGTCCCTTGGGTTTCTCTGCTAAGTTGCATCTCTACCCCAACCTCATCTTTTTTTTTTTTTTTTTTTTGAGATAGAGTCTCGCTCGCTCTGTCACCCAGGCTGGAGTGCATTGGTGCGATCTCGGCTCACTGCAAGCTACGCCTCCTGGGTTCACGCCATTCTTCTGCCTCAGCCTCCTGAGTAGCTGGTACTACAGGCGCCCGACACCACGCCCCTGGCTAATTTTTTGTATGTTTAGTAGAGATGGAGTTTCACCGTATTAGTCAGGATGGTCTCGATCTCCTGACCTCGTGATCCACCCGCCTCGGCATCCCAAAGTGTTGGGATTACAGGAGTGAGCCACCACGCCTGGCTTACCCCAACCTCATCTTACTGGATTTTTGGATTTTGTGCTGCCCTTGTGTAGCTGGGCCTGCAGAACATTGCACATATATCATTGACTTATTTGGGGAGACAAGGTGGCTCAGTGTGTCAAACACACCCTGAAGAAGACACATCAGGGTCTGAGTCCTAGATCTGACAACTGCTAGTCTCTGGGTGACTTTGAAAACATTTTTTCAGGGCTCTGTGCCTCAGTTTGCTCATCTGTAAAATGGGGATTTTCAAGGTGTTTGTGAAAATCATATGACACAATTTAACCTGTTGCCCGCTAGAAGACAGGCCTGTCCCAAGTGCAGTGGCACTGAGGAGGGAGCACTCAGCAGGTGCCTTCCATTACCTTCGATGCTGTGTCACCGCCCTCCACCATCCTGTTGACTTTGCACAACTTCCCTCTGCAGGCTCTGTGAAGGCAGAAAGCTGAGTGGGATTAGAAGGATTTCCTCAAAGAATGTGAAGCAACACCTGAGTACAAAAGGCAAATAGTGAGAAATTAAGACCCCGGAGTTGATCGTGGGGAATGATGCTGATGCCTGAAGATGCCAAGAGGCCCATGACTTCTAGCTGGAAGGTGAAGGCCATGTTCTTGGCCCCTGCACCCCTTGCCAGTCAGGCCAGCTGAACTTCCTGAAGTCAGCTGACAGAGTGGTGCAGGCTGGCCCTTGAAGAGAGGTGTCCTCTGCTTCCCCTTTCTCTGCCTCCTTTTTCTCCAGCTTCTTTGTGAGCCTTAGGGCTGCATGCAATACTCAGGCCCCCCTTAGAACCTGGGGCATCCTGGCCTTTGCTTTCTACTTTTCTAAGCTGCATGATCACTGCCATACATAATTTTTGGCAAATAGGACTCAGGTAATAATAATGATTGCTACCACTTTGACTTTATCTCTATTACATCAACTCTGCATGATTGGGATTAGGGAGGTAAAGGAATTTGCCTAAGGGTCACACAGTTGGGAGGGTGGAGTTTGAAGTTCTATACTCATTCATTTATTCAACAAATAGGGAATAAGAGTGACTATGCCCCGGGTACTGGATGGGAGAGGGACAAAGATGAAAAAGATAGGTCTGCTTTGGTGGTCATAGGCTCGCAGAGAAGATGGATGGGTGGTAAGTATTACAACAGGGGCAAGCATAGGTTGCAGCAGCAGCAGCAGCAGCACAGAGGCAGGGATTTCCGAGAAGACGCCTGGAGGAGGTGCCATGGGACTTGGGAGTTGAGTTGTGGAGAATGGACAGATTTCAGGTGAATGCAGGGTGGGGAAGGGCATTGTGGGTCGAGGAAAGGGGAGAGGCAGGGACTGTGTTGGAGTGTCGAGGACACCACAGGCAGCCAAGGCTGGTGTGCCACTGCAGTAGAGGAGGCACATCTGAGATGATCTCCTCACTCCAGGTAGCTCCTGGCCAGGATGGCTGACGGCTGGTTCACCTGGGACTGCTGATCAGAAGATTTCCAGCATCCCTCTAGCATGGAGCTCAGTTAAGTCCCTGGTCTTCCTACACAGGGGCTCGTGCCTTTAAGAAGGAGTGGTCCAGTAATTAACCAGGACACTGCAAGTCCTTTTCTTACGCACTCTTGAAAATCACAGAGGCTGGGTGTGGTGGCTCATGCCTGTAATCCCAGCACTTTGAGAGGCTGAAGTGGGTGGATCATTTGAGGTCAGGAGTTCGAGACCAGCCTGGCCAATATGGTGAAACCCCGTCTCTACTAAAAGTACAAAAATTATCTGGGCGTGGTGATACATGCCTGTAATCCCAGCTACTCAGGAAGCTGAGGCGGGAGAATCACTTGAACCCGGGAGGCGGAGGTTGCAGTAAGCCGAGATCACACCACTGCACTCCAATGTGGGCAACTGAGCGACACTCTGCCTCAGAAAAAAAAAAGAAAGAAAATCAGAGAGACATTCTGTCATATGCCATTGGTCAAGCTCATCACAGCCCCAGGGGGATCGAGAGGGGCAACGTAGACCTGTCTCTCCATGGGAGGGTGCCAAAGAACTTGTAGTCATGTTTTAAAACTGTCACACCTAGTAAAACCTACAGGTCCTGAGACCCAGTCTTTTAACTCTGGTATAGGCTCTTATAAATGTATTAGTCCAAGATCTTAATGGTATCTTTAACGTCAGTGATATTTTAAAATTTCTTTTTCTCTAATGAAAGAAGAGCTGGTGCCATGGTAGGTAAGGGCCCCTGCCCACCAGGCCGCCCTCTTATAGCTTCTTTGCCCCCCTAAAACCAGTCTCTAGGGCCCTTTCTTGGAATGCTACAGGATCCAAGGAGTAAGGTTGCCAATTTACTCTTTTAAATTGCTGTTTGCCTTTAATAAACACTCCCTGGCCAGGCGCGGTGGCTCACGCCTGTAATCCCAGCACTTTGGGAGGCGGAGGTGGGTGGATCACTTGAGGTCAGGAGTTTGAGACCAGCCTGGCCAACATGGTGAAACCCCGTCTCTACTAAAAATACAAAAAATTAGCTGGGCATGGTGGCACATGCCTATAATCCTAGCTACTCGGGAAGCTGAGGCAGGAGAATCACTTGAACACGGGAGGTAGAGATTGCAGTGATCTGAGATCGTGCCAGCACACTCCCGCCGGGGCAACAGAGTAAGACTCCATCTTAAATAAATAAATAAATAAATAAATAAATAAATAAATAAATACTCCCATGGGGGAAAGCTGTCTGCAGGTGTAAATCCAGGCACCTTGAGAAGCCCAAGAGGATCGTTCTGGTGTCTCCTCAATTCATGCTATTCAGGCCAGGGCACATCCTGGCCACAGATGGGGCCAGCATTGTACAAACCCACACCAGTTGCCTTCCATACTACCTTCTCTCAGACCCCTTTTTAAATTTCAGATTTCACTTTTTAAGTTTTTCCCTCCACTATCACCAGCCTTTCTCACTCTTCTTTCTCCTTTTGCTTCACCCTCTTCTGATGCAGCAGTGTGACTACCCTATGAGCACTACATCTTTCCTCTTTCACTCCCAGGCCTTGTGGGGGCTGCTCATGGTGGTTCTGTCTGCAGAAGGCTGTGGGGGCAGCCTTGGCAGACCTCTCACCCAGGCACTCACAGACCACAATGCGAATAACAGTGACAGCCCTTTCTGCCCCAAGTCTGTCCAGCCAACCTGTGAATGGCAAAACTTCCAATATTTGTCAGTGTCCTGGCAGGGTGGTGGGAAGCAGTACCCTGAAGGTGGGATTATCTAGGGAGAGGTGAATAAGAAGACTATTTCAAAGGTGTGGGCAGGGAATAGAGAAGTCACAAAGGGAAGTCACCATCACCAGGAGGTAGAAACAGAGAGGTCTGTGTGGAAAGGCCCAGCAGGAGTGGTGATCTCCTCTGTTGGGTGCAGTTAATCTGTGGGACCCCACAGGGAGGGAGTCTCAGGGAAATGGATATCTCAGCCTTACTCTCTTCCCTGCCTCCCATCACCTGCTCACACTTGGCCATTTGTTCACCTTTGGCCAACACAGCTGAGAGTCATGGGCAGGGGAAGCCCTTGCTGCAGGTCAGGCTTCTGGAGCATAGAACAGGGTGGAAGGATGGTGTGGCATGGATCCGGGGGCAAAACAAAGATACCTTGTATGCTCACATGTTTTGAGTGCCTAGCTTGCCATCTCAGGATGGCCCTGGAAGGTGAGGACAGGGGTCTTCATGCTACAGATGGCCACCCGAGCCTCAGAGCGGGTGAGTGCACACAGAGCCTTTCCAGGGAGGTGAGTGGCAGCAAGGTGCTCACTGCCAAGCTCTTGGACTCTGGGTCCAGAAGATGCTCCACAGTTGCCCCACAGTTGCCCCACAGCTGCCTCCCCGAAACATTTCCAACACTCATCAGTCATAACCAGCTCCCTGCACCAACTTGCTTTCCCAAACACACGATTTCTCATTTGCCAAGTGTAATTAACATGATGCATTGACTTAGGGCAGCGCTAACAAGCACATATTAATTTTGAAAAGTCAGGAAATGAGTTACTGATGAACACCTACCACAGGAGTTTAAAATGAGTTACTGATGAACACCTACCACAGGAGTTTAAAAGTGCAGGAGTGGGAGTGGGTAATCATGGGCTGGCACAGCCCGCAGGTCTGCGCTTCTGCCCCCTGGAAACACCCTGACAGTGAGTGATGTCTCCCCGCCTCCATGAGGGGGGCTCTCAGGGTCACCCCAGCGTTGCCTCCCTGATGCCCAGTCTCCTTGGCTCCCCTGGGGAGCATCTTTGTTCAGCTGGTTTCTCGGTGCAGCTATCTTCCATCAGTATAGGTACCCGGAGCTGTCGTTTGCCTAATTGCTTCCCCTGACTTGGATATTTACACCCCCTGCCAAACCCATCCTTCTAGGGACCTAGGTCACTGGGCAGCCCTGGGCAAACCATGCAAGCAAAACAAAGATGCTTGGATCCTTTTCTGCCATTCACTCAGGGGCTCCTTGACAGCTGGAATTTCCTTTAGAACTCTGGTTTCATGAGCCAGTTGTTTCAGCAAATTCCCCTCCCTATCTCTTCTCCCAGTGGGGAGAGGAAACTTCTCTACACACCTTTCTGTACTAGGGTTGGACACCAGGACGAAAACAGTTTTCCATCATACTGCTGTCTTGGTGTGTGGGGAGACTGTTTTGCCATAGGGTCCCATTCTGTTCTGGGACCCTTTCCCTTGTCCTGGAAAGTCCACAGGAGAGTCAGGACTGGGGTAGGAACCAGTTCTGCCACCTTCCAGACCTTTACCTTGGATAAGAGTGTGGGGTCCAGGGGCTGCTGCGGCTGCCCTGACATTGGTATTTCTTGGGAGATGTGAGGAAACCACTGCATACATCTGTTTACATACTGATTTTGTGGTTTCCTGGGTTATTTATAGAGCCCTGCCTGTTCTCTTCCCCACCTCTTTCCTCCTCACTTCATTCCCACTCCACGTTGCCCATGTTTTGCATCTCTCCTTGCAGACTATTCTCCCTAAAGAATGGTGGATGCCTGTGAGGGGCCTTGTTTCAGGTCCTGTGGTCTCAGATGATCCTCTTTATGTTGACAGGGGTCTCATGGCTGAGTTCCTGCTGAATTTTTTTCCCCACTGGAGCATTTCCCCCTTCAGCACTAAGGAAGGCTTGCTCTGCTAGTGAACCTCTTCCTCACCGCTCATTTTCCAACCCCACCCCCAAAACTGCTTTGCTCCTTGCACCTGATGAGGCCAAATTTGATGACTGAGCCTTGACCCTTCCCAGGCAAGATTTCCAATTCTGGGTTACTGGTTGGAAATTTTTTTCTTGTTACCAAAGTTAACTCCCTCTCAACTTTCTTTATCTTCCAGCTACCTAACCTAGCTTCTCTCTGTTCCACTTTGCTGTTCTGACAATCCTTCTTCATTGAGTGCCTCCTAATATAAAGAACCACTTAACCTTATTTTCCAAGGACTTCAAGGATTTACTCTTCTATCTGGCCTTCTGTTAAGGCCTCTGTCCTTTGGTGGAACTTCATTAAGGCTGGGTTCCAGTTCAAAACACAATTCTCAAGCCTTGGAAATGGGCTTGAGCACATTTTCTCCAGACTTAACATCCTTGCATTACTGGCAACCTCATCTCAGCTGAGGTCTGAGACTAACCTTTCTCAGAGGATCCACTGGGTAGGAGAGAGGGGTGCTGTGGCTTCTCCAGCCAGTGGAGCTTTGGCTCCATCTCTGAGATTCCAAGGCATGGATGCTGACATTCATTCAACTTCTCATCTTTGTACTGGTTCTGAGGACATGTGGGAGTACAATACGACCAATAATTCTTTTAATTCCCTTGCTTTAATAACTATCAGATGGAAACTGGTTTGTTTATTAAACTAGGCTGGATGTCACCCAGAGAACTACTGTACTGTGTGGTGGGATTTTCTATCCTGGATTCATCTTGTTGGTTGACTCCTTTTCCCCATCTCGGACCCAGTTTTAATAGGGGCATTCCCAGGAAAGGCAGCCCACCAGGCTGGTTCCCAAATCCTCCAGCAAATCATTTGATAGAGAAAGCATCTTGAGTCTTAAGTCAAATTTGGAGAGAGATTCTGATCACACCTTTAAGAGACTGCATTTTAATTGTGCTGAATTTCATCAATTATTTTGAAAAATAAGCAGCTGCTGTGCTGAACTCAGAAGACAGAGTTTGCAACAGGTTTCTTTGCAGCCTATGTGGCAGAGGCTTTTGTGTTCCTGCATTGTGAACACATGAGTCTGTCTTGTCTTTCTTTTCTTTGAATAACCCACTTCTCATCTCCTGGCAGAGGTGATGGCAGCATCAAGCCTACTCCACAGTGCCACCACCTGCCTGCCCCATTGCTGTCCAGGGGGCACCAGTGAGGCGGAGAAGCCTAAGGGTCAACATGTTTATGCCCAACAACATCAGGGCTTTTCAGAGGGGAAAAAAGAAAGGAGACTGGGTGCAGTAGCTCACACCTATATTCACAGCACTTTGGGAGGCTGAGGTAGGAGGATTGCTTGATCCCAGGAGTTTAAGACCAACCTGGGCAACATAGTAAGACTCTCTCTTTTTTAAAAAAAATTAAAAATTAGCTGAGCATGGTTGTATGCACCTGTGGTCCTAGTTACTTGGGAGGCTGAGGCAAGAGGATCACTTGAGCTCAGGAGTTCAAGGTTGCAGTGAGCTATGAGGACACCACTGCTCTCCAGCCTGGGTGACAGAGTCAGCACCGGTCTCAAAAGAAAGAAAAGAAGGGACAGGAACTTTCACAAGCATGCCACTGTGCCAGCCACAGTGTAGGAAGCTCCATATCTGTGATCATTTTCTCCCCACTAATATCCCTGCAGAAAAACCACTGCTGCTCTGTCTTTACAAGTGGCGCTTCGTGGGGTTGGCATTGGTTCTCCAAAAGCAAGGTGCTGGAGTTTGGGGTGCAGATGTTTGTTAGAGATCAACACCTGAAAAAGGAAGAGAGAAGAAACAAGGAGGAGGCAATTGCAACGTAGGTCCAATGAAGCACTGGCCAAACTGCATAGTGCTTGCCCGTCAGGATGTCTTAAGTCAGGCTGAAATGACTAGGTCTTTGTATCCATACCTAGACCAGTCACCAGATGTGGTTGTCCCAGGAAAGGCATGACCCCCAAAATCCTTCTGTGAAGTGGGGTCTTGGTGGTGCACCTCTCCATTTACCATGAAGGTAGCTAAGCCAGACTTTTAAATGCTGGGCCTGGAATTCCTACCAAGGTCTGATTGCCGGCAAAAGCCACACTCTCTCCACTACATCAAACTGAGCCTTCCTTGAGGATGGAGAGTGAATCTTCCCATTGGGTTGGAAGTTATTTGACAATGTAAATTGTAGTTTTTCCTTCCTTTGCTCCCCAGATAAGGAGACACTCCAACTCATTTTGGGATCTCCTGATAGACTGGTCAGCAAGGGCTTGGCAAGGCACCCAGAGCTATCTGTTAACTAAGGGACATTGCTGAGGGCCAGCCAGACATTTCCATTTTATAAATCTAGTGCTGGACTCAATTTGAGTTTCCAGGCTACCACAGTCGAGTCCCTCTACCCACCATGGGGCATGCCAGGAAATGCCCACTAGCTGTCTTAGTTTTCTTCCACTTTCAATCCACACCTCCACTGTTATTCCCCACCCCCCCCCCACCATTTTGGTGTTTCTAGCTGTCTTCAGCACAGATCACTCTGTTCATTTTAAAAAGTCAGCCATTCTTTTAGTGGGCCACGGAATGGAACATGAACCATCAAAGTAGCTGTGTGTTTGCTGATCGATTGATTAGTCATCAATAATGTGAGGAGGGTGCTGGAGAGAATATGAGGGGGAGGCCTAAGGGTGCTGCTTTCAAGATGTGCTAGCTCTGTCCTGTTGAGAGGACATGGGGTTAATTCTCTTTCCTCTGAAGGGAATATAGGAGGAAAGATCTTCTCCTATGGACTTCTGTTTACCCATATTGCAGCATGAGTGTTTTATACTGGAAAACACAGGAATGGCTCCCTTGGGTCAGCCTCATGGATATCCGGCTTCATGGGTGAGGAGGGACTCCTGATTGTTCTGCTATAACTTGGTTTGTGACCTTGGGCCTGCCACTTCTAATCTCTCGGCCTCAGTTACCTGCATTTACTTCCACAGCACAATAGATAGGGGCAGTATATTTGTTTCCCAGGGTTGCTATAACAAAGTGCTAAAAACTGAGTGGCTTAGAATAAAAGAAATGCATTGTCTCACAGTTCTGGAGGCTACAAGTCTGAGATTAGGGTGACAGTAGGGCTGATTCCTTCTGTGGGCTGTGGTGGAGAATCTGTTCCATGCCTCTGGCCTAGCTGCTGATGGCTTGGTGTTCCTTGGCTTGTAAATATGTTGCCTCATGCTGCCTTCATCATCACATGGCTTTCTCCCAGCATGCATGTCTCTGTGTCCAAATCTCTTTTATAAGGACACTAGTCATGTGGGTTATAGCTCACCCCAGTAACTTCATTTTAACATGATTACCTCTGTAAAGACCCTGTTTGTAAGTGAGGTCACATTCTGAGATAATGGGAGTGAGGACTCCAATATATCTCTGGAGAGGACACAATTCAATTCATACCACAAAGTTAAATGACATGGCATCTTTAAAAGGCCATCTCAGCTCTCACACTCTGGGTTTCTGTCTCTAATTGAAGCACCCAAGAAAGATGTTGGGGAGAACACAGTGATCCCCCTTGATCATAGTCCTGGAAGTTAGCAATCTGTTCCAAATAGCCATATGGTTCTGCCATCCCCGAACCAACAGAAATTTTTCTAAAGTAGTCATGCCTCCATGGATACATCCTTTGGAGATCACGTAATTGTCTTGGTTTCCCATTCCTGATAACTATCTTATTGAAATCTTAGGTTATTAGAGAGGGTGAGACAATAGCAATCTAGCAATCAGCTGGCGTTGTGGTTTTCAAGTATTTTTGAGCTGGAGAACTTTTCTCTCATACATAATTGCTTACAGAATCCTCACCAGTAAAGCAAATCAAACTCAAGATTCTCTTACTAAGGTCAAAGTAGAGGTACTTTGAAGGCTGAAGGATAAGCTGGAGAGATTCTGCTGGGGGAGTTTCTGGTATTGGGATAAAAGTTGTTTAATGATTTCTTTTTCCTTGCGGGATGTTGGTGACATCAGTTGTATCAATCACTTTGAACTTTAGCACTTGACAAGGGATGAGGGGATTTATATGATGTCAAAACATTGGCCATCATGGATGTAATTGAAAGGTTTTTTAAAAATCGGCCATCAAAGCTATTTTTTTTAAAAAAGTAAAAGTAAAGGATGGAGCAAAACAAAATCACTTTTTTTTTAACTTATTTTAAGTTCAGGGGTACATGTGCAGGTTTGTTACATGGGTAAATTTGTGCCACGGGAGTGTGTTGTACAGATTGTTTCATCTCCCAGGTATTAAGCCTAGTACCCGTTAGCTATTTTTCCTGATCCTCTCCCTCCTTCCAATCTCCACCCTCTGGTAGGCCCCAGTGTGTGTTGTTCCCCTATATGTGTCCATGTATTCTCATAATTCAGCTCCCGCTTATAAGTGAGAACATGTGGTATTTGGTTTTCTGTTCCTGCATTAGTTTGCTAAGAATAATAGCCTCCACCTCCATCCATGTCCTTGCAAAGGATATGATCTGATTTTCTTTTATGGCTGCATAGTATTCCGTGGTGTATATGTACCACATTTTCTTTATCCAGTCTATCATTGATCTGCATTTAAGTTGATTCCATGTCTGTGCTATTGTGAATAGTGCTGCAGTGAACATATATGTGCACGTGTCTTTATAATAGAATGATTTATATTCCTTTGGGTAATGGGATTGCTGGGTTGAATGGTATTTCTGTCTTTAGGTTTTTGAGGAATCGCCACACTGTCTTCCACAGTGGTTGAACTAATTTACACTCCCAGAAACAGTGTATAAGTGTTCCTTTTTCTCCACAACCTTGCCAGAATCAGGTTTTTTTTTTTTTTGACTTTTTAATAATAGCTGTTCTGACTGCTATGAGATGGTATCTCATTGTGGTTTTGATTTGCAATTCTCTAATGATCAGTGATGTTGAGCTTTTTTTCATATGATTGTTGGCCACGTGTCTTCTTTTAAAAAGTGTCTGTTGATGTCCTTTGCAACAAAACCATTTATACAGCATATTGTGTTTGTGACTTAATTTGCTTTGGCTTACTTTTCATTATGGAGTCATCTAATCTACAAGTTGGCACTTATTCTTTTATTCAACTAGCATTTATTTGGTATTAACTGAACATATAGGACTGATGAACACACAGAGAGGGTTGAATTGTGTTCTTTTATAAACTTTCTCTCTGGGGAATTATTTCCTTTTCACCTGTCTACATCCATGTCTTTGTCGATGTCTTCATCTACATTTATAGTGAGAGGGCATGTTAAAGGGCAGAATTCACTTCCCAGGGTATGTCACACACCTCTTTTGCATCCCTTCTGAGCCTCTGGGCCTCGCCTTCTTCTTGGTCCAGCCTTGTAAGGGTCAGTAGCGTCTGGTCCCTGACAGGTGGTTCTCACCTCTCGAGTGCAGTGCCAGTCTTCCCTATTGATATTTTCTTGGGAACAACATCAGTGCTCATGCTCTGTGCTCATGACCACACACGCACAAACCAGAGTGCAGAAGCAAGTTTTCCATCTAAGGAAGGTGAGGTCCAGTGGATACATTTGTCCTCGCTTCCCGCATTAGAGATAGTCTGGAGACCAGCCTATGTGACTTCTAGGGGTCGCAGTCCCATGGACAGAGCAAAGCATCAATCGGCCCCTTCTTCTTAGTGATACACCTACATATGGACTGTGTCTACTTTCCCAATTTTGTCTCCATATTCCTCCACTCCTGATCCCTTGGGTTGCAGTCTTGGTAAAGTAATAGCCGGCAAGCCTTCCCCTAGGCTCACCTTTCTGGAGAACCCAGGCTAAGACTTAAGGTGACTTAGTGGGAGAGAAGAGCTGGAGCTGTGCCCTAGTGATGCCCCCAGGTGTGTGAGTCCTTCACCTTACCTCAGTGTTCTGGCCAGGTGGGGCTTTGTTTGAGTTTTTCTGGGTTGGATGTGGCAAGAAAGAGGACTTACAGATCAATTCACTTGTCAAGCTGGGTTAGCAATCTCTGGACTTTCTTTCCTGGTACAGCATGGAGACCTCTGTCCCTCCTTTTTCGCAATGGTCATCTTGGGTGAAGCAGGAAAGGAAGGAGGACTGGGCAGGGTATCAGAAGCCCTGGCCTCTGGGCTTTACCCTTCGACTAACAAGCCATGTGACCTTGGCTGAGTCATGTTTCCTCCTCACATGTCAGTTTCTTATCTGAACGATGAGGGGCTCAGCCTAGATTATTGCTATGATCACTTCCAACTCTAAAACCTTATGATAAACTGTAATTCCTGCCACATTAGCTGCATTGGTAGGAAAGTTACCTCAATTCTTATTCAAAAGGTCAAAATTGAGGCCTCTGTGAGAATTTTCAATATGGTAGTTAATGCAAAAACATGTTTTATTGGTGTTTTCTAGAGAAAAAAGAATTTGGTCAGAGCCACTCTTACTTGTCCATCACAAGGGAGAAATAGAGACTCTGTGCTGACACCTCACTACTTTCAACTCCAACTGTGGGTCTTTTTCTCTTGCAATTTAGTCCATCACAGCTGAGGGCTGGTTTAGGGACCAGAGCTCAGAGACAACTGCAGCTGGAAGGGAAGAATGGATCTCTCCCCTCTAACACATGTACCCGCACTCCCCAGCCCCACGCCAACATACCATTCACCTCTTTCTGCATATCCCACTCTCCCCTCCCCTTTGTGTGGGAGAGAGATTTCTCTGTGTCTAAGGTCAAAGCCATGACCACACCCAGCACTATGACCGCAGTGGACAAAGGGGAGAACTTCACATCCTCTTTGGGAACTCATAGAGGTCATTGCAAATCACTTTTGGTCATTGCCCAAACTAGAAAGAACATATTTTCCCCAGATTATTATTAAGAATTTTATATAATCACAGACTGTCTTCTCTCTCACATACAGACATACATTCCCAAAGAGAAAAACTCATCTCTGAGTATTGGGTCATAAATTATATGAGGTACATTTCATTATAAAGCATATTTCTTTAGTCTTTATGAATGCTCTCCATTTACCCCAGGGGGGTTGTAATGTACACTGACATCTTACTTTCTTCCAAGAAGCATTCCCTCATTTTGTTTAGTATGTGGGGCCTAGCTGGGCAAACAAATCCTACGCTGGAGAATGAAGGCAATTGACTCGTATATAAATGGGAATACAATCATGCATCTATGCCTGGGCTCCAGGGAGGTCACATATAATCTTTAGAAAAAGTGGGTAAGTAAACATCAGTGAAAGAAATGTCTGATGGAGAAGGGGCTGCATAAACAGTGCAAATGCATAATTGCTATGGCCCGGAAAAAATTGGAAACCAAGTGATTCTATAGTCAGAGAGACGGGAACAAGTATTTTATAACAAGTCAGTCCTCATTATTTCTGATTTTTGATTTTGATGCTTTACCATCTCAGTGCATCCTCCCAGCCCCCATCCAATTCTTCCTAAGGCACTTTGTTTTTTCCAAAGTAAAGAACCAGGGAAAGTAAAAAGTTGAGCAAATTAGAGACAACATTGCCGGGTCTTCATTTTCTTCCAATGACAAAGCCAGCAGCAGCAGCAACAGCAGCAGCAGCAGGGTCTTTAGAGCACTGGGGTTTTTTAAAGCTCCAGTTTTACCTTGCAGAAGATCAGAAACCAAAGCTCATAAAATTGAACTCAGATGAAGAACACTGCCGTCTTTGGAGTGCTACTAAACAATCTGCAAATTATTTAAATTAAACCAACCCGGCCCTCAACATCTGCACACAAAATGCTTAAATTCCAAGTGCAACTTTACAGGCATAAGAAAATAATAAGGGAGTTCAATTTGTGTCAGCATGGCTCAGGAAAATAAGATATCATGTCTTGCTGTCTGCTTGATGTCAACTTCTCAGATGCGAGCCCTAATGCCTCATCCTAGACTGTCCGCACCAGAGCCTGCCAAACAGAGAAGTTCAGCCAAAGTTCACCAAGCTACTACCAAATAGCGTTTTTTCCCCTCCTTTTTCAATCATTAAAAACCTTCTGTTTTATATTGTGCACACGTGATTGTATCTACCTCTTAAAACATATATAACTCTATTAGCGTCTCCTATTCTCTGGGAATACTGTAAAATCTTTTCTGGGATGAGTTTGTTCTCTGGCTTACAGTTATTCAGTGTTTTAACTTTCACTGTATATACTAGATTCTATCTGGAATTCTTGGTTAGGATACCCAGATAAAATCTGTAATATTCAAAATGATTTGAAAATAATTCCCTTTTTTTTTTTGGAAAACAAATACATAAAGTGAAAAAGAAATAAAGCAGACATTGATCAATTACTCTCTTGAGATGGACTCAGAAATGCATTACTAGCTCTGTTTCCCTCCTTCTGACCCAAATTAGTGGCTTAATCAGAGTATGCCAGAGAATCTGCCCTAAAACTAGCATCCACCCCTGGGAAATATCCCCAGCTCAGACCTTAGTTCTAATCTCCCCTTCAGCTGGGATACTGAGATGACTAACCGGGCAATTGCACAGGCCATTTTTCTCATTTTCCTTGTTTAGTCTTGATTTACTTTAAATGGCTCACGACTCTCATTCCTCCCAGTGAAATTGTGCACCCACACTTTTAATCATGCAAAACCAACATTTTAATGCTGCTGGATGATATATCAATTTAGGGTCCTGGGATTGTCAAAGAGCTAGAATTTCACTAATCAGCAGAAATACAGGTTTAGTAGGTGTGTGAAGACAAAAATAAGTGCAGTGGAGTCTTTGATCTACTGCATGGTCTTCACAAATACCTTTCCTATAGTGTAACGTGTCACGTTTAATCTATGTTCCACTTTTAGCATCTTTTTTCCAGCCATAGCTTGGTCCCTTTCAAAGACCCAAACACCAGTGCTCAAAGCAGCCTTGTGGAAGGGGAATTGTCTTGGTTCCATTTGGTGGTAGCTGTCAGGGTGGGTGTGGAAAATCCCCACCCATCAGGAAAAAGAGCCTCAGTATCCTAAACTTGTAAACTCATTACTAGGCCACTGCCTTCTTACAGCCATAACTCTTTCAAAACCAGTTAAAATATGCCAAAATTCTCATTTTGGGTAAGTTACAGCTGATTTTAATTATTGTTATAAAAGAGCTTCCTTTACATTTAGTGATGATTCAGATAACCTTCAAACTCATGCTAAATGTTTGGCCACCAATAGCTGAGTATGGCTTAATGAAGCAATGTGATAAACTATTACAAATAAACCTGGTCTGAATACAAACATTAAAATAAAACAAATCCTAAAATATAGAAATATTCTTGCCACATAATGATCACTATTATCTTGATTTCTTTTCATCTTTTATATCATAAAATAACTCAGCTTATAGAATGTCTTTAAAGAAAGTTGTCTGTTGATTCATATTTCAGTTAATCTGGTATCAATTATTGAAATAGATTTGGAAATTCAATGTCTGTGCAGATGAAACGCTTTAATACCTTAGATAGTAGCTGGTTTCTGGATGCAGCCTAAAATGGCATAGTCAGAAAAGTTTAAAGTATTTTTGCTAGATTCAAAGACGAGCAAGATTAAAAATTCCCAAATGTGTATTCTGGAATCCTTCCAAAACATTCCATCTTTATTCATTATTGGATATTGTCTTGATTAAAATTCCTGTTGGTTTGTTCTATGGTTAAGTAGTAATCTTGTATCTTAGCATTTGGAATGTATTGGTATCATGTGACGTGCACAGAGCCCAAATGAATATAGAGAGATCTCTTTCACAAGTCAACAAGGAGAACTTAGAGCATTCGGATTTCAGCAAAGCTGTTTGGGGGGAGAAGGGGGTTATTTGTTCAGCACATTCTTTCCAACAAGTGAGTCAGAAAGAGCTGTTCAAAAGCAAAATGATTTTTCCTATAACACCAGTGGTCCTGAATCAAGACAGATTTCTCTGGAGGAAATAAGAATTTTTTCTTTTTTTTTCCCCTTTCTTTATCTCTTTTTGTTCTATTTCTAGCATTTGGTGCCCTTTATTGCTAACTTCACCCAGTAACATGTGAAAAATGTACTCGACAATGCAAAGCAGATGACGCGGTCACCATCTTCTGAGTCACCGTCCTTTTCTCTGCATTCCTGCAGAGCCCTTTCAAACCTAGAGAATGATTTGGTTAGGAGCCACTGAGAAGGGAAAAAAAAAGGAAAAAATGGGCCTGATCATGCTGCCACACAGATGCTTTCGTGGCTTGTCCCCTGCTGTAACCTGCTTGATGCTGGGCATCCCCAGGGACTCCAGGCCAGGTCTTAGAATATGGACAGACCTAAGGGGCATGGGAGGCCACACAACTTTGGCAGACTTGGCTGGCTTTTTGTTTTGTTTTAGCTCATAAAGGCCACTTGGAAGTAAGCCCTGTGGCAGAGAGGGAAGGGAGAGGATGCTGGCATAAGTCGGGGCTTTTGAGGTGATGTAATTTGTCACCACCTCTCATTTGCTGGAAATGCATCTGTCATTTAGGAAAAGTCAGGAGAGCTGACTCAGAACCACACTTAGGATAAACCCAACTTTGGGGCAAGCTGTCAGGGACACCAAGTCACCTCCAAGTCCCCCCCATTGTTGGTGGGGGTACCGTATGGGACTGGATAAGAACTTGACCCCAGCGACCAAGTCCCCTGGAGCAGAGTCAGATTGCTATAGTGGCCGCAAAGGAGTCCACGGCAGGCGCTTGCTACCTTTCTGTGCATCAGGGAGCATGCCTCCCAGGGATCTGATCTTTGCCTTGGAGAAAGTGAGTGGACCAGAGAGCGTCTGGTAAGGCCAAGTCACAGGATGAGTCTTCTGGCTTTTACCAGTGAAGTTGCTTACCCTCCACATGTGGAAATACTGACCAAAGCCAAGAAGTTGTCCAGTTTGTTGAATGGAAGCTCTCTGATGACCAAAGCTTTGTTTGTTTTGTTCACCACCATATGACCAGTACTCAGAACAGTGGCTGCACATAAATATTTGTGAATGAATGGATAGTATCACAGGAAGATTCTGAATAAAAAATCAATTAATGCAATAGTCGAGTGGTTTTTGAGCACAATGATCCTAGAAAAACAATCATTATTTTAACAAATGAAATTTTAAAAAGACTTGAGCAAGGGAAGGGAGAAAACTAACAATTGTTGATCCCTTACCGTGCAACAAGAAATTTCTTGCGTGCTGGATGAATAGGTATTGTCCCATTTTTAGGGTTAGAAAACTGAGCCTTGGAGAAGTTAAATCATTTGCCTAAGGTCATATGGCTAACGAGTGGCAGAACTGTGGTTCAGACTTAGGAATCCCATGTTGGAGTGATTTTAAAGATTTAATTATTGTGGTACTTTATTATTACAGATCACTGCAATGGCATTTTGAGGTTTTAGACATGTGACGCTAGAAAAAAATTAATTAATCTTCATGGGAAGTTTTTAGAGTTTTGATATTCCACAGATTAAGTAGGTGAAAGTGCTTTTTTAGACTGCTTAGGTAGACACTAAAAAATTTGTGCTGGATCCAAATCCCATATAAATGTATTAGCTTTTTCTAGCCAAGAGCTTACAGAAGCAAGAAATCAATCAACATGGCTTCAACCCCAGAGGGTGAAGTGGGAGAGTAAGATAGATGTTTGATCACAGAGAGCTCAGACTTTAGTAGCAACCCCATTGTTAAGCAACTGTGTGATCTTGGGTAAGTCACTTTACCTCTTATGATTTCAGGTTTATGGGCGGTTAAATAAGGTTGCTTTGCTTACTGCTCAGATATTATTGGAATCAAGAGAAATAGTTGAATTAAAATTCTTTGCAAAATTTATAGACTCCAATTGATAAAACTTTTATGTTTGTGATGAAATTGTCCTATATTCTGTAATGATGGGAGTTGAGTCTTTCACCATCTACCTACCTAATTTTATTACTATAATTTGCATCTTAAATAACATACTTTTCTCACTTATAATTTCACTCACCTTTTCATTAAGTTAAAACTTAATGAAACTTTGACATCTGTGAATATTTTCCTGATTTTTAAAAAGTTTTAGATCAATAAAGATTTACTGTTTTCCTCTAAGACAAGTTTTAGTATCTGCATTTACCTCAGAGGGCACAGAGAGTTGTGTCATTTCCCTCTGTACATACATTTTTAGGGTTGGCTCAAAATATGAAATATAATTATGGTGCTCTCTTGTCTGATACTAGACAAGTCTGAGGAGGCCTGGAGTACATTCCTTGGGCTCGTGAGTAATTATAGTTTTGATGATAATCAGCTACTTTATAAGATCTCAAGCTGCTGCGATTCTGGTTTTTTTGTAATGCATACATGCCCCATGAATTTAATTATCACTGTTTTGGTGCCTGACAAATATGCTTCACTTATAAACCTTTTATTTATGTTCAGATAGAAGTGGAGTATGCATGTTATAACCGCTACATCCCAGACATTCAAGAAAATAGTCCTCCAGATTCAGAATGGCTTTTCAGTTTAACGACCCATGTATTTGATATTATTTTCTTGGTTGGAAAATTATTTCTCAAGTTCTGTTTTCTCCACCCCCTGTCTTCTCCCTTCCTGCCTCTCTCTAAATTTTATAATGCTGTGTTTCCTTTTAAAAGATTAGGTAAGAGGGAACACGTGTGTGAAAGTCGTGGCCCACTCCCATGTGCTGGGGGCTGGTGAGATGAAGGCCAAAGGCCAAATGCCTTCAGCACCTGACAAGTGTGTGGATCTCATTATGGCCATTGAGTCTGGTGGGCTTAATAAAAAAAAAAATCAGTGGATTTGCAGGAGGCATGGTCAACATTTGGTGAAAAAGCAGTTCTTCAATATAATTACTAAGGCCTTCAAAATTATTTTGGTCTCACAGTTGAAAATTTCCCATCTATCCCACATATTTGGTGATTCATAGAGTTTGAAGAAGCATTTGAGGTTATCTTGTCTAATCTCTTCATTTTATAAATGAGTAGCATGAGCTCAGGAAGGAGAAAGAGAGTTCCCCAAGGCCTTATCATTAACCACATTGTGTGACTCTATTCCAGTCTCCCTATTTCATACCTGCTGTCCTAGCCTCAATCTGCATATCTACATATCCAGTGAGGACTTTTGAACACTTGTTCTGTACTTGGCGGTAAGCTGCTTGGTCTTTAAGGCATAGTGTTGGTCTTCAAGGAATTTGTTAGCAAACTGGGGAGTCACACAGACACAAGATCCTCATTATAGTAAATAGCAGCTTATAGTTCAGAGGTGATGTGAGTGGAGCAGTGGACCAGTTCCTCAGGACATCAGAGTGTGCAGAAGCTGGGGAAGTCTGGTTCACTTAGAGGATATGAATGGAAGAGGTAGAGCTTAAAGCAGGTTTTGAAGGTGCAGAGGTTTGAAATTCCAGGAAGGGAGTAGGACTTGAGAAAGGCTCAGAAGCCTTAAGGAACAGTATGTGAGGAGGGTTTAGGGTGAAGAAAGAGCAGCATCACAGTCCATGTATGGAAAGTGTGGGGATGGAGTGGCCTATAGGGAAGGGGCACAATGCAGATGGCTTTTAATGCGAGCCTAAGGTGTCTACCTCCTCATGCAGGGGATGGAGCTCCACTGAAGATTTAAAATAGGAGAGTGAGGAGATAAAACAAAGATAACTTGGTTGGAAGAAGGATTGGAGGGAGTTATGATGAGAAACAGAGCACCAGTTGGGATATTTTGAAGAAAAGTCTCAGGATGAGATGATGATGTGGATTGCAGTGCAGCAGGTATCCAGGGAGCCCCTCAACTCTGCAGGGGCTGCCTGGAAGGGAGTGAGGTCTACAATGCCAACTCCTGGAATGACTAATATTTTTGCCTTCAAAGATCTTGAGAGATTTACCCTGGTTGTCCATGTGGCTTCTCCACAAGGGCCAGTGAGAGACATGATTCTTCACCAGTTAGAGGGGCAAAGCTTGAGGCAAGGAAAAAGAGGTGGTGGCCCCCCGCCAACCAGGATGCGTCACGTTTACACCAAAGTGCCCATTGGCTGGGTAGAGTCTGACTGAACCTCTTCCTAACTCCAAGGCTTTGGCCAAGCTGCTAACATATTCTGAACCTCAGTATTTGCGTCTGCACTTTACAGGTATAATAATGCTTGCTCTAGCTACCTTGTTGTAAGGATCCAATGAGAAAGTAGATGTGAACCATAAATAAACTATCATCATTATCATGTCACAGAGCTCTTGCTGCTGGGGTGGTGGAATATCTGATGCAGGGAATAACAACATAAGAGTAAGGACAGATTTCCTTCTAAGAAAGATACCTTAGAATACCAGGAAGGGAGCAGGGCTTAAGGGTTGCCCCATAGGGTAGTGGAACAGTGCAGATGTCTTGTGCCTTGCCACTGGGAGCATTCTTTGACATTGTATTTTCACTTTTTTTTTGTTTTGTTTTCCCTTTAAAGAAGACATGGAAATGAATGTAGTTTGAGGATTCTGTTCAAACTGATTACTGGGAGCCACCCTAAACCAGAACTGATCAGACTGCTGCTGGAGACTTTACAACTTGGGTGGTCTCTTTCAAAGCTGAAAAATCAGCAAAAGGGCAGAAGATGGGGTGAGATGCTTATCCCTGAATAAAAGGATGATGGTTTTAAAACTGTGTTTTTAATATATTTTCTAAATTTGATGACAACTCTGGCTTAAGCCATAGCCATTTCTAAGGTTCTCTGAGTAGCGTTTCCCTTGGAGATTGGCTTGATTATTGGTTTAGGTCTTGACTCCTTTCTAAATGTATATAATCAGTTCTTCTAGAACTCCATAAAATCCCTCTTCCCAAAGGAAGAGGTCTTTGCTGGAAGCTGTGATGGGCTGCAGAGAGAGACAGACTGGGAGATCTGTGTCAGGGAACTTCCAGCCTAATTGGACAAAGGAAAACATTTGGAACATATTTATGAGCACCAACAGGTCTACAGGGTGAGAGATAAAAATGTGTGTGGAAGGGACATTTATTGAATGCTTGCTATGTGCCAGAACTTACTTTTAAATTTGGGACCGAGGAGGCTAGGGACAGAAGACCAGTTAGGAAACAACGGTAGGAGTCCCTTGGACTAAGGTAGGGGCAGTAGGGAGTGATACAATTTGGGAAATAGTTTATTGCAAAAGCCCTTCAGAAAATGGTGCCCATAGCTTTTGGTCCCCATGAACCCAGCATCTGGCACTTATGAAATGCTCAAGTTTGTTGTCCTGGAATTCTTCTTGATTAATTGCTTGGTTCACTACACATCCTAAGGAAAAATTTCACTGTTTATTCCATTCAGAAATCTGGAGCAAAATGTAGCTATAAGGATGTTTATCATAATATGATTTTTAATTGAAGTATGGGAAAAATATGTCAAAGTAGGGGATGGCTCTTATGTTGGATGAAATGTTTGCAATTATTAAGAATTATTTTTTCAATGGGTATTTCATGACAGTAAATTCTCTTGACATAACGTTAAGTGTAAAAATAATACAAACTAGGCTGTGTGTGTTGGCTCCTGCATGTAATCTCAGTACTTTGAAAGGCCGGGGAGTATGGATCACTTGAGGTCAGGAGTTCAAGACCAGGCTGGCAATGTGATGAAACCTCGTCTCTACTAAAAAATACAAAAATTAGCTGGGCATGGGGCACATGCCTGTAGTCTTAGCTACTCAGGAAGCTGAGGCAGGAGAATCGCTTGAGCCTGGGAGGCGGAAGTTGCAGTGAGCCTTAATCGTGCCACTACATTCCAGACTGGGCAATAGAGTGAGTGAGACTCCATTTCTAAATAAATAAATGATAATAATAATAATGCAATTACATATAAATGGCATTCTCCTGATTCATACCATTAAATACTTTTTAATATTCTGTGTTAAAAAATATACACAGACAATAAATAAGAAAATACACCAGCATGTTAATCATAATTATCTTGAGTTTTAAGAGTACAACCATCATTTATTTTCTTCTTTCAACATTTTTATATTTTCCCGATCTTATACCATAGAGAGGTAAAACTTTTCAAATCAGAAGAATAAAAATTATTGTGAAATAAAAAAAAATCCCAAGAGGAAACCACTTAAAGGTTCAGAAGATTATGCTCAAGTGTTAGTGTTGCCTTATGATGTAGGTAAATCACTTAACCTCTATGGTTCACAGTTTCCTCATCTGTAAAATGGCCATAATGACATCTGCTTGGTTATTATCAGGCTACTGTAAATGTCAAACAAAATAAGGGATGTGAAAATGCTTTGTTACTAATAAGTTGCTTCAGGAATGTGCAAGATCCTGGTTGTTACTATATTTGCTCCTCTTAATGAGATGCAAAAGTGGATGCTAGAGGTTCCCTCAGGTAGGTGTGGTCAGCTGGCAACCTAATCTGGAGAAGGAGAGAAGGAGCTTCTCCCAGCTTGAAGCCATTTTGTTTGAATGGGGTCTAACAAGTCTGGCCAAAAATAATTTCACTGTGCCGAAGAGAAAAGGAATAAAGCTATTCTGGGAAAGATCAAAAAGTTGGAGTAAGAGGGCCCCAGAAAGTATAAACCTGCTGAGATGACACTTCTCATTTTCAGTCTGTCTGTAAGACTGGGTTCTCCTTCTAGTACTGTGACTTCAGTCTTCAGTAACCTTGAACCAACCCTGACTTCCTCTGGGCCGCTGGTTCCTGTGGAGCCAATGAAGGCTTTTAAGGGCTGGTCTCTAAGCTGTTTTTCCTCAGCACCTGTTCTCATGTTCTATGGGTTCTTTAATCAGCATTATAATAAAGAATTGATGCAAACTATTCAAATGAAAGAAGATGAAGGATATGAAGAGAACTCACACAAAAAGGAGTGGGGTGGGAGGAGAGTGGGCAAGCCAAGGGATGTATATTACAACCAGCAAACATATTTTGTGCCTGTATTAAATGAAGGTGCTCGTGATTCATGCTGAGGGTTCAAAAACATTGGTCATAGTTCTTGCCTGCCTTGGAAGACATGCGAAAGACATGCTCGGTTTCTGATTGCTAAGAATGCATCCAGGGAGTGAGCACCCAGGAGATATGAGCAGGCAGGTGAGGGCTGGGCTGATTAGGGAAGGTCTTAGACGTCAGGGAGCTGGGCAAGGTCTCCCAGACTGGGAGAGAACAGGAAGCACAGGAATGAAAATATGTTTAGGGAACAAGAAGTTAACAACTTCTTTCAGTTTGGAAGCTTCTCATTGAGTTATCTTGAGCAAATCACTTTAATTTCTGTTTCTTCAGTTGTGCAAATGAGGTTAATACTACTTCTTAGGCTGTTGGGATGATTAAATGAGGGAAAAGAGATGAAGTTCCAGGAATATAGTAACTATTGAAAAAAATATTAATTTCTTTTCCTCTTTTTTTTTTTCCTCTTTTTTTTCCCTGCTAGGTAGATGATGTTAGTCTGGAACTAGACATGATTGCAAATTGGTGGCCCATGAGCCAGACTTAGTCTGTAGATATGTTCTGTTTAGATCACAGAATTCTGACTTACACTATGTTTTAAAAAGATTTTGAATTACTTGGCGACACTTGAAAATTAGGAGATTTCACATAAATATCCAGGTTTCTGGCTTCTCTTGAAAAATCAGATATGGCCACTGGGGGCCTGTGTTACCACTTGGCACCTACTGGCTGGCGCTGAGTCAGGGCTGCTGCTGTGTGTGGGACCTGCATTCCCCACTTCTCCACAGTCCCCACAATTCCCTACTGAGCCCCTGCACTGAGGCAAATGTCAGTTGCAATTTATCATTGTTTGAACTATTTTGTTTTTATTCTTAAATTGAGTTAAAAGTTGAGTGAAATTTCTTTTTATAGCAAAAGCAGAAAAATGAAAGGTTGGCCAAGAACGTCATAAGTTTCCAAAACAAAGAGAAAAGGAAAGGAAGAGGGCATATTTCTTTGGGGAAGTGAAGAAAATTCCTGTGTGTTTCATATCCAGGCAGCACAAGACTGTATCAAAAGAATACACTAGGCTTGCTTCACTTTTTATGTTACCTGCCGGGCCTTAGCAGTCATTTGGCTTTATTGCTGTCAGACTAGACCACTTGCTCTTATCAGTATAGGCTTGTGGAAAATATCAACCCCTCGTTATAATTTTCTCCGAGCCATGTAAAGGAAATTCAGGCAGAACTGAAGGGAACCACACAGACACCAATGGCGGTTGACATGAAGTCCATCAAGTTGGCTACTGAACAAGGCAAGAGGCCTTGATGAATATATATTAATTTTCTATGCAAGTGTATACTCAGGGCCTTGAGACAGTTGGTCCTTCAAGAGCTTCCTGGTAACCATGCCCAAAGATCACAGGTAACTAAGCAGTTGAGGTGACAGTCACTGGCACTAAGGAAATCTATGGTTTAGAAAGGCACTGGCCAACAGAAATATAGTGTGAGCCACATGTAATTTGTACTTTTGTGGCAGCTACATTGTAAAAAGTTTTTAAAAACCAGTGAATTTAATTTTAATATTTTTTTACCCAATATATCTGAAATATTGTCATTTTAACATTTTAATATGTAATCGATATAAAAAATAAATGAGGTAGTATTACATTCTTTTTCTTGTCAAGTAGGTCTTTGGAATTTGGTGTGTATTTCACATTTACAGCACATTCCAGTTTAGGCTGACCACGTTTCATGTGTGCAATAGCCCCTGGGGCCAGTGGCCACCTGATTGGACAGTGAGGATTTCAAAGATAGATGGGAGCATCAGCATTATGGAAGCTTTATTGGCTTGCTTCTAGTCTTTGCTGATAGCTGGCCAGGCCTTGATTTCCCCCCCTCTCAGGTACCCTAGAGCTGTATATCAGTCAGTGACCACTGGCTTGAGAGAGGTCTTACATTATTGTCTGTAAGATGAACCTACAGCTTTCTTCCTGACTTTAACAGTGAGCAACTTGAAGGTAACCCCATTTTTTTTTTCTTTTCTTATAAACTCTCCTGGATGCAGGATGTATGGGACACCATACAGCAGGTGCTTACTATATTTTTCTTGGCTGACTATGCTTTTCTTTCAAATAGAGTTTGAGTTCTTCCATAGTAGAAAATTCACAAAGTTGAGGTTTCTGTTTTGATACATGATATTGGCTTTTTCTCCTCCAAAATCAATATCCAATTGAATCTGACTTTGAGTGTCAACAGACATTCATTGATTGGCTCACAGGTTCATTAACCACATGTCAGGCATATTGCTAGGCACCAGGAATTCCACAGATCACAAAAGCATATTTATTACTCAATAAGTATTACTCAATATATATACATATTTTTGTTATAAATATATAACATATATATATTTTTGTTATATATATATATCATATGCCGTTCATTATGACAGATCCAGTAATAAACGTAGAGTGAGAAAGAGTGAAAGAGTGAGGGAACAAATGGAGAAGTGGCCCATTTGTGTAGAGAGGTTAGGGAAGGCTTCACAGAAGAGGTGATGTTTCAGCAGGGCCCTGAGGAATGAGTATTCAGCAGGCAGGAAGAAGGGCATGAACTTACACTTGTGTGGTCAGCACATGCAAAATTCTGGAAGACAGCCCCAAATAAGGGCTGATGGCCAAAGCAGATGGCCCAGCTGTGTCTTTTCACTGTGGGTTCATAGGTGAGCCTGCAGACCCCTAAGTTTGATATTCGCTTAGCCTTCTGTTTTATCCTGACTTTATCACGATGCTGCAAGGTGTGAAATGCCTAACTCTATGACCAACTTCAGAAGGCTTCCATTTCCCTGGCTACCTCCCAAAAATTTAGACAACTTTACTTGTTTTTACACAAGGACCTTTTGGGCCCCAACTAAAAGCCACTTCTGTAGAAGTATCTTAAATGGACTTCTGAAGAACCTTCAAAATTAACTACCATTAAACCGTAACCAAAATGTACATGTGGATTTGAGATGTGTCAACATGTGTTTTGCATCTTTCACTTGTGAAATTTATGTGTCTTTCATGGCCTTTGGACAGACCCCATGTGTTTCACATATGGCTGGTACATTTCTTATTAGGAATGGTATAAAGAGGGTCAGGAGAATCAGACTACTGTATTGGTAAACATAAGGTTTGAGATCCACTGATAAAAAATGGCTTTCAAAACATCCACTTTAATCGGAAGAACATTTATCTTGGGAACATAGAATTTTATGGCTGGAAGGGATCTTAGAGAGAACCTGGTTCAACCCAGTCATTTTACACATAGAAACGGAGACTGTGAGGGGTTGTGAGTCACACAAAGCTCCCAGATATTAGTGGCAGATCAAGGATGAGAACTTAAGCTGTCTGATTTCCAGCCCAGTGCTTTTTACTATTTTTCATCCTGCTTTGCTGATGATTCTCATTAGAAGAGCATTATCATTTTCCAGTTTAAAATGATTTCTGGATAGCAGTTCTGGAAAGTTCTCCAGATTCCAACTATGAAGACATAAGATGAAAATTTGTGGGAACAGAGGCATGCATTGTTGGCTCAGAATTGTAGCCCCAGGGTCTAGCACAGTGCTTGGCTCATTGTAATTTCTTAATTAGTATTTGGGGAATGAATGAACCACACCGACAACAAAGATGATAGCCAATGTACTATCAGAATCTGTGAGAATACCCACAAAGATCACAAGACCTATAAAACTAAAATGAGAACTGCAGTTGGGGGCCGACATATGCTTTGCCTAAAGGAACCTTGATCTCATGTAGAATATGTTTCTATCCAGGGGTGATATTCAAAATATTTAATGACCATGACCACACAGTCACCAGCGCTCAAAGTAGAGGCTGCTGTGAACAATCAGAACTGGAGCCCACCACCTAAACACCTATATCTTCTCCTGTTTGATTGTTCTTTGACATGTCAGAATATGGTTTCCCTCTTCTCCCACCCAATAATTCTCCTTTCCATGTCTCCTGAGAGAATAAAACTCCAATAAAACTTCAGAGAAGGAAGGAAATATGGATAATGGATGTTTATATTATTACATGGAAGAAGTAGTTTCAGAGAGTAAAGCTCTGCAGGTAGAAAGAACTAGTAGCATTGCATGCTGGACTTAATTTGGGCATACTTCATTATTTTAGAGTCTTTATGAGCCAGGAAATACAAAAATGGCATTTCTGCAGTATGGCTGTACTAGGTGAGCATCTGCTACACCCATGGAGCTCTGGATAGCTGTGCGTATTTTCCTGCCTTCTTACTATTTAATATATACTAGGACGGGGTTTTACCAAAATCAAGGTTGTCAGCAAGTGGGATGAAGGGAATTACACACACCACACCTACTGGCAAACACTAAGTCTGGATGCATCTCTTTTAATTTTAAGACTGGAGAACAGGAAAAGCCCAACATGGAACATATTAAAAAGATTGCATAAGAAGTGATGAATAAAACATTGAGAAACTTCTTGAAATCCTCTGAAGGATGCATGAAGTTTTGGCTTCCATGAAACAGGAACAAAAATTATGAGGAGGAAATAGCCTGAAATGGTAATAATGAAAATGCAAAAGAAATTAAACATACAATTGAATAATTTAATCCTCACTGAAGACAGAAAATATCAAAATTGACAATGCAGAAGACTGAAGCAATGATATTGATGACAAACTAGTTTGTTTTTTCCAGATTGGAGAGAAAAATTGACACAGCGATAAGTGGAGAATCAACATAGGTAGAATCAGGAGTATGGACTCTGAAGATGTACTCCCTGGGTGCAAATCCTGACTCTATTTACACTAGCAGTGTGACATTGGGCTAGTTACATAACTTCTTGGTGTCCTCAACTGTAAAATGGGACTAATAACAGTACCTGCCTCAAAGGGATTTATATTTAAATTAAATCAACTTCTATTGGTATAGTGCTTAAACCAGGGGTTAGCATATAGCAAATGCTATATTTGATAAATACATAGAAACAATGAACAAGAAGATTACAGACATGGAAGACAGAAGATGACAATTAAACTCAAGAACTTAACCATCAGTAAGAAAAAGCAAGTAATTAGATCAGCAACAATCTTAAATACAATTACTATTTTTAACTTCCCAGTTCCAAGCAGCCTACTTTGTTCACCACCAGCTCTCCAGCCTAGGACTTATGTCTAAATGGTTTTCAGTGTCCCCATCTGAGAGAGTACTGCTGCTCTCATTACTATCTTTTCCTCTACTCTCTTCATTTCCCTTCACCATTTATATCCCCACTTGAAATTATATAAGTTACTGTTTTGTTTACTATCATTTGAATATGAGTGCTGTGAGTTCAAGGCCTTAATCTCTCTTTGCCATTGTCATAGACCTTAAAAAATGTCTTGGATAAATGAAGAAACTCCCCTGCTGAACAGAAATACTGGAATGGACATATCAGAGGGGCTTGCAGTATCAGGTAACATTAACTAAGAAAGCCATTCTTAGATACCTATTGCCAAACTTTTGGAAATGAAATAACCGAAGGCATCCATGCCTTACCCCCACACAAAATAATCAGTTTTCCTGACTACAAGTTAACAAAAATTTTTCTGACTTCATCCTTATTCTCTGCTGTAGTGGATGACAGAAAACAATAGAACGATGTTTGTAAATCTTTTCAAGGAAAACATTGTAAGTCAAGAATTTTAATGTCCATGTACTAGAGAAATTAGACAATATAACCACTGTGTCTTTCTTTCAAAGAGTGATGAATCAAAAATAAGACCTTGGTAATGAGGCAGTCAATATAAAAGGAGGTGTTGGGTATTCATACTCTTCTGTTGTGCTTTAAAGGGCATCCTTATGGACAAGACTCCCACATTGAGATCTCTGGCCCTTGTAGCAGGCTGAATAATGGTCTCCGATAGATGTCCATTTCCTCATGCTTGAAATTTGTGAATATATTACTTTATTTGGTAAAAGGGACTTTACAGATGTGATTCAATTAAGAATTTTGAGATGGGAGATTATCCAGGCCTAATGTAATCATAAGGATCCTTAATAAGAAGGTGGCAGAAGAATCAGAATGAGCAAGAGTAGTAGGAGATGTAACTCAATGCAAGCAAGAGGTTGGAGTAATGTGAGATACAGGTCATGACTCAAAGAAATGTAAGCAGTGTCTGGAAGCTGAAAAAGGCAAAGAAATGATTTTCCTCTCAGAGCCTCCAGAAGGAATCAGCTCCTCTGACAACTTGGCTTTAGCCCAGTGAAACTGATTTTGGACTTGACCTCCACAACTACAAAATAGCAAACTCATATGTAGTTATTAAAAGTTGAGGTAAAATTCACGTAACAGTTAACTGTTTCAGAGTATAATTAAGTGGCATTTAGTGCATTCACAATACCATCTCTAATTTCAAAACTTTTTCATCACTCCAGAGGAAAATCCCTTGCCCATAAAATAGCAATTCCCCATCTTACTGTCTTCTACCCCTTGCATCCCCTAGAAACCACTAATCTGCTTTCTCTCTATAAATTTGTCTATTCTGGAATGTTTCATATAAAAGCATTGATACACTATGTGGCCTTTTGTGTCTGGCTTCTTTCACTTAACATAAGGTTTCTGAGGCTCATCTATGTTATACCACGTGTCTGTACTTTCTTTCTTTTCATAGTTGAATAATATTCCATTATATGTTTATACCGAAATTTGTTTATCCATTCACCCATTGATGGACATTGGAGTTGTTTCCATCTTTTGGCTCTTATGAATAATACTGCCATAAACACTTATGTGGAAGTTTTCCTGTGGACATATTTTTATTTCTCTTGGATACATACTCTAGGAGTAGAATTGCTGGAGCATACAATAACTATGATCCATATGCTTATGCTTATTCTTAACTATCTGTTTACTTTTTGAGAGACTGCCAAGCTGTATTCCACAGTGGCTGCATTATTTTACATTCGGCTAGCAATGTACAAGAGTTCAAATTTCTCCACATCTTTGCCAACACATGCTATTTTTGTTTCAGTTTTTTGGATTATAGCCACCTTAGTAAAAGTGAAGTGATATATTATTGTGGTTTTGATTTGCATTTCCTTAATGGCCAATAATGTTGAAAATGTTGAACATCTTTGTGTGTGCTTGCTGGCCATTTGTAGCAATGTCTATTCAAATTCTGTTCATTTTAAGTTGGGTTGTTTATCTTTTTGTTGGTGCATCGTAAGAGTTCTTTATGTAATTTGGATATTAACCCCTTATCAGATATGTGGTTTGCAAATATTTTCCCTCAATCTGTAGTTTGCCTTTCACTCTGTTAATTGTGTCCTTTGATGTACAATTTTTTTCATTTTTATGATGTCCAATTTATCTACTTTTTTCTTTCATTGCTTGTGCTTTTGGTATAAAAACCTAAGAATCCATTGCCAAATTTGAAGTCATAAAGATTTATTTCTACATTTTATTCTAATAGTTATATAGTTTTAACTCATATTTATATACTTCAGGGACAACAGGACTCACCGGTCAAAGCTTTGAAGTAAACCTTGTTTCCAGGGAGAGGAACAAAGTCCTGGCTGTCTCTGGCAGTTCTTCCTTAAGTCAAGATGTTATCTTTCTTAGGAAGGACGTGAACAAGGCTGGGCTGTTTTGGGTATTTCCTGCTTCTCTCAGCATATCGCCATTTCTAGCATATTCTACATTTGTTCTGAGAACTACATACATGAGGGAAATAAGGGGGAAAACCAGGTTGGCTATCTGGGGACTATCTAGAGTTAATTTTTGTATATGGAGCAAGGTAGGGGTCCAGTGGCATTCTTTGGCATGGCATTATCTAGTTATCCCATCACCAGTTGAAGAGATTATTCTATTCATGAATAGTCTTGGTGCCCTGGTAAAAAAATCAACTAGTCATAGATGTTTGGTTTATTTCTGAACATTAATTCTATTTTTTTGGTCTATATGTCTAGCCTTATGTTAGTATCACATGGTTTTGGTCACTGTATTTTGGTAGTAAGTTTTGAAATCAAGAAGTGTGATTCCTCCAACTTTGTTTTTCTTTTTCAGTGTTGTTTTGATTATTCGGGATTCCTTGCAATTCCATATAAATTTGAAAGTTAGCTTTTTTATTTTTGCAAAAATGGCCTTTGGAATTTTGATGGGGTTTCATCAATCTACAAATATGGTTATTTTATCATTATTAAGTCTTCTATGAAATTCATATACATTTCCATTTATTTAGGTCTTTTAAATTTTCTTTCAGAAGTGATTTGTAGTTTTTAATATACAAGTTTTTTACCTTCTTGGTTAAATTTATTGCTAGGTATGTTATTCTTTTGGATGCTATTGTAAATGGAATTATTTTCTTAATTTTCTTTTTGGATTGTTCATTGCTAATATATAGAAAAACAACTGATTTTTGCAGCTTTGCTGATTTTGTTGATTGCCTCTAGTATTTTGTGTGTATATGTCTTCTTTTGGATTTTCTATATGTGGAATCATGTCATCTACAGGTAGAACATATTTTGCTTCTTTCTTTCAAATTTGGATTCCTTTTATTTCTTTTTCCTGCCTAACTGCTCTGGCTAGAACTTCTAGTAAAATGATGAATAGCAGTGGTGAGAATGAGCATCCTTGTCTTATTTCTGATCTTATGGGAAACACTTCAGTCTTTCACTATTAAGTACGATGTTTGTTATGGGGTTTTGATATATGCCCTTTATCAAATGGAAGAAATTCCTTCCCATTGCTAGTTTGCAGAAACATTTTTAAAAACCACAAAACGGTGTTCAATTTTGTGAAATTTTTTTCCGCATCTACTGAGATGATTACGTTTTTTCCATTTAGTCTAACATGTTGTGTTACATTGATTAATTTTTTATTTATTTAGAGATAGGGTCTCATTCTGTCACCCAGGCTACAGTGTAGTGGCCTGATCATAACTCACTGCAGCCTTCAACTCCCTGACTCAAGTGATCCTCCCACTTTAGGCTTCTAAGTATCTGGGACTACAGGTACTGCCACCATACCTAATTAAAAAAAAAAGGTTTTTTGGAGACAGGATCTTGCTATGTTGCCCAGACTGTTCTCAAACTTGAGGCCAGCCTCACGCAATCCTCCTGCCTCAGCCTCCTAAGTAGCTGGGACTACAGGAGCACACACACCATCACACCTGGCTTGATTAACCTGTCCTTATGTTGAACCTCCCTCACATTCCTGGAGTAAGTGCTATTTGGTCATATGTATAATCCTTTTAATGAGCTGTTCAATTAATTTGCTAATATTTTCTTGAGTCCTAGATTTTTCATTTAGCAGAGGTTTTTAAATGCTAATTTTGATTACTCATTCAATGTCTTTGCTTATCATAGGTGCTTTGATATTTTCTATTTCTCCTTGCATCTGTATTGGTAATTTGTGTGTTTCTAGGAACTTGTTATTTCCTCTAGTTTATGTAATTTTTTGGTCCCTAATTGTTTATAATATTCTAATTCTTTTAGTTTCTGTAAAGTTAGTAGTAATATCCTCACTCTAATTTTTGATTTTAGTTATTTATGTCTTCTTTCTTTTTTTCTTCATCAATCTAGCTAACAGTTTGCCAAATTTTTATCTTTTCAAAGAACCAGATTTTGTTTTTATTTTTTAAAAATTCTCTCTATTATTTGCCTTTTCTCCATTTTATTTATATATGCTCTAATATTTATTATTTTAATCCTTCTGCTGGCTTGGGATTTAGCTTTTTCTAATTATTTCAGGTGTAAAGTTAGGTTGTTGATTTGAGAGCTTTCTTTTTTATTGTGGGCATTTACAGCTATAAATTTCCCTCTGAGCACTGTTTTTGCTGCATCTCATATATTTTGGTATATTGCACTTCCATTTTTATTCATCTTTAATTTTCCTAGTATTTCCTGTTTGACTCATTTGTTGTTTGAGTATGGTTTAATTTTCATATGCTTGTGAATTTTCCAGTTTTTCTTCTATTATTGATTTCTGGCTTTATTCTATCATGGTCAGAGAAAATGCTTTTTATGATTGTCTTTTTAAATTAATTGAGAATTGTTTTATGATCTAACATATAGTTTATCCTGGAGAATGTTCCATGTGTACTGCAAAAGAATGTGTTTTCTGCTGTTGTTGGGAGAGTGTTCTGTATATGTGTTAGACATAGTCAGTTTATAATGTCTTAATTCCTCCATTTCTTTCTTGATCATTTGTCTAGATGTTCTGTCCATTATTGAAGTGGAGTACTAAAGTCTTTAAACCCTATTGGAAGAAAAAGAGGAATTACAAACCAAAAGTACAATAATATTAGCTTTATTTATCTATGTATTTATCTTTATCAGATCTTTATTTCTTTATTACATTGAGTTACTTTAGTGTCCTTTCATTTCAACCTGTAGGACTACTTCTAGCTTTTCTTATAGAACAGGACTGCTAGCAATAAACACCTTTAGTGTTGTTTACCTGTCTTAATGTCTCTTTTTAAAAAAATTTCTAAAATTGACAAAATTATACATATTTTTATGTACACAATGTTTCAAAAAGTATATACCTGTGTAATACCTAAATAAAACTAATTAATATATGCATTAGTTTACATACTTACCTTTTTTTGTAATGAAACACTTAAAATTACTTTTAGTGATTTTCAAGAATACATTGTTATTATCAATAATCACTATGTTGTACGATAGTTCTCTTCAACTTATTTCTACTCCCTTGCATTTTTGAAGGATAGTTTTGTCAGATATAGAATTCTTTGTGGACAGTATTTTTTTCTTATAGCACTTTAAATATATCATCCCATTTCTTTCTAGCCTCCATGATTTCTGACAATAAATTTCACTGTTAATCTTATTGAAAATCATTTGAACAATATCAGTCTCTTCTCTCTCGTGCCTTTCAAGATTTTCTCTTTGTCTTTTGACAGTTTATTACAATGTGTATTGGTGTCAATCTCTTTGGGTTTATTCTACTTAGAGTTATTGAAGTTCTCTGACATGTATATTCATGTCTTCCATAAATTTGGAAAGTTTTCAGCCATTATTTCTTTAAATATCTTGTTGTTTCCTTTCTCTATCTCTTCTCCTTCTGGGAGTCTCAAAACCCATATATTAGTATACTTGACAGGTCTCATAGGCTTTGTTTATTTTCTTCATTCTTTTTTCTTTCTACTTCACATATCAGATAATTTTAATCACCCTATCTTCAATTTTGTTGATTCCTTCTTTTGTTTGTTCATATCTGCTGTTGATCCTCTATAACAATTTTTATTTCAACTACTGTACTTTTAAACTTAAGATCTTCTATTTGATTTTTTAAATAGAAATTTCCTACTTGTTCATACCTTGTTTTTCTAATTTTCTTTAGTTCTTGTCCATGGTTTTCTTCAATTCTTTCAGCATATTTAAGACAGTTAATTTAAAGTCTTTGTCTAGTATGTTTAATGTCTGGGCTTCCTCTGGGATATCTTCTGTTGGTTCCTTCTTTTCTTATTTCTTTGTGTGTTTTGAATTTTTTGCTGAGAACTGGACATTTTGAATATTGTAATGTGGTAACTCTGGAAATAAGACCCTCCTTTCCAGATATTGCTGATGTTGCTTGTTAGGGAGTACAATTACACATGTGTTTAGTGACTTTTCCAAACCATTTTTGAAAGGACAATATTTCCTGTCATGTGTGGTCACTAAAGTCTCTTTTACATGACATCTGCAGTCAGCCAGTGACATGATCTAATAAGAAAAGAGAAAATAAATTTGAAACTTGTTCTGTCTTTTAAAATTCTTGAATAGACACTGACCAGGAAGCTGCTCAGTCCATGGGGGTTGGAATAATGGCCAGTCACTGTGCCAGTTCCTCAGTGACCCATCAGGCAGATTGAAAAACACAACACTGCTTCTTAGAGATCAAGGTTTTTATTGCTCAACGTGGCATCAATAAGCTGCACCAGAGATGCCAACCACCATCCTCATATCTCATTGTTCTTTGACCTTATTGTCTTTTCTTCTTCTTTTTCTAAATTATGCCAGGCTGTCACTTACTCCTCCGTCCTGGAAGTTCTTCCCCAGATTGACACATGACTGGCCCTTTTTGAGAATTCAACTGACTGCTCAGATATTATCTTCTCAAAGAGGTTTTCCCAATCATCCAGGGTAATGACACTCTAGTTCTTTTATTCCATTATTCTGGGATTTTTGTTGCTGTTGTTGTTGTTCCTTCACTGCAGTAATCATTAGCTGGATTATTTTGTTAATTTAATGCTTATTACAAATATATTGTCCATCTTCTGCACCAGAATTTAAGCTCCATGAAGTCAGGATTTTGTCAATCTTGTTAACTGTTTTATCCCTAGTACCTGGTCTGTAGTATACTTTCAGTATATATTTATTGAATAAATAAATGAATTAATGCAATCAGGTTTAAGTAGCTTTTATAAGCCTCCTTGCCAAACTGAAAGAAAATATAAAGAATGATTGTGTCTAAACTCAAGACTACATAAAAGATTGGAAAGTGGAAGTGGGGCACAAATTCAAGGCAGTAAATACATAAATTATTTTTTCTGAATCAGGGAGTCAAAGGAGTAAAAATATTAATACAGATGCTTGACTGTTTTTATTGGAAACACTAAAGTGTATTTTTGACTTATGATATTTTCAACTTGCATGGGCTTATCCTGACCTAACCTCATCATAAAAAAGGAGCGTACTGAATGCTATATTTTAATAACTTTCAACATCGACTACTAATTGGTTTATTTTAGTTTTTATTATGTAGTTATGGTATTATTGTGTTATTTAAAACCAAGCTAAAGTGATATAGCTTTCACACCATTGTAAAGTTGAAAAATTGTAAGTTGAACCATTGTAAGTCAGGGACCATTTAAAATTAGAAACACATATGGTGAAAAAATCATCTAAAAAATGGTTAAAGGTAACTATTGATATAAATAAAAATAGCATATATATCATTTATAATGTACTAATTATATATTATATAATCCTAATGACAAAATGTTTTTTTAAAAAGTTAAAAAAAGTATAATCCTAATAACAAACAAAAGAAAAGAGTAAAGGGAATGCAAAAGCAAAAGCTGAAATGTCTGCAATGGCAGATGACAAAGCATATCATTTTGACTATAAAAATAAATGACCTACCTTCTATTAAAAATAAAATATCATCAAATAAAATTAAAAAATGGAAAAGATTTACCAGGGAAATGTAAACCAAAGGAAATCAGGGTGACAATATAACTTTCACACAAAGTAGATTGCAGGGCAAATTGTGTTACATAGGATATAAAGAGTCCTTTTATAATGCTGGAAGGTGAAATTTACAATGAAAATATCAACGTAGTATATACCAGTATATACCACATGACTGTCATGAACTATAAAAAGCAAAAATGGGAGATATAGTAGAGGAACACAAGTTTCTAACTGTGAGAAATGCTTCTTCTGGTATTTAGGAGTTGCTGTGCAGTACAAATAAATATACCGAGAGTCTTTACAATTTAAAAGACCACATTAATTAGTATAATAAATGCTTTTATACCTTACCAATAGGTTGCATCTTCTTTTTAAACATGCATAAAACACATCAAATTGATCACACAATAGGCCCTTCAAAACAAAAATAAATTAAAACCTTCTCAAAGGCAAAAATTTTGCAGCTGCATTGTAGAAAAGCTAAAAATGTAAGAAGAATGGGGAACACACAGAGAAAGAAATATGCAACCAAAACCCTAAGGTAGCAACTAAAAAAATACACACACATCTAAATAATTATTTATTCAAAAAGGAAATCAAAGCAGGCTATTTAAAAAATAATGAACAATTTTTTTAGAAAATAATAAATATGAAAATATTGCATTTCAGAATATAACATGACTAGTTTTCTTTATAATGATGAAAGGTGAAATCTACAATGAAAGTATAAAATATGTACCAGATTGTGAGTGACATGACTGTCATTCATGGCTTTAAATAACATAATAATAGCATAATTACATAATAAAACTAAGCTAAATCAATCAGTAGTCAATGTCAAAAGTTATTAAGATCTAACAAGTAAAACAGCCCAGGAAAGAAAGATTATAGGATTAAGAATGAATAAAAGACACAAAAAGTAAATATAATGGCTTGTGCTTTAAAAAGGAGACAAGTTTCTCATAAATATAAATAACACAAATAAAAGAAAGGTGATAAATCAAAGGATACAGATATTTTTTAAAAGATGAAGCAAATATTGTTTATATTTCTTTGTCAACAAAAATCTCAAAGGAAATGATAATTTTTTCAGAAAAATATAAAAGGTCAACTTTAAAGAAAGGGAAAATCAGAAGAGCTCAATAAACATGAAAATAATTTATTAAAATACTATTTCTTAAACAATGGGACAAGAAACTTTTACCAGTTTGATACTTCAGTCTTTCAAGGAGCATAATTCTCATGCTATATAAACAATTCCTGAGGAAAAAATAATGGGGAAGCTAAGTAATTCTTTTTATGAAAGTAGTGAATATATAAAAAACCCTGTAAATATAATACATAAAAGAACCACAAAATAATATCATAAGTGATTATATTTTAAAATGCCACATTAAAGTTGAACAAACCAAACTCAACAACATAATAAAATAAAAAGCACATTTCTCCTTGAAGTAGTCGAGCCCATTCTTAATGGTTTAATATTGAGGACATCTATCTCCATTCTAAAATGTACCTTTCTTTTTCATGTTTCAGCATGTCTCAAATTACAGTGTATTTTATAATCAAGGAAACATGACAGGATAGTATTACTTGTGCTAATCTCACTAGATGTTAAGAGGTCAGTAGACAAAATTAAACAACGACTTTTGCTTTAAAAATATTTAGGAAGCCATGAATCATAGGATACTTTTTAATATTATAAGAATACCACACTCATACCAACATTTTATATCAGTTAATAATAAAATACAAAAAAAACTCCATTAAATAGCAGAAATAAAACAAGAATGCCCACTCACACTGTAAGAACAAAAACAAAAGAAAGTAGTGGAGTAACAATCTGATAGGAGGAGGCGTACTAACCACCATTTGCAAATGGTGTGATTACATGGCTAGAAAACCCTAGATCATGGATGGAAAATCTTTTAGAATTAATAAGAAAGTTCAGCAAAGTTGCCTTATATGAAACAAATTGGCAACAATCACTAGATTTCCCAAATGCTAGCCATATCCTGTTAAAAAGGTATAAAGGGGTAAAAAGAAAAATCTCAGCAGCAAAAGGAAACAGGGTCCTATGCTCAACAATAACAAGAAAGGCCTGGGACCCATGGGAAGAAAACTATGTAATTTCATGGGAAGATGTAGAAATTCTGAATAAACCCTATGGTTTTGGATACAATGATTATACATGACAAAGATGTTCATTACTTTCAAAGTAGCTCCTAGTTTTAAAATAAATCTCCTTTTACATAGGATAAATGTACATAGATACAGAAGACTGCGAAATGAGAAAAAATATAGACAGACATTTAATTGACATGGGAATCGTAAAACTTTTCTTAAAGTAAAAAGATAAAAAATTTAAAAAAGCAAAAAGAAAAAGAATTTGATTACATGAAAAATTTGGAAGACAAATGACAACTTGAGCAAAATAGTTTCAAGATTATTGAAGCATGAATATTTTATATATAAGAAAAGCTTTTAAAATTAGTAAGTAAAACATTAAAAATATGATAAATTCTTAGGCAAAAAACATGACTGCTATGAGGCTGGGCACCCACCTCCTCCTGTAATTCCAGAGTTTTGGGAGCCTGAAGTGGGAGGATTGCTTGAGACCAGCCTGGGCAATATAGCAAGACCCTGTCTCTACAAAAAACTTTTTTTTAAAAAGGTAGCTGGCCATGGTGGTGCACTCCTGTAGTCCCACCTACTTGGAAAACTGAGGTGGAAGGATCGCTTAAGCTTAGGAGTGCAAGGCTGAGTGAGCTATGATAGCGCCACTGCATTCCAGCCTGGGTGACAGAGCGAGACTCTGTCTCCGGAAAACAAACAAACAAAAACAACAATTTAAAAGAGCCAGGTTGGGTGTGGTCACTCATGCCTGTAATCCCAGGAGTGATTGGGAGGCCGAGGTGAGTGAATCGCTTAAGGCCAGGAGTTCAAGACGAGCCTGAGCAATATAGAGAGACCTTGTCTGCACACAGTTGTTTTTTTTTTATTGTTTTGTTTTGTTTTGTTTTGTTTTTTTAATTAGCTGGACATGGTGACATGCACCTTGTAGTCCTAGCTACTCAGAAGGCGGGGCAGGAGGATTGCTTGAGCTCAGGAGTTTGAGTCTGCAGTGAGCTACGATCACACCACTACACTCCAGCCTGGGTGACACAGCAAGACCCTGTCTCAAAAACAAATAAAAATATGGTTACATAATTGGTGAAATAAATTAAAGGGACCAGATACACATATAAAAATGTCATTCTTGCTACTAGTCAATGAGATGGAAATTAGCACAGAAGACAAATACCAATTTTCTTTTTCATACTAGAAGAATAAAATAATCTGTCATATCAGTAATGCAGTGATTGAAAGGGCACTATCACATATTGCTAATTGAAATAGAATGTTGTACTTTTCTCAAGTGTAATTTCTTCATGTGCATCATGAGCCTCGAAACTTTTTATATCCTCAGGTAATTCCATTGTTTAGGAATACTGCTTCATGAAATAATCACAGACACAAAGGCTTATGAACAAATATTGATGGCAGACATGCAAAGTGACAGACATATACAAGTAACACAGGGAAAGATACAACTGAAGATGGAATATGATACAGCCAAAATAACCAAGTTCTCTTCATGAAAATAGGACACAAAATTACATACAGCATGTTCTCAATTTTGTTAAAAATATGTGTGTGTGTGTGTGTGTGTGTGTGTGTGTGTGTATAAAGTGGTTTCCTCTTATATTCAGGGGATATTTTCTAAGGGCCCCAGTGGATGCCAGAACCCCTGGATGGCAATAAACCTTATCTATACTATGTTTTTCCTATACATACATATCTGTGATAAAGCTTAATTTATAAATTAGGTACAGTAAGAGATTAACAAAAATAACCAATAATAGAATAATTATGGCAACGTATTGCAATAAAAGTTACAAAAATGTATTCTCTCTCTTTATTTCTCAAAATATCTTATTGTGCTATGCACTGTAACTGAAATGTGGATAAGGGCAGACTATTGTATGCAAGATTGTATATGTACAAACAATAAAGTTCTGAAAGGAAATATACCTGAAGTATTAACAATATTAATTTTGGATGATGGAATTATGAGCAAGTTTTATTTTCATTCTATTTCTCTGTGTTTTCCAAAGATTCTAGAATAAAACTAGAATGGTCGTAGGGAACCCAGAGAACACAGATAAGGAAAACCCGCAGATCCCTTTTGTCTCTATTCCTGCCCATTTCTTCCCTCTACCTCCCTATCCATGGAAAAAGATGAAAAAGCAACCTGTATTTGTTAAAGAGAAACATAACAAAATGACTTGTCTTCTATTCTATTCCTGGGAGATCATTAAGCACCAGGTGGCCTCCGGAGTATGGGAAGACAGCAGGACCCAACTTCAGCCTTGTGTCCCTGTCAGGTCTTCTCAGCAGGTAGGGAGCTCTACTCAGACAATGATGTCCCCACCCGTGCAGAGCATGAGCTGGGAATGGGGCAGAATATGTACCAGGAATGGAGCCACCCTGATGGGTGGGCCTAACTCCAACTGATAAGCCGACAAAGACAATTCAGCTTTCCAGGAGGTATTAGCTTACCAAGGAGGTATTAGGAACAGGTCTATTTTCTGCAGTCTGCAACGTTTCACAGTGACTTTCTTATCATTGAAATTAAAGATCCACTCCTTTCACTTTGAATGCATATTCAAACCCTTAGCAAAGGCAAGAACCACTCACAGCAGGAGAGAATAAGGGATAAGAGAGTTCAGTTAGCCAAAAAGAAGCCAGTTAAGGAACCAGGAAGAAAGGAGGACACACTCTTTCCGTAGTTTACAGCACAAAAGAAACTTGAAGCCAGGGGCTTTCTGACCTGGCCATTTTCCCCCCTCATTCAAATTGAAAAAAACCTACTCTGTCTGGAAATCAAAAGGTTTTTAAGTCTGGAAGAGTCATTAAATATTTTCAGGTTTGAGTAATATCAATTTTTCAAGATGAAAAGACAAAAAACAGAAAAAGAAAAAAGAGGTCCATGGTCTGATACATTTGGAAAACTTTGTATACAATATTGTCTTTTTGGAAATTTCCAATAAGCATTTTAAAAACTTCGAAAATTCCTTCAAGTAAAACAAAGCAATCAACCTCTTTTCTTTGTTTAACCACTTATTTTCTAAATTTCTTTGATCACTGTTGTAGATTTGTTGATTATTGGCCATCAATGATCCCTCTTATCCTTCTATACTCAGGCCACTCCTCCCATCATGAGTTAGACTCTCCTCTACACTTAAACCTAGACCGACCATTGGGCAGAAGTGACACTGTGTTCGTTCTAGGGTGTGCCCTTGGAGGCCTGACAGCTTCTGCTTCTGCTCCTTTAGAAGCCACCTGCTATTTTGTAACGAAGTTTGGTCTAGATTCCTAAATGATGATGAGTCAAATGAAGGGAGGCTCTGAAGGATAAGAGGTCGCCTTGGATATTCCAGGCCCAGCCACATTCCCTGGTGAATGTAGATACATATACAACTGGAGTCTCTCATGAGGCAGAAAAACTACCCAGCTGAACCCAGCCAATCCACAGAATGTAAGGAAACCAAATCATTGTTATTTTAAGACCTGCCTTTCATGAGGACTTATTACTCAGTAATAGATAACTGATACAACCATGGAATTAGTTTTTTGTCTCACATTTATTATCATCGGCAGATCCCACTGCAGACCCACTGGGAAATGATGATATAACTCATCACCTTTATAGTATACAGTTGACCCTTGGACAACATGGGTTTCAAGTGTGTGGGTCCACTTATATGTGAATTTTCTTCTGCCTCTGCCACCCTGAAGACAGCAAGGGTCTTCTTCCTCTTCTCTTCCTCCTCCTCCTCAGCCTACTCAATGTGAAGATGATGAGGATGAAGACCTTATAATGATCCATGTCCACTTAATCAATATTTTATTTTCATTAGGATTTTCTTAGTAATATTTCTTTTCTCCAGCTTACTTCACTGTAAGAATGCAGTATATAATACCTATCACATATAAAAAATATTAATCGATGGTTTATGTGACTGGTAATGCTTCTGATCAGCAGTAGGCTGTTAGTAGTTAAGATTTGGAGGAGTCAAAAGTAATACACAGGTTTTTGACTGTATCCCTAACTCCTAAATTGTTTAAGCATGAACTGTATGTGAGAAATATGAAGCCCAACAGATAGGGATTGACTCACCAAGAAACACTCAGCTAGTAAGAACCAGAGCTGGGTACCTTTTTAAAGTAGAAATTTACTGAGACTCTTCTCAGGCATGAGCATTTTGTTAGGCACTGGGAATATGACAGTGAATAATACTCAGCCCTTGCCTTTTAGGAGTTTCCAGTTTTCTGTGTGTGTGAGCTCGGGAGAAGGTGGATTAGAAACTAGCAATTAGGCAGAGAGCAAAGCGTGGTGATAGAGGTGGGCACAGGGTGCTGTGGAAGGCCAGAGGACAGCCCTAAATCCCTTGATGTTTCTGGGTCAGAGATAGATTTCTGGCAGTGAGGTCCTTTCAGCTGAAACCTGAAGGATGAAGCATGCAGTGGTTGTAAAACATGCCCACTCATCCTTTGACAATCATCCCCTCGAAAGGTAGACGAATTCCTCTCCTCTTTACTGCATTCAGCTTAGTAACTTAATTCTAACTAACCAAATGCAGCAGAAGTAATGGTGTATGACTTCCAAGGCTAGGCTAGGTACTACAGCTTCTCACTTCTCTCATCACTTGCTCTGGAGAAAGCCAGCTGCCTGTTACTGACACTGAAGCAGCCCTGTGGAGATTATGAGGAACTGAGGCCTCCTGTCAACAGCCATGTGAATGAGCCACCCTTGAACTGGATCCTCCAGCCCCAGTGAAGCCTTCAGATGGACGCTGCTGTAGTTCATGTCATGGTTGCAACCTCATTGAGAGACTCTGATGAGGAACTGCCCAACCAAGCCACAATCATGAATTCCTGACTCACAGAAACTATGAACCAAAAAATGCTTGTTGTTTCAAGCTGCTAAGTTTTGAGATAATTTAATAGGTAACAGTAGTTAATGAATACAAATAGTGTTTAGTCACACACAAAGCAGAAAGTACTCTGTTCAATGTAGTTAGAATATACAGGCAATTGGGGAGTGGCATGGCCTAGGCAATAGCAGACCCATCTGACTTCTTACCCAGTTGTCTATTGTATCAGTTGTGAGCGTTCTTGCAGGTTAAAAAGAAAAAAAACAAAGCAAAAACCTGACTCAAATTGGCATAAACAGTTTCTTAAAATAATCTACAATTTTATAATCTCCCTTAATAAGAAGTGTAGTAGTAGTTTCAGTTACAGGCATGGTTTTTATCAGGGTCCTAGCTCTGCTCTTCCATGGGTGGGTTCTGTCCACAAGCTTTTTTTTTTGTCAGGGGGGACAGACAGGATTTCACTCTGTCACCCAGGCCACAGTGGAGTGGCATGATCATGGCTCACTGCAGTCTTGAACTCCTGGCCTCAAGCAACCCTCCCACCTTAGCCTCCCAAGTAGCTGGGACTATAAACACACACCACCATACCTGGCTATTTTTTTAAATATTTTCTGTAGAGATGGAAAACTCACTCTGTTGCCCAGACTGGTCTTGAACTCCTGACTTCAAACAATCCTGCCGCCTTGGCCTCCAAGAGTGCTGGGATTACAGGTGTGAGCCATCATGCCCAACCTACAAGCTAGCTTTTCTGATGATAATAAGACAGCTCTCAGCAGCAACATAGATCCTTGCTTGTGTCTAACAGAAGAAAAAAGACAAACTTTTCTATTATCACGGACCTTAAATACTTCCCTTCAATCATATTAGAACACCTTAGATTGCATGTGCACCTTTCTTAATTCAGCCAAATTAATTTCATGAGCAGATTGGCTTTAGCCTATCTAATCCTATAACTGGCAAGAGAGATGAGATCCTCACTAATCAGGATACACACCCACTGGGGCTGGGATGGAGTCAGCTTCTCTTCAGTTCCCATCTCACATGCGATGGGAAGGGTATGGATTCTTTCAGGAAGAACAAGGAGAATTGACGCTGGGCAGGCAATCTACACTTTCTACCCACAGCTAATTTTGGCTTATTTCTGGACATTTGGAGATGTTATTCCTTGGCAGTTTTCATGTCTGGATCTACTTCTGGACTTGGCAGAGGTGTTGGTTTCAGACTCCCAAGGGCTCCTGACTCTGTACCATCACCAAGCTCAGGGGAAGGATCAGGATGAGCTGGACGAAGATATTCACCCTGAAAGGTCATCAGCCTCTTCCACTATGCCCCAATAATTTGCCCAACCCAACCACCGCTGTCCATATCCCGGGCCTCAGTCTCTACCCACAAATTAGGCCTTGACCAGTTGTTCTTCCAGCAGTTGACCCTGAAATGCACTGGCCCAGCTTTCCTAGAACGAGGCCTCAGACTATACCATAGGACCCCCAAATAGACTGTGTACTTCAAGATGCTATTAGAAAAACTACTATTCCTTTTGAAGCCTCGCCCACCACCCCTGTCAATTGTCTGAGGTTATCAATGGAAGGAGAATATATGTGGGGGGGCTGACCCTCACCTCTCTGACTTATTATTCTTGGGACTCATTTTCCCTTCTAAGAGGTTGAAATGAAGATCCTCTTGCAAACCCTAAACTAGCCTTTCATGTTCAATCTCAAGTAGGACACAGCCTGTTTATTTTCCTAAGGTTTATATATTCAAATAAGTTTTCTCAAGAGGAAATAGATACACACGTAATAGATAGTTGACTTAACTACCTTCCTTTTGGGGTCTCCATGCCACTGTTACCATGCCTGGCTGTCAGCCTGATTTCCTGTGGCAGATGCTACCTTTGAACTTGACACCTCAAACTTGTCCAGACCTCTACAGGCAGATCCAAGACCATAAAGCCCAGAAAGAGATGACAGTTTCCACCTCAGAGGTTTAAGACCAGCCTCCAAGTTGCTGAGATGTCCTAGCTGAGGGTCCATCTGTATCCTGGAAGACTAATCATACATCCCTTCCCCACCCTGGGAAACTCTACCTCCTACCACTGAATTGTAACTTCACTCTATGTCAGTCATTTCAACCTTGGCTGCATGTTGGATTCACCTGGAAAGCATTCTAAATTCCAAATGCCCAGGTCAAATCCCAGAATATCCAGAACAGCAGAATCTCTGGGGCTGGGGCTGGGGCCTCAGTATTTTTAAGGCATCAGTATTTTTAGCCTTCTCCTTCCCCACTTACCCCACAGGTCATTCTAGTACATAGCCAAGGTTGAGAACCACTGCCTTACGCTCTTAACTGGGTAAGCATTTCCCAGCCAAATAGTGGGGCTGGGGATTTTTCATTACCAGAGATGTTCACATGGGAGCAAAGAAAATATGAGTTCCACAGGTTTTTGTGGGGCTTAGCATCCGCAGATTTGTGGGCCAGGAGGCTCTAGGCTGTCTCCTGGCTCCTAAAACCAGGCATGCAGGACTCTGTGGCACAAAGAGTGTTCAGCTCTTAGGGATGTCATCTCTTCTGATTGTAACAAAATCGTCAATATTTATCCAGCATTTACTTTAAACAAGCACTGTTCTGATTTCTAGATGTCTTAGCTAATCTAAGACTCCTAACATCTTATCTCATAGATGAGAAAATGTAAACACAAAGAGGTTAAGCAATTTGCCCCAGCTAATACAGCCAGCGAATGGCGAAGTTGAGATTACAATTCAGGCATCTGGCTCTGAACCCATTACTCTTTTTTAACCTTGGCATACTGGACCTGTTGGTCTCAAACTCTAGGTTGCATCAAATACACTGGATTGGGTGAGTGAATATGGATGGAGGGGAATGGGGGTTAAAATGTAGAGTCTTGAGCTCCATGCCAGGTTCTGACTCAGCAGGTCAGTTAGGCTAGGAATTGTTACTAGTCAAGAGGGTCTTGACTGAAAGTAGTCCAGGTTCTTGGCGTTTTGAACGAAGAACTGGACAAAACACCCTGCAAAGCAAAGAAACAATGAAGCAACGAAAAACCAAAAGCAAGGATTTATTGAAAACAAAAATACCCTCCACAGTGTGGGAGCGGGCCCCAGCAGTGGCTTAAGGGCCCAGATACCGAATCTTCTTGGGTCCAAATACCCCCAATAGGTTCCCCTATGGCCACCTCACGCTCACCTCATGTAAATGAAGTGGGAGCCTGCAACTGGTCTGATTGGTGGTTGAAAGCAACCAATCAGAGGCTGAGGTGGAGTTACAAAGGTCACATTCCTGTGCAGACATCTGATTGGTTGCAAAAAGCAGCCAATCAGAGGCTAAGGTGAAGTTACAAAGTTGCCAACGAAGAGTTGGCCTGCAATCAGTCTGATTCGTTGCAGACAGTCAATTTCCCATCTGCCATGCAGAAAAGGTGGAGGGTTTGCAAAAGGAGTAGCCTCTGGTCCTTTTGTTACTTAGGTGTGGAATGTTAGGGTTTTCTTTCAACTTAGTTACAGGAAGTTGGTATGAAACAGCCTTAGGTTCCCTGCCTCCAGACCCTCTTCTCCAGTCTCAGAATCTGCATTTTTAGCAAGCTTCTTAAGTGGTTCATAAAGTCCTTAGATCATGCTTTAAAAACTTAAGCTTAACATCATCAAAGCACAGGTTGGCAGCTGGAAGGTACATTGAGGTTCATCTAAGATCACTGACCTTTTATAGTGCTCTTTTAAGCCAATTGATTTCATTCCACTTTATATTGTTCCTTAAGGCCAATGCCTCTGTCTAGGTACCCTGCTTCTTGACACAAAGTCCAAATCTTCAAGGAAACCATCCTGGTCTTCTAGATTTTTTGTATTCATCCTCAAGCAGCTGCTTCCTGTTTAGTGAATAAATGGGCAAAGAACTAACTGGCCTCTGTTGCTGAGCTCTGAGAAGTATGAAAACACTATCTTTTGAGAAGTGTCTGTTTATACCCTTTGCCCACTTTTTGATGGGATTGCTTGTTCTTTTTCTTGTAAATTTGTTTAAGTTCCTTGTAAATTCTGGATATGAGACCTTTGTCAGATGGGTAGATTACAAAAATTTTCTCCCATTCTGTAAGTTGCCAGTTCAGTCTGATGATAGGTTATTTTGCTGCACAGAAGCTCTTTAGCCCCTAATTAGGTCCCATTTGTCAATTTTGGCTTTTGTTGCAATTGCTTTTGGAGTTTTCGTCATAAAGTCTTTCCCCATGCCTATGTCCTGAATGGTATTGCCTAGGTTTTGTTCTAGGGTTTTTATGGTTTGGGTTTTACGTTTAAGTCTTTAATCCATCCTGAGTTAATTTTTGTATAAGGTGTAAGGAAGGGGTCCAGTTTCAGTTTTCTGCATATGGCTAGCCAGTTTTTCCAGCACCATTTATTGAATAGGAGATCCTTTCCCCATTGCTTGTTTTTGTCAGGTTTGTCAAAGATTAGATGGTTGTAGATGTGTGGTGTTTTTTCTGAGGTCTCTGTTCTGTTCCATTGGTCTAGATGTCTGTTTTAGTACAAGTACCATGCTGTTTTGGTTACTGTAGCCTTGTAGTATAGTTTGAAGTCAGGTAGCGTGATGCCTCCAGCTTTGTTCCTTTTGCTTAGGATTGTCATGGCTAATGGGGTCTTCTTTGACTCCATGTGAATGCAGCCAACAAACATATGAAAAAAGTCTCAACATCACTGATTAGAGAAATGCAAATCAAAACCACTATGAGGTACCATCTCACACCAGTCAGAATGGCAATTATTAAAAAGTCAAGAAACAACAGATTCTGGCAAGGCTGTGGAGAAATAGGAACGCTTTTACACTGTTGGTGGGAAAGTAAATTAGTTCCACTATTGTGGAAGACAATATGGCGATTCCTCAAGGATCTAGAATGAGAAATACCATTTGACCCAGCAATCCTATTACTGGGTATATGCCCAAAGGAATGTAAGTCATTCTACTATAAAGACACATACACACATATGTTTATTGCAGCACTATTTACAATGGTAAAGTCATGGAGCCAACCCAAATGTCCATCAATGATAGACTGGATAAAGAAAATGTGGTACATATACACCATGGAATACTATGCAGCCATAATAAATAATGAGATCATGTCCTTTGCAGGGACATGGATGAAGCTGGAAGCCATCATCCTCAGCAAACTAACACAGGAACAGAAAACCAAACACCACATGTTCTGACTGATAAGTGGGAGTTGAACAATGAGAACATATGGACACAGGGAGGAGAACTACACACACTAGTGCCTGTTGAGGGGTGGGGGGTGAGGGGAGGGAAGTTAGAGGAGGGGTCAATAGGTGCAGCAAACCACCATGGCACACGTATACCTACGTAACAAACCTGTATGTTCTGCACATGTATCTCGGAACTTAAATTAAAATAAAAAATAATAATAATACAAAAAAATCACCATTCCACCAAGCAGTTGCTCAGTGAGGCTGGCACAGAGACAAATAATGCTATTTACGCCCACAGCTTGCTGCAGCTGCATTTCCCTTCTAGGAAAGCAGTCTTGTCCACTGCTTCTCACATGGCAGTTATGTGCATTTGAATCACCTGAGGATCTGTTAAACAGCAGAGTCTGATTAGGTCTTTCTAGCCAGCTCCCAGAGGAAACAGAAGCTACTGGCTCAAGGATGGGACTTTGAGTAGCAAGGGTAGGATTCCTTTCTAGGATGGGTCGTGCTGTGTTGAGGGTTATTTTGAACATGAAAGATGAGACTCCCCTGAACATGATCGTGTGAATTCAGGAGAAACAAAGGGCTGAAGCACTCTGCATAGGAAGTCGGGAACATCTGTAATTTATGGAGGCAGCTGAGAGGCAGAATGTGGATAGAGAATAGACGATAGTCATGGCTGGCATTCCCCGCATTGTTGTAAGTGCTTTGGCTATTTTAACTCACTTAATTATCACAACAACCCCACGAAGTCTGTGCTAATATTATGCTCATTTTGTAGATGGGAAAATAGGGTGATGGATAGGTTAAGTATTTTGTTCATGGTCACTGGTCTAAGTAAGAATTTGCTCACAGGCATTGTAACTCTAGCAGCTGTTCTCTTAACCCAACACCGCAGTGCCTCATGCAGGGGGCCTAAGCAATGTGGCAAAGGTACCTGGTGGCCTGAGGTGAGGAAAATCCAGCAGTGGTAATGGCTCAGGGACTTCTAAGAAGTTGGGTGCTCATTCAGTTTTTGGGTGTTTGCTGGGCTAAGATGGGCCATAAATTTCTTCTGCTTCCTGATGCCTAAACCTATAGTACAACTCAGCCATACATATAAACTTTCATTTTGGTTGCTTTGGGAAATCAAAGGAAAAGAGGCCATGCTCCAGGCTGGGTCTAGATCAGAACGCAATGGAGAGACTAGATGCAGGAGGCGAGACACGGATGTGGAGACAATTTGAGGGAAGCAGGGAAGAGGAGTATGGAAAAGCAAGATGCTAACAACAATGACGAAGAAGTTCCCCCAGATTCTGGGGAATACTGGGAGTAGGAAACGCTGAATTTTCCATTGTAGACAGAATGAAGGTATGGAGCCATTGTTATTTGAATGCTGAAGTAAAGGTGGTTCCTTGAATTTCCTGGGAACAGCAAACCTATGCAAATTCAGGATATTTCTGATTGTCCTGGTTAGGTTAGACTAGGGATAGAAAAAGAGCCAGGAAGATTTTGTGTTGTTGTCAAGTAGACAGACCTGGGGTTCAAGGGACTTGGAGGAAGAAAGGAGACTGTTACAGCAGGCTGTAATGAGAGGCGGTAGCTTTAAACAAGTCGCACGGCCCAACTCACATGTGTGTCCTGCTGTTTTCAGAGAGAAGTGAGCACAGTCCTGCCTGCTCTGTGAAGGATGTCATCCCTACCCCCAGAGAGCTCTTGAAGCCCTAGAGTCCTCATAAAATCTGAAACCCTGCTGTTGCATTTGTCCAGAGCCCAGGTAATTTGTAGTGCCAGGAACACTTGAGTTTTCTGGGCAGACAAGTAAACCCCTGCCACATTCACTTAGGCTGAGACCCAAGTGAGTTCTTCTGTCTGCATGCTCCTTCTTTTTGCAAGAGTTTGGGCCCAGCTGCTGCAGTCCCCATCATCTTTGAACTGTGGATTATAGTTTACAAAACTGCTTCCCACACACGCACAGACACACAGCTTATTTTATTCTCATGACAGCCCTCTGATGCAGACTGAACAGCATTGTCTCTATTTTATGAGTGAGGAGACAAGCTCAGAGAGGTTGAATAGCTCACCAAGGACACACGGCAGCAGTATGCCAGGGTTAGCAGATCTGAGGTGTTGAAAATGAGGTTTCTTATTTCCAAGTTTCTTATTTCTATGGGTCTCAGTCTGATGCTCCCTTGAGAACAGTAAGCTTTTCTAGCTAAGAAATGCCTCTCCGGTTGCATAGGAATCACCCGTGAAGTCGTTGGGTCTGCCCGGTGCTGCTGCTCACTGAACATCTGCCTTTGTAGAGCCCAGTCTCCCAGCCATCTGCTCACCTTGACATGTCCCCAGACTTGGACCCAGCGTTTGCTTAGTGTGTGAGTCAAGTAGCTTCTCCAGGTTCCATTGTGGTGCTTTTCATTACCCACTCAAGCCTCCCTCTTAAACGGAGACAAAAGAGAAGGGTGGGAAGAGCCCCCACTGCTAGATCTGCATGCAGTGATCACCTCCCTCATTTTGTCAGAATATTTGTTGAGTATCTGCTGCCTGCCTTGCTCTGTGCTTGGCTCCCAGGAACAGTGACAAACTAGGCTGGCACATCTCCGACCCTCCTGGAGCTCATGGTTTAGAGGAGTAAGGCACCGTCACACAGATAATTTTAGGTCCTTGGAAAAGGATGATAAAGAAAAAGGAGAATATAACCAGATCCAACCTCTTTTGGGGGCCAGCGGAGGCTGCCTGGAGGAGGAGGTTTCTAAGCTTAAATCTGAGCGATGAACAGTAGTCTGGAGTAGGGAGGAGGTGTAGGGTAAGAGAAGGAGGGACTTGTGCAAACACCCGGAGGCAGAAAAAATCTCGGTTAAATTCAAAAACCTGAACTGCCTGGAACCAAGTAAGTGTGTGTGTGGGAGGGAGTGGGGACAGGATGGGAGGGACTGGAGGGAGATTGGGAGTGTTACATCATGAGGCTGAAAAGGTCCCCAGAGGCCAGATAGTGCAGGGCCTTTGGCCTTTATGCTAAGGGGAGTGGGATAAAATGAAGAATCTTGGATGAGAATAGCAGACTCTGCTTTTCACTTTCAAAAGATCTCTCTGTCACAAAGGATGACTTGCGGCACTGGGGATACAGGCCGGGCTGGAAGCTGGAAGCAGGCTGTGGCAGTGGGCCGGGCAGGGACTAGGAGCTGGCCAGGGTGTGGCCCATGATGGTGGAAAGAAGTGGGCTGATGAAAGAGAGAGAGAGAGAGAGAGCGAGAGAGAGAGAGGAGGCGGAATGGACAAGGAGATGCTGGGGTCAAGGATGATGTGCAGAGTTCTGGCTTAGGCACCAGGTGGATTGTGGCCTCTTTTCCGGGGTGGGAAAGAATGGAGCAGAGCAGCATGGGTGTTCAGGTGCGGCTGTGTTGATTTTGAGAGACCCACCGAGAAGCTGGAGTCTTGAGTTTGGGATGAGATGAGAGACCTGGGATAGGTCTATCATTCTGGGAATGCCAACCCTATGGTAGAGGCTGCAATCACACAGGGTGGGTGTGAGTGGGGAGAAGAGAAGGGCTAGGACAAGCCTTGAGAGACCTCTGCTGAAAGCAACTGAGAAGCACCTGCTGGAGAAGCAGAAAGACAACCAGAGTGGGGACCTCATTGGGCAGGGGCGGGGCGGGGCGGGGCGGGGCGGGGGCGGGGGCGGGGCGTGGTGGCAAGAAGGGGTGTTTCCAGAGGAAGAGTGGTGAAAGGTGCCAGACGCTCACAGCAAGTAAGATGTAGGCGGCAAGTTGTCCACGGTTGCCTGGAGGTCATTATAGGGAAATCCCTGGGGGAGTCCAGGGGCTGGCTAGGGAATGGGAGGTGGGGAGGTGGAGTTAGTGCACTGAATCAGGTTCAAGTTTGATGTTGTGATCCTGCAAAGGTGCTTTCCCTTTCTGGGTCCCAGTGTTCTCACCTGAAAAATGAAGGGGAAGAACTGTCAGCTCTAACAGACATTCTCTAATCCCAGCAAAATGGGATTATTCCCATTAGCAGCGTGTAACTGCGAGAGCTTTTTAATGACATGCACTTCCGCTGGCTCCTCGGGGCTGTCAAGCCTAGTGTGACAGACCAACTGGGAAATTTCCTGCTCGGCTCCACATTTCCTTCGCTTGATTTCAGGTCATTGCCCCTAGCGACGTTCCTCTCCAGACTATCAAATATTCTGATTTCTGCACCTCCGGAACACTTACTCAGTGGCATAATACTTTCCTTTTTTTTTTGGTCTTAATCCTTTGCTCCATCTCTTTCCTCCTATGACCTTGCCAAGTACATATATGTAAAAGCCAGTTCCTGAGCATTTACCTAACAATAGTTGTGTTCTAGGCACCAGTCCATGTGTGTGCACACGCGGTGATGGCGATGGTGCAGCACTGGGGCTCAGCCATAAGCGTAGGGAGTCATAGAGTCTCACGGGCTTTCGAGGGCTAGTTTTTAGGTTGAATTATTTCGAGACAATTCTGGAAAGGAGGAAAAAGAGAGAATTTTATAATTAAAAATTACTTTTAGGAATCTCCCAACCTATTCTGGTTTGCAGGAGTTGCCCGATAAGAATGATCTAAAAAAAAAAAAAAAATTAGTTTTAGGCAATGCCTCCTGCCAGTTCAGTTTAGCAGGAAGTTGTTTACTAGCATCAGGCCATTCAGAGATGGAGGAGACATCAAAAATCACCCTTTCTATTTTTGTTTTTTCATCTTGCACTGTCCAGTGGGGTAAACTGGGTCCCAGGCAGTTAAGCAAGTTACCTAGCTAATTGGTAACATTACAGACAATATAAGATTGTGCGTGGGGCTCCTACTGTCTTCTCTGAACACAACAGAGCATTGACTATGCACTGAACACTTGGCTGGGCACCATGGAATGCAGGTAACCTTGACCTCCATCGAATCTGATTGGGGAGCCAAAAGGAAACCCTTGTAGAACAATTGAGAGCTGTATTTACAGATGACCCCTGACTTACAATGAGGTTACATCTCCATAATCCCATTGTAAGTTGAAAACATGGTAAGTCAAAAATGGATTTAATACACCTAACCTATCAAACATCATAGCTTAGCCTACTCTACCTTAAACATGCTCAGAACACATACATTAGCCTACAGTTGGGCAAAATCTTCTAACACAAAGACTACTTTATAATAAACTGTTGAATAACTCATGTAATTTGTTGAATATGATACTGAACATGAAAAATAATGGTTTTGCACCATTGTAAGGTAAACAAATCATGTCAGGATGATATGTGTATTCATTATATGTTACAAAAATGCTGTAGAAAGAAAGGCACCCTGTGGGTCTTGAAGCCCCGAATTTTCAAACAGAAAGGATGAGGAAAGGGGCAGAGGGGCCCTAAGCTGAGAGGTATGAATCGCAGTGGGGTGAGGTGACTGGTTGGGATGGTCTCATTGGACCAGAGACAATGTGTGAGGAGAAAACAGGGAGAGATGGAAGAACTGGAAATGTGGGATCAGGTTAGAGGGAGATCTGATGTGGCAGGCAAACCAAGAGATACTATAGAAAAATAGTACACTTACCAATTTTGTATGAGTATTATATACATTATTATATATAATATATACATAGTTGTATGTATATACAATATGTGTATATACATGTATACACATTATGTATTACATGCAATATAATATATATAATACACACACACACAGACACACACACACACAATAGTAACCTCAGAGGTTTCCCCTTCCATTCCTGCAACAGAGCTCTTTGGGAATTGTCCGCTTTGCTGCTCCCTTCTTCCCTTCTTCCCTGGAGATAGAATCAGGCTGAAAGAAGATCCACAGTCCCCCACCTGGTAGGGGTAAGAGGTGGAGCTAAGTGGTCAAGATGATGTGAGCAAGATAGCCCAGAAGAGAGCTTCTGTGGCAGGTTGAGAGGCTCCCAGGTGTTGGGGACCACATACTGAATCCTTGTAAAGAGTTGGGAGAAATTGGAATTCTACTTTAGAGAGGTCGTTTTGTGTGTCCGTTAATTTAAATTAGGCTGTACGATATACCTATCCCTTGCTTAGCATCCTTTTTTTTTTTTTTTTTGAGATTGAGTCTCACTCTTTCACCCAGGCTGGAGTGCACGTGATCTCAGTTCACTGCAACCTCCACCTCCCAGGTTCAAGCAATTCTCCCTGCCTCAGGCTCCTGAGTAGCTGAGATTACAGGTGCCCACCACAAAGCCTGGCTAATTTTTGTATTTTTTAGTAGAAACAGGGTTTCACCATGCTGGCCAAGCTGGTCTTGAACTCCTGACCTCAGGTGATCCGCCCGCCTCGGCCCCCCAAAGTGTTGGGATTACAGATGTGAGCCACCGCGCCCGGCCTAGCATCTTTAATTTGTTCCCCAAAATGTTATCTCTAAGAGAAAAGCTATTGAATGAAGGAAATATTTCCATTATTATAGTGGGAAACATTAAGGGACATTTCATCCGACAATTTTCACAAATAGAAAAATATATCAACTAAACAATGAAAACAAATTTTAGTAGTAAGAACAACTTGAAAGTAAATACATGCTTTTTATTCATAAAGCAAAGAATTATTGCACTCACCAAAGAAAGAATAAATGGCTTGACGGTAGGTGATGGTGGAGGCCAGGGAGTCATTCTTTAGAAAATGCTCTCTCTTTTTCTGTGCCATTTCCCTAGATATTTTATAACTCTTTATAACTCTCGGGCAACTGTGGTTATACTCAGGCTGCACTTTAAAAAAGTAATAGCACAGAAAAACACCTTTAAACAAAATAAAAATTAATTATGCCAGTGCACTGAAGCACGTGGAAATAACACACTCTTAACAGACTGAAAACTTATAGAAGATGCTACCTCTTTATCTCCCTTGCATGGTGTATGTAAAGCAAAATGCTTTGGCTTTATTCAAACATGAATTCAGATTTGTCCCCGATGATATTCTTTAACTAGAAACTGCAGTGTCAAGTACATCGGTGAGCGAGTTTTTGCCTGAAACCACAATGTCAACATTTCACTTCTTATATTATATTGATTGAGGGTGTTCTGGGGTAAACAACTTGTTGTGCTGAATGGAAAGCAGGTGTTGTCTGAAATGGTATCATTTTTAAAGAGCCCTTGTGGTGGAAAGTCCTTAAAAGGGAAATAGGGAATAGAGTAAACCAGACTGTTACTTCCAAGCTTTTGCCTATGAGGTTTCTTCTGTCCAGGACAACTTCTTTCTCCTTTTTAGCCTGACAAACTTGTATTCAACTTTTCAGGATTAACTCAGATGTCAGATTCCATGGGGAAGCTTCTTGGGTCTGCCCCTTATTGCCTTCACCATCTTGATTTGGTCCAGTGCTTTTTCCTCCATGCTCCTGGAGTCCCCGCGTTTCCAACTATCACAACACTGCTATCCACTTTCATCATTGTGGTCTGTTTTCCTCATTAGACTATACGCTTCGTATAAGTGGTGACTGGATATATTCAGTGTCAATAGTCCCTGGCAGAGTGACTGGTATAGAGGAGGTATTTAGTAAATTGGAAACAGTTAATGTGTGTACAACATCATTCAGGAAGGAATTAAGAAGTCCATTTTCAACTCGGTGGGAAGTGTATTAGTGCTTTTAGTGCAGTGGTAAATAATCCCCATATCTCAGTGGTTTACAAGGTCCATTCCTCATTTACTTTAATGTGGGTTATGGGTAGACTAAGAATCTGAGTCAAGCTGTGTGCAAATGAGGACTGGCCCAATGTGTCTCCTCATCTGGGACCCTGTTCTTAAGGCAGAAGACAAAGCATGCCTAGTTAAGCCAAAAGACATCACTGGGTTGAAAGCTTTGGCTTAGACATGGATTGGGAAGTATACTCTGCTTACAGGGGGACATTGGACAAGTCCCATTTAAATGAAATGGAGATATAGTCTCTCCTAGAAAGGAGAGATGGTTAGTTGTAAATAATAATATAATAATGTTATATTCACCATGGATAACAATATTATTATATTGTTATATAACAATGTAATATACAGGAATTTTGTCTTTTCTCACTCCCTTTTAAAAGTACCAGCTTTGCTGGGCGCAGTGTAATCCCTGTAATCCCAGCACTTTGGGAGGCTGAGGCCGGTGGATCACGAGGTCAGGAGATCGAGACCATCCTGAATAACATGGTGAAACCCCCTCTCTACTAAAAATACAAAAAATTAGCTGGGTGTGGTGGTAGGCACCTGTAGTCCCAGCTACTCGGGAGGCTGAGGCAGGAGAATGGCGTGAACCCAGGAGGTGGAACTTGCAGTGAGCCGAGATGGCACCACTGCACTCCAGCCTGGGTGACAGAGCGAGACTCTGTCTCAAAAAAAATAAAAAATAATAATAAGAATAATACCACCTTTGCATAGGCACGGTGGCTCATGCCTGTAATCCCAACACTTAGGGAGGCTAAAGCAGGTGGATCACTTGAGGCCAGGAGTTTGAGACCAGCCTGGTCAAGATGGTGAAACCTGGACTCTACTAAAATACGAAAATTAGCCAGAATTGGTGGTGCATGCCTGTAATCTCAGCTACTTGGGAGGCTGAGGCAGAAGAATCACTTGAACCTGGGAGGCAGAGGTTGCAGTGAGCCGAGATGGGGCCACTGCACCCCAGCTTGAGTGACAGAACAAGGCTCTGTCTCCAAAAATAAAATAAAAAAAAATAACATAAAATACCAGGTTTATTGAGGTATAATTAACATATAGTAAACTATGCATTTAAAATGTAGAATTTGATAAGTTTAGTACATTTTTCACCTATGAAACCATCATTACAATTTAGATCAGTGGTAGAGAAACTGTAGCTTGTAGGCTACATATGGTTTTGCAAATAAAGTTGTATTAAAACACAGTTATGCCCATTTGTTTATATATTGTTTATGACTGCTTTTGCTCTACAGTGATAGAGTTGAGTAGTTGTGACAGAGTGTATAGTCGCAAAGCCAAAAATGTTTGCTATCTGGTATTTTAAAGAAAAACATTTGACAGCCTTGATCTAGATAATGAACATATGCATTACTCTTAAAATTTCTTCATATTTCTTTTAATTCCTCCTTTCTATCTCTTTCCACAACCCTCCCACACAGGTATCCACTGGTCTTCTTTCTGTCACTATTCATTTGTTTGCTCTTCTTTTGTATTTTCACCAGCAGCATTTAAGAGTTCCAGTTCCTTCACATCCTTATCAACACTTGGTGTGGTCACTCTATAATTTTAGCATTCTGATGAAGGTGTAGTGGTATCTCATTGTGGTTTTAAATTGCATTTCTTAATGACTAGTGATACTGTCTTTGTTTGCTTGGGCTGCCATAACAAGATATCATAGACTGGGTTGCTTAAACAACAGACATTCATTTTCTCACAGTTCTGGAGGTTGGAAGTTCATGATCAGGGTGCCCGCATAGTCAGGCTCTGGTGAGAGCTTTCTTCCTGGCTTATAGATGGCTGCCTTCTCATTTGGTCCTCACGTGGGCTTTCTACAGTGTGTGCATGTGGATGAGAGAGGGAGGGAGGAGAAGAGACAGGGGGAAGGGAGGAGGAAAAGAGAGCTCTCTTGCTTTAATTATTAAGGCACTAATCCGATTATGAGGGTTCCACTCTCATAACCTAATCTAATTACCTCCCAACAGCTCAGTCTCCAAATACCAACATGTTGAGGATTAGGGCTTAAATATATGAATTTTAGGAGGATACAAACATTCCTCCATAACAGATATTAAGCATTTTTATGTGCTTATTTACCATTTATATATCTTCTTTGGTGAACTGTATGTTCAAATTGGAAATGTAATTTATTATTATTATTTTTTGCATGTGGATATCCAGTTGTTCCAGCACCATTTAATCCAATTGCCTTTGCAATTTTGTTGTAATTGTTCCTATATGTATGAGTCTATTTCCAATCTCCCTTTTCTGTTCTGTTTATGCAGTTTTGGTATGCATTACATCCCATTTTCTTGGTTACCGTAGCTTGGTAATAAGTCTGGAAATCAAATAGTGTTAGTCATCCAACTTTGTTTTTTTCTTCTTAATCAAAGTTCTTTTGGCAACTTTGATAAAAACTTTGTTGTTTTGGCAAAGTTGTTTTTGCATTTCAATAATAATTTTAGAATTGCATTGTCAGTTTTTATAAAAAATCACCAGTAGACTTTTTGTTTTAAAAATTGGCAAGCTAATTTTAAATTTTATTCAGAAATGCAAGAGAAATACAAGAGCCCAAACAACTTTGATAAAGAAGAAGAAAGTTAGAGGAATAACACTGCCAGATTTAAGGGCTTACTATAAAGGCGTAACAAACAAGACACTGTAGTGCTTGTATAAAGATAGACATAGTGCAATAGGACAGAATGGAGAGCTTATAAATAGACATACATATATTTGAATAATTAATTTTCAACAAAGATATCAAGTCAACAGAGAAAGTATAGTCTTAAACAAATGGGCCTATAAGAACTGGACAACCATAAGGAAAAAAAGTTCAACCCCAGTATCATATCGTTTACTGAAATAAACTTGAAATGAATCAGACCTAACTATAAAAGTTAAAACTTTAAAACTTCCAGAAGAAAATATGAGGCAAAATCTTCACAATCTTAGCGGAAAATATGAACAATGCATATATATGTCAAAGGACTTGTGTCTAGAGAATATAAAGAACTTTTAAAACTCAATATGGAGACAACAAACAACCTAATAAAAATGGGTATACATTGTGGGTGGGAGTATGAAATAGTACAGTCAGTTCAGAAAACAGCTTTTCAGTTTCTTATAAAATTGAATATATATTTGCTATATGATTCAGCATTTCCATTTCTAGTATCTGCCCAACAGAAATAAAAACACATGTCTATGCTAAGACTTATACAAGACTATTGACTATTGCTTTGTCATAAGAGCCCCTAACTGGAAACACCCCAAATGTCCATCAGCAAATATAATGGATATACAAATTATGGTACATCCATACAATGGAATACTACTCTCCATTAAAAGGGAACAAACCCCTGATGCACACAGCAACATGGATAAAATGTTTTGTTGTGCAAAAGAAACCAGGCATAAAAGAGCCCATACTGCCTGAGTCCATTTATGCAAGCATCTAGAACAGAAAAAGAAGAAAAGAAAAGAAAAGAAAAGAAAGAAGTGACTGACTGGTTCTGGGGAAGGATTGACCAACTGACCTAGCATATCTGGCCCATGTGAATCCAAAGTTAATAGTTACCTGGAATGTGCCCTTTCATTGCCTTTTTATGTTGGAAAACAGGTGCTGCCATATTGGACCATGAAGATGAGAGCTCATCCTGCAAGAGATAGCAGGTGGTGAGCTGAAAGGATCCCAGTCCCTAAGGGTCCCATGCAACATAGCCGGCTGCTTACCTCTGGATTTCTATGTTAGAGAAAGTGAGAAATAACCTGCATTGTTAACGTTACTACTATTTAATCATTTAACTTGAACTTACCTAATATAATAATCTAAAATTCTCCAAACAGAATCCAAACCATTATTTAGCCTTTCATTCTACTTTTGTTGAACACCTTCTGTGTATTAGATGTGATGTTTTCATAAATGCTTTCTACTGATTAGTGTTCAATACAAAGAAGTACGTGGAATTCTCATGCCATTAATAAATGTCTCTGCATCTCATTCCTACCTTGTGTTAAGGTCTGATATCAACTTGGCTGCAGTTACTAGCCAAAGCCATTTAGAGATTAGATTGCCAAAGTAGGAAACCTCATTCTATCCTTGGTTCAAAGACAGCACCAAATCCAATGTGAGTGTGTTGTTCAGAATTTAGAAATCTATCTTTGTTGCCTTGAGTACTATGAAACTTAAGAACTTAGAAGAAACATGTCAGAGAAGTTGTTGTGTGTTGTATGTTGAAAGTTCAACTGGGACTGAGAAAGCTCACAAAGCTTTTCAGGATCATGTCTGGTCTCTGTATTGGGTTGACTAGTGTCTACCAAAAATTCACGTCTCAGAATGTGATTTTCTTTGGAAAGAGGGTCCTTGCCAATGAGGTCATACTGGATTGGGTGGGCCTTGAATCCAGTGATTGGTGTTCTTATACAGAGAGATGTAGAGATACAGAGACTCAGACACATTCAGGGAATAAGGCCATGTGTTGAAGAAGGCAGAGATTGGAGCACTGCAGGTACAAGCCAAGGGACACTCAGGATTGCTGGCAACCAGCAGAAGATGGAAGGAGCAATGGAAGATACTTCCCTAGAGCAGCAGTCCCCAACCATTTTGGCACCAGGGACCGGTTTCCTGTAAGACAGTTTTTCTACAGATGTTGTTGGGGGTGGTGGATGGCTTTGGGTGGATTCCCTGCAACTAGACAGTCCCATCTGGGGGTGATGGGAGAGAGTGACACCCGAAGTGTCTTATGTCCAATCTACTGCATAATCTCATTTTAATTGCTGTCACTGTGGAAAACCCTATTTCACAAAGATAGGGTGTTTGAAATGGAAGCAGGCTTTTCAGTGCTTTGTGGCAATTTCAGGATATTCCACCTTGACTTTAATCCGGAGCGTATGGAAATTTGAAGTTGTCTCAAACACATTTTTAAGGCCACCAGATGCAGCTGTATAAATGAAGTACATCAATTCACTTGCCATAAAGCCTGCCACCAGATGCAGCTTAATTGTCATTTGCCACTCACTGACAGAGTTTTGATATAAGTCTGCATGCAATTTATTTATTATGGTCTCTGTGCAGTCAAACACCTTTGCTAATGTTAATCTGCATCTGCAGCCCCTCCCCAGCACTAGCATCACTGCCTCAGCTCCATCTCAGATCATCGGACATTAGATTCTCATAAGGAGTGCACAACCTAGATCCCTCACCTGCGCAGTTCACAATAGGGTTTGTGCTCCTTTGAGAATTTAATGCCACCCCTGCTCTGACGGGAGGCGGAGCTAAGGTGATAATGTGAGCTACGGGAGCATCTGTAAATACAGATGAAGCTTCACTTGCTCACCTGTGCTCACCTCCTACTGTGCGGCCTGGTTCCTAACAAGCAATGGACAGGCTCTAGGGACCCCTGTCCTAGAGCCTCCCGAGGGAGCATGGCTCTGCTGACACCTTGGTGTCAGATTTCTAGCCTCCAGAACTATTAAAAAATATTGCTGTTATTTTAAGCCACCTAGTTTGCGTTAATCTGTTATGGCAGCCCTGGGAAACTAATGCAGTCTCCAACATTTCAAATCACCTTTTCTTTGTTTTGGTGACATTCCTTACATGATTCTGTCTCACCTTGGATGTTTATTCACACCCAACTCCTTGAATAAGGCATTATTCTAAATTTCATTTTTCTAAAATTTTCATTCCACTCTGATGCATAAAAATTACTGTGCAACTCTACCTTTTACTGAATGAATGCATAACCTGAATTTTCTTGCTTTAGTGAAGCAGGCCAAATCTGTCCTTTCATCTGGGTAAGTGAAGAAGGTTTGTAGACGCTCTCTCGTCAGTGTGATGCAGGAGGAACAGTGTCTTGTGGAACTCGTGTTTAAGATGACACCAGGATCTTCCACAGCCCTGGCTGGTGTCTGGTTCTGTTGAAATGACACTTCCCAGTCCAGCCCATCTGTTATGCTTCATGCAACTCTAATTGACAACATTGCAACAGAGACTTGCAAGCATTTCTTCAAAACACTTCAAATTTCCTGTGATGCAAATCCCTTTAGCTTAATAAAGCTATAGCAGAAATAAAGACATCCAAGTGGATTCTGAAAAAGTCCTCAGAACTTCCTGAGACACTGTCAAGATGCTTTGGAAGGCCACTGGTAGTCACGCAGTCAGACTGCCCTATTTGCAAATAAGTGGGGTAAGTCGAAAGCTTTTTTTTTTTTTTTTTTTTTTTTATATTCAACTAGAAGCTCCTTATGCTGCTGACTCTGAACACAAAGGAAAACTATGGACCACTTTGCAACTGTACAGGGCAACCCATTTGTGAATCAGGAGATATCCCCACATGGGCTGTAGGAGAAAACTGCTACAGTCTATGGAATGTTTCCAGATGTTAAAATAATTGATGATATTCTAAAAACAAACACCAGTTGTTACATTTGGTTTCAACATTTTTGTTTTATTTTCTGTAATGGTTGACTTTCCTCAATGAATGATTTCCATTTCTCCAGGACGCGTAACACTTACCTCTGAAGGTGTGATCTCCCAACACTTCATTCCCTGGATAGGTTTCTTTTTAACAAGTTAAAACAGACATAACTAGGGCACTGTTTCAGGCTGAGATGACAAATGTGGAACTGAAGAATATCGAAAGCCATTCAAAAATTTGTTTGGTAAAAGACAGTGCTATATAATGAAACCAAACGCACAGATCGGAATTTTAAAAGAAATCCTAGTGTGAAGATAAAAGGACATGAAAGATAATAAATGTTGAAATGATACACCACCTAATGGTATCCTGTCAAGGCAGAAAGATAATATGATAACTTACAGAGCATCCCTGAGTCTCTATACATACTTGACCTAGAGTTTGCAGGGAAACAATCTTTTTGTTTCATCTGGCTTATATTAAAAATAGGAAAAACAAAACCAGCATTTTTTCCCTCCACTCTCACACAGATGGTGAAAAAATCCATGCAATTTTTAACTGTCTGAAATTCTTTAAAGCAATATAAGACAGAAAGAATTATTAAATCACTTTTCCATTTCATATAATGAAAAACTGCACTACCACAGAGGGGCTGGGACCATCAATTCTGGAGCAAGTGGGAGCTCCAATTGGTCCTGCAGGCAATCAATCACCTGGCGGCCCTGGGGCCCCTTCTGAGAAGCCATCTTGCTGTAGGAAAAAGAAATTTAGAAAATAATAAGACTAAAGTCAAACCGTTCATTAGCATTTATATAATTCAATTTTGAGATTTTCTTAGTATATAATTTACATACAAGACATACATGTGGATGTTTGGAGGTATATCCACATGCATTTACCCATTTATTCTTTTATTTATTAATTTGTTTATTCGCTCATTAAAAAAAATACTAAGTGATTACTCCAGGCATCAGGGGTCTAAAGATGTATAAGGCTTGGGGCCTCTCCTTAAACTCAAAATCCACTGAGGCAAAGATGGGCAAATAAATGACTATAATGTATCCTGATAAATGTGTAATCATTGTTATGTATATTTGACCATTTTCAGGTATTCTGGGGCCAAATTCAGAGCTGTTAGTCAACGGGGATTTGTCTTACCTCTTCCGTTAACTTACAATTTGAGGGAGTGATAAGCTCTTTTATTTTTTATTTCCTTCTGCATTTGGACTTGCCTCCAATACCAAGGATATTTGATGGAGCTTATAGTACCAAATCTTCAATATCTGAGTGGATCTGGATAAGAGAGGCCTTTTGCTCTTTGAGGGAGAACCTGGCTAGAAAGACTTACTGAGAGCAATGGGTCATCACAGACTGTAGATTCGTTGAGTCCCTTGCTACCAGTCTGTAGATGCAGCAGGCACTCCCCGCTAACAAGGCTCCTCTTTCTAGGATTGATATCTGGTTGGGGAAACTGGATGGGTATCTACAACTACCTACCCACATATAAATCATCACTTTATAGTGTCTCAGTTTCCCCATAAGTAAAATGGAGTTAATGCTAATGGGGAGTTAGTTGGAAACAACTGTCTGACGCATAGTAAGGCTGTGAAAGTGTTAGCCATCACTGTAGATATTGCTATCCAAGCCTGACTTGTGGGAGCTGAACATGCTAATGAAGGCACAGCCAGAAAAAGGCAATCAGATTTCTGGTTTTTTTTTTTTTTTTAATTTTTTAATTTTTAATTTTTTTATTTGAGATGAAGTCTTGCTCTGCCGTCCAGGCTGGAGTACATTGGTGCAATCTCAACTCACTTCAAACTCCACCTCCCAGGTTCAAGCGATTATCCTGCCTCAGCCTCCCGAGTAGTTGGGACTACAGGCTTGCACCACCACGCCTGGCTAATTTTTGTGTGTTTTTTGTAGAGACGGGGTTTTGCCATGTTGCCCAGGCTGGTCTTGAACTCCTGAGCTCAGGCAATCCACCCGCCTTGGCCTCCCAAAGTGCTGGGATTAAGAGGTGTGAGCCACCGCGCCAGGCCAGCAATCGAGATTTATATCAGGCCTCCTTTCACATGCGCAGGCCTTGATGCCCTATGTGTCTTCTATTGGAATTGGTGTTTCCCAGGACAGGAGTGATTTTGCTCTTGTCTCTGACTGAGCTCCTTGAGGGTGGAGCCTGAACCAGAAGACTAACTGTTCCTTAATCTTATAGTCAAGAAAGAGTAACTAGAAGGAGGTTGCTGACTGGTTATCCTTCCTGTGGGAAGGATAGGGTTGGAGTTCAAACAAGAGGAGGTTTCTTTAGCAAGAGGTGATGTGAGGAGGTTAAATCAAGGTAGGCTTGCGGGGAGAGTTCAGAATAGGGAAGAAGTCTGTTGCTCGGCATGGCACAGCAGCGTGTGTTCAAGGGGCAGGAGCATGGATGAGATGAATCCTCAGTGTCTCCTTTTCAAGCTCTCCTATGGAGTTTTCCTCCCTATTGTGGCAGATGGTGCTATGAAAGTTTTGCTAGAGGGAGGTTGTGGATTTTTTTCTCCCCCAGCTTCCTTGATACAGACCCACATAAAAGCTGTATCAACAAACAGAAAAGTAGCATTTGCTGCTTAAAGAATCTGGAGTCATTTCTGCAGTCTAGGTGAGGGTGAGGTAAAGGAGTGTGCTGCAGAAGGGCATTCTTGGCAAAGGGAAGACTTCTATTTTGTTTGGGAAAATGACCATTGGGGGGCTGCTGGGTGACAGCAGGGTTAGTGCCTGAGCTTTTTCCAGAATAGCAAGAGTTACAGTGATAAAGAAATACATTATTCTGCATGCTACTTATAGGGTAGCCTGCTCGAGCAGACTGTTTTCCTAATTTGCAGTGATTTTAGGGCTTCTCTTATAGATCAGGAGCCTAGATTTTGTGATTCTGGAACTGACAAGAGAAAAGGGGAGAAAAGACGTGCAATTGGGAACAGACCCCACAACATGAAGGCATGAGAGGCTCAGAAGAGAGAGACAGGCTGCAGGATTCCTTGTGGAAATGTATGGGACGGGAAACTTTAGAGACAGAGCTGCTGGGTCTCCTCTTAACACCCAAGCCTGCAGGAAAGTGGTGTTAAATGAGAAGGACTCTTAAGGAAGAAGAGGTGCAAGAACCATGCTTTTAAGTGGGGTCTTAGGTCCTTTATTTGGTTATTAAAGAGAAGGGCATTTCAGAGGACTGCCAACCTGCTGGACACTTGGGTACATGGGGCTAGACCACTGCTAAAATGGTCTGAGTCATCCAGTTCTTCACGTAGAGAGGAAGGCAGGCACCCAGGAGGCTGTGCCAGAGCCTAGCTTGGTGGGAAGCAGTGTCCACCACATAATGGGGACCCATGCATCAGGGTTGTTAACTTGGTAGCCTCCTTTCCAGGGTAGTGGTGGTGGGGATATTTCTTAGAAACCACACTGTGTTCCAGAAGGGACCTCAAGGGCAGATATGTCACCAGACCCTTTCTTTGGGAAGTTAATCACCCCAAGGGGGTCCTAGGAAGGCATAAATGATGTTCCTTCCTCTCAAATGAACACTTTCATCTAAAATGCTAATCACTGGTTAATTAAAAAGTGCCCTATTCATCCTTTCAACACATATTTGATGAACACCTACTATGTGCCAGACATTGGGGGTGCAGAAATGACAAGACACCATCATTCTCCTTGAGGAGCTCCTGTCTAGCTGGTAATGACACGGGCGAGTGTCCGATGCTGCCCCACAGGGTCTAAACTGTAACTGGAAGAAGGCCAGGTGAGATGGGGGCACAGCAGGAGGGGCAGGGGCTGGGGTCAGGGAAGGCTCATTGAATCTCCAAGGAGGGTAGGAGAGAGCCAGCTGGAGGAGTGTGTAGTCCTCATTGGGTGCAAGAAAAAAGAAAGAATGTGGGGATGAAGAGGAGCTCCTAGCCCAGCAAGCTCTCTGTGCAAAGGTAAGAAAGGAGGCAGGCTGGATGGGTACCTACAGGGGCCATTTCTCATCCGGATTTTCTTGTGCTCCCCAGTTTGTTTCTCAGGAACTCCTCACCACCAGCCTGGCCTACTGTGAAATGCACGTGCCGTCTCTGGCTGCCTTTATCTTGGCACGCGGAGCTCAGGGGGATAAATAATATCAAGAGCCAGGGCTGTGCTGGGGAGATCTGGAGAAGCCCTGCACACGGCCGGAGTTCAGACTCTACGGCAGGGCTGCTTTCTGTCCCTATTGTCCCCGGGTGCTGAGGAGTCACTAATCCGCAACAATTGTGTGGGCTTTACACCTGCCTGCAGCTCTGCCTCTGCTGCAGTGTGATTGTGTTCTCGGGGCCTCCGAGCGCCCAAGACACAGGTAGGAGCAGAATATTTCTGCCTTTGCTTGCGGAGAAAGATAATAACCCAAAGTAGGGGATTCCACAGCTCTTTGAATTGAGTTGCATGTTTGCTCTGGTTATTTTTTCTTAGTTTCCGAATATAACGCGTTTGCTATGGAGTAAATATTGATCCTATTGTAGTCAGCATTAGTGGCAGAAGATGCCAAAAAATAATTAGCCAGCTAATCTCATCTGCTTCCCAGGATGAAGGTGAATGTGGTGTGGTCCTTGTTAGGATGGGGGTGATGTCCACACCACAGACAATGCAATCAACATTTCTGTAATGACTAAGTTCATTTCAGCCCCTTTTTAAATAGACAAATTTCCCTGATTGTTACTAGGTTTTGAGTGGTGCTAAATCAGTCTGTTGTTTACATCTACATCCTAGTAGCAGAAAGTAGGGGCTTGCTCCCCTTCTGTTTTTTATTTTTATTTTTTTATGGGATGAGGGCTGGCTGCATATTGAATTGCAATAAGATTATTTGGTGATGCAATAAAATCCTCATGAGTTAAAAATGCCATTAATGTGAAAGTAGTTTTGACCAAGGCTGAGCTCTATTTACGCAAAGGAGAATTTACTAAACAAATTAATTATACAATCAAGTTGACAAGGGTTCTGAGCCTGTTACTTTCAAGTTCTTCAATCAGTGCGATGATGATTTATATGTCATTTTCCAGAATCATGGGACCTAAGGTCTTTAGGTATGACCACTCCCCCTTAAGCCTCTACATTTCCTACAAATGTCCACCATGTCTTGGATACTCCAGGGAGGGAAGCACACTACTCTCAAGGCAGTTGACTATTTGGATAGCTCCAACAGAAAGTACTTCCCTGGTAGAGCCAAAATTGTTTCCTTACTTTTAGCAGTGGGCCATCCAAAACAAGCCTCATTATTCTTCTAGACATTTGTAGGCATAAATATTTGAGTGCTTTTATCTGCACTAAGAATCCAGGATCTCAGAATCTCAAGGAAAAGATTGTAAAAGTCAATAATTACAACCCCTTCCTTCCCTTTCCCAACTCCAAACTAATGCCTAAATTGCTGCTTTCACATCCCATCCAATATTCCTCTAGCCTGTGACTTCAAGCAGTGTTGAAGAACTCACTACCAAATGGTGTTTCTTCAAAGGTTTTCTTTGACTTAGACAAGCCTTTAGTGTAGATGGATCCTCCCCTGAATTTATTAGAATTAGAGAGGTAGAATATGACTGATTTTGAGGTGAAAGGATAAAAATCAATTCTAGAATGTTCTGTGGTGGTGTTTGCCATACAAGACTGAACCTCCTTGAGGACTCCCTGGAGGAAGATGTGTCTAAATACGTAAATAAGAAACCTGCAATAACTAGGTGGAGCTATCTATCAGACCCTTGTTAATCCAGGAAGGCAGGGCTAACACCCTCACTACTGTTTGGGGCAACTGCTATAGGCTTTCCCTTCAGCCCCATCTCATCCCAACCCCTTTCTCCCATCCACTTGGCAAAAAATTTCACCAGATCTCAATTTCTCCCCTTCCAAGTTGCCAATTTTTGTCTCTGAGGTTGACTTTGCTTCTTGCCTTTGACGCTGTTCATCTCTTGGCCCTGGATCCCGGAATGTGGCCTACCCATTCCTCCCGCCCCAGCATCTCCTGTTATTTTAGCTGGGATCTCCCTGCTCCAGCTCTACACCCCCAAACCAAGGAGGTAGTGCCCAGCTGGGGCGGAGCCTGGCCCCCTGTGAAGGGAGGGATTTGAGCAGTCACACACGTTTCTTCCCATGGTCTGTTGCCAACGTAGGAGTGCAGTAGGGCACTTAAGGCCTCAGTCTTAACAGTGGCAGGGAGTAGGTGTGTGTGCCAGCTGATCCCCTGAGGGTCCCTGCCGCTCCACACTTTCCATGGAAACCACTTTGTCCATTGGTCACTTAAGAATTCACCTTAGCGAAAAAATGGGATGGGGCAAGGCCCGTTCCAGCAGATGTGGTTCAGAATGAGACCCTTTAGGATGTTTGCCTAAATGAGTATAGTCTGACATTTGTACCATAGGCTAGATTTTTACCAATATACCTTCATGTCCATTACCTTAAAAACAATTTCAAAAAGCATGTTGTTGCTGAATTGTTATCCCCAATTTACAGAAGGGGGAATGCAGGCTCCTAGAATTTAAAGAACCTGCATGGGAGTATGCACACATCATTAACAAAAAATGGAAAAAAGGAAGTTTCATGCGTGTTTACTTCCAGTAATACATAGCATTATTTTCTAATTTACTCTTGATAAAATCACGGAGATTTATAGCCCAGTTTAGATGGCTTGTATCGTCTTTATGCTTTTCTATAGTCTATGTTTATACCCTACCTTGTTTCAAGATGAACATACAACATAAGGATACAAAATGTGTAGGTCAGTAAATGATTGTGGAGGTGATGGTGGTGGAGGTGGTGAGAATGGCTATTAACAGTAAGCCAGGCAACCGTAGCAAAGGGAAAATGAGTCAGGAAAATGATAGAGGTAAAGGAGGAGGGTGAAAAGGCAAAAACTAGCATTAGAATGAAAAGCAGTTAGAAAAGTTTTTTCTTGGCCTTTCATCAGAGTGGAGGTATGAAGTAGGCTGGGTTCTCAGCAGCCCTGGCCAATGGGAACAGCTGTAAGTGTAGTGATGTCAGCTCACGTTTACTGAATGCTTGCTATGTGCCAGAGGATACTGTAAGCATCTTAAATGAAGATCTCATTCAACTCTTATAGCAACCCATGAACTAGGCTTCTGCTACTATTCACACTTTACAGATGAAGAAATGGAGGCACAGAAAAGTTTAAGTAACTTGCTCAGTATCCTATCGGTGGAAAGTAATGGAGCCAGGATTCTGTCTCTAGCTGAGGCTCTTAACAATTGAGCTTTTGGGAACGTGTTGGAAAGTGAGTTGCCTACACAGGGATGGCCAGCATGCAAGGCGGAGAGATTGTGCTTGCTCTTTCTCTTGCATTATGAAGCCTGCTCTAAGGATCTGATGTTAAGGACACTTAACAGTCTGTAGTCACAAGTTCAACCCATAAACTCTAATCTTCAAGTGCGTAAGAAACAGTTTTTTATCTGTGGACCATTTCTGGATGTCCATTCCTTGTCAGGGCAAAGCTGCTGGTATGTGCAGAGCTGGGGTCTGGGTGTAGATAGCCGTAATAAGAATGTGGTCTGGGAAAAAGTTAGCTGCTTTCCATTTTCACAGATTGAGCAACTGGATGCCTTTTAAAAGAAGTTTTGATGTTGCTGCTGATGTTTGCGGTCTGAGCTGTCAGTTGCTTCCCACATTACCGGCCAGACACTCTCAGTCCCATTTTGGGGGGTGTCTGTGTGCTATTTCATGGCTTTGCCTTTCTTCTCCTACAAACGCTTCCTCTACCCCATCAGAGCCAGCTCTGCGATGGACCTGACACACTGACTTTCACGCATGCCTTTACGATTATCTCCCCTTCCCCCTGCCTGGCCGTGAGAACAGATGGACCTGATGTCTATTTTTGCTCCTCCTCTTCTGCTTTTTGTAACTTTTGGTCTGTTGCTTTCACCAATAGACTCTTACACATTTTCATTTGCTTTTTTCTTTTCTTTTAGAGAAAGGGCAGAAAAGGAGCTGTGTGCCTTACTGTTCTCATCAGCATTTCCCTCTAGGTCCTCTGCCTGGGGAAACAGAAGTTTCCCAGCATGAAGGGAGCTGGAAGCCTGGGACCAACTGAAGCTGTGTTTAGAGGGGGTTGAGTGTCTGTGGCTGGAGTTTAAACAAATGTCATTAGCTTAATCCTCTACCTCACAATCATCATTACAAAACCATTTTGCCTCATGCAAAATGAGTGCCTGGTATAAAATGGAGTGAAAAATGTCACTCCAACACTCACTTCTCACTGTGTGGAAAGCAGGTAGATGCATTAATAATTAATGATTTCGCAAAATGAATGTATGCTGGCATTTACACCAGAACCCAAGAAAATAGGAAATGTTCTCCTTTTCAAATTTTTTTTTCTATAATGGAAGTAAAGCCATTGCCTCTTATAGGCATTAATGGGAATGGCAAGATGAAGAACACATGGAAAATATGTTTGCACTTAGCAGGCTACAGGAGTGATGATTATTTTTTTTTTCTTTACCATTGTTTACAGGAATGTCAATATTGAGGAATTTTTAGTATTATAAAAAGTTTAAGATTGCAAAGTTGCTAATAAAGTTTTTATGTGGTAACAATGCCACTTGTAGAACTTGTATTGTAACCTCAAATCTATGCTTTTCAGGGCAAATTGCTGTATCAGAGTGCCTAAAGAAGATTCCTAAAGCAAACATAGGCAGCTTTTGTCAGAACTGATTATAGACTATTACTGCTAGCTTGGGAATTTGTGGGTGGGGAGTGAGGGAACCCAGTGCTCTGAACAAAGTCCAAGATAATGCTAATGTTAACAGTAACTAGCTAATCTTTACATCTGCTGAGGTTCCAGATGTCAATTAACAATTTCAACACCACTGACTAAGATTACACGTCTTACAGCAATTACTATCACAATGAAGGTTAGAAGAACACCTGTCGAAATTTAATAATCACATAGCTTCTATTCTTACCAGGCTTTGCTATCAGCCACAACTTTCTGACTAATCACTGGTGATTGTGCCCATTGACTTACGCTCAGATTTTAATTATAGCAGATGGCAACGAGCATATGAGAAATCGTATTTCTACAAACCTGTCCATTTGCAAAAGCTGTTGTTCAAGTTCGGAGAAGTGCTTAATTCAGAATGTGCAAAGCAATAAAGCGAATTTTAAAATGACTTTTATTGAATTCAAAAATTGTGAGCTAAAAGCACTTGAGTCCATTTAAAAAGCAATTTTATTGAGTTAATGGTGAGTATAAAGAATTAAATCAATAAAACCCCACTTGCCATTAAGTTCAAAAACAGTGAAAGCATTTTATTAACTGTGTTGTTTTAAATTCAACAATATATGTTCCCCTCGGTTGTTTTGTCCTCTCCCTTACATTTCTCTCCAACCTTAGGCCAATTTGCCAAGATTTTTTTTCGTTTGCTCCTGAATGTGGGCTTTAAAAGGGCAAGTATGTGTAAACAGATATGTATATAATGTAAACCATGAGCAAAACTAACTTGAGGTAGGCCATTTAACTACTCTGCTCAGTTTCATCACATGTGAGTCAGGGATAGCTATATGTACTTTACAAGTGACATTTCTGGAGGTGGGGTATGGCATCCCAGCCAGTGGGGTGAGCCTGTAACGGCTTCCTATGCATTTATACATCTATTCTAGAGAAATGAAGGTAAATCCCCCAAATGGTAAATATTAGGTCAGAACATAAAATTGCTGTTTTTGGAGGTCAAAAATAGTTGAATAACAGCAATTTTATATGATGCAAGCTAATGCTAATATAGCACTCTGGAATTCATTCATTTATTCTCTCAGTTATTTAACAAATGAAGTGACTGCTCTGCCAGATACTGAGGGTGCAGTGATAAACCAAGAATATCTGGAGCTTAAGATCTAAGAGTAAAAGGCAGCAGACAAAATGATGTTCAAGTAAGTAAATAATTCAAGTGTGAAAAACACTACCAGTGGAATTTTTGGGGGCAACAGAAGAATAATGGAGGAAACCAAGGCGGGCTCCTCGGGAGCAATGCTGTGTAGACAGACACCTGCATTGGTGCAAGCCAAGGTAAGCACGCGGGGAGCACTGCAGCAGAGGCAAGAGCATGTGGGAAGGGCTGGGGGATGTTGGTGGCTGTACACCTAACCAGTGGAGATGGGGTTGGTGATGAGTTCTTTCTTCCTGCTGCTGCAACTTTCCCCTGAGGTGGCTGTTTTAGTTTCTTGGCTTTGTACTTAGATGCCCTCTTTGCTCAGGCCCTGGGACTGAGAATCCAATGTGATGGCCTGGCCAGCTTGGCTAGCCACCTCTCCCCCTGTGCTGCATGTGGCTCCACTTGGTGCCTTGGGCCAGCGATCCCCCATTGTTCTGACAGCGTCTATTCAGAGTCTAGACTCAGAGCCTCAAGATTCAGCCTGAAAGCAAGAGGGTGCTGGATGGCTAAGGCAACCTGATCCGTGGAAGCATTATTTTCAACCAGAAACTTATCCCTAGGAGGGCACCATAAGAACCTATCAAGAACAATATGTTTTAGAGGTTAATTACTTATGTGCCAAGCACCAAGATATGTAATTTATTGATACATTTATTACTCCATTGCAGTCCGTGGAGATAGGCATTACTATTGCCTCATTTTACAGATGTGGAAACTAAGGCTCAAGGAAGTTGAGTGACTTGCCCATGGCCTCATAATGGAGAGGTGGTAGGACAGGCAGTCTGATTCCAGAGACCCCGTCCTTAACCTCTCTGCCATGCTGGCCTCCCAACCCCACCCATGCCATAACTGAGCATGTTGCACAATTGACAGGCTGGTTTTCTTCAAGGAATTCTACAGTCAAGCCATGCCCCTGCGAGTCAGAGGTTGGGTTTCTCACAGCTAATGCAGCCTCACCTGTGGAACTCATTTAAGTAACAGGAGCATTTTGAGACCAGAACTTGAACCCTGAAGCCTGCAGGTCCTAGCAGGTTGAGGGAACAAGCTCAGCTTCTGACTCTTGATACAGACTTCAAGTGTCAAGAGATGTCTATACATCTTCCTCGGTGCTGTGGCTAAGATGGCTTTTGGGAGAGCTAAGCAGGAAGTCGTGCATTGCAGTACACACCTTTCAGCTCCATGCTGTTCGGTGGGATCTTAGTGGGCCAGGCATCAGGAATGTTGTTTGCTCAGCTGGGGCCAGACTGGCATGGCAGAAGGTCATTGTAATGGTGGCAGCAGGGACAGGCAAGGAGGGAATCCAGAGAATGGTGAACTTCCAAGTGCAGCCTCATCTCCACTGGGAGATTCTCCTTTCTGGTGCCAACCCATAGAATGATGTTTGGGGGCTGATATATTTCCTTGTCCCATTACAAGTGACTGCACATATTTTACAATCCCACAGGCAGAATTCACAGGCTATGTTGTGTCCACTTCCTGGGGGCTTCCAAGCAGGAAAAGATGCCTGTAAAACTATTGGCATCGGGGGGAAAGAATGCCCTCCAACTGCAATTGTTTCTCAAGTGTCCAGGCTGCTGGGAGGCCTGTTTCAGGCAGCAGGACTAAGCCACAGCCTGCAGAGGCAGTTTTGGATGTGGTCTCTCCTGGGATCCCCAGAGCATGTATCGATTTCAGGGCCCTGTATGGAACAGCAGATGGGAAGGGGAGGCCTGACACGCTTTGAAATGCGATAAAGCCGGTATGGTTTGGTTCAGGGCGCCCAGGGTTTGTGACACCCGCCTATCTGTTACACTGATGCTGTTACACAACTGTCTGGGAATTCATCTGTGTCCTCGTGTGTGCAACGATGCCAACCTACCCCAAAGTGGGTGGGCACAGGGAGGGAGGGGTCAGACTGGCTCGTGTTCCCCTGCTTTGCTGTGTAGAACTCCCACACCCATCAAATGACATGCTGGTGGGAATCAGCAGCAGGAAGCTAGGCTGTCAATTTCAGTGATGCAGTTAGCCTGACCTAGGCAAAATCCAGGTTACTGGGTTCTTCCTCTACCTTTGTCACCCTCACAGAAAACTCAAGCAAATTTTGAAGCTCAGGAAAGGAAGTTCTCAAATGTCCCCGGAAACTCCTTTCAGTACTTAAAACTTATGAGCAAACAACTCAAATGTTCATTGACAGGTAAATGGATAAGGAAATTCTTGTCCAAATGATGGATTATGATGCAGTAATAGGAAGGAAGGAGCCACTGATAGATGGAACAACATGGATGAATCTTAGCAGCATAGTGCTAAGTGAAAGAAGCCACACTCAAAAGGCTATGCAACGTCTGGTTCCATTTACATGGCATTCTGGAAAAGGTAAAGTGATTGAGAAAAATCACTCCCACTACAAGTGGCTTTTAACCTCAGAAGTGTCTTGGGGGCCTCCATGGGAGATGATGGTAAAATAGCACTGGGTGGGATCTAAGCCTTTACTTCACTTGGAGCAGCTTCACTTTTATCTGTTTTAGGAAGGAAGGTTTGGTTCCTTTGAAAAACTTCTACACTTGAAAAAAGTGTGAATGTGTTAAATCAGATGAAACAGTATTTGGAGTCACCGTGAGGAGATGTTGTCTTCTTTGCTCCTTGCAGGCCCCAACTAGCTTCGGAACTCCTGAGGTGAGAGGATCTGATTAATTTTGTGATTTCATTCCCTAGAAAAATGAACTTATGCACAGGAACTTAACGATTTTGCATGCAGTTTCAGAGACAGTTGTGGACTCCCTGAAGTCTACCCTCAGAGTCCCCGAAAGCCCATGGATTTCCAGTTCAGTACCTTGGCCTTGGAGAGTAGGGACCGTATCCTCTCTTTCTTAAATACAGTCTTTTATCATTGAGTCCAAGTGTATCAGTTACCTACAGTTATCTATTACTGTGTAACAAGCCACCCAAACACTTCATGACTTAAAACAATATTTTATCATTTCTCACAATTCTATGTGTAGATTGGACTCAGTTGAGTGATGTTTCTATTCCATGTGGTGTTGGCCAGGATTGCTCATACAATTACATTCAATGGGGAGCTCGCCTAGGTGCTCTGCTGGGGCTGAAATATCTGAGATGATCTCACCCACATGTCTGAAAACCTGGTGTTGACTGTCACCTGAAGTAGCTTAGTTCTCCATGTAGAGAGAGGACTATCTCTTTCCATGTGGGTTCTCATGAATCAATAGTTTAGCCCAAGTGGTTGACTTCTAAGTGATGAGCCAGAAGCTTCCAGGTCTTCTAAGGGCTAGACCCAGAACCGGGTGTGTCACCTTCACCACATTTTGCTGGTTAAACCAAGTTGCAGGGTCAGCACAGATTCAAAGAGAGAAGAGATAAACTCTGTGTCTGGATTGGAGGAGTGCTACGGTGCATACTGGGATGGCAGGATTGCTGGTGGCTATCTTGGAAAACATTCTACCACCAGGTTCTTGCAAAATGCAAGATGACTCATCAGTATTAAGGGTAATCCTGTTGTACCACCAAGAGCAACGAGCTCCTGGGGCATCCCCTGTGCATTTACAGCCTTCTTTTCAAGAATCTGTTTTCTAACATATTTCTTCTTGTATGTTACCATGAAGATAATCAGAAGGTCGGTGTACCCCTGTTCCTCACAATTCATATTGTTCTGCCAATTTCCCAAGGACACATCCACATCACCTGCAAACTCTATCACATATTTGGGACTTTATTATTTAGTTCATTCTGTGTTTTTCTCTTGCCAGAAATATATGTCTGTTTTCTCTAGACAAACTGGAAGCTTTCCAAGAAAAGGAGCTACAGCTCCTATTTCAGGAAGCTGGTATGATTTTAAATGGGGACAGCCATTTGTGTAACCTTGCTATAAAGGCAGCAATTATGTGAAAGCACCAGACTTTCATGGGTGCCCCATTTCTCTCTCAGATGAGAAGGTGGGCAAGCTTTGGCTTCCATGCACACCCGAGGTGGGAGGAGCTATCTTGCTATTGGCCAAGCTGTTCCCTGTGACTTCGTAAGAAAGCATTTCTCATAGGCTGGGATAGGGTTTAGTGGAAGTAGGATCTCACTGCAAACATTCCTGGGAAGCACTGACTCCACACTCACTCTACACTGTCAAGCCTATAGTAGCTACCCAAATGCTCTACTCAAGCTGGAGAGCCACTTCTGCTGCTTCCTGATGTTTTTGCTGCTTGCCTAGGATGCTTCCTCCTCTCTCACTTTGTTGTCCCAGCTTGGCTTATTCTTCAAAGTCCACCTCACGTAGTTCACAGTGGTCTATCATCCAATATCCACAGGTTCTCAGGAACATGGTGTCACAGAGCCAGACAGCTGGAAAACATTTCTGAGCTTCTAGTCCAGTAGCTTCAAATCCCCCAAGGACTGGGGTCTAAGGAGGGGCCTCAGTGGCATGGTGATGATGGGTGGCCCTCTAAGCCAAGCTCTGTACTTCCCACTTCCATTTCCACTTCAAGGCTCTCCTGTGATCTGTTTAATCATGACCTTCCATGTAAAATGTTATGTGGTTATTATAAAAAAAGATTTCATGCTTAAAAATTGAAAACCATAGATTTGACCCAACTCTTTGTTTTTATAAATAACAATAACTGGTCTAAAGACTTGGAATGAGTGCCTGGCATTTAGATGAGTCGTAGTGGTAGGCTCAGAACTCAGGTCTCCCTCTCTTGGCCGACTATTGTTAATTATTCTGAGATCATTTGGATGAGGGTAGGACCCATCCAGGCCAAAGAATGAGAGTAAATGTCTCCATACAGCTTTGCTTTGTTTTAAGTAATATTTTATTTGACTGGGATCCTGCCTCTGCTTTGCTGGAATTGCCTGTGCTGCAGAACGATTATTGCAGGATTATTTTGTGCGGCCGGACTGTCTCTAGAGCCTTCTGGGAGCTTGTTTTGCTAGCTCAGCTGTTTCTCGGCTTGCCCTGTGTGGATGATGTCAGATGTGATGTTGTTTCCCTCAAGAGTCCCCCCTCCTGCCGCTCACTGCCTCCAAGTCTCTTTTGGTCCAGCTAGCGATGTCTTCATCTTCCTCCCTTTTCTCCTGTTCTCTCCACTTTTGATATCCTTGAGGCTGATAGTGTTTGTCAGGTCTGTCTTTAACTCTGGGGAAAGAACTGGTGGAGCCATCTGTGGGTTTTGGAGAGCATCCCTGCTTGTAATTATTTTTCCTGGAGCCACCCTTGATGAGGCAAAGGCCCATTGTTGCATTATTAACAGTTGTCACCTGGGCTTTCTCATCATAGAGTGTGTCTTGGTGGTGGGCAGGGAGGAGCAGCAATAGCATGATGGGTCTCAGAAAAACAGTAGCTGTTGATTTCTTCATAGACAATTGGATGAAGAAGTTGGCTTCCAGGATGATGCTCAGTTTGGTTCTTTACAACATTTGGCCACAGAGTTTCCCATGATGGGGGTAAGATTTTTGTAACTTCTACCCATTTCAAATGTCAGGGAGCTGTCAGAAACTGGGCAAAAATAGAGAATGGGCACTTCCTTCACATGGACAGGACGTCCTGCCCCAGAATAATGAGCAAAGGTGAAATCATCATAATCCCTCTAAAGCTGTAGTAATTTGGTAATTAATTACCTTGACAGACAGTGAGAACTACCAAAAGGGTTAAATTAAATTAAATCCAATTCAATGACTGAAAGAGAGTTTGATGTTACAAGAGCACTACACAAGGAGGTGAAAACCCAGGTTTTAGATCAAATTTTGTCATTCATTTATTGGATAATTTTAGGTGGGATTCTTCCTCTCTATGTGTCTATGTTTCCTGACTTACAAAATGTGGCGTTCTGAATAAATTATCTATAAAGAGCCCTTTCCTTCTCAGAGTCTATCGTTTGCATATTTGTCCAGCACCCACCCTGAGCAGGGCAGTGTTTTGGGTCTTGCAAAGGCACATGCTGTCTTATACTGTAGTGCACACTGTCAGTGTTTTTGCAAAAGCCTGCTGTTGCATTCAGTTCAAACATAAATGGTTATGTATTAGGCTACAAATCATTGCCAAAAGGAATTGGCTTTATGTGAATAGAATGTTAGTAATTAGAACATTAATTGTTAAAATGTAATTGCTTGCTTATAAAGTGCTTAAAAGGACCACTTCTGCTAAATAGGTTGAGCAATCCTCTTGCAATTGCCTTTATCCTTTCCAGTCATTTAGCTAGTGCTTTTTCATAGAATGTTCCTATAACTATTTATGATTTATGCTCTGTCTCCTCCAAAAAAGGATTTGAGGCAGCTTAAAGCAGAAAACACATACAAACCATGGCAATTAAAATTTTAAAAAGGAAAAATAAAAGGCAATAGAAAGTGATTATAAAAGAGGAGATGGGCTTTTTAAATACCTGGGATGAGTTAGTTTCTGTACTTGATCCCCAGGTTGACTGCACTTCCTTTGCTCTCAAAACACAAAGGTAGCCAGGAGGATACAGAGTACAGGCATTCCATAAATACAACCCAATACTTACTACGTGCGTAGTCCTATGAAAAACCGGGATTCCTTCCCTTATGGACAAGTGGAAAGATAGCAGACAAATATTTGGGATGCTATGCATTAATAACATTTTCAGTGGTCTCCTGATTATTTTGATTAAGTACTTCTACCAGAAAGTTTGGGAGTGTATCCTTCTAATGTGTATATTTATTTGTATATAAATGATATATTTGAACTACTATACTAAGATGTTATGTACATCATGAAACACACACACACAAAAGAATATGTTTGGGAAAAAAATAAACACAAATAGTTCTAACATTTTCTTCCCACATTCCGATGGTGTGGCTCTATTTAGATGGAATGTTTATAAGCAGAACATTTGTTGTTTAAATGTTAAATAATTGAATGAATAAGTGCTAATAAAGTACTTAAAGAGGATGTATTTTAATTGGGCAAGGCAATTCATCTGCAATTGCATTTTTCCATATACGTTTTTTAGCAAATGTTTTAAAAAAATAAACGATTTTAGATTTATAGCAAAGTTGCAAACATAGTACAAAGAGCTCGTATATAACCTTCCCAGCTTCCCCTAATGCCAACCTCTAGCAAATGTCTTTTTAAATAGACTGTTGTCACCTTGAGCACACCCTGGGATGTCTGCACCCTAACCCTTTTTGGGGACAATTAAGGAGCATTAACATTTTTTTCCTTATAATCTATTTTTTATATAAACATTTAACTAAAGTGTAATATGCATAGATCCAAATGCAAAACTCTCAAGTCCCCCAAGGCCAAGGGTAGATTCTTGGGAACGATGCTCACAGAAATACCCACTAAAGCCTTCAGTGGACTCTGCTCCTTGTGAACCACTGGCGGTGAGAACATACCCCTCAAGGTGAAGCTCTAGCTCTCTTGTTCAAGGTGTAATTCCAGGATCTAGAAAAATGTCCTGGAGTGTAGAAAAGACAGTTAATAAATACTTATTAACTGACTGAATGAGAAAAAAAATTTTCTAAGTGTCATAGAAAGTGGAGAGAGACTATAAATAATTATTTTCCTGTTACATGTTCAAATGAAAAACAGGGCTTTTTTAGCCACAGAAAAGAGTGGAAACCAATGGAAATTTTGCCATGTTTAAAGAATTACAAATTAGCTGGCACCATACTTCCAACTTATTCCAGTGACTGTTTAGAGTTCTTTATAAATGGGTGCCCTGAGCAGGTGCCTGCCTGGCCCATAACTTACCCTGGGTTAGGTCCCATGTGACTAGTGTGTGTTTTTTTCTTTTTTTTCTGTCAAAGCTTAGCTCACATGGGAAGGACTCTTCTGGTCCACATGTTACTGGTGCCTGGGGTTCTGGCAATCTCCCAGATTAGAAATCAAGAGATATCACCAAACATAGCAGCAAAGGTCAGTTTAAGTTTATCCCAGCTTGTGCACAAGGGAGCTAGCATTGAGAGAGGAAAAAGGAGTGGACTGCTCCCCGAGGGTACTCTGTGGGGGGGTTCGTTTTATGGGGTCTCTTAATAGGAAAAAAATTACATCAGGGCATGTGTAGAAGAAAGTTTTCTAACGCTTGTGCAGTGGCTCAACATGCTGCTTCATACATTGGGTGTAGCATTAGCATTGTAAATCTCCAGCCCTGGGTGCGAATTTTAGCGTTAAAATGAGGAAGAGGTAACTTTAGGTTAGAGTTGAAGTCTAACTGGTGTGTGGCGTTCCAGGGAAGTCTCTAGCTGCCTGAAATAGGAGCTTGCATTTAACAGCTTCTTGGGTCTCTCATTACTGATTAGCTGAGAGTTAGATAAAAGCTAGAGCTTGAGTGAGGGACTTTGATCCTTTTCCTCCAGATTATTTTAAAACAGGGAATCAACCAGCCTGCCTGTCTCACACATTGTTCTCTCTCTCTGAACTTTCAGAATTTTCCAACTGTACCAACTATCCCATAATTGCATTGTCTTCTATCACCCCTACAGAATCTTGCTTATGTAGTGGGTAAGGCTGTGTTAACTTGGTTTCCTGTCTGCAATGCTTGTATCACCAACTAGATACATAGGCCTTGAATATAGGCCAGTGTCTTCCCATCTTGATGTCTTGCAGATATTGTCACATGGTGATGTCAAGTTAAGATGCTAGAGTTTCCAACTGTCATGTATCCTGGAAAGGCGCTGCAGTGAAGCATCATTAGCTGGTCAGTCAATAACTTTCAGCAGACATGAATTGAGTGCCTACTGCCTGTGAGACACTGTTCACTGCCCTTGTGTGTGTGTTAGAGGGGGTGGTCAGGGAGGGTCTTTCTGATAGGTGCACCTGTGAGCCGAGACCTGAATAAAATAAGAGAATGGGGTATGAGGATAGCTGCAGAAGAGCAGTCAAGGTAGCAAGAACAGCCAGTGCAAATGCCCTGGGGTTAGAAAGCCAGTGCTGGGCTATTAACGCCTTCCCTTGATGGACCTAAGAGAGCCCTTCTTCTCTTTGCACTTAGGAGTCCTCACCAACCCATTAAATGAGTCCATCAGACAAGATTTCCAAGCTAACATTTTTGTGACTTTATGGAAAAACTATTTTTTTAATGGAGAAAACACATTTTACTCCTGCAGCCGAGACACGCACTCCCCTCTCACATATTTGACGTCATTTTTCCCCCACTCCCTTCACTCACACATACTTCACTTTTCTTTATTTTAGAATCATGCTGAGTAACATTTTGTGAATGTGTTTAACACAACCATAGAGTCAGGGTCATGCATTAACAACTGCTCAAGTGGCATAGGTTAAACAATGCCAGTGGCACTTGCCCCTCTCCCCTCTGCCCTCAACACACACACTCCTGGGAGTCCTGAGATCGCTATACTAGAAGATTCTAATGTGGTCACTTCCCTGGGTGACCCATCTTCATCTTTTTCAAGATTGCCTGGTTATGTGCTAGACAGAGACACCGGGTAAAGTGACCTTTCCACTGAATCCTGGGATCCACCAGGTATTACTAGAAGTTTTTCACCCTGGATTTTAGATCGCTCTGTCTTCAGGTATGATTTTCTCTAATCTGGAATACTCTATTCATTTGAATTACAAAGGGACATGTGGTTTTGGTTTGTTTACTCTTAGGTCATGAAATGATAATTTAGCAGTTAATGGGCAAAGAAAAAGACCTTCTTTTCATGGCCAGGAACTTTTTGGGAGCCTCCGTTTTTAACAGCAGTAACTTGCTCTACACTGACTCTGAGCTGGCCCACATCCCTGAAGGTATGGTCTTAATGGGATTAGGGAAACCATGGCTGACAGGGCTTCCTTGGGATGACTTCTCAGCACAAATGTTCTGCCTCCCTGGATCCAGCCCAGAGACTTGACTTGGGATAGGAAAAGAGTGAAAGGTGAACGAAAGACCATAAACCACTTCTCTATGTTTCCTACAAATGCTGGGGTGTCTATTATTCTGCATAGTGGGGCGCATTAAGCAAATTCTCCTTTTTCAGGATGACTGAAGCTGAATTTCTGTTTACTTTTGTTTATGCATCTCCGTTAAACCAGGATCATATCCTCAACCCCCAAAGAGGAACAGGCCACCTTTGCCATCATGCTCAGCCTGGTCACCAGCCTGAGGCTTTCACAGCCACCCAGATCTTCCCCTCACCTTTCTCCTGGAGTGTAGAGATTCCATATTCTCTTTCATCTGGCTCCTGACATCACTTCTCCGTATTGACTGTGGGGCTCTTTTTTGGCTTGGATTTTTCTCTTTGTTAAGGTGAGTAGTTCTTAACCTTTCAGGAGTCATGGATTCCTGGACCATCTCTCACCAAAACTGGCCATGTAAAATTTTACAATTTCATGGCTTATGAGGATTCCTCAAATCTTTTCTATGGGCTATGGATTCCAGGTTAAGCAGTCCTAAAATTGGTCTTGCTTTCTTTATTTACAGACCCTGTGGGACCACAGAAAGCAGAAAATAGTCATTCAGGGGAGCTTGCTTCCTGACTTCCTCAGCTGATGTTGTTGGTATGAGTTTCTTGTTCCTGCTGTAGCACATTACTGACAAACGTGGTGGTTTAAAACAATACAAGTTTATTGTCTTATAGTTTGGGGGTTAGAAGTCCTAAAATCAAGGGATCAGCAGGGCTGTGTTCCTCCTGGAGTCTCTAAGGGAGAACCAGTTTCCCTGCCTTTGCTGGCTACTGTAGGCTGCCAGCACTCCTTGGCTTGTGGCGCCTTCCTCCACCCTCACAGACAGCAGTGCAGCATCTTCAAACCTCTGTCCCTGAGCTCTGCTTCCTTTGTTACATCTTCTTCTCAGACTCTGACTTTCCTGCCTCTTTCTTTCCCTTAAAAGGGCTCTTTTGATTAAATGGGCTCATCAGGATGATTTCCCATCTCAAGATCCTTAACTGAATCACATCTTCAAAGTTCCTTTTGCCATAAAAGGTCACAGATACACAGGTTTCAGGAATTAGAACATGGACTTCTTTGGGAGGCTGCTATTCTGTCTGCTGCACTATCCTTAAGCCTCACCTCCTAGGAACTCTCTAGTTAGACCACTCAAAATGCACATCAAAGGAGGCTGAATCTCTTCCCTACTCAGGCTCCATTTTCTCCCTAAGGAATTGCTTCTTGCCCTGGTGAATGAGAACCCCCCACTTCCTGCCCTTGGACATTCTCCTTCCCATGGGGGTGAAGGCCTTTGCCTGCCTTATGGGATAACTATAGAAAGACAAATGTTGAGGCCAACATCTGATTAGCACAAACACACTCCTGGCAAATGGTGCATCTTTGCTATCATCAGCTAAGACCTCAGCAACAGGGGAACGAGAAAGGAGTGGTTATTCTGTATTTACTGTGTGTCAGCTCTCTCATTGGCAGAGACCATTTCTGGGGTGCCATCCAGGAAGAGGGGTTGGAGGACAATGCTAATATGACCATACAATTCTTCTTCACATCACTGCAACTTTCTTTTCCCTGCATGACTTTAACACTTCTTTCTACCTGATTCAGTGACCACAGAACCAGAGCTGCAACTGGATGCAAGAGCAGGGATAATCCCTAAGCAGGAAACTGTAACCGTACTTTTGAACTTTTATGTCAGAATTCCCAAGCGCCTGATGGGGTAGACTGTGCCTTCAGCCCATGTGGCAAAATTGGTCTTGATGATGAATGCAGATATATTATTACCTAGCGGTCAAGATAGCCCACTAGTTCTGTATGTGTGTAAACTCACCCTATTAAACAGAAGTGAACTGAGAGAGAAGCACCTGCTAGACCAGTATTGCTATCAGCAGTGTGTATCAGAACAGTGCTAAAACTAACAGCCCTTCCAAAGGTAGAAAAGTTTGGATAAAAACCAATGATAGGCTGGGTGCAGTGGCTCATGCCTGTAATCCCAGCACTTTGAGAGGCTGAAGTGGCAGGATCTCTTGAACTCAGGAGTTTGAGACTAGCCTGGGCAAGTCTCAGAGAGACCCCATCCTATTTTTTTTTTAAACAAAACAAAACCAAACAAAACGAAAAACAATGATAAATGGATAGAAGGAAGAATCGTAGCTGAGGGTAAATGAATGAATAGATGGGTTATGCAACAAGGGAATTCCAATATTACAATGGTGCCTTGATAAAGATGATATTGACTTTTAGCTTCATGCAAATGCCTGAAAGGATGAAGCCATGTGTTGCAAAGACCACTCCTGCTTTTGGGAACCTGACAAGGTTGAATGGAAACCTGCAAACCTGAGTGGGTGGCATTGCTCTGGGAGACATTTTGGTCGTATAATATGATTGTGACCTGGACCAAATTGATAATGACTGAGTGAGATTTTAGTAATATGCCTGTATCTTTTGACTTACTTTTCAGGTTACATCTGCAACCATACTGCGATACGGTGTAGCACTGGCATCATGGGTAAGATTCGTCCCCTTATGTGAATAAGTCTAATGACGGTACTGCTGTTGATGATCAAATATATCAAGAAGCTAAGTGAAAGCCTCCTCAGGATATAATACTGATGGAAAATGACTGGCCTGAGGAAACACTAGATTTCATTAATCGTCATCTAATTGCTATGTTAAATAGTTCTGGCCAGGTACGGTGGCTCACACCTGTAATCTCAGCATTTTGGGAGGCTGATGTGGGAGGATCACTTGAACCCAGGAGTTTGAGAGACCAGCCTGGGCAATATAATGAGATCCTGTCTCTACAAAAACTAAAAGCTGAAAAATAAAATTAGTCAGGTATGGTGGTGTGCACCTGTACTTCCAGCTACTTAGGAGGCTGAGGAGAGAGGATCACTTGAGCTTGAGCTCGGGAGATCAAGGCTACAGTGAGCTGTGATCACACCACTGCACTCCAGCCTGGGCAACAGAGATCCTGTCTCTAAAACGAAAACAAAACAATAGTTCTGCACAAGTGTATCATGAGATATAGATGGTAGTAGAACAAGTCATCATATCAGGACAAAAATATGAAAATGTATGTAATGACTTTCTAGATAGATAAGTTGTTTCTTTTTTAAAATTTAATTTTAATTGAAAATAAAAATTTTATATATTTGTTGTGAACAACATGATGTTTTGAAATATGTATACATTGTGGAATGGCTCAATTGCATTAATTAACATATGTGTTATCTCACATAGTATGACGTTTTTGTCTACTCTTGGCCAGGCGAGGTGGCTCATGCCTATAATCCCAGCAATTTGGGAGGCTGAGGCAGGTGGATCACCTGAGGTCAGGAGTTCAAGACCAGCCTGACCAACATGGTAAAACCCCATCTCTACTAAATACAAAAAATTAGCCAGGCGTGGTGGTGCATGCCTGTAATCCCAACTACTTGGGAGGCTGAGGCAGGAGAATTGCTTGAATCTGGGAGGCGGAAGTTGCAATGAGCTGAAATCACGCCATTGCACTCCAGCCTGGGCAACAAGAGTGAAAACTCTGCTTAAAAAAAAAAAAAATGCATGCTCAGAGATTTTCAAAATACAATACATTGTCATTAATGATAGTCAGCATATTGTATAACAGACCTTTTGAAGTCATTCCTTCTACCTAGCTAAAGTTGTTTCTTTAAATCTATCCCTACTTCACACTGAGGCCTGCCTCCAAATATTAGGTGTGTTCATACTGACACGACTCCTATATCTGTGATATAAATGCTATAACAAATGCAGACACTAAAACAGATGTGATTATTTTTCCACAAGAGAGTCTTGGCCAAAGTGGGGACTTTGGGCTATGTAGTATCAACTTGACATCCAGAAAGGCTGGAGACTAAAGGTCAGTACCTGATGGTCACATAATCAACCATATCTTCACGACCAAACCCCAATAAAAACTCTGGACACTAAGACACAGGTGCACTTCCCCAGTTGGTAGCATTTGGTGTGTATTGTTACACAGTTCTCAGGAGTAGCCTGGCTGTTCATGGCTTCACTGGGAGAGAAGCCATGTGGAACTCTCCTGGACTCTGTCCCATGTGTTCTTCCCTTGGCTGACTCTAATTTGTATTCTTTCAGCATATCAACTGTAATTTTAAGTGTACAGTTTTCAGTTAATTCTGTGGGTCCTTCTAGTGAATGATCAAAGTCTTGGGAACCTCAGAACTTGAAGTTGATGTCAAAGGTAAGGGTGGGTTTGGGGACTCCCTAACTTGTAGGTGCACTCCAATTTTCCTCTCTCTGAAATTTACTCATCCTGAATGCCATTGCTCAGGTCCTGCTCTCAGCTAGAGCTAAGTTAATAGCTGAAAGACTCCCCTTTGTTCCAGGCCAGTTACTGAAACTTCACAAAGGCCTTAGTGACTTCAATCCAAAGGAGAGGCTGAGGGTAGGGCTATTAGGCTATGCTTGGACATAAGAGAAGCAGCATAGAGGAGGCTTTATATGATGATGCGTAGATAGTAGTCAATTTCACCCAAGGTCGGCTGGCCTTCAGCACCCTGACTGTAGGGCAAAAGCATTATCCAAGTCCCTTGTTTGGTTGGCCCATTTAATGATAAAAAGGCCCATTTAATGGTGCTACTACATCAGTAGTATCAGTATGAACATGCCTCACATTTGCAGGTCCCAGTGTGAAGTAGGGATAGATTTAAAGAAACAACTTCAGCTGGATATGAGGAATGACTTCAAGAAGTCTGTTATACAACATGGCGACTAACATGAATGACAATGTGTTGTATTTTGAAAATCTTTGAGAGTAGATTTAAATGTTCTTGCTAGAAAAAAGTCACAAATATGTGAGATAATACATTTGTCCCATCTTTGTGGACAATGCTGAACACATCCTGACAGCAACAGTAGTAACAGCCATATTCATGGAGGACTCTGCCAGCCACATGACAGTTTTCTCATGTAATCCATGCAACAATTCTGCTGCTGTGCATTACTCTTAACTTTCTTCCATGGAGGAGAAATGGAGGCAGAGGGAGCTTTAGCGACTTGCCTGAAGGCTGACTCCATCCAGCGTTGGCTCCCATAGTCACTCTGCTCCCTGCCTTCCTTGCACGGTGTTACCTCATCTTTTATGTTTCATTAGGAGCAGAGGGAGGCACTCAGATATCAATAGGCTACTCAATTTGTCTTCACTGAAATCAGGAAACAAATATCTATTGGTTGGTTGACATGAGGATGCACAGCCCCTGCTGTGGGGTCGGGGAGTCAAGGCGGTATCGGGACAGTGGGAAAAAAAATAGGCTTCTAGAATTTTATTCAGTGTCAGATTCTTGACCTACAGTATTTTGTTTAATATTTATAATCCTAGGAATGATTTTTAACTCTATTTTATAGATGAGGTAAAGTTAACCTCAGGTTATAAACCCCTGCTCTAACTAAAGGTATATCATGGACTGAATTTGTCCTCCCGCAAAATTCACCTGTTGAAGTCCGAATCCCCAGTACCTTAGAATGTACAGGGCCTTTATAGAGATCGTTATGTTAAAATGAGGTTGTAAGGTAGGTCCTAATCCAGTATGACTGGTGTTCTTACAAAAAGAAGAGGTTGGACCCACACACATACAGAGGGTTGACCGTATGAAGGCATATGGAGAAGGGAGCCAGCTACAAGGCAAGGAGAGAGAGACCAGGATGAAGCCACCCTTGCCAACACCTTGATCTCGGACATCTAGCCTCCAGAACTATGAGAAAATAAATATCTATTGTTTATGCCTCCCAGTTTGTGGCACTTTTTTATGGCAGTCCTATTAAATTGATACAAGGTACAATGGGGGTTTGGACCCAGGTGTGACTAACTCCAAGGCCCTGGCTGGCCCTTTCTGTGTACCATGGAAAAGATTAGCCAGAGATGTAGGAGACAGTTAGGCAGGAGCCAGATGAGTGATGTGCATGGTGATTAGATTTGATGGAGGAAATTGTGAGGGCTAGCATGGCCTCCTGGATGAGTTGAGTATTGGGCTGGGTAGGAACATTTGGACGTCTTAGACACAGATGGCTGGCGGGAAAGCAGAAGGGCATTCCAGGCCACAGAGTGGCTGGTTTTGCTGCATCCCAGAGCCACCACCCCTGCTGTCTGGATGGACATCTGGCCAGCCAAGCACACATGTGGCCACGGTGCTGAGGAATTTTGGCCCCGATTGCGCGTGGGGAGAAGGTCTGTAAATCAGAAGTTTCTTTTATGGACAACTTCTTCCACTCAAGCCCAGAAGAGGACCAAGAACAAAGAAGCTGGCAGCTTCTCATATTTATTAAGAGGCAAAGAGTGTGAGACCAGGAGGCTCTGGCAGAAAAAGGACAGTTAGCCCTAGAATTGGGCCCTGGAAAAAGAAAGCTGACAACAAACCAACCACAGGGTTATACAGAGCATAGGAACAACCGAGGGGAAGGGTCCCCAGTCTGACACACAATGTATCAAATATAATAAGTCCTGGGAGGCCAATCAAATCCCTTGTCACCCCAACACCACACTATGCCAAATAGTAAAAGCAGATGTTTTGCAAACTGGTAACAACTCCAAAGCCTTTTCTGGTGATGGGCAAGAGAGGCAGAGACTGCTGGGGAGTTGAGGGGAGCAGAAAGATGGCTTTTGGGAGTTGTCCAAATACTAGTGCACCTGAAATCTTATTCCAAGCTTCTTCAACAATACAAAAAGAGGGATTCAATTGAGTCTGGGCATGGAGAGAAGATCTGTTGTAACATGGAAGAAATTAAAACACGATAGGAGAACAAAGTGACATTTCAAATTGCTATGATTGATTCAGTCCCATTGCCTGACCCATTTTTTTCAAATACCAAGCTGACAGGGCCAGTTGCAATACTTCATAGTGGTGCGGAGGGGGTGTAGAGAAGACACCCATTATGCCTTTGGAAATTTAGTCTCTCCACGCTTCATCCTGAGCCTTTGGCTTTCCCCTCCATGGCAGGAGAAACCACCCCTAGCTTCCAGCACATTCTTGGTAAAGGTGATCACTAGGGGTGGCACAAGCCTCCAAAGCAGCCCTGATGTGGTCTCCAGCCTAAAGGCAGCACCCACATAGCAGGCTATGTTTGTTCCAGCTGGTGGCCTTGCATGGAGGTGTTGACACATTGTGCCCTACCCAATACCTTATTCAGGTAGAGGAGAGTCTAAAGCTTTGAAAAGCGCTAGAACAGGAGCCAGGTGAGTCAAGTCTAGGCTTTAGGCAATTCATGAATCCTCTCTGCTTTGATTTCTCAAATGGGGAAGACATTACAAGAGTTCTGTGTTATTTACAGAGTTTCTCATTCCATTATTGATTCCACCCACATACCTTGTGGTACAGCAGAGAACACTGCAAAGTCCCTACTTGCATGAGCATATCTTTGATGGAGTGGATGGTGGGGAGATGATAAGTGAGCAAATATGTCATGTAGTTATGGTGAGGACAGAGTAAGGTTGCAACTATGGAGAGCCTCTGAACAGATTAGGGGCACGATTGTGCCCATGCACGGTGCTGCCCTGATGTCATTGGAGAGCAGCTGGATGAGGAAATCCTTGGAATCCTGGTGTGCAGAAGTGAACTTGATGGAATACTCTCTAAAGGTGAGGAAAAACAAACAAAAATAAGACGACTGTACCAGTTTTGTTGTGGAACCTATTGTGAAGATATTTTATGGAAACAATCTGGGCATGTGCAATGTGTTTCAACTTTAATGGCATTAAAACCATTGATCTTCCAGTGACATTTCCATGTGGGTCTGTCATCCTAATGCATGCATTGAGAACTGGGCTCAAATCTCTATTTTGTCATTCTTATCGGTGGGAAGGGAAGTGACATTTTTTTGTTTAACTTCCAAGATAATACAATACAATAATCAAGACTTTTCTTATGTAATGTCACCTAATTCTCATCTCAACTCCACAAGGTAGATACTGGTATGCAACTTTACGGATGAGGGATATTCAATAATTTATCTAGAATTTTGCAGTTACTAAGTGGTAGAGTTGATATGTAAATTTTAAAGACTTTGAGTGTTCCTTTTAAACTCATCACTCATTTGAGGTGATGAGAATGGGAATTGAACAGTGGTCCAGGGTAAATAAATTTTTCATCTCATATTATTTCTGGTTTGATGGTGTCTATTTTGTCGTCACTGAGACCTTTGCATTCATTTTAATTGATTTCTGGTATTCCAGGTTACCAGATTCTAGAAAAGTGTCTTAATGACTCACCTAGAATTATCTCAAAACAGGCAGAATGCTATTGTTATGTTCAAGTATCAAGTTAATTAAAACAATGACCCCCTTCTTGGTCAATGCTGACCTTTCTGTTGGCAAAATAAGAACCTAAGAGTTCTGAGGAAGGGGATCCATGGTGAGGGTGAGAAAAAAATGCCAGGCCAGGTCTCATTTCTTTTTGTTGATTAAAATGACTAAACTCATAGGAATTTATATAAATGAGAACAATTATAGATAAGGTACATCTGAATTTCAGGAAGTTGTTGACTAAATCTCTTAGAATCATACCTGCACATTTAGAAAACAAAAGTTCTTAACCTCCAAAGTTAAATATCTTCCTTTAATCCTGATATCTTAACTCCCTCCTTTATTTATTGAAAAATGTCTTTAAAAGGGTTGATTATTTTTATTATAAAATATTATTAAATTTCTCAGTGACTTTCTATTTAACCTATTTCAATTAGATTGTTGCCTCATAACTTGACCACTAAGATTGTCTATATGACCAATGACCAATGGCCAAAACAAGAAAATATTTCCAGACTCATTCCCTTGACCTCCTTGGTCAGTAGTTGATGCTGATGATGAATTCATACTTCTTAAAACTTTTCATTTCTCCCAAAGGCCTAACCACTCCTGTGTTATCTGGGTAACTCTTGGCAATTCTCTTTGCATGGCTCCAACATACATAGGTTTTGGTTACCACAATTTAGTTAAATAATACCAATCCCTATAACATGATAACATGATTCAATAACATAATTCAAATTTTAGTTCCTATGACATATTGGCTGTGACTGATTGCATAAAATACAAGCGTCATTGTTACTTCATCATTCCACAAATTATTATGTGAAAAGCAGATATGACCATGATTAGAAATGCATACCATTTCTTTCAAAGTCTAAGGGGTTTCATCACTGCACAGACAGCAAAGCATGTAATTGTGTAACCTCCTTGTTTTCCAATGATAAACTTACACGATATTTGATAAAAATAAATAATCAAAAGAGGAAATCGGCCAAGAAAGATGAAAGTGCAGGAAAAAACCAAAATGTGATAATACTGGAAATGAAATTTTAGTTAAATGTAAATGGGATTAAAGAAAAAAAAATAGTTGATCATTGGGATGTGGACACTGAGACTTTGCAAGAGACTGTAAAAGTGCAACCAGAGGAACTTAGTGAAGACTTACATCATACATGAGGAAAGTGGCTGTTACAAAAAGGATAAAGATGTCCCAGAGGAAGTGACATAAGCAAAGAGCTTCACATTTAAGGAATGCTCTGAGATATTTCACAACATGGAAGGCACAAAGGATAAAGTGTTGGACACTGATCCAAACTTAAAGAAATCGGAAAATTCACCAAGGCTCAGAAAAGATGATCCCCTGTATCAAATTATTTCACTAGAAGAAGGCAAGCACTCTCAATAGGATTTTATTTTTACAATGAAATGAAAGCACTTTAATTAATGCTTCAAGTGTACAAATTACAGTGTATTAAGTAAATGTTACTTATACAACTTCTTTTCATTTTTCTATACAGTTATAGCTGACAGTAAAGAGTTTTTAATGTTTTGATAAAAATGTTTAAAGGTCGTGAAACAAATGTAATTTTTCCCCATTGATTACTTAGATTGTTTTGCATGATTTCAGCTTTCCAGTCACCTGTATAACCCTGTGCTACCATGCAAAGAAGGACTACCTGTATGAGGCATTTCCAAGTTAGCATAACTGTAATTTTACACACTACATAAACTCCAAGCTGTCTCTTTCTCCTGAATTCTTGAGTCCAGTTATAGTGACTGGGACAGAATGAGTGGCCAATGAATGTGCCCCTCCTGTTCGATCTACTCATTATTTAAGCCATCTTAGGCCCCTTTTCCCCTTTCCTCTGCTTCTAATTAGCCCCAAGTCCTGCCTAGTGTGTCTTCTAAGCTTGGCTTGAATCCAGCTCTCTTCTTCATTCCCACTGTTTGGCCTTAATTTAGGTCCTTATTTTCACTCTCCTGCAACCACTTCCTAAATGTTCTTCCTTCCACCAGTCTCCGTGTTAACTACAGTGCAACCTTCACACAAATGCCAGAGCTATTGACCTAGAAAAGGAATTTGGTCCCATCCCTCTATTTTGCAAAAACTACTATTGACTGTCTGTTGTCCTTAATGAGCGGAATGTCTCAACATTTCTCAAGAAACATTCTGCCCCTTGACTCCTTCATGCATTTTCTTGTGATGATTCCTCTTTCTGGGGCTGCCTTCTCTCTCTCCTTATTTGGGCTAACTCTGCTTACACTTTAAGATTTGTTACAAGTATTTTCTATCCAGGTAGAAGTCTTGCTGGTATTTTAGTCACTGTTTGTAACTTTAGTTACTGCTTTCTCTGTGGTTCCATAATGCTTTAGAATTCTATGGCATGTGTGTCATGGAATGTTATAACATATTTATTCATATAGCCATATTTCTTAGTAGACTATAACTCCTCAAGGTGAAGACCTTGTCTTATTCCAAGCTTTGGTGGAGTGAAACAACAGCAGCAAGAACATCAACATCAATAATACTCTTTATAATTAAGAAGAGGGAGTTTTCTATGGAACAACAACAACAAAATAGTAACCACATACAACCTTAGTAGCCTTAATAATTTTATAAGGATGTGCTAGGAAACTTTCAACGTACATGTATTTCTCCTAAACTACTAATCAATGATTACTATTCTCCATGTGATAAATCTAGCTAAAGGGTGTGGGCACATATCTAAAGGTACTGTTTGAAATCTAAAGGTTGAAATAGCTTCTTTTAGATATCAGTGACTCCAATAGATGTATTTAACTAATAGATGTTTATACAAGACAATGAGATATTTTGGTAATCAAAGGCACATTGAAGTTTAAACACACCTCTCTAGAATGAGGCCCTGGGTGGGCATTCACATTTCCATGGAAAACTCACTGAGGTAAGTGGCCTCAACCTCCTCTTTCAGAAGATTCCTCTATGAGAGCCCCTCTGTGATCAAGGTCTGATCCGCAGCTCCTGCTCAGGAGCGTCCCTGGACATGTTTATGTGGTATAGGCAAAGGAAAAGCAGAGAAACACATTCCTGTCTGTTGCTCAGAATATAAATCTGTCACGGGAGCCCTCCTAAGACAGTTTTGCCAAGGAGTAATGAAGTGAGGGAATCTGTAGGTGACCAGGGATGACATAGTAAACTCCAAATAATTCAATATGATTAGGGAATTAGCAAGGGCTGAAGTGAGCTGGTGAGAAGAGATGCGTAAATTTCCCCTGGCGTAAATGAGCCATGGATCAGCCTATCCAGGGAAGAGAGGCTGCTGTGTAAAGCGGGCTCAGGTTTTTAAAGTGATGCATCTTTGAGCAAATCCAAGGGATTGGCCTTTGAAGATGAAGTCAGCGTGACAGAAGAGCGGCGTCTACAGAATCACAAAAGGTTCTCTCTGCAGATTGGCTGGGAGCATGTGTGTGGCTGCTGCCCAAGCCACTGGTACAAGATGGCAGGCTCAGGGAGCAGAAGCTGGCAATTATTCTGTGGCTACATTTTTCTTCTTAGCTCTGCATTAGGAATCCAACAAGCTCTTGCCGCACATTCACCTTTATATTACAGGATTTGTTTTCCCTGAGACCAAGTCACCAAAAGTATTATTTGTCATATTTATAATGTTAATAACAATGCTTCAAAAAACATTTTTAAAATTTGTTTGCAAAGTGCTTTCATGCACATATATCTTACCTGAGTCTTGCAATAACCCAGTAAAGTAGACAGGAAGATACGGTAGGCACTGACCCTGAAACTTTTTAAAGTTGTAATTCTTTCTTTTTGCAAAACTCTTGTGTCTATTGAACACATTCAGAAAATACAGATGTTAAGGAAAAGAATTCAATCACCTATAATCCTATCATAAAGCTATGTATCTTTCCCTTTTAATTTACTACTTTATATTTTACTTATGTGTACTATTTTACAAATTTCAATATATTGGTTTTTATTCTTTATTATTCATTCTGAAAATATTCAGACATCAATAAATACAGTTATATAATCATTTTTAATGACTGCATGTACATACTATTCTACTGTATTAACACAGTTTGATTTATTTAACCTATCTGCTAGTGTAAGATGTTTAAATCATTTTCAATGTTAATTAATGAAAATATTTAAAATATTTTATGTATTAATCAATCAAATCAGTTATCATTATATTATATAACAACACATAATGATTATGCAATTAGTCAAATAGTATTACATTCAGTAAATACTTATATTCAAAATCATAATGAGGTTAGCATCCTTGTGACTAACTCATCAGGCACATCCACGATTATTTCCTAGGCCTTTTAAATCAGGTAGATCCTGCATTGATGCAGACTTACCATAACCTGCAGTTGATGAAAATGAACCTCAGATATTTCTGTTCTTTTCCTGGAATTGCAAACGATCTCTCTTTGCACTCATCGTTTCTCCTCCTCACTGAATTTCGGCAGCCTTCTAGCTTTTAACATTTTCAGCATTAAGTTGAAAACCAGTTTCCTAATTGTTACATATACCAGGCATTATATTATGCACTAGCGCATAAGATGCAATGCATGGGAGCATCTCCCCACCTTCAAATTGCATGCAGTTCATCTGAGAAAACAAACAAGAGGAGGATGATCACAATACCATCTTTAAGTGCTCTGTGATTCCAGAGAGCAGGCTGTAAGCCAGATTGAGTAGTTAAAGAAGCTGCTCAGAGAGCTGATGGGCCACCTATGCTTCACCTGGAGCAATGACTGTGATCAGCCGGAACCTGGTGGGGGATGGGGTAGGGAGAGGGGGTCACTTCCGGCACATGAAAAGCAGTTTTCACAGTATTCCAAAGGAATATTTTTATTTCTCTAATAAAATTCTCAATTATGCCTTTTATCTTTTTGAACATAAAAAGCATGATTATTTAAAAGTCTTTACCTGATAACTCCAATATCTGGACACTCTATGGATAGGATTCTATCGTTTGTTGTTTCTACGGGTTATCAATCATTTGCCTTATATCTTTGTGTACCTGGTTTTCTTTTTATTGTGTACTGTACAGTGTACTAAAACATTGTTTGTGAAAAGATGTTGAGACCAAAGATGACGTTCTCTTCCTCCAGAAAGGGTTTTGTTAGTTCTGCCAGACTCCAAGGGCACTAACAATTAGGGAACACTTTAATTCAGTTTTATAGCTTGAGATTGTAAGGGCTAGTTAGATCAGGGGCCCCCAACCCTGGGCCACAGACCAGTACTGGTCTGCGGCCTATTAGATACAAGGCCACCAGGCACAGTGGCTCATCCCTGTAATCCCAGCACTTTGGGAGGCTGAGGCGGGAAGATCACAAGGTGAGGAGTTTGAGACCAGCCTGGCCAACATGGTGAAACTCTGTCTCTACTAAAAAATACAAAAAAAGTTAGCCAGGCGTGGTGGTGGGTGCCTGTAATCCCAGCTACTTGGGAAGAGGAGGCAGGAGAATCGCTTGAACCCAGGAAGGCGGAGGTTGCAGTTAGCCAAGATTGCACCACTGCACTCCAGCCTGGGCAACAAGAGTGAGACTCATCTCATAAAAAAAGAAACCAGGCCCCACAGCAGGAGGTGAGTGGCAGGCAAGTGAGCGAAGTTTCATTTGTATTTACAGCCCCTCCCCGTTGCTCACATTACCACCTGTGCTCCATCTCCTGTCAGATCAGCAGCGACATTAGATTCTCATAGGAGTGTGAATCCTTCTGTGAACTGCACATGTAAGGGATCTAGGCTGCCTCCTCCTTATGAGAATCTAAGCCTGATATCTGTCACTGTCTTCCATCACCCCCAAATGGGACCACCTAGTTGCAGGAAAGCAAGCTCAGGGTTCCCACTGATTCTACATTATGATGAGTTGTATAATTATTTCATTATATATTATAATGTAATAATAATAGAAATAAAGTGCAGAATAAATGCAATCTGCTTGTATCATCCCCAAACCATTTTCCTGCCCTGGTCTGTGGAAAAATTGACTTCCATGAAACTGGTCCACCGTGCAAAGAAAGTTGGGAACTGCTGATTTAGATGACTTGAAGCTGTGCATATTATGGCTGGTTTATTTCCAAAACATCTTCATTTCTAGGGCAGAGTCCTTTAAGGAGCCAGCATAAAATGTGGGGAGTTTACTAGCTCCTTGTCACTACTCATTGGCTGGCTCTGGAATTTCACCCTGGTCTCCTCAGCCCCATGAGGCTGAAGTACTGATCAGCCTCCCTACTTCTCACCCCCAATCAACATCTGCTCCTGGGGAAAAGCAACCCCTACCAAAATCGACTCTCTAGATTTTGATTTTCTCCTGGATCTTCAGCTGGAAATTCTTTTTTATCTCAGTGCCTTTTAAAAACATTTTGCTCAGTTTTACTCCCTATCTTCAGCAGGAAAGTTGGTCCTAATTTTCAAGTCTGTCATTGCTAGAAGCCATTAAGTGATAGAGCAGATTTGCTCTGTTTTGTCCAGTGGTCAGATAAAGTCTAATGAATGGAATTCACAAAGAACCTAATTTCTACTAAACCAAAGGAATAACTTGCTAACAATCATCCTAACAGTAACAAATGGACTGTGCCTGAAACTGAGAGCTTTCTGTTTTTGATGTTTCTTCAACATTTCAGCTGGAGAATGAATGCTTCATGATAGAGGAGAGGAAACTTGTAACCCTTGAAAGTGTATAGGTGTGGTGCACATGAGATTTCTCTGAGGTCTCCAAAAAGAAGTGTCTCAACCTAACCTGGCCAAAACAGAACTTGAAATTTCTCTGCCATCACTGTAATGGCAATGCCACCCACCAAATGCTCGGGCCTAGGAGTAGCCTTTATTACCCTCTTTCTCTCACATCCCACATCCGATTCATTTGAAAGAACTGCTGACTCTCCTCCAAAACATATCCTGGATTTGACTACGTCATGTCTCACTGGCTTTAGGACACAGGCCCTAGCCTACACCACTGTATTAGTCTGCTCAGGCTGCCATAACAAAGCACCACAGATTAGGTGGTTTAAATAACAGAAGTTTATTTCCTCACAGCTCTGGAGGAACTGGAAGTCCAAGATCAAAGTGTTGTCAGGGTTGGTTTCTCCTGAGGCCCCTCTCCTTGGCTCATACGTGGCCGCCTTCTCTCTGTGTCCTCACATGGTCTTCTCCCTGTGCATATCCGTGTCCAGATTTCCTCTTCTTATGAGGACACCAGTCATATTAGATTAGGGCATTCCCCAGGAACCTCATTTTAACATAATTATCTCTTTAAAGACCCTATTTATAAATACAGTCACATCCTGAGGTACTAGGGGTAAAGACCTCAACATATGAATTTTAAGGGGACACAATTCAGCCCATAAGAGCTGCCATCTTTTCCTGCTCTGCCTACAGCCACAGCTTCTTTCTCTTTCTTCAGTCTGATCCCTCCACAGTCCCTAAGACTATCTTCCACACAGCAACCAGAGTGATTTTTCTAAAGTGCAAATTATAGCGCATCACTCCTGTGCTGTGAACAGTATCACAGCCCCCAGAACTAGATGCCCATGTGGGTCTATGGGCCCTGTTTGAGCTCCCCCTTCCCCATCTCTCGGACGCCACCTCCCACTTAACAGTGGCTCCATATCGGCTGCCTCAGGCTTTTGCTGTCTCTTCAGATATTCCCGGTTTGTTCCCAGGATTTTGGCTACACTCTTCTGTTTATTGTCTTCTCTTCTGGCCTTTCATGGCTGACTCCACTGTCTCCACTCCTCCCCATCTCCCCACGACCATTCAGATTTCAATTCATTTGTCACCTCCTCCTCAGTGGGCCTTCTTCACGCTCAGGCTAAAACAACAATTCTATTTCTGTTCCCACCTTCTAACCCACCTTTATTGTATTCATGTTACTTCTAAGAATCTGAAATTATAACATGCACTTACTTGTTTATAGGCTTATTGTCTGTCTCACACTACAGAATGGAAGCAGCTTGAGGCCAGGCCTCTGCTTGTCAGGACCCTGCTGCCCTATGCCTTGTGCAGTGCCTGCTGTAGTAGACACCCAAGACAAACTTGTTCACTCACTGATTCCCAAAGCATAGAGACTCAAAAATCTTTCTCCATCCCTTCAACATTTTAGTAAAGTTAATTACTATGAGCCCTTTCCTCCTTCTATAAATTCACTTACTCCCTTGCACAATTTCCAATCCCTGGGGCTAAACAAATCCTTCTTCCAAAAGCATAGAGAATTAGGTTAGATGTAAAGTATTGAAAGTAATGACAAAAAACTGCAATTACTTTGCACCAACCTAATAGCTAATAGGTTTCTTCCTATGTTGTAACACTGATTATTTGGAAGTGCTCAAGAAGGGTTTCGAGGCTCTACCTGGGCTCATTGGGAGTATTGTGATGGACCAGTCACACCTGCCATTGGCTCTGTGTGGGAGAGTGTGGGCTCAGATGCCAAGTGCCTGCTGCCTGTCAGTGAGTGCCCAGAGTCCCCACTGATGGACTGAGAGCCTGTCCTATATTCAGTCTTTAATGGAGCTGCAGGCAAAAATTTCACAAGTATAGATTCATCCAACCATGGAGTTTATTTACAGTTATACTCATTGGCGGCTAAAGCTTTGAGAGGACTTGACATACCCAGCCTCCTATCTAGATGAAAGTAAATAAACTTAGGCATTCAGCATGAATAAGAACTCTAAAATATTTTCAAGAATAGAGTTTTTTCAACTTTTCCAGAAATCTCACTTACATTTTCTATCTTCACTTGGTCATCATTTCACCAAGTGAAGATAAAAAATGTAGCACAGAAGTCACTTTGTGCTTAAGTGATGTACATCAGAAACCACTTTTTGGGCCAGGCGTGGTGGCTTATGCCTATAATCCCAGCACTTTGGGAGGCTGAGGTGAGCAGATCACCTGAAGTCAGGAGTTTGAGACCAGCCTGACCAACATGGAAAAACCCCATCTCGACTAAAAATACAAAATTAGCTGGGCATGGTGGCGCATACCTGTAATCCCAGCTACTCAGGAGGCTGAGGTAGGAGAATCGCTTGAACCTGGGAGGCGGAGGTTGCAGTGAGCCGAGATCGCGCCATTGCACTGCAGCCTGGGTGACAGAATAAAACTCCGTCTCAGGAAAAAAAAAAACAAAAAAAAAACGAAACCACTTTTTGGCTTAAGCATGTGCCCTCTTGTTTAGTTCCTAATGAAAAGAGAGTATCATTTTTCCTCTCCATTCACAAATTCTGAAGTTGGCACACACCCTCTGAGCAGCCACTTGCAGGCCTGTTAAGGACGTGGAGGTGAGAGAATGCTGCTGTACTTTGCACAAGCCTCCCGTGCAGTGGCAAAAAGACAATTACAGAATCTTGAGGTAAGTTCCATGCTGTGCTAAACGTTACAGACACTGTTGAACTTGGAGACAGGAATCTAGTTGCTCTTCAGTCTTGTGTTCTACAGACTAAATAGCACCATTTCCTTTAATCTTTCTTCAAAATCACATCAGCATGATTACCTCCAACAGACCCCGTGGCAGACTTCAGCACTGATGATATTTAACCACACCGCTGGGCATACCCAGCCTCAGAGACACGGAGCCAACCGCAGCCCCACGAGTTCTGACCAAGCCTAAGTATTTTTGCCAAAAGAAATTCTTAAGACTGATTGAATGCTCAAATCTCAAGGCAGCCCTTCAAGGTTTTTGCCACTGAAGATTACATTTGCAGACCAATCAGCAAAATGCCGAAGATTATCCTGTTGGTGGTTTGGATAAGGAAAAGCACATTCTTTACCATGTAGATGAAAGTTGAGAAAACAGTGGAGTGGGGTGTTCCCATCTGGAATTCTCTGGATCCTATAATTAAGGGTACCTGGGAGTTTTGGAATGCTAGACGCTAGCTAACAGATGCAAACATTTTATGAAGTGGTTGGGGGAACATCACACATTTTTCCAATTATTTAGCAAAGCATGTCCCTTAGCCTCTTTTTACGAGCAAGATAATCAAAAGACAGGAGAGGCAGTCACTCTCTGCCCTTTTATGTCATTAGAGCAGTCATTGATGGGGACATGCTATCTAGTGACAAGACAGCAGCTGGCTTTCAGTTCCCAGGGATCAGGGTGGAAGCAATGTAATCTGAGCCTCCTAATCAAAATAGCCAGGACTCTTGTTTCCAAAAGCCAGGAGGGCATTCCCCAAAGCTAAAGCCTATTGGTACTCCTCTGTGTGAATTTGTCTTAAAGATGCCTGTAAAACAAAAGTTTCCACTCCTGAGGTTATTATTGAATGGATCTTCTAAAAAAAAACCTCAAAGCATAAAGCAAACTCTTTGAATGTGGAAATACGTGTTGTGTTTGATCCAATATGCCCCATTTCCCCTGAGTATGCATATGTGGATTATGTGCATGTGTATTTGTGTTTGCACATACATTCATGAGATACAAAATGCTTTTGCATGTGGAATAGGGGATACAAAAGGCAGCTTTAGCAAATCAGTAAAGCTGCCGGGATGGAGCCTTGGCATTGACCATGGCTCACTCCCTGAACACTGCCTCCACTCTTTACCCACAAACCTCAACCAAAAGCCTGCTCCGGGCCTATATTTCAGTTCCTGTTATAGATGGAATATTTTCTCCCCTCTCCCCCAGATACATATGTCAGAACCTAATCCCCAGTGTGAGAGTATTAGGAGGCAGAGCCTTTGGAAGGTGATTAGATTGTGGAGACAGAGTTCTCATGAATGGTACCTTTAAAAAAGAGACCCCCTGCTAGGTGCAGTGGCTCACACCTGTAATCCCAGAACTTTGGGAGGCTGAGGTGGGTGGATTGCTTGGGCTCAGGAGTTCGAGGCCAGCCTGGCCAACATAGTGAAACCCTGTCTGTACTGTAAATACAAAAAAATTAGCTGGGCGTGGTGGCACGCACCTGTAATCACAGCTACTTGGGAAGCTGAGGCAGAAGAAACACTTGAACCTGGGAGATGGAGGTTGCAGTGAGCCGAGACTGTGCCACTGCACTCCAGCCTGGGTGACAGTGCAAGACTGTATCTGAAAAATAAAAATAAAAATAAATTTAAAAAGTAAAAATAAAAGAGATCCCAGAGAAGTCCCTCACCCCTTCTGCCATGTGAGGATGCAGTGAGAAGGCAATTCTGTGTGAACCAGAAAGTGGGCCCTCACCAGACATCCAGGCTGCCAGTACCTTGACCTTGGACTTCCCAGTTTCCAATACTGTGAGAAATAAATGTCTGTTGTTTAGAAGCCACCATTCTATGGTAGTTTGTTACAGCAGCTTGAATGGACAAGGCAGTTCCCAGGGGAAGATTATTTTATTTAGGTTTAATGTTTGCCATCTATTGTTAAGAAAACTGAGATGAGAAGTCCTGAGACCATATTTGAACTCAAGTGTGTGTGTGTGTGTGTGTGTGTGTGTGTGTGTCTGATACGATCACGCTAGGTCCTAACAACACTGTCATGTTTATTTTATGGATCCTCACACAAGTCAGCAGCTGGACCTTTGCACATGCTGTGTCTGCTGCCTGCATTGCTCCTCCTCCAGCTTTTCACATGGGGCTCCTTCTCATCTTTTCCTTTTAAATAACACTATTCAGATGGGCTTTTTGTGACCATACTATTCAAATTCCCAGGTTTGTTTCCTTCAAAACTCTTACAGTAATCTGTAATTATTTTACATTGATCTGTTTTGCTCATTTGTCCATCGCCTGTGTCCGTCTCTCCCAGGAGAAGGTAAGTTTCAGACTTACCGGAGGTCCTGCTCTCATCACCCAGCACAGACTGTTTAACCCCCAATGCCCCACCTCACTGCATCTCCCAGGCCTGGGTGCTCTGTATTTGCAGTCCTGGAGGGCTGTTTCTCTGCTCTCCACCATGCTGATTTGCAGTCTATTCTGAAGTGCTACTCTCTATGAGATGCTCCCATACAGAACAAATTCCTGTCTACAGTGTTAGTGGGGAGTTGTGGTTTCATTCACTCACTCCCTGGCCCACGACTAAAAAAGTACTAACTTCCTCTTCTGAGACAAGCTCAGTGGAAGACATGAAAGACTAATATGAATATATGGTCCCTGTCCTCCATACGTTCATGTGCTAATGGGTGATACGGGCAGGCAGCAGACAAAGTGCTCTGCTAGGGCAACCAGGAGGTCCTGGGCGTGCTCAGAGGATGCTCCCCAAACACGCCTGTGTGGGCAGGGAAGGCTCCCTGCAGTAGGGACCTTGGAGAGAATCTTGAAGTACCATTAGGAGTTGGTCAGCTGAAGTGGGGCTGGTGTAGAAGGGGGAATGCAGAGACCCAGATGCGGGAGCTCCACGTGCAAAGGCAGCAGGGTGGTTTGGGGGTGGTTTCAGTGGCTTGGTGTAACAAGCACACTGTAGAAGCTCAGCAGATAGGCTAAAACAAGCTGGTCCGCAGCAGGCACTGCTTGGTGAGATTGGCTAAGCAATTTGGAATTCATCCTAATCACATGAGAAGTCACAGAAGGATGTAAACAGGAGAGTGACACAATCAGATTTATTTTTAAAAAGATCGCTCTGGTTACAGGGTGGATAGGCATTGAGGTCTAAGTCCAGTGCTCACTCATTCATTCACTTATCCATTCATACATCTATCTATTCACCCAAGAATCTTTATTTAGTACCTACCATATAACAGGCACTGTGCTAGGCACCGGGGATGAACAATGGTGAGCAAAACAGAGTCCCTGACTCTGAAAACATCTGGTCTACTAGTGGGGAAGAAACATATAGTGCCAGAAATAAATAGAAAAACACAAATTGTGAAAACAGCTGTGAATAAGAGGAACAAGGAGCTTGGGGGCCCATGATAAGGTCCAAAGACTATGAGGGGAAGCAAGGCTAGACAGTAGGGAGGCAAAGTCAACAGGACTTGAAGTGGTTTGGGGCGGGAGACAGGAAAGATAGGGTAAAGCGAGAGAGAAATAAGTTGGGAATGGTCCAGGTATCTGACTTGGGCACTCTGAGGATAATGGCATCACTGGGACCCCAAACACAGAAAGAGGCAATGAATAAACTTGTCATAACTTCCAAGCACTTTTTAATATAGATCTTAACTCATTTCACTCTCAGAACAGCCTTGTTTGGTATCCCCCACCAGTGAAGTGCCTACTATCTGTCTGGTGCAGTACTAAGTGCTTTGCATGCATTGCTTCTTATAATAATCAGATGAGGCAGGGGCTCCTGGCATATCAAGGCTCAGAGACACTAAATAGCTTGATTGGGGCCACACAGCTTATCACTTCTGGGTCCTGGACTTGAGTCCAGATCTGGTGCTCTCCAGACTGGGTGGTAGGAACCACTGTGTCATGGTAAGCTTGGGATACCTATAAGATACATGTTACTCTCTTGTATTTATGTTTCATTAGAACTGTCAGTACCTTAACTCAAAAAGGATCCTTCAGTGTTAATATTAAATGGCAGTTGAGCACTGGAGAGCTTTATTTGTCAGCCCTTTAGGGACATCATTAGATTGGAAGCCCAGGTTCTCTGAGCTAGAAGGAATTGCTAGCAATGAAATGCAACCGTTAAAGGGAGATGAAAGCACAGCTGTTTTACCAATTCCGAGGGAAAATTGAGAGTGTTGGGCTCCTTTGGAAGGATGTTGGCCAACAGAAATCCCCCAGGTGTGAGCAGAACAGGGGGCAGGATGGAGGCTGCCATGTGCTGAGTGCTTTACATCTGTTGATCTCCATCCATCTCCTAGGCGTTCCTCTGCCACCTTATCCTCATTTCACAGCTAAGGAAACTCCAGCAGAGACCAGCTAAGATCTTGTTAAAGTTACATGGCTAATGAGTCACTAGGAAGTAAAGATTCAAATTCAGGCATGTCTGCATCCCCTCCCCCAGTGGAAATGATGTGGCAGAAGAGCTGGAAGGAACTAGGAGAGTTTAGCTTGGAAAGGGAGATGATGAGGTTTTGGGGTGAAATAAAAAATGGATGTCTCTTCCCAAAGGTTCTAAATTCCAAGAGTGGAATTCCATTTCAGTCTGCAAGCACTGACAATGCACATGTGCCAGGTCCTATGCTGGGCACTGGGGTGCTAGGAAGAAAACCACTTCCTTAGTCTCTTGTAGCTCATAGCTGGGGGGGACAGATGTGTCCAGATGCTTCTCCTACAAGCCCCACATCCTCAGTGCAATGACAGACAAAGGAGAGAAGAAAGAGGGCTGATAACTTGAGATTGGTTAGTGGAGAAAACTTGGAATAGATGATCTCCTTTACCCAGGATGGCTGTGAATGAGTACAGTCCTGACAAATAGAGACAGGGGTTAGGATGTTCTAGGGAAGAGAGAGAGCAGGAGCAAGGAAACTGAAGATGACATTGAACAGGGTGTCTGGGAAGAGTGAATGACCACACATTATTAGCAGGTGGATTCTATTTAAAGAAATGCAGCCATGAGACTGAAATTCTAGTCTGAAGTTGGACTGTCGGGGAGGCCTTGAAGAGGAGTCTTGCTTTAGGCAAACTTGACAAAGAAACATTGAGATTTACACAAAGATACTCACCGTATCTCTTCACCTTCACTGATAAGGTGATTGCTGCTGTTGTAGTTCAAGATTTGCTACTAGACACGGTACAAAAAAAATTTCAACCTCCATCCATCACAAAGAACTCATGTTACTCTCTGGATATGCGCAGCCCCAATTCCTATGGTTTTAAACCCAAGCTTGAGATGACAACTGTCCCAAAGGGATTTGACATGAAGGACTGTGAGCTAAGTGAGGTGACAACTGGGTCAGGATGGGAAGGGAAACTTGGGGAATCAGATGTCACAGAAATGTCCTGGGAATCCCAGGCCATTTGGCATTAACTAGATGTGAGAGGAGTGAAGTGAATGATACCCTAACGTTTCCTTTTTGATGACTATCTTGCCCTGCATATTTATGGAGAAACAGGCACTAACATGTTTTGGCATTTTTTCAAATATATGCCTCTTCATTGCAAAAAATTCTAACAAGTCTCTTAACTGCTTAGTTAACTTCCTTAGTTGGGAAGAATGGAGGTGGTTAGAATTATTACTATATTTTTTTATACCATCCCCCTTCAACCAAACTCTCCAGTGTTTTTCAAATAGTTGAAGAGAAACAATTGCTGCTCGTTAAATTGAAGTGCATGGAAGGATGTCTTGGGAGAAACAGCATTTAAGAAGTGAACGATTACTATATATTTAAGTGTTCGAGCCCATCCATCTTTTAGGGCAGAAGTCTTTAATCAGGACCAATGATTACAGGGATAATGGCAAGATAAAAATCATATGTGTTCTAGCATTTCAAAAAAATTCTCTGCTGTAAGTCGCTAATAGTAGCTTAGATTATTAGCACAGAGACCATTCTCAGGATTTAATGGTCTTTTCCTGGTTTCTCTCTCTGGCAGGCCTTGGGCACTGGGCTCACCTTTGTAATTTCTCCTTTGGTTTGGAGTCTTTCTGTGTCTCCACATGCACACTGATTTGGAAGCTATTGGCCAAATTCATCCTTAGAAGTGACTGTTATTAAGAGATCACATGCTGATTGTTTTCAGGATAACCTGTTGGTTGAATAAAGTAAGAAGCTGCAACAAAACATGCTGAGTGTCAAGCTACTATCTCCATTTCCCTTTGGAGACTGCTATTTGATGGGGTTGTTACTCTTATATTTGTGTATCTTATGTGTTAGTGTCTGTGTTCCTTCCTATTCACAAAAGCATTTTTACACCTTCTTGTATTAATTTGTTCATTGAAGATCTGTTGAGCGTTTACTATGTATAGGCTCTGTGCTAGGTGATACATAAGGGAACAAAAGATCCTTTCCATGATGCTTACAGGACAAGCTGTTCATTCATTCTTCATTGGTTGCTATATTCCACAAGTTGCTTACACAGTATCTGTTATATAATGCCATTGATCCAGGTGCTGGGGCTGCAGTAGAGCAAAGTGGCTACTTTCAGGCTGCTTACGTCTTAGGAAGGGATGTTGAAAACTAACTATGTGATATGTCAGGTGGTGAGGAGAGCTATGAAGAAAAATAAAGCTTGGGACAGAGAGATTTTTAATCAGGTTATCACATTTCTTATCTGCTTTTGGGGATATTAGTAAATCCATTTTAAGGATGTGGATAACAAGGCACAGGATGCACATAAAGTGTCCAGGGTCCTCCAGTGGGCTGCCCACAGATGCCAAACACACCCCAGTTCTCTGGTTTTCTGGGCTTAAGCTCTCTGCACTGGGATGACACCTTTCACTACACCCTGATCCTTTCTATTTGAGGCTCTACCAAAGTGAGGAAATGTTTCCACTAAGCAATTTCCAGTTTAAAAGCTGTCTTCCACCTTCAAGCTGGGTGCAGTGGCTCCCACCTGTAACCCCAGCACTTTGGGAGGCTGAGGTGGGAGGATTGCTTGAGCTCAGGAGTTTGAAACCAGTCAGAGCAACATAGTGGGATGCTGTGTCTACAAAAAATATATATAATGAAATAATTTAAAAAATAAAAGCTATCTTCCACCTTCAGCAATTCCCCCCACACTTTGGCTTTATTTCAAAAGGTTGTGTTTGTTTATTTTTCCAGAAAGGATAACTTAAAAACATCACTTCTGCTCTTAATTGTAATATCCTCCTCTTTCTTCCAGAAGGGAAACCAGCAACATGAATAAAACTCCAAAAAACCAAAACTGATTAATTTGGTCTGACCTTATAGTCATGCAATCTGCCTCAGAGGTCTAGGTTTGCCACTTATTACACATGTGGCTTGTGGTAAGTTGTCTACATCCTCAGGACCTCCCTTTTTCATCTGAAGAAGGGGATAATAATTCCAGCCCCATGGGTAGGCAGGATGAAATGAGGTAGTAAATGTGGAAGTGCCTGACACACCAAAAACTTCAAAGGTTTTTTCTCCTTCCCTTCTTTCTCCTTCCTCCTTTCTTTCCTTTTCCAGAATCTCCCTTTCTGTTTGTACTTGTAAGTCATTATAATAACACCTCTCCCTGACCCCCACCTCTCAGGGTTATGGTGAAGACCCCGTAAGATAAAGCTTACAGGAGTCATTCAGGCACAAGCCCCTGAGGTACATGCAAATAAGCAAGAAAATCACCATCAGGAGTAGCAGGAAAAGCACAGAGCCTGAGGGGGAGCCCCCTTGGCCTAGAGGGAACCCAGCACAGTGGCTGGTGAACTCTCATAGGCTGTGTGCTTCTCCAAGCCCGTATGTTCCAGTCATCGTGGATTAAGCAGAGGCTGACAGCCTGGCTCTGAGGAATGGGCCAGCAATGCCTACATCCTAACACTAAGATTTAATGAAATGCTGATGTTGAAAGGCCTGGTTCTGTGCCCAGCTCAGGTTTCCTGAACTTCAGGCACTGATGAGCAACTTCATAATACTGACCACACCAGCACTTGAGATGCTTGTATTTACATCTATGCTTTAACCAGATCTAAACAAGAAGGGCCACAAAAATCCCAAGTCTTATTTCATGCCTATCTTAATATACATTAGAACAGAGAGGTCGTAATTCCCCAAGTCTTCCTAAGCACTCTGTAGTGTTATGCTGGGCAATTGTCAGCTGACAGGGGACACATTCCTGTAATTTAATGACCTTTACAATATTTTCATGAATCTTTAAAGTTCTTGCATAGTCTTTTTACAGATGTCATCTCATTTGATCCTCATGACATGCATGGCTGAGACCAAGGCCCAAATTGTTGTCCTCACTTTGTGGTATAGAGAGCTCAGGGAGAGGAAATAGTTTTCCCAGTGGCACACAGATTGTTCAGGTTGAGGGGGCCAGGAAAAGGACCCAGGCCTCCAGGACTCCGAGCCTGAAGTGCTTTCCACCCTTTGCCTGAGATGTCCTCACTCATCCCAAGACCCTGGGCCACCCACCCAGTTCTGGCTCCCCTCCCCAGATCTGGCTGAGGCCTCAGAAAACTGTCTGGACTCTCAGAGCCCTGCTGTAAATATCAGGAGGGGTTCTCTTATCTCAGAGTCACTTCTCACTCGCCCAGCTGCCAGCAGCCTCAGCATCCATCAACTTGCAGATTGCAAATCAGTGCCAAACTCAACAGCAAATCCACAAGCCCGAGCTGGAGTGCAAACAGGCATCAACCCCTTGCCTGGGGAATTGCAGAGTGAACTTTGGGGCTGAGCCTAGCCTAGAGTCCTCTGTTTAAAGAAGTGTTCTGGGCCCAGGTACATTGTCCTGTCTCCTATGAAGAAAGATCACAAGGAGGAAGCCAGGGCCTGTGAACCCAGGCCACTGAGCCACAGTCTCAGTCACAGTGTTGGAGAGAGAGAAGCCCAGTCCCAAGCTTGATACTTTGCCCACCTAACACAGCAGTTCAAATCCAGAGACTCATGCAAAGGCAATGCAGACATCAATACCAAAACCTCGGGCTGCTTGACTCATGCCCAGAGAGGGGGCCTCTGTCTGGCCTCTGTTACCTCAAACCACTCTCAACCACTAAACCTAATGTGGAAATCCTGCCTCCTTGCTAGGAAAAGACAGCTTAGAAACTAAAGAAAAAAAAAAGGGAAATATTTCTATATTTCCTGAAATAGGCTAAAATATATTTCAAGACCCATAAGACCCTCCGGGATGAGGTCTCTGCCCAGTGCCCCAGACCTGACCATCCTGGCTCCCACCTTGTGCCTTTCCACACCCACTGACCATGCAGCCCCCTATGTAAACCCAACGCACTTGGCCTCTGGGCTTCTGCACCCCATGTTCTTTCTGCCAGCGACATCATCTCTCCTATTTCCACCTAATTTCTACTCACTCTTCAAGACTCTGCTTCTTTACAAATTCATTGGTTAATTTAACCAGCATATATCAAGAAATAAATTAAATAAATCTTGGGTGGTGGGGGCAGGGGGTAAGCCTAGCAATGGAAAAACAGTGCCTGTGGCAAACACCTCAACAAGGCCAGCTCAGAAGGCCAGGGTCCTCCAGGTGTCTTCTCTCTTTCTCTAGCCGCCCTCTCCTCTGTCACTTGATTCCATGGCTGAGGCAGAGGCCTCCTGGTCCTCCCTACCCAGAGGATCCTGCTGTGCCTTCATGGCCTACCTCACCCAGGAGCCCCCCGCCTTACCAGGCCTGTTGGGGGAACGGACACTTCAGCCTCAGATGCCTGTTTACAGCTTACAGTAGTTGAGTTTTTCATGCATTCCAGGTTTTCTTCCCAAACAGACTCTAAGTTTCTCAAATGGGCCATTGTCTTCTACTACCTTTTGTCCATCCCTGCCCCATCCCATGTCCTCCACCCAGCACCCAGTCCTGAGTGGCCCAAGAGGCAGAGTCAACAATGTCGCCCGGTGGCTCACTTTTCTCCAGTAGTGACGACAGCACTTGTTAAATATGCAGGCCCTCAGTGCCCATGCATTGTTAAAATATAGGTGACTTATGGTTTAACAATAGTCTTTTAAAATAAGCCATTTAAAATAACTCCAGCTAATCCTATAGCACTGAGGAATGTTTCCTTCAGGAGCTCAAAAGCAACACAATGGTAAACACAAACAGCTCTTCTCTTCCTTTTGTTTCTTTTACCCACTTCTGCCCTTTAAATGCTCCACCTTGCAGGTTGGCCAAGTTATAAAGGGGTTAATTTTAACTAGGCTGAGCAAGGAACAGCCCAGGCAGAGCACAGTATGGGTAACAGGTAGCAAAAATCTAGATCTTCAGGGCATGTGTGTGTATGGTGTGGGTAGCAGGTGAATTTCAGAGGGGCGGGTCTCCTTCCCTACCTCTGACTCCTGAAAACCATCACCACAGACAATTTTGGATGGCTGAACAATTTAAAATCTTTTTGATCTTACACGGTTCTTCTCTTCTTGTTGGCAATTATTGCTGATGGCATGGCATGCTGGTGTCTTGGCAGAATGGAGCCTTCCTGCTGGGGAGAGGGGTTTTGAGTTTTATGTCCCAGTATGACTTTGATGGATTCAGACAAATTTCTCAGGCTCAGTGGACCTTCGCCCAGGCTGGAAATCTTCCCCGGACAGCAGGAAACATCTGAGACTCAGACCCCAAATGGGGTATTTTGCTTTGCTAATCCCCAGATCTTGGTGGACTACAGCCAAGGCTAGATTTTTGGGGAAGCCAGAGCTGGGTGTCAGTCCCCAAAGTCATAAGTAGTAGCAATGGAGTCCCCCCATTTAGAGAGTTAGGACATGGTATCTAAACCCTTTGCTAGGTTGGACTATGACCAGTAGGAGCTTCCCTGGGCTGAGGAAACACAGAGAGCGAGCTAGCCTGGGCTGTGCTACTATAAAAGGTCTATCCTGGGACTGGGCCTTTATAGAAGGTCATTACTGTCTACAATTAGGTGATGGAAATCATGGATAGAAGCTAGGAGTCAGGGGGCAGGACTAAAAAACTAGAAAATGGACAATGATTCCAGATTGAGGGTGAAGCCAGATATCTGGACGTCAATGCTGTGAAGGCTGGTCCTTCACTATCATGCCATACTTTTCCACATGCCTGGAGCAATGTTCAGTGGTGTGTGTGGACTCAGACAGGCCTGGTGGGGCATGGGATCTGGCATCTGGCTGTGCAACAGAAACTCAGGCTGCACCTCACTTACAGGGCCACACATGCTGATATTTGTCATCTTAGGGCTCAGGAATGAGCGTCTCCGAGAAGCATGACAAGCTGCAGAAGCAGCCTCTGTCTTAGCCTGCCACACTCCTACAAGAATGCTATGTTAAGCCTTGCAAGCCCCAAGTAGAGATGTGTGTTCCTGGGCAGCCAACCCCCTCAGAAGACCCATGCCAATGGAATGCCCTGTAGGCCAATGCCAGTTGTTATTCGCTATGTGTTATATGTCAGGTACTGTGCCGTGCTTTGGGTTCCAAACATTACCAAAAGATTAGTCCTGCAGCCTAATGACTAGGAGAGAGACCTATCTATGTTTTTGGGCTTTATATTCATGTGTAACCAAGTTCTAAAGTGATCCGGAGAAAGAATGATTCAGGGATGTGCAGAGAGGAGCTAATGCCTGTGTGGGGCTTTGAAAGATGAATAGCTCTTCAGGTAGATGGGGGAAGGAAATGTATGACCAAAGAAACCAACAGTTTATGAAAAATACAGAGGCATGAAGCTCCCTAGGGTGTTGAAGGAATTATAGGGGAGGGTCAGTCAGGTCACAAAACCTTCTTTGCCTTGATAAGGATTTTGGACTCAATCCTGCAGGTGATGGCAGCCACTGAAGGGTTGTGGTCAGGGTGTTCACACAGTGATGCAGATAATCAGGCTGGCTTGAAACGAGGGTGCTTTCTTTTTTTTTTTTTATTCGAGGCGGAGTCTTACTCTGTCACCCAGGCTGGTGTGCAGTGGCACAATCTCAGCTCACTGCAACCTCCATCTCCCGGGTTTAAGCAATTCTCCTGCTTCGCCTCCGGAGTAGCTGGGATTACAGGCACGTGCCACCATGCCCGGCTAATTTCTGTATTTTTAGTAGAGATGGGGTTTCACCATATTGGCCAGCTGGTCTCGAACTCCACCTCATGATCTGCCTGTCTCAGCCTCCAAAAGTTCTGGGATTAAAGGTGTAAGCCACTGCACCTGGCCGAGGGTGCTTTCTTAAGAAGAATGCTACCAGCCTGGCCAACATGGTGAAACCCCATCTCTACTAAAAATACCAAAATTAGCCTGTCGTGGTGGCAGGCTCCTGTAATCTTAGCTACCCAGGAGGCTGAGGCAGGAGAATTGCTGGAACACGGGAGGTGGAGGTTGCAGTGAGTCGAGATTGCACCATTGCACTCCAGCCTGGGCAACAACAGCGAGGCTCTGTTTTAAAACAAAAGAAGGAGAAGGAGAAGAAGGAGAAGGAGGAGAAGGAGAAGGAGAAGGAGGAGGAGGAGGAGAAGGAGAAGAAGGAGAAGGAGAAGGAGAAGGAGAGGAAGAAGAGGAAGAAGAGGAAGAAGAGGAAGAAGAGGAAGAAGAGGAAGAAGAGGAAGAAGAAGAAGAAGAAGAAGAAGAAGAAGAAGAAGAAGAAGAAGAAGAAGAAGAAGAAGAAGAAGAGGAAGAAGAAGAAGAAGAAGAAGAAGAAGAAGAAGAAGAAACAATGCTGCTAGAGCAGGAAGAGGCCGGGAGCCGCAGCCTGGAAAGGCCGACCCGGGGCCCACTGGGCCAATTAGGGCATGACCCACAGGTACTCATTTCTCCTCTGGGTCTTTCCTGCCACATCGGCCAAATCCCTCCTCAAATAGGCTTGCAGTGCTTGTGTAAGCAGAGTATCAAAGGGAGATAATGGATGTGAACGCAATTTGGGAGAAAACAGAATATAGATGCAGCCATCCTATTATTATTTTCTTCCTGAATGATTCAAAAGGATAGCAAACCTACCAGTTTCAAGTGCCCACCCTGCTACCCAGGGAGGCTGAGGCCCACAGCTTCTCAAGATGCACCGTGGAAAATGGGGAGCAACGTCAGCTGCTGGCGTGTGTGCCAAATCGGTTCAGCTAGGGTGTCGGACTGTCTGGTGCCCTCCCCAGCTGGGGGAATCATTTGCTGGGGCTTTGAGATAGTAGCTTTCCCCCTCCCAGGGCCCACCCTCCACCGAGGCCGGAGGAGTCACTGCAGATCATAGCTTGGAAACCAGATCCACCTGTCCCAGGCTGAATAATCTCAGGGAGGCTCTGGTGAGGGGCAAATTGATCACTGACTGACAGGTCTCCAGGCCAGCTTGGAATGCCTGCTTGGGGTGAATTGGCAGCTTTCCGCTTTCCCAAATTCATGGGAACGTGTTGTTCTTGTACAAACTGCCTGGCATGCATGCAGGCTGGGGAGGGAAGGGGCTCAGGAGTGCTCAGAACACCTTGCAAAATGCTCAGAGCGCCTGGAAGAACCAAAGGCGGCTCTCGGGTGGCACTTTGCTCCTTGGTAATCTCAGACTCATACTCCCTGAAAACTGTGTTCTATTTTCAGTTGCTACCAATGGCCACCTTTGGACAGAGTTTGGGGACTTGATTCTTTTACCAACAAGCTGAGTAGCCATGGGGCATTCACTTTTCTTCTCAGAATCTCAGTTTCTTCATTCCTAAAACAAGAATAGAAAATTCCAGGGATTTCTGGAATCAATAGAATGGTGAAAAGGGAAGAGCCTGGGTTTAACGTCAGCAGATGGGGATTTAAACTTAGCTCTGTGCCTCCTGGGGAAGCTGGTTTCCGTCTTTGAACTTCCACTGCCTCATGTAGCATGTGCCTGCTATTGTAGAGCTTCTCTATCATCATAAGAAATATTAATATCTTTTACTTAGGCATAACCATGTTTCTGAACATCCACAATGTTAATCAGCACAAGCACGTTTATTAGGACAACTTCAGGGGAATAGGCTACAAGTAATGAACATCATATAATCATGCTAGACAGCTGTAGCTTGCAGTTCAGTTTTGCCTTCAGAAAGAGTCGGGGCCTCCCAGACACTCCCCCAGGCCAGACCCCATCACAGGCCACTGAGACCTGCCCCCGGTTTCTCTCACAATGTAGGAGTAGAAAGCTTTTTCTACCTGGGTTTCTGGGACACTGGTGCAGGAGCCAGTGGGCTGGGATCAACCTGCTAAGGAGCCAGGAGCAAATCACTGAGATCCTGTCTTGAGACAGGACTGAGCAGAAGACAGCACATGGCTGACAGGATCAGCCAAGCTGGGTCACCTGGGGGGACTCAGGAGAAGCCCTAGGGGGGCATCCTCTGACCCAGCAGTGAAGATGCCTGGTAGATTCTAAATCAAGGGGCTCAGAGCAGTGGCTGTCAGGACAGACAGGTCCTTTGCATAGGCCCAGACCTCAGATAAGCAAAGCACTGGCCATCCACTTGTATGCAGACACTGAACACTTCTTCCTGTATTCTCTGGGTTTGGAGTCCTGAAGAAGCAATAGTAGAAAATCAGAGTGACAACAGTATCAATAATTGACAACAGTAAGGAAATGCAGGCCTGCATCCACTTAATGGGACACAATGCAGCTATTCACAGCAGTGCTCATAAAGAATTATCCAGAATATCTGAAGGTACATGTCTTACAATGCCAAATGAAAACAGGTATATTTATTTGATTGCAAATAAGTAAACTCTAAGCTTAGGAAAAACCATGCTAGAAGGAAATCAATCCTTTGACTCCAGGTGATCCTCAATAGCTTTCTACTTTGATATGTTTTCAAATGTTCTACAGGGTGCATGTGTTATTTTAAAATAGAAAACATTTATTTTTTAAAAAAGCATAATTTTTTTGCCATTGTATTGAGACAGACAAGCTGGCATGCTTTATCTGCAAGTTTAAACTGCACAGCAGCTTGATCATTTCAACATGATGGCAAGAAGATTCTGAACCATGCAAATGCCAGGAGGAGAGCCAAGAGAGAAAAATCTCCAACCACCACTGGGCCCTGAGTGTCACACAAATGCCTTTCATTCTCAGAGCCTCCCGTGAGAACACAAATAACAACAACCAAAACAAAAAGACACAAGTTAAGAATATAAATTAATGTGCCTTTTTTTTTTTTTAACAAACACCCAGGAATTTGTATGTTCCTTCAAATAGATGCTAGTTCTGCCAAAAAAACAAAGTCATTTAGACAGACAATACATTTATTCCCACATGTTGTTATGGCTCAGAAAAGTCCTAGTCTCCACTTTGGAATCGTCCCATGGATCCACAGCACAGGCTTGTGGATTTGGGGAGTGTAGCCAAATCTTTGCCTTTTCAAGATGGATTATGATTTTTCCAAAACAGTTTGAAAACCCTGTCTGCCCTTAAACTGGGCAATTACTTGAGGAAATATTTTTGGGTGAAAGTGGAATGTGGCTGGAAAGATCAGAGACTACTGGTCTCTCAGTGCTGGTAAACAACTCTCAGCGATGCTACAAACCAGGCTCGGCCCTAAGATCTGCAGGGCTGCATCTTTGGAAGAACTGCACAGTCTCTGCAGGAGACCATTAGGGGGGCTGGCACTCATTGCTATGTATTAATTTGCATATGTTTGCAGAAAAAAATTAAATCTTTCAATACTGATGGAGCATTTATCCCATGGAAGTCACTTAGCTAGAAAACGGAGAAAATGCAGCACTGTCCCTGCCTGCCTTCAAGGAGCTCACCAAATTAATCTCTTCACCATTGTATCTTGCATATGTTTATTTTCTGGTCCATGTATTTTAATACTGGCATCCAGAAGATGCACAGGAAACAGCTATGTCCCAGCGCATCAGCATTTTCATAATGAGTGGGGAGAGGCCCCGAGGGTAAGAGGTCGACTTTTGGACAAGAGGAAGATGAATCTGTTCTCCCTGTCCCTCTGCTGCCTGAATCACCTGAAGCAGACAGACCTGGACTTTGTTACAGGTAAATAATTACAGTTGTATCTGCCATAAATATCTTGCTGAAGGGGCCATTGCAAAAATTGAGATTGTATCTCCAAGCAACTGTCAAATGGCTAGAATAAATTCAGAGGACTTGAAATACTGATGTACATTTTCTATCATAGATATCTCTCGGTCTAGACTTTCAGACTGCATCTTGACAGAACACCTAGGATGGCTGAGAAATTAAGGAGTCAGGAACAAAAAAATTACATAGTGTTGGTGTTCTGTGGTTTGTGTCTTCTTTATCTGTGGTCCCGGCAAACAGGAAGTCCTTGTGAATTGGGGGGCTCGAGCAGAAATGTTAAAGCCACAGATCCCTGGGAATTTAAAAAGCCAGGGAGGTAATAAATCTCAGGCCAAAATGGAAAGCCTGAAGAGGTCAGTGAGCTACAGCCAACCTAATATCTGTACTTCTCAGGGCCGCCATAAATCTGACACTGCTTCTTCTGGGCTCAGCTGGCTTCTGTGCAGCCGGCAGATCAAAAGCCTCTCCCGGTACCCTCTGCAATTGCCTGTTTCTCATTGGGCCTGTTAGGTGAGGCAGGCAGGCTGGGGAGGGAAGGATGATGCTGTCCTCTTCTTCTCTGCACCATCTGGGGGCCATATTTAAGCATCTGCACCCTGGGGTTTAGACAGAGAACTGGGGGAACTAGATGCACCACCCCAAAGCTTGAAGAAGTGAAGGGTCAGCTTCGGGAAGGAGTAGCAGCCGAGCCAACCAAGATCTCCTATCTGAGGATGTTGTTTTATTTTAGTCAGAAGGGAGAAAGACTATTCTTCAGGTTTTGTGAATTTCAACAGAGGAGAACTCCCACATGTCACTGCCTATATAGCTGGATCTTTGTCTCACACATTCTGTCTGTATTACTCACTTTTTTCCAAAAATACCTATTAACAAGCCCATTTATTTATTTATTTATTTATTTATTTATTTATTTATGCAAAGAACTATGCCAGGCATCTTACCTATGTTCTCACCAAGTTTCCTGAAAGGGAGAAATTATTATTCTCTCTCTTCAGATGAGGAAACTGAGGCTCAGGATGGTTGAACAACTTGGTTAAGGTTATGCAACTAGTGGGTAGCTGAGTCAGAATTTGAACCCAAGCCTCTGAGATTAAAAGTTCCATGCAATTCCTACTCTGCCACAGTAAATCTACTGGGACCAGGGCACTACTAAATCCTGCAAAGGATGTAAAAATAAACCAAAGGAGAATCCTAGTTTTTAAAAAAATGGTCTGAAAGTTGAGATTTGACATATCTATAAATAATAGTGATACAAAATAGAGTGTGATAAATGCCTAGAGAGAGGTACAAATAAAATATGAAGGGGTTTAGAGAATCCAGCGATTGCTTCTCGGTAGCATGGGCATTTGCAATGGGACTCGGAATATCAGTAGGATTTGGGTCTTTGGCTCCAAAAGGAAAGAACTCTTCTGTAGATAAACGGAATGTTCAACGGTCCCAACCAACACAACATGAGGTATGTTTGTAGCTGAGTTTGGGATCAGCTACCCAAATAGGGGTATTGAGAAATGAATTTGGATAGGTTCAGAGTTTAAGCTACATATATCTTCTAATATCTGATGAAGAGTGGAGCTGTTTATTTCCCTATAAGCAACAGAGAGTTAGTGGAGGTTTCTGAGTATATAATTGGAAAGCTTACTTTTGTTTTTTGTTTGTTTGCTTATTTTTGTTTTTTTGAGACAGAGTATCTCTCTGTCACCCAGGCTGGAGTACAGTAGTGCAATCTCGGCTCACTGCAACCTCTGCCTCCTGGGTTCAAGTGATTCTCCTGCCTCGACCTCCCGAGTAGCTGGGATTACAGTCATGTGCCACCAGAAAGCTTACTTTTGTGACAGTGTAGAGGCTATTTGGGAAAGACAGGGAGAAGAGGCAGAGGACAAGCTATGGGGCTATTGTGGTAATCCAGTTTTTGAGGATCCTGACCTCGTAGATTGTTTGACTTCTGTACATTTTTTGGCTTTGCTGTTGGGAGTGGATGACTATCTTAATGTCCATTAACACAACTGCCTGAAGTTTTAGGCACCCTATGTCAGTTGCTTTAAGTCATTCTTTAGAATCCAGCAAGGCTCCAAGGGCTGAATAATACCAAGCATCTGGGTACCAACTAGGATGTGAACAAAGCAAGAGGTACCGCTTGCTTTTCTCCAGTGGCTCATCCAGAAGCCTCATCATTTCCAGACCAGTGCCTCCACTTCAAAGGCTTGCTCCTCTTAGGGATATAGAATCCCTCTCTGCTGTGGAGAGAGGAATGGAGAATATACGAGAAGCATAGAGGGCTGGGAGGCAGGGCCAGATTCCAGGCTTTGTGACATCAATTCTCTTTGGCTTTGGACACACCACCTGACCTCTTTGGTCAGTTTGACCATTTCCCAAACATAGAGAATATAATTTTTGTTCATCTAAATCTGGGCAGGATTATATAGTGCATAGAATCTAGGGTATCCGTTTTCAGACTGGGTCCTAAAAGCTCCAGGTTTCTTTGGAGATGCTTCAGGCACTCCCCATGGGTAAGAAGTGTCTGAGCAGATCCCTTTTAATCCATTGTATTGATACATATTGGGCTTCTGCGGCAAATACATGACGAGTGAATGAATGAATGAAGATTTAAACCACTGGCGTTGTGTAAAGAGATTCAACTGAGAGCCAGAACATATAAGAGAGTCCTGGATCTGTCCAAGCAAGCTATGAGATTTCTAGCAAGCCATTTATCCTCACCTTGAGCCCCTCCTTCTTCCTCTGTCACATGCTTGGCTTTGAATAGATGATCTGTGTCCCTTCTAGTGATGAGGTGATATTTCTTCATTACATGGGAATTATAGGAACACGGATAAAATGTATTGTGGCAATGATTTAACTAATATTTAAAAAGCAAGTCCCAGTATCACATCAGCTATGCAGACTACGACCAGGCACAGGGAACCAGGCCTCCAAGCCATTGCCACAGGCATGAACCCAAGTTCTTGCTCAGACCTTACTAATTCTTAGTTTGTGTACAATTCCAACATGCTCGGCTAATTGATGTTATAGCCTGCAGCAGAAAACCCTGTAGCAGGCAAGAAACAGCTAGGGCAGGTACTTATGCAGCTGCACAAGTGATAGTCTGACACCAAGCTAGTAGAAATGCAAAAGGTGAAAAGTATTAAGAAGCTGGCATAAGAATTTAAAAGTACTTGAAGAAAGGGATCATTGACTATAGAAGCAAATATTTTTATACAATCTAGTTACATCCATCTTCCTCTCTGGCAGGAGTTTAGCTCATGTGAAATCCAGAGGAATCCAAGACAGTTAAAAAATTGGCTCCCAAGTTAGAATAGATGAGTTAGCCAAGAAACAAAGCAGGGGATACACCAAATATTTGTTTCAAAAAGCCAAGCTATCAAATCTGAAGTCTGAGAGAAAAATGGACTTAAGAAAAACAAAAAGTAAAAAGCACACGTGGAGCCAAGGGACCCAGTGTTGAGAGGATTGTTCAAGTGGTTCAATTAGATGCACTCATTCATATTCCGGTGATGACCCTGGGCCATTATGATCAAAATAAATGACACGTGTAGGCTCTACTGAAGGAAGGAAGCTGGGAGTGCATATTCTTTCTATCTGGGAAGGTTTCTAACAAAAAGAGTGAATCTGCGGAGGGGAGGGGTTGTCAAGCTTTGGTTCTTAAAGGGTTAACCCTTAGTTATCTGGAAAGTCTTCTTGAAATCCCACAAAACATGCGGCCTTCCCCTGGGCTTTCTCCTCCCACTAGCGGTACACCAGATTCTGGCCCCAGGGGTCTCTGGGGTGTGTTCCATGCCTGGAATGGCCAGGCGTCTGAGCGAGGCTGTGATGCTGTCAGGGGTTCTGTCTGTCTCTATTTGGTGCTGCCTTGGGAAGATACACAGAGAAGGCAGTACTGAAACCCCAGCCGCCTCATGCCAGAGAGTGCCTGTCCTTGCTTTTCTTCCCCATCATTCTGCTGCAGAGGCCAATAATTGGCAACAAAGCTTATGGATTTGATTATGAGGAGGGTTGCAGGATGGTGAGAGTGGGCAGGAGCCTGGGCCTGAAATCCTTTGCGAAAAGCCAAGAAAACACCGGTTTGGATTCCTGTTACCTGTGGTAACACTTTCCTTCAACAAGTGCCTGTAAAAGCGGAGAGGCATTCTCGACACGTGTCCAGGAGGAAGTCTGGACACCACGTCACAGATGCAGCGCTGGGAGGAAGCAATGGGAAGACTCTTCAGGGAAAAAAAATCAGCTGATGTTGCCACGTTAGTACTCAAGGAACCTGTAAACGTCAAAAGGTGAGAAACTCTCAGTCCGATGTCTGCTTGGAGGTGTGGCCTCATGGTGAGGATTCATCCCACGTCCTTCCAGACTCTTGGGAACTGCAGGATGGCTGCCCAGGGATGGGGAGGGAACCAAGGACTACACTAAGCCCTTCAGCTACGTTTGTTCCCTAAGTCCTGGCAACAGCTTGTGAACCAAAAGTATCTGAGACAGGTCTCAATCACTTTAGAAAGTTTATTTTGCCAAAGTTAAGAATACACCTGTGACACAGCCTCAGGAAGTCCTGACAACATGTGCCTAAGGTGACTGGGGGACAGCTTGATTTTATACATTTTAGAGATACATGAGACATCAATCAATATGTGTAAGATGTACATTGGTTTGGTCTGGAAAGGCAAGACAACTTGAAGTGGAGGGTTTCCACGTCACAGGTAGATAAGAGGCAAATGGTTGCATTCTTTTGAATCTTTGGTCAGCCTTTCCCTGAACACACAATTTTAATGTGAGAATGGAGTAGAGGAATAGTTACTTATGCCTTAGTCTGGCTCAGTGAATTTGCATTTTTACATAAACAATAGGGCATAGGAAACAATCACATATGCATTTGTCTCAGGTGAGCCGAGAGATGACTTTGAGTTCTGTCCTTTGTCCTGCACCTGTGAAGATAAGCCATCAATTGACACAGCTAGGGTGAAATCTAACAGAACTGTTTTAGGGTAAAGTTCTTAAGGCCCACAAGAAATTTCCTTGTGGACAATTTGTAAGGCAGGTATGCAGCTTTTTTTTTTTTAATCTTTGTAGCCATCTTATTTGGGAATAAAATGGGAGGCAGGTTTGCCTGACGCAGTTCTCAGCTTGACATTTTCCTTTGGCTTAGTGATTTTAGAGTCCCAAGATTTATTTTCCTTTCACCAGCTCTATGACAAAAGGTTTGACTAGGCCCATTCATTGACAATCACACTAAGGTTCAGGATGGTTAGGTGGCTTTCCCGAGGTAACTTTTCCTAGTGTGACAAATGAGGGTTTCAGATCAGGTGTGCCCAGCACCACCAAATCCCCTGATTTTTTTTTTTCTTTTTCTTTTTCTTTTTTTCTTTCTTTCTTTCTTTCTTTCTTTCTTTCTTTCTTTCTTTCTTTCTTTCTTTTTTTTTTTTTTTGGTCTACAGGCTTCTTGGGAAGACATAGGGTGGGCATTGCTGGAGGATCTCTCACCAAGATTGAGGTTGGAGAACAGAACCCATAGGTCCTGCACCAGCAGCAGCAGCACCTGGAACTTGTTAAGAATGCAAATTCTTGGGCCCCACCCCAGACCTACTGAATCAAAAACTCTAGGGACAGGTCCAGCAATTTGTGTCTTAATGCCCCTTCCAGGTGACTCTGACTGCAGCCAAGCTTTCAGAACAGAACCACTGCTCTAAGGCCTTGCTATTCAAAGTGTAGGCACAGGACCAGCAGCAAGCCATCCCCAGGGAGTTTGTGAGAAATGCAACATCCCAGGTCCTATCCTGGCCCCCAAATCTGAATCTTCAAGTTCATAGGATTCCCAGAAATTCAAGGGACTATGAAAGTTAGAGAAGTACAGAGCTCTATTGGTTGAAGGTATTGCTGAGTCCGTATTGTAGTCCGTGAGCCAAGCTATAAGCAGGTTCTTCCCAATTTCAAGGAATGGACTCATACCATCCAGATGAAGCATAGAGGTGGGAGTGAGTGAGCAGGGCTGAGCTAGACTGTGAATATCTGGGTCAGGCCCTGGACTTTGCTGCTTTCCTTTGCCACTGTGCTAGAACCCACGCTAGGCCTGTTTGAATATACAGAATCCTCTGAAGACTCACCTTCTGTGAAATGCTTCCTGCGGGTCGGGGATGCAAAAGCTTCTTCCTTACCAAACTCTGATGAACACATAGAAGCTGCTGGGTGGTCTGCACTAGAAAGGATTCTTAGTCAGTGCCTGGGCTCAGTGGGATGAGTGCCAGGATCATCTAGCAATGTCTGCCATAGGCATGGGATGGGACAGTGGTGGCCCTAGTGATGAACTGATGTACAAGGGAGGATGGGGTAGGGGACGTACAGTTTGAGCAGATCAGGATACCTGAGAAACAAACACTTATTACAAACATACTTTACTCTTTGCAGGGATTATAGGCAAATTTTCCTGTTGCCTTTGTCAAATGTTAATTACTGTTTTTACAAAAGATAAAAATGATTATGATTTTAAAAAATGCAAACAGTACAAAAGGTATATAACCCTTTCCCTCCCAATAGACAACCACTCTTAACCATTTCTGGAATATTCTCCCAGATACATTTTTAGGTATACCTCCCCCCTCTACACAGATGTACTTAGGTGATCCTCCTGCCTCGGCCTCCCAAAGTGTTGGGATTACAGGCGTGAGCTACCGTGCATGCCTGGCCACCAACAATATTCTTTATAGCAAAAAAACAAAAAACAAAGAAAATAATTTAGTTTGAAATCAGCTGCTGCATTTAGTTGTCATGGTTCTTTAGCTTCCTCCTTTTCAGAAAAGTCCTTTAGTTTTTCCTCATCTGAGGGTTAAAGGCCAGTTATTTCTTGGAATGTCCCTCAATCTGAGATTCTCTAATGTTTCCTTCAGATTAGATTCAAGTGATGTGTCTTCAGCAGGAATATCACAGGAGTGACGCTGGGATCTCAGTGCATCGCAGTACATGGTTTTTACTTGTTCTGTCACTGCTGACGCTCACTTTGATCACTTGGCTCAGGCGGTGGCTATTCAGCTTCTTCACTGTGAAGTGACTCCTTTTCTCCTTAGGCCTAATTAGTATTTTGTCAGGAGGAATTTTGAAAATATACCCCGTTTCTCATCAGACTTTCAATGTATGTATTTACACTGATATTTTTGATATGTTTATCTTATTCAATAGGTCATATTCCATTACAATCATTATTTATTTGCTACTCAAATTGGGCAAAGGGAGCCCTTACAAGCTGGTGTCTGTGTCCTTTTCATCAGGCTGCCTCACTCTTTGAGCACTTTGCTTTCCGCCACGGTGAGATGTTTTTTTGTTTGTTTGTTTTTTGTTTTTTTGTGACGGAGTCTCGCTTAGTCGCCCAGGCTGGAGTGCAGTGGCTCCATCTCGGCTCACTGCAAGTTCCGCCTCCCGGATTCACGCCATTCTCCTGCCTCAGCCTCCCGAGCATCCAGGATTACAGGTGCTGGCCCCCACGCCCGGCTAATTTTTTGTATTTTTAGTGGAGACTGGGTTTCACCGTGTTAGCCAGGATGGTCTCGATCTCCTGACCTCGTGATCCGCCCGCCTCGGCCTCCCAAAGTGCTGGGATTACAGGCGTGAGCCACAGCTCCCGGCCGGTGAGATGTTCTTGAATCATCTTGCGTATTCATTCTCTCAGTCTTGGATCCAACCTCTTCTCCAAGAGGCCCTGGTTACTTTTAATGGAGAACGATACACACGCACACATACACACACACACAGACACACTTGCATTGATGTTTATCGCTATATCTATCTACATATATTGAAAATAACCCATTCACAATGGGACTGAAGCGGCTACATTGTCTGGGGTAAATACCTGGGGTTTGTTGTGTCCTGCCGGAAGCATTTAGGACACAGACGCACACGGGGTGTTTAGGAGCAGAGGTTTAATAGGCAAGAGAAAGAGAAAGAGAAAGAAAGGAAAACAGCTCTCTCTCTAGTGAGAGAGAGGGTACTTCCAAGAGGAAAAGATCTGCGACTGGCAGCAGATGCCCCAGATTTTATAGTCCAGCTCAAGGAGGCGATTTCTGATTTACGTAGGGCTCACAGATTGGTTCTATTAGGTGTGACGTTTACATAGCCTAGGGAAGGCTGGTCAGCCCGCGCTAATCTTATTATGCAAATGAACTTTCCCCTTGGCCAGGACCATCTTGTCTGCTCCTTACTGTACACGTGGCTGACAAAGAGAAGGGAAGATGGAACCGCCATCTTGAACATGCTGGCACAACTGCCAGCATCTATGTCTGCAGTGCAATTTTACAGGCTGCTCTTTGTTACAAAGGAAAATAATTTGGGGCTGCTTTTTGTTAAAAGGGAAACCTTACCAAGGACTGCCATACCCTCACTATCTGCCTAAGTAATTTCTTCTTAACTCCTGTATCAGTACCTTCCATTTCCAACCCACCACCACAAGAGTCAATCTGATTTTCTTCCTTTTCATATGTTTCACTCTCTTTTCTGACAATAAGCTAGAATCCTATTGCTCTAACTCTGTTTACTTATTTGTAATAAGTAAATATGTAATATTTACTCCTTCTGTGTACAACTAATCTCCTAGCTTGATGGCCACCCTTTCCACCAAGGATTCCCCCCAAATCCATTCAGTCTCTGGAGCCCTGGGATGGCCAACAGCATGGGCTGCCCCCTATCTACCCCACTCTCTCCTTATAAAATCCCAGGTGGTGCCCTCCTCACCCCCTTGGGTTCAATTCCCTATGCAGGGCCATGTTTCCCAACCTGGATGCCCTTCCTTCCTGCTAGGCTCTGACCCCCACTCTGAGCTGTGCAGCTGCCCTGCCCCTGCATGCCCCAGCATGGACACCTACTTCCTTCTGCCCAACCAAAAGGCTTGAGCATTGAAATGCTCAGGAAGGGAAGGAACACAAGAGGAAGAAACTGGCTAGCATTTGAATATTCTAATAAGCTCCTTTGAATGAAATGACCTTCATTGTTTCCACTGTGGAACTTGATAATCCACTGTCATGGAGAGCTTTCTGATTCAAAGGACCCTGGAACATTTGCTTGAAAAAGAAGAGTGGAGTGTTATGGGGTTCTAGACTTGGGAAACAGCATAGGTGAGGGGGATTTCTGAGGCTGAGTGGGGCCCACTCTTGGAACTCTTATTTTTGTGCAAATTTGGAGCCTCTGATAATCAGACATCAAGATAGGATTAGACAGGCAAGAAATACATTAGGGGAAATGGCCATGCAAGGAAATGGGGAGGCAGAGGCTAGAAGAGCCTTCAGATTGTGATGCAGATCTAACCCCGAGGGAAGGAGAGAGGAGCAGAAGGCAGGGCAATGGGAGCATTTCAGACACCAGAGTGGTTCTAAGGAAAGTTTGGCAAGGCCTTCAGAGAGTCCCAAGCCACAGTAGCTCATCCCCTGTCTTCCAGGAATGGACCTTCCGCAGTACTCCTGCCCTGCCCAGCCATTGGCTGGGAGAAGCTGTAGGAAGACAGGTCTCAGAGTGAGCTTGATGGTGGATTTCAAGGCACAGCAGCTGGGCCATGAGTTAATTATATTTCCTAAAGTCAAGGATCTGAAAGGAGTCTTCTCTTGGCTACCTCATGAGCAGAAGAGTAAGAATAGTTACCTATCCTTCTGGAAGGTAGCACTGAATCATAACCTGCTCCTAAACAGAAAATCAATGAGAGGAAAGCTATAACCTGCCTCTTGAGGAGAGACACACAGAAAAAAGGGAGAAAAGATAAGCAAAGAAGAAAGGTAAACTCTTGTGCCAGGTATCTGATGCAACTGGTTTTGTGATTTTGAACTAAGTGGAGATGCCCCACCCATGTATCCCTTTTACTGTGAATGAAACCACCTCTGCAAAATTATGACAGTAAGAGAAATCTGACATGGCTGACTCCATCTTGCTTCTAGCCTCACAGGTTGGCTGTCTTTGCTTATTCTTGGGTGTAGGCCAAGCTAACTTTGGAAGAAATTTAGTTTATAATTTAAATGGTAATAGCCCTTCTCAAAAACTAAACTGTTCTTGTAAAACTAATAAAAGGCCACGAAGTTAGGAAGATGAGAGCTTGAATTCTGAATAATTACCAGCCATTACTCTGGAGGTCTTAAGATTTGCAACATCCCCAGTTTCTATTACAGATAACATCACTATTGTAGAATCTAAGAGTGGCCTTTTGAGATGTCTTTTCACTTTTTCACATTTCTGACAACTGGATGGCCCCACCTGGACATACCAAACAGTCCTGTGGCCTCCACTCAGGAACTGACTCAGCACAAGAGGACAGCTTTGATTCCTTATGATTTCATCTCTGACCCAACCAATCAGCATGCCCCCATGCTGGCCCACCAAACTATCTTTGAAAAACCCTAAATCTCTGAGCCTTTGAAAAGATTGATTTGAATAATAACTCTGTCTCCCTCGTGACATGGCCAGCCCCATGGTAATTAAACTCTTTACTGCAATGCTGTGGTCTCGGTGAGTTGCTTTTCTTTGTGCAGTGGGCAGGAAGAACCTGTTGGGCAGATACATGAACATCTGAAAAGCAGCCATTTGCAAAGCTGGGCTAGCTTCCTAAAGGCTCACTGCACCCATCACTCCCACTCCTGATCCTTGAATCTTTGATCGCTTGATTTCATTCACACTTTAAATTTTCATAATTGCCTTGGACCATGATTCTTGGATGATGACATATTCTCATTTCTTTCTTTGGTTTAGTGACCTTGGTACCTCCACACTGGTGGGTTTTCAACTTGGCATGTTCTCTTGGGTTCAGTGGCAGCCACAGCTAGAATTGGAGATCATTTTCTCTTCTACCTTTACCCAGCAGAGCCTATCCAGGCCATTGACCTCCAGTCCCCAGTGTTATTGGCAAGTCAGAGACAGTGGGAACAGGGTGCTGGCCAGGGCACTGGAGTCCCAGAGAGCCCTGGAAGAGAGTAGAGGAATCCACAGTCCTGTACCTCTGGGGTTAAATTGGACTGCACTCTTCATCTTTGAATGTTGTCCATGACCTTCCAGCTTTGCCTTATGTTATAAAATAATTTCAATCCTATATTTGTATAGCAATTGTGCATCTTTTGGGGGTTTTGCAGCAATGCTAAGTACATAGTGGCATTTCGTAGGTGAGAAAATGAAAACCCAGGGAGAGTTAAGTGATACGCCTAAGGTCACGCAGCTGGACGGGCGGAAGCCTAGCCGGGTTAGTGCTTACTGAAATGTTCTTTCCACAGCTTTGCTGTCTGTCTATTATGCACCCCACTCCATGGAGTCCCTTTCAGCTCTCCTCCGAGGCTGCTACATTAATTCTGATTCCCTCCCCCAGTTTTTGCAACCTTATGAAATAACTTGCTCTACTGAATCATCGCTTTACCTACAAGATATAATTTTATTCTACTGCCTCTGATTTCATTATCTCTGTTTTGTCACTCGATCTCACTTTTTCTAGGGGTTCCAAAGGATTTACAATGAATGATAAGAATGGAATTATAAGCACCAAAAAATAGAGAATAATTAAATGTCAGTCAGGCCATGATAGAGTGAATGGAATTCTGTATCTCACTATTTGGGGCGCTGGCTCTGTGATACTCATTAACTGTTTTTTATTCTTAAGACTGTGAGTTTGGCTGGGAATTCAGCTGTACGTGATGGATCATGCTTACCTTGCCTTCCCCCACCCACATGCCTCCCCTTGAAGAAGATAAGCATCTTCGGGAGTGAGAATTTTTAAATGAGATTGTTTATGCATCAAGGAATAAGTATTAATAGCTAAAGTGCATTCATATGGTGATTGTTTTCTGGTGATGAGAATGGGAAATGTTATTTCTCTATTAAATTATGGAAGCCACTGGATTATGCATTACATGCTGATGTGCCAGCTCTGCTTCTCTCTACTCACAGTGATGCTTTGAGTCTCATTTTCAAACTAGACACCTCTGTAAATTGACCTGAATGTTCTGTGTGTACATGGGCATTGACGCAGAGGGAAAACAGTGGTTGCTCACCAAGCACGTTCCTTCTACTCCGGGACCTGCGGTACAGGCAGTACTCTCTGCCATGGTACGTTCTGGAGTCCTGTGCTTTGCCCAAGGGCCCTACCCTCTCAGGGACATGGCAAGTGCAGCCAGGAAGGGGAGGGTCTGCAAAGTGAGCCCCAGGAACAACAATGGAAGAAACCAGGGGTGTTTGGTACAAAGAGGCAAAAGCTAGGGTATGTGTGAAAGTTATCTTCAAATACTTGAATAAAGCAGTTCTGTACAGGAGGTTGACACTTGCTCTGTGCTACCCCAGAACACAAAACTAGAATCAAAAGAGAGATGGTTTCTGGTTCCACAAAATAATACAATCTTCCTTTTTTGCAGCACCTAACTACTCATAAACTCCTTTCAAAAACATTGTCACTAGAAAGTAATCTTCATGACGAGAGGAGGTTTGCCTGATTTTTGTTTTTCTTTTAGTATCCACTGTTCCTGTGATAGTGCTTGGCACATAGGAACCGCTCAATGCGTATTGGCTGAACAAATGAGTGAATGATTTGGTTCCTGTGAGGGTTGGTGTGATAAGCCCATTTTGTGGATGACAAAAATTGAGAAGTTTAGATATGTAAAGTCGTTTCCTAAGCTCACATACGCTCCTGAACTATCCTGAACCCAGGCCCCCTAATAAGAGTCTATGGCTTACTCAAAGGCTTAATAAGCTTAGCTTTCTATCATAAATTAGGCCCTCTCCAGTAGTAGTTGGTGAGCTCCTCATCAGATTTCGAACAGGCTTATTTGCATCTCTGCTGATGTTATGACCCTGCATCAGCTGGACAGTCAACTTTAGAGGGGCTGGATGAATCACAGATTGGCTGGCTTTCTCATTGCTGAGGTGATTAAAAACAGCTTTTCACACTTCATTTTCTCCCTTTCTCCTCTCACCTCCCCACCTTTTCTGTGTATCTTCCATTCTTCCCAGATCTCTGAAATGTCTCTGTCACACAGTTCCTCTCTCTCTCTGTTTGCCCCTCCAGTTGGGAGAAAAGCTGTTGTATTAGCCTGTTCACACATTGCTATACATAATTACCTGAGACTAGGTAACTTACAAAGAAAAGAGGTTTAATTGGCTCATGGTTCTGCAGGCTGTACAGGAAGCGTGGCTGGGGAGGCCTCAGGAAACTTACACTCATGGAAGAAGGCAAAGAAAAGAGGTTTAATTGGCTCATGGTTCTGTAGGCTGTACAGGAAGCATGGCTGGGGAGGCCTCAGGAAACTTACACTCATGGCAGAAGGCCAGAGCAGGAGGAAGAGACAGAAGGGGAAAGCATTACACACTTTTAAACCACCAGATCTCATGAGAACTCACTCACTATCATGAGAACAGCAAGGGGGAAATCTACCCTCATGATCCAATCATTTCCCACCAGGCCCCGCTTCCAACACTGGGGATTACAATTTGACATGAGATTTGGGTGGGGACACAGACCTAAACCATGTCAGCTGTGTTGACTCATCACTAACACTTTAGCAAGCAGTAGTTTAACTCACTACTTTCTCAGAGTTATTTGCTTATTTAAAGCACTGTAGAGAGAGCCCCAAAGGAAAAAGTCTATAATGGTTGAGTTCCAAGCACCATGAACCTTGGAGAATGAACTCATATTGGAGGTGGAAGAGTGATATAAGAACACTTCTAAGTGGCCCTGAAATCACAGCAATCAGACAACCCCACACCTCATTTTTAAAAAGCCCACTCCCCTGAGGGCCTTCTTTCCTCTTGCCCACCTGGTTCTATCATCCTAGCCCATAGCTTGCTCCCCAGTGTACCCATCTAGACCTCCAATTTTCTTACAAAGCTTAAAAAACTTCCCTTGGTGGAGTGGTGATGAATACATTTTGGTGTAGAAAGAACCCAGAAATAGAAATTACTAAACAGAAATATTCAAAAAATGATTAAAGGTGTGGGGACTTCATAGGTGTGAGAGAAAACAAATCCATGGTACTCCCATTCCCATTAGCATCTCCAGAAAGCCTCGTTCACATAGAGGCTGTCTAGGACTTGAAGGCCTCATACCTGCTCACCTGGCCTTCATCACTCATGCCAGGCACCATGGCTCTGGAGAGCCTCTGTCTCCACTCATAGGAGTTCAGGAAACCACACTCCTTTCCTTCTCAGTCAATGGCTGAGAAGAAATGATGGGAATTTTGATAAACACCCAGCAACAAGAAAATAGCCAATGGGCCCACTAATAAGAAAGCAAACCTTCTACAGAAAATCTGTCTGCTTTACTTTCCCCTTATCAATATTGCTCCGAAAGTTAATTTGTCACCGTATAGCCAGAAAGCTCACCTCCGTCTTTTTAAATGTTTCATTCTAGGTTTGCCCAACAAGAGTAATAAAAATAATGACACCATTATTCCTCTTCTCTCTTTGTTTTCGGTGCATCACTTGCAGATTTGAATAATGAATTATACTCACATTATCTGTACTTTCTGGCTCTTGACTACCTCTACTGGCTAAAAGTGAAGCTATTATCCAATTGTCAAAGACTGAGAAGCCTTCCCTGGCACAGTCAGTGATCTTGTGAGGTAGATGCACTCTGGGGCAAAATTATCGAGAGGACAATTTCAAGCTATATAAGAGCAAATTACCAGCCTGTGTGGAACTGAATCTACAACCTGGTGAAATATTAAATATTTCATTAGTAATCCTTTTGGAACAAAAATAAGCAGACAACAGAATTAGTTGTGAGTTGGGCATAAAAGGCTAATTAATGTTATTGTATTCGGTTGATTGACTTTAAGGCTATTAAATCATTATTTTATTGTCTGAATCTCTGCCTCACTCAGGCTAAAGAAGCCATTTTATCAGAAAAACTGTGTTTTTTCTTTGTTTCTTTTTTTAAAACAAACAAAAAACAAAAAACTTCTGCTGCTTCTAAGGAGACCAATTCGTGCGCCTGAACTTGGCTTCTTATACAGTTGAGTTTGCATCCCTGAATAGATCTTCCAGTGCATTTTAGGTGATGTAAAATCTACATCCGCCATCAAGAACAAATTAAAAGTGGATGTGACAACCCCGCAGAGGGGTCAGCAGCCACATCTGGAAAGTACTGCAGAGGTCGTGTTGTCCAACACTTTGCACCAACAGGTGAGTGTACTGTATACTCTTCATCGACTTCGTCATCTTCATTGTCTTCATCTCCTTCTGCCTCTTACAGATTTCTGGCTTCATGTTCCATTCTATAATCCACCATCCACAGAACCAGCAAAATAATTCTCTGCCCACCTTAAACAAGCTCATGCAAAAATATATTAGAACCTATTTTTGATGACTGTCTTCAAGTATTCACTCCCAATTCCACAGGTGCCATTTAGTGAGGACTAATGTTGAGGACCACGTGTCAACCTAGGCATCCAAAGGAGATTCTCACATCTTAGCCTGGGCCTGGTATATGACACCTCCAAGTGCATTGGAAAAAGGATCCCTCCTTCTGTGCCATTGCAGCCTACCACCAATGAATGTATCTGGGCAAACAAAGTACAGAGTTGGATTTCAGCACAACTTGTTGGCTTGACCCGACACGCTTGAATAGAGGACAGCCTGAACAACCATACGCAGTGACCCAGCATGGACAGTCTTTTGCTAGAGATGACTCTCAACAAAGATCTAAATTGAGCAAAGCTCATCTCAATGAATTTCCATCTTTGCCTTCCTCTTCTTTCCTTTCCTTTTCTGGCCAGCCTATCTGTCCAGACGCTAGAATTTATTTTTCAATCAGTATCTAAGAAGTACTCAAGGCTACTGGATTATGCATGCCATGCTGATGGGCCGGCTCTGTTTCTCTCTACTTACAGTGATGCATGGGGCCTCATTTTCAACCTAGACACCTCTGTAAATTGACCTGAATGTTCTGTGTGTACATGGACATTGACACAGAAGAAAAACAGTAGTTGCTTAGAAAGCATGTTTCTTTGTAGAGAACTCTGAAATCCCATCTTATTATAACAGGGATTCCTTAAAAACAAGGAGACTTTGAAATGCAAAGGGATAAATTTAAATAGTGTAATTCAGGTACCCCATAAGGCAATGAAGGTTTTTTCATGTATTACTGATTAATCTTCTGTTGTCTGCCTTTGGAAGGTCCATAGAATAGGCAAAGCTCCCCTTCCTTAGATTCTGGAGCCCAGTTGGTCAGCCTCTACTTTTTAGGTGCTATAGTCATTCTCAGCATGGCAGAAGCCAGGCCAAGGAGCTGGGGCAGACATGAAAATCACCAGAGGTTGGGCTGTGGGTGGTCTGGCTAGAACTTTACATAGGTTGCTTTTGGCTTTTGCAGAGAAGAAGAGGAGTGTAGAATACCTTTACGTAAACAATTCAGACCCAACCCAAGCCAAAATGAGTAACAAGAGTCTGCAGGATGAAATGGTATTATTTGGTTCCATCAGTCTCACTTGATAACAGCTTAGCTTCCCACACAATGTAGAGATAACCTAACACTCACTTTTTCTTACCACTCTCTTTTTTCTTTTTTCTGAAAAGAAAAGGAAGAAGGATAAGGAGGATGAGGAGGAGGAGGAGAGAAAAGTTAAAAGGGATTTTACCGTATCACTGGGCATGGTGGCTTGGAACCAGGTAGAAATCTTATTTTTTTATATATTTTTAAATTGGTAGTTTTATTTTCTTTGGATAAAACAGATGGATATGAAACTGGATCAGTAATTTGGAAACAAATTATACAAAACTGGTGGATGTATGGCTTGGTTCTGCTTTTCTTATAATGTCAGTTTCCTAAAGATGTGGTTGCCAAAGGGATCCTTACATGGGTTTTGTGGGTAAATGTCACAGTAGGCTGGAATGGGGAAGGGAGAGGCTGGTGGGGACTTGGGTGTTTCCCCAGATATAATAGATAATCCTGACTTTCAAATGTAGTGGAATTTGTACCAAGGAAACCACATTGCTATGTTCTGAGTACCAGGGTACTCCTAGCTGAGAGGGATGGCTTTACACCAACTTCCTTGGAAACCTGCCTGCCGTGGATCTGGAGGCATGGGAGCTCAGTGGGTTCCAGCCTGCTTGGGAGGCCACCGTTTCATGTCTGTATGGTCGTCCTGTCTCAGCCCAGCCTGATGCCCAGCTTCTGACCCATGTAAGAATGCTGCTGGTAGCTGGACAGAATGGGCTGAGTGAGGGATGGCACTCCTGCAAAACCCAACACACCTGGCAAGGCAGGAAATGCTGCATCCATTCCATGTCCATTCACGGAGCTGCTGGGCACCCAGTGCTTATGCAGGGCATTCAAAGACAATGTAGGAACAGTCCCTGACTTTTAGGAGACTACCTTCTGATGAGCAAAGCCAGAAGAGAAACACACAGTGCCTAAGATGAGCTCAGACCTTTCTTGGATAAAGGATGGGGAGGGGCCCTATTATCTTTTTGAAAGCAACTAGGGGAGTCAGTCTCAACTTGGAAGCCATGAGGGTGGGGTTCATTTGGAAATGTGATCCTTGCTATCTCCAAGTCTTCATTTATCTTGATGGGTCAATTAGACTGTAAACACAAGATAGAGGAAAAAGAAATCTTGGTCTTACTCTGTTTCTCGTGGGAATTCGGTCAGCTCCACTTATAGCACAATATAACTACTTCAAGACAGCTGTACCAATCTCAGCTTGTACGTGGTCTAGTAAATGCTGGAATTGGCTTTCTCAACCTCCATTTTTTCTCCATTTTATTTGGAAAAGTTAGAAAACTAAAGTCTACATTGCCCAGAAACCCTGGCAGCTAGGATTCTGGATGCAAATTAGGTTCTGCTAATCTAATGCATTTGTGGGGGATTTGGAAGACGCCAGCCAGTGGCCATCATGGCTGCTGGCAAGGAAGGCTGGGCAGAGATGAGAATATGTAGCGGCCTGATTCTGCATTCCAGCATCTCACAGCAGTGCCACTGCAGTGAGAGGTAGACTTAGTGGCAGCAATAGTGCACTGGCTCCCCGACCTCTGGACCACAGCCAGGGTGGTGTGACCTTGAAACTGCTAGTTTTGTGGTGGTTCCTGACATATGCTCCTCTCAGCCCTTCTAAATATTTTGCAAGCAATAACTCCATGGTGTTAAATTTTTTCCATCCAAAATCCTCTGAAGGTTTCTGTTTCCTGAGCTGAATCCTGACAGAGAAACAAGGCCAGCATTACCCTGGGTCAAGATCCATAAGGGCCGTTGGACTTCAATCTGCTCCTTTAAATCTATATTGGATTTTGCTTCCCTGATATTTGGAACTCTTCTTGGATTCTAACTCATGTTCACTCTCTGCATTCATCTTTTTCTAGTCTCCTAGGGTGTAGCATGTGCTATGCATACCACACATCATTCTTCTTGGCCTCCATGACTTAACTGGCCTCCATGACTTAACTTGGCCTCTGTGACTTAACTGGCCTCCATGACTTAACTGGAGGCTTCAGTTGGGTGTTCCCAGCAGGGTGATGGCTGAGTGCAGGAGTAGCTCTGAGGGTGAGAGGGTGAGAGGGTTAGCACACTGCGGAGTCGCCCTCAACCAATGAGGTACTGGAGTCAGTGGGTGAATGCACCCCCATCCTCTCCCACTTTATCCTATTCCAAAGTGTTAGCAAACCTCTCTAATTGTGGAGAGGGGCTCTGTTGGACAAAGAAACCAACAAATTCACCAGTTTTAAAGAACTAGCTGCTTGGTCCATTGTTTGAAGACTGTTGACTCCTCAACAGAAGAACTCAGTCAGAGTTTTAGAGTAGTGGTCTTCATTTTTCATATAAAGAAAAGCCACTACGTAGAAGCAAATGGGAAATCCAAGTTTGGAGGCAGGAGAAAAGGTCCTTGAATTGAGGTAATGCACATGGGATGGAGCTGCCAGCTGCAGTTCCAAACTTGTTGGGGAAGGGGCTGGGTTGAAATAAACTAGTAAGTGTTTGAAATCTGTCAGTATCTATGCCCTGCATGCAGGTCCCCAACTCAGAACATCTGGCAAAAGATTTAGCAAATAAGTTCAACAAGTGTGTAGTGAGCAATTGCAAAGAGAGACAATAAAGGTAAAGTGGGAAGCCAGGGCTTTTGGAAGTATTCAAACTTACGGTCACATCCCAACAGCATCATTTGGAAACTGTGCCATTCTGGGAGCGTTGTTTTATGGACAAGATAATTGATATTTCATGGAGCAGTTGTGAGAATTGAAGTTGACAAGTCAACTTGCACATAGTAGATGTTCATTAAGGTGAATCCCATCTTAAAGTGAAATCTATATTTCCAATCTTCCAAGCAGTTGAAGGCCAATCCCCTCTTAGGCTAAACATTTTTGTCATATGCATTTTTATCTAAACCTCCCCAAACAGTTACTTTTTCCCTTTGCGCATCAACTAAACAGCATCATAGAAGACTGACATTCCCACTAGCAGTCCTGATTACTGAGGTTTTGGTAAAAAGGCAAGAATCTCTCCAGCAGTCCTGTCATCTCAGACGTGCAGTCAGGTGGTGTGTGCTGTCCACAGTCACATGTCTTGTTTTCTATGTGTGATCAGAGAGTTAACACAGCTGGCCTCTTTATTGTCTATGCCTGTGAATATCTTGCTCTTTGGAATCTACATGTTCACAAACACAGCCATCTCTATACTTCATCACAGGCCTGTATGTTTACATGTTTGCTAGATAGAGTTTTCCATAAAGCACAATGCCAGGTTGCAATGATAGTCTGTGCTGAATGACACACATTTGAATTTCATAGGAGGCTGTCTCAAACCAGGCTGGGCCCCTGGACTATAAAATTTATGGAGGCACACTCTGAATTAATCAGCAAATATATACTAATTCACGCTGACCTTTTTTCAAGCTGAGGCCTTTTTATCACTCACTGTAGGTTTAACATCGGCCTACCGAGTGTTATTACAAAGGACTCAATGGTTGGCCATAATTATATAATGCAAATGACATTTGCTGTTTTGTTTGAGCTTATTCCCTCAGATGTTTCCTTCTTTTATCACACTCCTCACACATCTGTGTCCCTGCAATGGCTCTGCAAGCTCCTCCTCTCCTGATCCCCAAGTTGCTTGTGCTGTCTGTCCTGACTGTCATACAGACATGGCCCGCTGTGAGGATCCAGCGGGTGTGAGACATGCCTCTGATACAGGTTATGTTGACAGCTGGTCGGAACAGGTGTACACTGATTCTACCATCAAATGGCAACACACATTTGGCTCCTTCCCAGCTCACAGGCATGAAAAACCTGTTCTCTTCACATTTCTTTGGAGATTGATTGACTGTTCTTTGACACAGCACACTGTGACTGTTTGTAAGTTTCCTGGTCCTTCGGCTGCTCAGACGTGTTCCAGAGAAGTCTCAGAGAAGACCTCCATGTGGCTCCATGAATTATTCATCTGCTTCTGTAGGACGGAGGGGAGAATGAAATCTCTCCTTCCCCACCCTCCCCTCCAAGACCTGGAAGACACACTGCGACATATTTGGGGAGTTAAAAAATCAGCAACAGGATGGTTGCTGGAGAAAAGAAGCACTGAAGTGGTGTAAGAATATTTCGATTCTGAGATTGTTTAAAATGAGAAGCACCATCCTCCAAAACTAAGTGCTTCCTATTACAGAGACTTGATTATGAAACAATGTTGAAAAAACACTTTAATAGTCCAAGTTAAATTGCTCATCTCTCATAAACAGTTAAAGATTGGGTTTTTGTCTCAGTAAAAATAATAATAATAATAATAAAATCCTATGTTAAATGCTTTGGCTTAAGTTTTTGAAAAGTTCCTGTGTAAGAAGGCAGTTGTGACCAACTGAATGCTTCACCAGTGTCGTGAGTGGGAGACATCTGGTTTGAACTCTGCAGAGCTCTTACCCAGACACACACAAAGGTTGCTTTTTTTTAAAGACAGGACAAGAAAAAACAAATTCTGCTACCGAGACTAAAAGGCGTTTGAGACCATGTCAAACGTGCTTTCGGACCCAGAGATGAGCAAGTCCAAAGAAGCGACCCTTGATTCTTCCATTTCTGGGAACATCCAGGACCCCAGAAAAAATGAAGGCAGCCGAAGAGCAACGGCCCAGCTGTCCATTGGTTTCCCAGCCTCACTTTGTACCCTTTCCTGAGCCCTGCACTGGCAGCCCCTGTCTGGGCACATCCACCCCATTTGAGTTTCCTTTCTCTTTTCCCTTTCAAGCCAATGGTTATTTTCATTTCTCAATTCATTTTTTTTTTTTTTTTGGCATTTCTTTCCCTGGTGGGACAAAATAGTTCTGAAAGCAAGATGGCTGTAACAAGGGAACAAAATGCACATTCACAGGTGGGCTTTGTGGAAGTGGGTTTTTATCTGGAGTGTCTCAGAGTCCTGAAGCTCAAAGCAGAAACCTGTAAGCTTATTTTGGGGTCTGTTTCAAAAGTATCATATCAACATCAAATGGCATTTTAGGGCTTTATGATCAGAAACTGCCATTATTACCCTGAACTGATAATGTTATATTAGCACTTTACCTATTCATTTTTTATAACATGCAAATCTCATAAATTCATCTCAAAAATAACCCCAACATATTCAACTGCTAATGCCTCAGATAGCCTAATATATTTGTACACAGCCGAATTCTAAATCCAGTGGAGAATTCTAAGATGGGTTTATGTATTGCATGCTTCTCATAAAACCTTATTTGAACATTTTATTCCAGTTTACATTTTATTAGTAAAGCTCTCATTTTTCACTCCGAATCAGGAAGCAGAGGGGAGGAGTAGTACATTCCTGAAACTTCAATTCTGTGTCCAAATAACTTACAAGATGGACACAAAATGGACAAGACTATGACTGCCCTGAAGACAATTACAAAAAATACTTAATTAGGATGCAATGCTGGTTATTTTAAGCTGTACAAAAGAGTTCTGTACATAATAGAGTGGCTGTTTTATGCAGCTCATATGATAAAATTCTCACCAGTCTTAAAATGACAGATGTAATATTACCTTTAATAAGTGTCTACCGATGCATGCAAATTGAATTAGATAGTGGGAGTACAAATTTGTCTGATAATTAAGATAAAATTTCATGTCAGCTTAAACCCTGGTGTATATTAGTAACTGTATATTTCTTTTCTCTGTTCTCTACCAATTATTTTTCAGTGTGGCCTCTTGATTACTGGAACAGTCAGGTCAAGGGGGTAAAAAACATGGCCCTCAAAACATATTATTATAAGTGGGAGCAAATCATGTCCCTGATTACTACTCAGTTTATGCAAACTTTTAAAAATACTAAGTACAATTCAAATAACTTTGAATAAATTCAACTATGTATTAACTTAGTGTTTCTGAGGTCTCATGAGGTGTTACTGTACCCTTAAGGGTAAGGCTGAGCTAATGCCATTTAGGAGAAATAAAAACACAGAATTTGGAAGTTAATAACCTTATTGATTGAGGAAACCTGAGTTTTAAACTGATTTTGCAGTGCTTTGTTTTAATATTGCAAATGAACTGGGTGTTCATTGTGATATTTTGTTTACACAAAAGTCTCAGAAGGCCAAGAGAATGCACACACGTAGACACACACACACACACACATCCCTTGTGTGCACACAGGCAAAACGCTGTGCCCACATACACACAGCTTAAAGGGTAAGTGCTCCGCATGGCATTCAGCTCCATTTTAATACCCTCCACTGCTGTGATCGCAGTCCCCCGAGGGAGGCAAATATCCTGAGCATTATTAAAAGTGGGATTATCCAATCTAATACTGAAGATTTGGGAACCAGCCAAGAGGAGTCATAAGCAGGAGGGTAAAACAAAGAGGACTTATCAGGGCCCAGACCACCAGGTTTGCCATCCCTAAGCCTGCATATGATTGGCACCACCTGACAGGTGACAGTCACTTGTCCGAACAATAAGTGCCCTCAAAAGGAGGTGTTTGGGCTCTCCCTGCCATGTTGTCCCATCCATGAAATCAAGCACAGGAAGGACAAATCTCCTGTTGACCTGCTGCAGGTGCCTGCTGGGAAGAGTGTTGTCCTCTAATTTCAGCTTCACCACAATCCTGTGAGGTTTTTACTATGATGATTATTTCTGCCTTTCTGGTAGAGAAAATGAGGCTCAAAGAGGTTAAACAGCATGCCCAATGTTAGAAAGCAGGTGGCAGGCCAGCATCTAGACACTATTCCTAGCACTCTAAAGATAGCTTTTTGAGAAACCAGCTCAATGTCCAGGCTTCGTTCTGCCACGATTAGTTGCATCCATTGTCAAATCAAGACCCAGCTTCAATGGTCTGAGACCTTAGAGATTGTGGCAAAGTGGGGAGCACCTGCTCATTGAGGGAAAATGGTCCCCACTCAGCTCTGCCCAGTCACTAGCACAAATAACGCAGCATTTTCTACCCTGCACCCATTCCACTCATTTTAATAATCAGCCTGATGGTTATAGGCATTTAAATTTGTAATCACATATACCAAAAGCCATCTTTTCTTCTTCTGCCCTGATATGCATTTGTATGTGTTATGCTAATCAGACATTATTTATATCATTTTTTAATAAATGTAGTAAATTTTTATATTGTAACCTGCTCTCACACTCTCAAAAAAACCTTATACTTATAGCTCTTAAGTTATTTCTAACCCAAGTTACAAAATTTCCCACAAAGACTATTTTCAGAGCATTGCTTTTGGTGGTGAGTGTTAGTTGCTTACCCCCAGTATACATTCTCCTGTTTTCCCTTGGCAGCACAGCCTGGTTTTAACTGGACTGCTGTGTACTAAGTGAAAAGACCACATTTCTTGGCTTCTGCTTCTTCTCAGTGTGGCCCCATGATTAAATTTTGGCCAATGAGATGTAAGCAGCTTATTGTGTAGTACTTCTTTGAAGACTCCTTAAAGGGAAAGAAGGCCATTATCTGATGCCTCCTCTTGCTTTAGGCCTTCGACATAAACTGGCTGGAAGACTTGCAGCCATTTACAATCACAAGGTGATTTTGAAACTTAAATTGTTCCCACGTTTAGTACTGGGACCTAATTTTAACAGACTGGTTTTCCTATTAAGAACAACTACAAAAGCTGGGATTTTTTTTGAAAACAAATGTATTAGTTTGTTTTCACTCTGCTGATAAAGACATACCTGAGACTGGGCAATTTACAAAAGAAAGAGGTTTAATTGGACTTACAGTTCCATGTGACTGAGAAGGCCTCACAATCACGGCAAAAGACAAGGAGGAGCAAGCCACGTCTTACATGGACGGCAGCAGGCAAAGAGAGAGAGAGCTTGTGCAAGGGAACTCCTCTTTTTAAAACCATCAAGTCTTGTGAGACTTATTCACTATCATGAGAACAGCATGAGAAAGACTTGCCCCCATGATTCAATTATCTCCCACTGGGTCCCTCCCACAACATGTGGAAATTCAAGATAAGATTTGGATGGGGATGCAGCAAACCATATCATTCTGCCCCTGGCACCCTCCAAATCTCATGTCCTCACGTTTCAAAAGCAATCGTGCCTTCCCAACAGTCCCGCAAAGTCTTAACTCATTTCAGCATTAACCCAAAAGTCCACAGTCCAAAGTCTCATCTGAGACAAGGCAAGCCCCTTCCACTTATGAGCCTGTAAAATCAAAAGCAGGTTAGTTACTTCCTAGATACAATGGGGGTACAGGCATTGGATAAATACAGGCATTGGATAAAAACAGCCATTCCAAATGGGAGTAATTGGCCAAAACAAAGGGGCTACAGGCCCCATGCAAGTCTAAAATCCAGCAGGGCAGTCAAATCTTAAAGTTCCAAAGTGATCTCCTTTGACTCCATGTCTCACATCCAGGTCATGCTGATGCAAGAGGTGGGTTCCCATGGTCTTGGACAGCTCCACCCCTGTGGCTTTGCTTTGCAGGGTACAGCCTCCCTCCTGGGTGTTTTCACAGACTGGTATTGAGTGTCTGCAGCTTTTCCAGGCACACGGTGCAAGCTGTCAAAGGATCTACCATTCTGGGGTCTGGAAGATGATGGCCCTCTTCTCACAGCTTCACTAGTTGGTGCTCCAGGAGGGACTCTGTGTGGAGGCTCCAACCCCACATTTCCCTTCTGCACTGACCTAGCAGAGGTTCTCCATGAGAGTCCCATCGCTGCAGCAAACTTCTGCCTGGACTTCCAGGCATTTCCATCCGTCTTCTGAAATCTAGGCAGAGGTTCCCAAACCCCAATTCTTGACTTCAGTGCACTGGAAGGCTCAACACCAGAGAGAAGCTGCCAAGGCTTGAGGTTTGCACCCTCTGAAGCCACAGCCTCAGCTCTACGTTGGCCTCTTTCAACTATGGCTGGAGCAGCTGGGACAAAGAGCACCAAGTCCCTAGGCTGCACACAGCAGAAAGACCCTGGGCCTGACTGATGAAACAACTTTTTCCTCCTAGGCCTCCAGGCCTGTGATGGGAGGGGCTGCTGTGAAGAGCTTTGACATGCCCTGGAGACATTTTCTCCATTGTCTTGGGTATTAACAATCAGCTCCTCATTACGTATGCAAATTCCTGCAGCTGGCTTGAATTTCCCCTCAGAAAATGGGATTTTCTTTTCTATCACATTGTCAGGCTGCAACATTTCCAAATTTTTATGCTCTCTTCCCTTATAAAACTGAATGCCTTTAACAGCATCCAAGTCACCACTTGAATGCTTTGCTGCTTAGAAATTTCTTCCACCAGATACCCTAAATCATCTCTCTCAAGTTCAAAGTTCCACAAATCTCTAGGGCAGGGGCAAAATGCCACCACTCTCTTTGCTAAAACATAGCAAGAATCACCTTTACTCCAGTTCCCAAAAAGTTCCTCATCTCCATCTGAGACCACCTCAGCCTGGATTTCAGTGTTCATATCACTATAAACATTTTTGTCAAAGCCATTCAACATGTTTTTAGGAAGTTCCAAACTCTCCCACATTTTCCTGTCTTCTTCTAAGCCCTCCAAACTATTCCAACCTCTGCCTGTAACCCAGTTCCAAAGTTGCTTCCACATTTTCAGATATCTTTTCAGCAGTGCCCCACTATACTGGTACCAATGTACTGTATTAGCCCATTTTCACACTGCTAATAAAGAGACTGGGCAATTTACAAAAGAAAGAAGTTTAATTGGACTTACAGTTCCATGTGGCTGGGGAAGCCTCCTAATTAAGGCAGAAGGCAAGAAGGAGCAAGTTACATCTTACATGGATGGCAGCAGGCAAAGAGACAGAGAACTTGTGCGAGGGAACTCCTCTTTTTAAAACCATCAGATCTCATGAGACTCATTCACTATCATAAGAACAACATGGGAAAGGCTTGCCCCCATGATTCAATTACCTCCCACCAGGTCCCTCCTACAACACATGGTAATTCAAGATGAGATTTGGGTGGGGACACACCCAAACCATAACAACAAAACACCTATTTGAAGGTATTGGGAGCTATCAAGGCAGCAAGGATTGAAGGAACCAAAGGGCAGGGGTGCAAGGGATGCTTCTGTCCTTAGTCAGAGGGTCTAAGTACAGAGTCACCGTGCCCCAGATATCTCTGGCCTTTCTGCTGGAACTTTCTGCCACAGTTGAGAGTGAGAAGTACAAAGGGTCATGCACTTCAAAGGTGCCAGCTTTAAGCAGGGTGATCTGGGTGTGCTGAGAAAGGCCACAAAAGCCAAGGATGTCCTTGATAAACTCTACCATCTCCCATATGGTGGGCATGAAGTTCACTGAGGAATCCTCTCCCATCTCCTTCACACTTTACCCACTGCATCCATGTAGGTTCATGTCCATGGGATTCTTAGGGAATGGAATGAAAATTCACTGCCCCTCTCCCATCTAAATCATTTGTCTCCTCCAGCATGGTGGTTTGGAGGCTGAGAAATGGCAAAAAGCATTGGTTGAGATACTGACAGCTGAAGAGAGCTTCCAATCTTATAAGGCAGAGAGGCATAGCCAGAAATTAGAGTCTAGGTCATAAAGCAAGAGGGGTCATGGCAAACACCCCAGGCTTCAGTTGGAACCCCTTAGTGTTCTACTCTAGATGTGGTGGTGAGATAAGTTAGTCCTTATAAAAATGGAAGCACAGCTTTCAAATTTGTTCAATCCTGGTTGTAATAGGGTAAAGAGCCCCTACCATAACTGCCTGCCAGACATAGAAGTATACCCTCTTTGGAGGAAGATATCATCATTTTGGACTCAAATTAGTTCTATCATTTTCACATACAATATCCAATATTCAATAAAAATTTGTCAGGCCTTCCAGAAGACAAGGGGCTACATGGCCAAAACCAAGAGAAAATAGACAATAGAAAGAGATTTGTAAATGGAACAGATATTTGAGTTAGGCAAAAATGTTAAAGTAAATGTGATTAGTGTGCAACAAAAATTCAATGACAAGATGGGAAATTTTTGCAGATAACTGAAAGATGTAAAGAAGTATTAAAGGGAAATTCTAAAACTGAAAAATAAAGTAACTAAAATTAAGAACACCATACAAAGTATTAATAGCAGACTAGACATATTGTAAGAGAAGTTGTGAACCAGAACACAGGTCAAGATAAAATATTCAGACTGATACTAATGAGGAGAAAACTGCAGAAAATATAGAAAACGGCATAAGAGAAACATGAGAGCAGTTTGAAAATGTCTAACATATATATTTAATTAGTGTCCCAGAAATAACAAAAATAGGGAATGGCACAGAAACGATATCTGAAGGAATAATAACCAAACTGGAAGCAGCATACTGAGGATAGCTGGAAAAGACAAGAGCCTCCCACCGTCTTGATGAGCTAACAGTGCCATCATAACACTCCTGTTCTGCATATCTCCAGATTTCTTTTTCATGATAGAGAAATAATCCCTACCTTGATTTAGTTACCATTTTTCAGGCCCTTCTTACTTATAAACCAAATCTTACCTAAAACACTTTTCTTTGTTTATAGAGATTTATCAGTATTAAAGCTAGTGCAACTGTGGTATCCCTTCCTGTGTTACATATTGCTTAAATGTGAAGGGTTTTCATAAGGAAAATGTGCTGTTGCTGAATATAAGACAAGAGCTGTTTATAGATAGGAGCTAAAGGAAAGCATATTTCTCTCCAGTGTAAGTTCTATATTCTTTAGTCCAGCACATGTTTTTGACCAGCTACTTTGTATCAGGCACTGTCCTAGACACTGATAATATAAAGTCAAATAAGAGAACTTAAAGTCTGACGCAGTCACTGCAAGAAAGGCCCAAGGCATGGCTCCAGGGAAAAGAAATGTGACCATGAACATCAGCAACTGCTGAATTTTTGAGATGGATTTTTGTCCCATTCATGGACAAAGACCATGAAGGTTTTCCTCTTGAATATTTCTATTTTTTTCTCCTTACAGATAGTGCTGGTCCTAGATGGAGGCTTCCAGTCTGCAGTGCAGGAATGCTGCAAAGAGGCCACCTCCAGACATGTTGAGCAAGGCCTAGAAGTCAGGATACTGATCTCTCTTCAGACCTCCAGCACTGGCTAGCTGTGTGACCTTGGGCAAGTCATTTAACCTCTCTGGACCTCAATAATTTCATTCTGAGGGGCAAAAAGGTCTAGATGCATTTCCAGGGTCTCTTCCTGCTCTGAAACATAAGCCTTTTGAAAAATGTATGCTGAGCATAAATCACTAACCCAATCTTCCCCTGAAATACCATCTTATTATGTACTACGCAAGATTAAAAGAGACTAAATTAAAGGTCACAAGTTAAATGTCTAGGGGAACCTGATGGGTCAAGTCAGGTTCAAGTGGGTAAAATGGTCTGGGAAATGGCAAGGACTGGGTGAACCGGATAATACAGATGTCTCCTAGGGTGTGTAGCGTGCACTCAGATCCCTGATGGATGCCATTGGGAAGGCAGGTCCAGTGTTGCAGATCTTTTGATTTGTCCAAAGAAGATGGAACTCCAGATATTTAGGTGAAATGTCCAAATGCATAGAACATGCAGGAAAAGAAATACAGATATCTATAGGCTGGATTTGACCTAAGGGTGACCATTTTGCTACCCCCACTTGTACAGTAGATTGAGTGGTGGCTCCCCCCAAAATATGTCCTTGTCTTAACTCTTGGAACTTGGGAATGTTACCTTATTTGAAAGATGAATCTTTGCAGATATAAAGTTAAGGATCTTGAGATGACATCACCCTGGATTACCCAGGTGGGTGCTAAATCTGATGACCAGTGTCTTTGTAAGAGATAATAGAGAAAAGGCCATTGAAGACAGAGGCAGAAATTGGAGTGATGTGGCCAAGGAAGACAAAAAATGCCAGCAGCCAGGAGAAGCTGGAAAAGCCAAGGAAAGATTCTCCCTTAGAGCCTTTTGCAGGAGCACAGCCCTGCCAACACCTTGATTTTGGACTTTTGGCCTTCAGAACTGTCAGTGAACAAGTTTCCGTTGTTGTAAGTTACCCAGGTTGTGGCAATTTGATACACCAGGCCTAGGCAACTAATACTCTCTGTCTAAATGCATAGTCAAGGTAAGCAAAAGTGTGACAGGAGCACAAGGGAGAGCCTCCAACCCCCTGGACAGAAATTGGAGGCGGAAGAGTCAGGGAAGGCTTAATGAGAATGAGTGGAGAAGGAAGGGTAAGTTCATTCTAACCAGAGATAATAATGTGAGCTGTTTAACAATGAGAGTTGTCTTATGAGTTAGTAAGCTTCCTGTCAAAGAAAATCTTTAAGTGTGCTAAGCTGCTTGTTGAGCGTTTTTTTTTTTTTTTTTTGACAATTCATTCGCACGATAAGCGTTACTAGACAATATTTGAGATGCCTTCTGAATTTTAAGATTCTAATGGCCTTTGTCTTTTCCCGTCTTATTATATCTCCCCCTGCTGGCTGGGCTGACTGCCATGAGGCAGGCTTGTAAGTTGCCAATGAGTCAAGGACACCAGGCTGAGTTTCAAGGGGCCCGATCCCTGCTGCTTCCAGTCCGTCTAACCCATGGTGCAGACTGCTGCACCTGCCAGAAAATAAATGACCATAGACCTTCAGCCAGGGAGCTTGACTGCATGTCTTGATCAGTAAAACAAAGTCACCTCCACATACACCTGGTCTTTCTTAAAAAGGAATGGGATGTGTTAAAACCATAAATAAAATTGGACTAAGGTAGCTCCCATTTATTTAGAATTCAAATAACCTGAAATCTCAGGAAACAGAAATGATTGTGTTTCAATCTGAAAAAGATGAATTGTAAATTAAGAGGCGGACGTTGACATAATACATTCTAGGAGCTGTTTTGGGCTAAAGTACTTGTTCAAATTGATAGAACTAATTAGAGGAGGTGACAAGGGACAGGGCAAAAACCCTTGTGGAGCTGTGCTTTTTACCCCTTCTTTCACTGTTCATTTCTCAGTGTGGAGCACGGGTACTCTGGGACAACGCAGAGGTGTGCTAGGGGAAATGTAAGGCCATAGAATAAACATGCTACCGGCTGGGCACAGTGGCTCACGCCTGTAATCCCAGCACTTTGGGAGGCTGAGGCGGGCAGATCACAAGGTCAGGAGTTCGAGAACAGCCTGGCCAATATGGTGAAACCCCGTCTCTACTAAAAATACAAAAATGAGCTGGGTGTGGTGGCAGGCACCTGTAGTCCCAGCTACTCAAGAGGGTGAGGCAGGAGTATTGCGTGAACCCAGGAGGCGGAGGTTGCAGCAAGCCGAGATCACGCCATTGCACTCCAGCCTGGACGACAGAGTGAGACCCCATCTCAAAACGAACAAGCAAACATGCTACCTCTTCCTAGATAAATGGTTCCCAAACTTTTGGTCTTGGACCTCTTTATACTCTTAAAAATTATTAAGAATCCCAAAGAGCTTTCGCTATGTGAGTTATAGCTATCAAAATGTACCCTATTAGAAATTAAAACTGAAAATTTTGAAACACAGGAATACATGAGCACGCATTTCATTAACCATCAGAGCAATGACATCAACATATGCCATACAGCCTCTGGAAAACCCCAGCGCACATTCATGAAAGAATGAGAATGAGTTGATTAATATTATCATGAAAATGGTTTTGATCTGAATGGATCTTAGGAACTCCCAGAATTTCCTGCACCATACATTGAGAACCACTATCCGAGACTCAATTTTCCTCAAATATTTAGAGAAAAGCACATTTAAAAATATATTTCAAAAGTGAAGGAAAAAATAGATTATGTAGTAAATGATGTAATAACAGCTGTTTTTCCATTAGGGAAACTAGATTCTGACTTCACTCTATTTTTAAAAATCCACAGGGATTATAGATACAAAATACAAACATAAAATATAAAACTATGAAAATATTGTATGACTACAACGCTCACTGTTTTCTATAGTTTTGGGATCCGGGAAGGCCTTTATAAGCAAGACACAATCCTCAGAAATTATAAAAGGAAAAGAAGTGATGATTTGCCAGATAAAAGGGAAAGCTTCTGAGTAGCAGATATCACTAAATATTTGCAACATATTTAATACGCAAAGGTCAATTTCTCTAATATGTAATGATCTCCTATAATAAAAACCAAATAATTCAGTAGAAGTGGCAAACAATATAACCAATAAATTTATAAAATATGTATAGACAATGAGTATATGAAAATGAACATATCCTAAATAATATTTAAATGCAATTAAAAGAATGATGATACATTTTGTACCTACCAAATTGTCAAAAAATGTAATTTTAATTGACAACACAGAATACTGGTGAGTGTGTGGGGAAATGTGCACTCTCATATTTTACTGGTGAGAGTATAAATTAGGACACTGTTTGCATAACAATTGAGTACATCTATTACAGTTAAAATATGCTTAAGAGCCAGCATATTTCATATAAGAATCTCCTAAACAGAAATTACTATAAAAATAATAAGGTTAAGTATATACGGATGTTTACTACAGCATTGTTTAAAATAACAAAAGAACACTGACACAAAATTGGACACATTATAAATGTCCATTAATAGAAGAATAGAGAAATTCACTGTGGTGTATTCATTCAATGGAAAGCAAGATAGCCATGAACAAAAATAAAGTAGATCCCCATATATTGATAAAGAAAAAAGCAATTTGCAGAGTGATATGCATAGCATCATCTTATTTTTTAAAGAAAGATAAACATGTATATCAATGCACGCATAGGGAACCATTGAGAAAGATATACAGCAACTGTTATAGGTCATTATCTTCAAGGAATGGAATGAGGACTGAAGAGGAATTTTATTTCTTAATGCAAATAACTTAAAAAGGTGTCGGGTTATAAGATATTATTCTTTATTGCATGCTTTCTTAGTATAAGGCAAAATAGGAGTTAATTTTTAATAATAAAATTTAGCATCCCAAAAATAATTGCTTTGAGCACCACCCCAGGACTTATTCTCTCCTGCCATCAGTAAAACCTGGTAGAGAAGACTGAGATATCATGAGCCTGGCACCAGGCTTCTTCACTAATGACCAAATAGCAGGTCGGGTCCTGAATTCAACTAAGTTGCTAAGGATGCATGTGCCTCTGGGCTAATGATCAGTGTGGTGCAATTAGAGTAGGACGTTTTTCTGGTTTAGCCCTCTGATGGCATCAACCTGAGTGCTTGCTGAAGCCATCATGGCTCCGAGACAGTTCTACATTCTCTGAATGCATTCACACCATCTGCCTGTTCATTTCTTCATCCATTCACTCATCATTGGTTCAGCCCCCATGAGGAACCACGCATGGTGCTAAGTGCAGATGATGCAGAGGTGGAAACGGTGAAGCCCCTTCCCTCAAAAGGGTCTTGGGGGCAGAGAGTAGAGTCAGTGCATGTGTGCACTGACATTTCAGAGCAGAACAGAAGCAGATCCAGCATCCAGGAGGGGCCCTGAATGAGGTGGACAGTGTCAGCCAGGGCAAACTGACTTCCCCTAGTTGTGCTGTGACAGCTTCCAGGGCCTCTGGTACTTGGTAACAGAGCAGGGCAGGCTGGTGAAGAAGCCCCTGTATGGCAGCACATGGGAGAGGTGAGTGTGATGCCACGTGCTCCCACTTCACATTTCCCGATGCCTCTCATATTTATCTCCTTCAGTCCTTTCCAGAAACCACTTCTTTTCCTCATTCTCTTCCTCCCTCTTTCTCTCTGCACCTTTGTTTTTAGGATTTGAGAGCGGAGAAAGCCTGGGAATTTCGATAATGCATCTCCCTCCATACACAGAAGTGGAGATGGAGGCAGAATGTGACCATGACCAGTTCAAGCCCTCCCAGCTCATCCTGGGCATGGGTTGGGGGCAGGAGCCTGAACTGTGGCTGGAATAAGAGGGATGGGCCATGTTCTGTGCCTCCTCTAGAAGCAGAATGGATCAGGGCCAGGCCCAGCAGGCAGCAAAGTGGGGGTCGGTTGTTTTAGAAGGCGGTTCTAAGGATTTGAGACTGAAACTAAGTAACTGGAAATGAAGGTTTCATTTCCTTTTCTTTAAAGAAAAGTGAATATCCTCTGCAATTTTGTGTTGTCAGAGAGCTCCCTAAACCCAAGGGTGATCATAGCATTGCCACCATCTGTGTCCTTTCATCTCAAGGTCAATGGCTGCCACTGCTCCCAGGGGACAACCAGAGGTGCTCCTCCACCTGGCGCCCATGGAGCACAAACAGGGGCTGGACCAGCACTGCTGGAAACATGCTTGTGTCCTTCGGCAAGGCAGGAAGCACCAATTAGCTCTGTAGTCCAGGTAAGTCACGCCCTCCACTGGAATTAGATGATATCAAACACTCCCTTTTCCCTCTCACCGGGGCTACCCACTGCAGGATGGAATGTGTAGGTGAAGGAAAGAGGTAAAGATAGAAATCTCAGGCCACAGAGCTCCCACACCCTCCTCCTGCCCTACTGAACCGGGGCTCCAAATCTCCAAGTGAAGTCTGATACCAGTGGCAGACATGACTGAGCCCACCCTACCTATGTCCCATGGGCTCTGAGCTGAGGGCTTTGCACAAAATTTTACAAGGGCACATCCACTCACAGCCTATCTTTTGTGGTCCTCCCTCAAATGCCTTTGTGCCCTGGGCAAATGGGGCCAGCCATCACCTCTGCAGCTGTCAGTCATGGAGAGTGGGCTCAGGGTGCCATGGGTCCCTGCGTCTCAGTGCACCTTTCTTCCAGCCTTTGAGTGCTGCCAGTCCCTGAACCTCCACGCAGTGTGTCCTAAGAAAGAAGGATACATTATGGGGGACTCACAAGATAATTTTGGTCAACACCACATGTGATTTTAGGTGTTACACGAACAAGCTAAAAGCCATTGAATCCTATAGAGAAGCAAGAGTGGCTCCCTTTTGAATGTTCTTTCTGTCCTTCTGATAAGCTCAAGGAGAAAGTCTCTGTTTGTGCTGGTCTTGAACACCTGTCTAATGCAGGCTCAAGTTTCTTCTTAACAAAGAGATAGTGAGCTCTAGGTTCAGAGCCTTCAACAGGAAGCAATTCAATATCAACGTTTGGTTTTTATTGTATGTACTTGTACAGCTTCCATCTCTTTATGGTAAATCTGATTGGTTTTTAACTGTTGTAATAATACAAATTAAAACTTTGATTTTAAATAAATCAATGTGGTGGAAAAGGAAGTTGATTTAAGTAAAGATTATTCCAGGTGGGACTTGGGAAATCACAACACAGGGAGGTTAGGAACTAGCCAAAGGCAATAACCCCTGCCAACAGGTGTTGGCCCCAAATGACCCTCTGGATACTCACATTATCTTAATCCACATTTCCTGTCTCCAACTTTCCAGTTTGCAACCTCCATCTCCTAGTCATCAATATTTGTGCTGGGCCTCCTGCCCAATTTGGGTGACCTCTGATTTACCAGTCCCATCTCCCTTCTTCAATTGCTCGATGCAAAGGGCCTCCCTCATTCCAGATCCCAGAATCAGCTTTGGAGTAAGGTGGGAAGAAACTCCATGTCAACAGTTTCTGCTCCATAGACACTTCCCCCATCTAGACCCCAGTCCTTTCGCCAAGGCAGGGAGGTGAGACTACCACTCAGAAAAGAAGTTACTTCTGATGGACAGACTCATCTAACCAACAGAGCCAGAATTCTTCACTTAGAGGCCACAGAGGGTCAGTTATCTCTTTGGCCTCTAAATGAAGAATCTCAGCTCTGTTGGTTAGATGAGTCTGTACCTCCTTTTTCGAATGCATCAAAAATATTATGTACATAAGTTTTGAAGATTCTTGGATGAATGGGACAAAAATCCAGCTCAAAAATTCAGATGTTGCTGATGCTCATGGTTAGATTTATTTTTCCTGGAGCCATGCCTTGGGCCTTTTTTGCAGTAAGCTTTGGTTCTGGTATTCTTCCCTCCCTCTCCTAGTACCCAGTCCTGGTCTTTGTCTCTGCTATGTCTGTGTGTTTGGAGTAGAGCACAGGTTAAAAACAGCCTATCCCACCAGGAAGTACACTGAGATAAACAAAGGGGCTCAATTCGTAGTAGGTGAATGAATGAATGAATGAATGTATTCCCTCCAAGGTTTCTATCATAATTGTTGCTTTATGCTTTTTCAGATGATTGGAAAGTTCTAGCAGCTATCTGGGGTAACAGGGAAGGCTGACCAGAGCCAGTGAGATCTCTTGGTTTTAATTTCAGTTTGATCAAATAATTCCACAAGGAAACAGTGCAAATTTAAAGGTTTGTGCTTAAGGCCCCCAAAGAAATCATTTCTTTATTACATTGCTAGTTAATATTTTCTTTCCATGTGCAGATTGCCTATATAAGCAAAATTATCATTTGCACTGCTTTTCAAGAAAGAAAAAATTTTAATATAAGATACCCAAACTCATAACCATATTCAAATTGAAGTAAACTAAAGAGGATATTCAGATCAAAGTCTACCAAAGTTTTTAATTTTATATATATGTGTGTGTGTGTACATATACACACATATGTGTATACACACACACACCCCTATATATTTTCCCTTATGCAAAACTGTATATGTTTATGCTTTGCAATGTGTTCTTTATTCACAAAGATTGTGAACATTTTTCCATATCATTAGATCTAAATCTATTGAACTATGGACCTACTGTTGAACTTTCAGTTTACTTCCCATTTTTTTTATAATAAAGAATATTGTACAGAACATCCTTATCCTCTACTTTTGTAAAACTAAGTTCTTTGCAAATTATTAAAACGTTTGAAATGGTATTTCATGAACAATCTGCTAAGAACACCTTTGCATTATTTACTGAGGTATTCCTTAGGATAAATTTTGAGCGGTTGGGTTGCTGGGTCAAAGGACAGTGTACTTTTGAACAACTGGTGGTTCATCAAATTGTTTTTTGGTAATATTGTAACAATTCATATATTCACTAGTAACACATGAATATACTGAATTCTTCATGTATCTACTAGTATTTGCATTGTTGCTTTTAAAATTTTTCAATTGTATAAGTGATAATGTATTTTAAAAATTGTTTTCTTTGTTTTAAGTCCATTTTCTCGGTTACTTGTGAGATCTTTATATTTATTGGCTATTTATTTTTCTTTTTTAGTAAATAGTCTTTTTATATTTTGGCCTATTTTTGTTTCCTCCTGGAGTAGCTATTCTTTGTCTACTTTATGTATTTTTAGGTTGCGGTTTGATTTTAGCTTTAATTTTTTGCTATTTTATATTATTATGTAATTAAATCTTTCAGTTTTATTGCTTTGTGGTTTTTGTTTATGGAGTCATGTTCAGAATGTCCTTCCCTTTCCCCAGATTATGTAAATTTTTACTTGTGGGTACCTTTATCACTTTTATCGCTTCATATTTTACACTTATATTTTTAAGGAATTTAAGTTTTTATAAGGTATGAATTACTAATGCAATCATTTATCAAAATGTTAATCATGAAAATAATATTAATGATCAAATCATTAATCTCTTTTCTATCATTTGAAATACTACCTTATTATGTACTAAATCTTATGTTTGTGTTTCCTTTTATTTTCCATTGTTTTGCCCATATATTCTGGTGCTGCTGCCACACTGTTTTGATTATTCTAGGTTTGTAAAACAGTTTAGAATCTGATGGGACAAGGAGCCCTCTATCACTCTTTATAGAGTTATCCTGCATAGGTTTACTTGTTTATTCTTCCATATGAACTTCAGAATCATTTTGTGAAGTTCATATACACACAGAGACAATATGCCATTAAAGTTGGTAGAAGTTACATTAAGTTTGTGAGTTAATTTGGAGCAAACTGAGTTCTTGACCATATTGACTCTTCCGAACCACAAACCTGATATGGCTCTTTATTTATCCAGACCTTTTAAAAACATCTTTCAGCATCATTTGGGACCATATTACCTAAAACGACTCCTGGAAAACTAAGAACCTGCCAAGGATCTGAGGATTAGGAGTGCTCAATTCACTTCCATGCTCAAGTAGTATTCATTAAATGACTACATTCCAGTTTTGGTTTAGAAATTGGAGATAGCTGTGGAGCCAACCTCGGTGTTCATCCTAAAAAATATAAGGGCACTAAACTTGTCAAGTATTTTGGGAAAAGACATTTTCTTTTAATTTGGGGTGTCAATTTATATTTTTAATGATGGTACTAACTCCTCACCATTTCAAGCCTCATCTCCATCTCATCCACACTCCAAAAGAGTCCTCTGCAGTCACATTAGATGGTGACAGTGGACAAAGGTGATGGAATTTCAAATGAAAATTCTCAGTGATCACTGACAAGTCCCAGGCTGCCTGCCCCGGATCCAAGGCCGGATGTGGCAGTATGCACTCTGTAATGCCAAGTAATACGTCCGCACTGCTGCTGGAATGAGAATTCACGATAAGGACACAGGACTTCGCTGAGGAGTGCCTTGTTTTGCTAAAGTCTACTGCGTGATTTTCAAAGTTGAGAGAGGGGGAAGAGGTGGCTGGAGTTCGAATTAACTTGCATGGCTGTTCAGGACTCTAAATGACTGTTTAATTTCTGACCAGATACGAGGAACCAGGCCGCACCCCCAATTGAGGGCATGCTGACAGAATGGCCAAGTGTGATCCTTAATTTGTCAATAATGATTTTAGGCCGTGACCCTTAATAGGACCCTGTCACTGGTGAGGTGATTTATGCCTCCTGCGATGACATCAGTACCAATAGTGCTGATAAAAGAACACTTATATTGGAGCAAACAGGATGATGAATGGAATCCGGGTCTCCTTAGTCATCTCATTACTGCTTCTGCTGTTCACCGTGGAGCTAATGTAGCGAGTCATCATGCGCCTGGGGACCAGTTTGGAGGTTAAATTTAATAGTGAAAGTGTGGGAAATGTACTGTAGCCCTGGGTCAGGAGCAGTGGAGGGTACATTGGAAGTCTGTGTATGCAAGAAAAGGCAACCATGCCAAAATGTCTACACTTCTATGCCACCCAAGACTGCACCATGCCCACATCTCATTGGTTTTCTCCCCATATGGTTTTAAAATGTGACTCTGTAAAATTCCAGTGTCTTTTATCTTCAAGGCCATGAAGGTTTTCCTCTTGACTATTTCTATTCTTTTTCCCCTCACAGACAGGGCTGGTCCTAGATGGAGGCTTCCAGTCTGCAGTGCAGGAGTGGTGCAAAGAGCCCGCCTCCAGGTGTGTAGAGCAAGGCCTAGAAATCAGGAGGCTGGTCTCTCCTCAGACCTCCAGCACTAGCTAGCTGTGTGACCTTGGGCAAATCATGTAACCTCTCTGGACCTCAATAATTTCATTTTTGGGGGGAAAAAAGGGTCTAGGTGCATTTCCAAGTTCTCTTCCTGCTCCAAAACATAGGCCTTTTGAAAAGTGTATGCTGAGCATAAATCATTAACCCAATCTTCCCCTGAAAATACAAATTCTTGGGAATATCAATGACAGAGTGGCTTTGCATGTAATAAGGAGGGGAAATACATCCCTACAGACTAGTCAAAAGATGTGCATGTCACCCATAATTTGGCCAGCCCCTGAGTGTAGAGACTTCGCTGGTACAGAGGGGAGTAGATGCAGTTTTATTACTGCAATTTTATTGCCCTCACCAGCTGCACTCTTTTCTCTATAAAAGGTAATTACTTCCAATAGTAACAAGCTAATTGATTGCTAATTAAATCAATTGGCACACTAACCGCTGTCAGAAAGTGACAGATTAGCAGGTCATGTGATGGCGTGTTAGTAATGAAAAGTGGACATGGTCTGAGGGTGATTGACACATGAGATGAAAAGCGATTTGGGATCTCCGAGGTGGTCAGAGAGAGGGCAGGGAGAACATGATTGATTCAATGGTGACTGTCAGAGAGGAAATGAGAATTGAATGGAATTCAGGGTCTGCCTGAACCCTCACCACATGATGCTCCAGGTTTTTTCACATGTAAATAAGGGAGATGGAGACTTCTTGCAAATGAAATGCCAAAATAGGAAGGACAAAAGGGAGGGGCTACAGAGAGTGAAAGTGTAGAAGCCTTAAAGGAACAGAGCCTTTTTTTTTTTTCATTTAAAAAGTGTGAAAATACAATAAGAATGATAAATATTGTTCATAACTTGCCCATGAATCTGGGCAACTTGGTGCCTGTGTACTTTTTTTAGGTGCCTTTTAGAAGGGGTTCATCTTTGGTCATTAGCAAAGAAAGTATTTATTGTCTGCATTAGCCACACATCACAGCCTGACTAGGATAATGAATGAGGAATAAATTTGGGGTGCAGAATAAGTGCACCATGACTCAGTTGCAATGTTATAAATATGTTTCAAAGTAAGTGATGGAGTCAGACTGTTGGCATTCTACCTACTCACCGCCTTGTCTGTAGCAGGCTTCTACTTCTGAAGTCACTTTTGAAGTTCAGAGCTGCCCTTGTACAGAGGAGTGAGAAACCACCCGCGCTGTGATTTGAGGTCAATGGAGGATCCCTATCCTTACACCTACTGGAGCCCCAAATCCTATCATCAGTCATTTATCTCTTTGGGATTTGAAGTCTTCTGAGTCCCCTCAGTAATAAATGGACAAGTAAGGATCCGAGGGTCAGTCCTGGCTCTGTATTTACTGGCTGTGGACATGCAAGGTCAGCCTAACTTCTCTGAGCCTATTTCCCATCTGTGAATTGGCTAGAATATTACTTGCTTCCCAGGGCTGTCACGTGAACTAACTGAGATAATTCATGCAGAATACCTGTGTACAAACAGTGTTTGATAAATAAAAGTTAGTAACATTAATATTAGCAGTAGATACTTTATTAAGCATCAACACAGACCTCGGCACAGCCTGGTGTGGAAAAAAGACCAGATTCTGGAGCCAGAAACAGGTGGGATAAACAAAATTCTGAAACTTCTATCCCCTTGAGAAATGTATGTAATTCCACACATCCTCATTTTAACATTATAAAATAGAGTAAAAATCCTTTTAAAATACAAATGGGGATATTTTGAGGATTAAACAATCTAATACACATGGACTTTCAAACGCAGATGCTAGAAAGTGTTAGTTCTTTCTGCTACACTCTGGATACTTCAGAAAAATAGGCAACACCAGTCCCGTTGTGGATCCTTGGAAAGCTGGTTTTTCTGAGAAGAAAGAGAAAGGCAAGTGGTAGAGACTTGGGAAATCTCTGGCCATTATATCCTCCACAAGTCCGTCTGCTGTGCACCTGCACCATTGAAAATGTTTCAGAACATTCAAATTGTAATTTCAGTATCCAGTGGGCAGGGGGTTGGTCCCATAACAAATCAGCCCTAACACAGGATCTACACATGTTTCACCTGTCCTTGCTGGGCTAGATTCCATCTCGTTCCAACAATGATCCGTGGGGCTCAGCTTCACAATTTTGCTGGTGACATGGAGTTCTCAGACATGAGTACGTAGAGAAGCAGATGGACAGAGGTGTGAACTGTGTTTCCTCCTGCAAAAGGGCAATCTCTGTCACACCCATGGCTCTCCTGAATGCTGTAGAGGACCAACTCATTGGAGGTCAACAATTTCTCAGCAGCACAGCTGTCCCGTAATATCCTGGATCCTGGAAGAAACAGAACCATGTGTTCTCACCCCTCACAGGGCACACATACACATCCTGCTCTGCTTCTGCTCAGACCACACTGCTTCTCTGCCAAAGGAGAGTGTTCTCACAGCACAGAGAAGGATCTGTCAATCCACAGGGACTGGTCATGATGTTGAGAGCTTTTCTGAGTGACTCAAGGAGGTAGATAATACAAATTCCCATAGTGCTTTTCAAGACATAGCTCAGTGTTTTCAACCTTGTCTGCCCATGGTAGGACATACTTTTCTGGGCCCTCCCCTTGAGATCCTAATTTCAGTGTCTGCAATGCTGCATGAGTATTTGGGTTTCTTAGAGCTTCCCAGGTGATTCCATGACAGCCAAAGTTGAGGATGATGACTAGGTTAGACAAGACAAACACTTGTGTGGAGCAAGGGAGTGCTTCATGGGAATGAGGAACAAGCCCAAGTCTCTGGGCTCCTGAAGGAGAGCTCATTGCATAGCCAGGTTCTGGGGAGCTCTCTATTATGCTGAGTTCCAGGCCTTGCTGCCAGGCATAGACAGTGTTTTGGGATTTTGGGCTGTTGCTCTCTTCTTTCCCTCCCTCTTTTATGTCCAGAGTCACAGTGCCCCACAGATACCATGGACAGAGCACATGCCCTTCTCCTGGATCCCCCTCCTTGAGGTGTCCAGACTCTAGAAACGGTAGTCCTTTGGTGAACTCTCAGATGTTCAGAATCTCGGGCAGCTTCCATCTCAATAGTTGGAGGCTGTGATAACTTCAGCAGGCGGCTTTCCATGTTTGGAAAAACACGTCCACAAGATGGCTTTTAACAAATTGTCATTTTGATTTTCAGCTTAGGAAAATGTAAGGAGTCTTCATGGCTTGAGCTCATCTCCCATCTGGACAGAGGGAGGCCAACCAGCATTAGAAAATGGATGAGTTCTTCCCAGGCCACCTTGTCTGGGGGTGCCCAAGAAAGTTACCATTATCTAATACCATGTGCCCACAGAGCTCAACTCATCACCCAGGTTTTCATCCAGTTACAGAACCAATGTCCTTCCAGAGCTCATTGCTTTTCTCAGCAGATGGGGAAGCCTCAGTCCAGAGACTGTATGGAATAATGGTTAAGGGCATGAACTCTGGAGCTATATTGCTGGGTTTAAAGCCTGGCTCTACCACTGTCTAGCCATGTGACTATGGACAAGTTACTTGTTTGTGCATATTTCTTCATCTGTGAAGTGGGGCTAATGATATGTATGTATGCCATAGGATTGCTGTGAGCATTAAATAAGCTAATATATCTAAGAGCATAAGCTAGTATTATAACAACATAAAAAGCATCAGGCAGAGAACTCTCAGAGAGAGGATTCTGAAAATATAGAACTTTGTATATAGAACTCATTCAAATATATAATTCATTTTAAATGATTGGAGGCTGATGCTTTCCAGAAACTATTGGGGAGAAAAAGCCCTCCTTAAAATTAATAGTAGTAGTTGTTGATAAGTCTGAATTGGGCAACTTCAGATAAAGATTATATCTTTTCCATTTAATTATTTGTTATTTTATTCAAGGAAGCAATCAATTTTAGCCTAGATCACAGAGTGTTTGATTGAAAAGGGACAATAAAAAATGAGAGGATCAACAGAACCAGCTTAGCAAAAGAAGACTATAATATGCTCCTAGACAGTCTCCCACATTTGACTAAGGGGTTCATGAGTTGCTATAGTGCTAAAGACAATCACTGCAGTGATGAGCCAGGTGTGTGCTAGGTGCTCACTTTAACCCTTATAACACCCCAGAAGCTTGATGTTGTCAGACCCATTTCAGAGAAAGGCTGAGAGATTAACTAACTGGTCCCAAATCACTCTGGAGAATAGTGTCATATCAGGGACCTAGTGCTGGTTTTTGCTACTGGTAGACTGGGCACTCAGCAGTGGCTATATCAAGATTGCCCTTGTTGAGTGGATGTCTGTGTTACAGAGCCCATGCATAGCCTCCATCCCTTCTACCATGGCCACTTTGTTCATGAGTCCATCAGGTGATGACAGGAGTAGCTGGAGAAAGAGGCTTACTGGTATCCACAAAAGAGATCATCTTATCCATTTGATTATTAAATTCTTCTTTGCTGAGGTCACCCTTTGATAAGCATTCTTAAGGGACAGAAATATCTTCTTATTCTTTGCCTATTCAGAGAAGTCTACCCACTTGCATTTTACCCAGACCTTGCCACGAATTTTCCAATTATGTTTCTTCCAAGTGCCTGACCATTCAGCCAAACCACTGGCCACAGCCCATGAATCAATATGTACTTATGCCTCTGGCTCATTTGTCTTTCCTATGAACAACCAGACACACTGCTCAAAGTTATGCCTACTAGAAGATTTTCCTTTATTACTGTCTTTCAGGGATGGCCCAGAAAGATGATATAGTGTTGCAACTGTCCATTTTTAAGTAGCACCCAAGGAAGACGTAGAACTATATGTTAAACAAGCCAGACTTTTCTCTTCCTCAGTCAATTGCTCATAGGAAATACCCCATGAGGCCATAGATGCAGGCTGGGATGGAAAGTTAATGAAGCAGGAACCATAGTATGCACATTTGAACCATTTCCTCATATATCTTACTTGTGCCTTCAGAACATGCTTGAGTCCAGTCTCATATATGTCACTTTCATATGATAATAGTGTGCTCCAGCACAAGACCAACAGTATGGTTTGGTGGATCAGTTCATGATGGGCATCTCAGGTTCCATGGTAACTTGGTGGCCCATGATTAAGTGTCCAGTCTCTTTTAAAGTCCAGTAGCAAGCCAAAAGCAGTTTCTCAAAGAAAGGCTGGCTGTTTGAAGAGGATGGCAGGAGCCAGCACATCCTAAAAATATGTGCTGTGATTCACCTACAGCATTTCTATCTGCCACTGGCACTTCACACATCATAGCATCTTCTGGATCAAGTGGCAGAGCAGTTTGCACAACAGCCTGAACCCCTGAAGAGACTTCTTTTATTCTAGACCTAGCTGAAAATTAGCAGCTTTTCAGGTCATTTGGTGAATGGACTGGAGTAGCACACCCAAACAAGGAGTGTGTTGCCTCCAAAATCCAAAGAGATGCACTAGGTATTGTTCTTTTGTGGTTGTAGGATAGGCCAGATGCAAAAGCTCATCCTTCATCTTAGAAGGGGTATCTTGACATGCCCCACACCACTGGATGTCTAAAAATTTCACTGAGGTGGATTTTTGTGAGATTATTTTCCATCCTCTGACATTCAAATGTCTCAACAATATGTCTAGAGTAGTGTAATTTCCTGTTTAGCAGGTTCAATCAGCATAATATCTCCCATGTCATGGGACCAGTATGACATCTTATGTATATGAGAAGTGATCAAAGTCCCTATGGACTATATTATGACATAGAACTAGAGAGTTGATGTGCACTGGGTAGGTGAGTGAAGGTGTACTCCTGGACTTGCCAGCTGAAAGCAAACTGCTTTTGGTGGCCTATACTAGCAAGTATCAAGAAAAAAGCATTTTACAGATCAATAGCTGCATACCAGCTACCAGGGGACATGTTCATTTGCTCAAGGAGCAAAGTCACATCTGCAACAGCATTTGCAACACGAGTCACTACTGGATTAATTTTATAGTAATCCACTATTATTCTCCAAGATCTGTTTGTTTTCCACAGGCCAAATAGGTAAGGTGAATAAAGATGCGATAGGAATCACACTGCCTCTGCATCTTTGAAGTTATTGATGGGGGCACCAATCTCTACAATCCCTCCAGAGACATGGTATTGCTTTTGCTTTACTGTTTTTGTAAGTAGTGACATTTATAGTGGCTTCCACTTGGCCTTTCCTACAATAATAACCCTCACTTCACAGGTCAGGGAACCAATTTGGAATTCTGCCAGTTGATTCAGGGATTCTCAATATGTCTGTTCCAATTAGGCATTGCAGAACTGGGAAAATACCCACAGGATGGACTCATGAAACTCTTGGACCCACTATAATATAACCCTGAGCTTAAACTCTATTGATCACCTGGCCTTCATAAGGTTTGTGTTACTATAACAAAATACCTGAAACTAGGTAATTTATATGCAATGGAAATTAATTTTCTTACAGTTATTGAAGCTGGGAAGTCCAAGATCAAGGCACCAGTAGGTTGGGTGTCTGCTGAAAGCTACATCTCTGCTTCCAAGATGATGCCTTGAATGTTATGCTCTCACATAGTGGAAGGGGCAGAAGAGCAAGAAGGAGTCTAGCTAGTTAGCCTCCAGGCCTTTTATTATTTCAGTAATTCCATCCACGATGGCTTTGCCTTCATAACACAATCACCTCCTCAAGGCTCCACCTCCTAATACTATCACATGGGTGTTTTAAGTTTCAACATGAATTTTGCAGGGGACACAAACATTCAAACCATAGTACTCCTATTCTGACTGGTTGACCGCAGTGATATTTTGGGTCTCTAGAAATTAGTGCCAGTTCAGAGCCAGAGTCCAGTAATACTCTGAAAGTCTGATTATTTCCCTTTCCCTGATGCGTGTTACTCCAGTGTATGTCTGTAAGTCCCTCTGGGGGTAGTCTAGGAGAAAGATTGATAGTATATATTCTTGGCAAGTGTTCCAGGGTCTTTCCTCAAGGAGACCCAACCTCCCTTTCATTCAAGGAACTCTGAGTATGTAACCTGACTCAAATCTAGGAACTGATTGAGGTGTTGTGCCTCTATTTTGGTGATTCTAGTTAAACTTCTGTCCATTCAACCTAGAACTCTTTTGCTTATACAGATCAAGTAGATAGAAGTTTCACAGACTGCCTATCTAATTCCTTTCTAGAGATGCTAAGACTAACTGGCCAATATGTAGGTATATGCAGAGCAGTCTATTCTCATGATGGCTTTGACTCTGTTGTCCACACTATGGACCCACAAACACCTTGCCCTTCTTAATTAAATGCTGCCACTTGGCCCCTGTCATTCTGGGACCAAGTGATTCCATTGCTTTTGAGGATGCTGGTTCAGCGGTAGCAGTCTTCACTGTCATTTCTGATCTACAGAGAACAACCACAGAGTTCTTTAAAGAAGCTGGGGCAACCCTCCCAAATTTATTTCTTGGAGTCGTGGTGAAACGTGTATCCTCTGGATCCTCTCAGAGTAAGCATGTAGGTTTCACATGAGAAATCCACTCTGCCATTCCAATATTCCTAAGCCTTTGGATACCTGCCTCTACAGTATACCAAGACTGTTCTGACATCTCAGTTCACTTAATGTAGGCCCATGCCTAGTCAACAAAGTATATTTTTAGAGCCCTTTCTAACCCTTTAAACTAAAACATATATGAGTATTAAGCACTTATACCTTGGAAGTCCACTATGTTAATAATAATTAATAGTCAAATAAAAATGTTTCAAGCTTTGATCACATTTATTATTAGATCCAATTTCCTCCAAAGATTATTGTGAATTTTGAGGCGCTTAATTTTTGTTTCCATCTTTTGCTCTGGCTTCCCTTTCTTACTGAACTTTCAATCTCATTTTTAATCTTATTTTCTGTGGTTCTTTTTTTTTCTGTCTACCCTAAGTAAACCAAAATGTGGAGCATAACTCTTCTCATTATTCTCTCCTAGATATTTTCTGCATAAGGAATGGTGTGGGTTATGCTTAGGACAGTGGAGGTGGGGTATTTTACAATGGAAAACTGAGCCTCTGGCTTTAATGTTGTTAAAGGCTCTCAGCCTTCCTACCATGGGACCTGCTTCCCGGGGTTTTCTTTTTCTCATGTCTTAGGCCTTTCCCATGGTGACAGACCCTCCTTGTGCCTTCTTTTCTTTCTGTATTTTCAACTTCTCCCTTTTCTTCCTTAGCTCCGAGCACCCTTAGCACCCATCTCTCCTAGGCTGTCCTGGACATTTCCAAATGCTCTCATTTTATAACATATGACAATTTCACATGTTATTTTTGCTTTCTTTCTCTGCCTTCTGACCAAATTTTCCCGAATGAGAATTTTTGTCTTAAGCTGTGAATCTCTTTATATAGTTTTTTCAAAACTGTATAAGGTTTAGTCTTCTATGAATGTCTTTTTACATCTATCATTTCACTTGTTCTTCACATACCCTTCAGGCTGGCAGAGCCAGTAAAATTGTCACCAGTTCATAGATGAAAAAGCTGAGACCAGGAAAAGTGATGTGAGAGGTCTCTGATCACCCAGCAAATGAACAACCCAAGAAACATAGACTCACAGATGGGAAAAATTCTTTGACGTCATCAATCCAACCTCTCATTAGACATGGGAATCTTTTGTGCAGTATCCCTGAAAGTTTCAGGAATGTTTGTCTGACATTGTTTAAGAGAGGAAAAATAAACACTGCCTCATGTATATGTACTGATATGCTCATTGAAGAGTACCATCAATCATTGTTTGATGGACATCTTCAGCACTGGAATGATTCCAGACACCCAGGGCTTCCTTAAGTAGTAACGTTGTCACACTTACACAGGGACTAGAATTGATACTTCCTACCTTTGTGAAGTGAATATAAGAAGGAGGCCTTTTTAAGCCAACTTGGAAGGAGTTCCTTGGCTATTAGAGGGATGGAGGCAGGGAGAGCCAGCCCTGACTCCGGTAGACTACCTGCCAACCTTAAATCTGACCACTTTTTGCAGGCCTGACCTGGCTTCCTATTTAAGTTGCATTTGCCTACTTTCCTCACCTCCCTCTCCACCAAAGCTAGATGATTCTCTGATACTGGATATCAAATTAGCTTGGTCTAAGTTCACCCTGTGGCTAGAGTTATCCATAAGGGAAGGTGGCACAGCTTTCTCCAGAAAAGGAGGTGCAGGTTGGTGGCCTGATGAATGCGACGTGCCAGGGCAATGGATGATGCTTGGACTCCTCCACAGATGGGGGCTGAAATGGGAATCTTCTGAGTTCAGTGCTAGGGTATGGAGTAGAACAAGGTAAAGACAAACAAACAAACAACTGGGCTGGACCCTTTGATTTGCCAGTAGGAGTCCTCACTTCCTCCTCTTCTAGGATTATCTCCAGAATTCTTCCAAGTCATGGTGTCTTTTCTTGGCCCTCTTTTTGGGACAATGACCTGCCCAACCCCCTTGTCCACTGGATCCTTCCTCGCTAAGCCCATCATTTTTGGGGCCCCCATGTGACAGCAGAGGAGGATTAGATACTGTTCTCTTCAACCATAATCAATTAGTGACCCCTTCACTTTTTTTTACTTATACCTTTGGCTTTTAGGAAAAAGACAGGAGAAGAATAAATCCACTGTTTTTTTCTTTCTTGACCTTATTCTGAGCTTCAAAACTAAATCCTCAGCCAGTGGCTCAAGTGTGTAATCCCAGATCTTTGGGAGGCCGAGGCGGGTGGATCACCTGAGGTCAGGAGTTTGAGAGCAGCCTGATCAACATGGCGAAACTTCATCTCTACTAAAAATACAAAGTTAGCTGGGCGTGGTTGTGGGTGACTGTAACCCCAGCTACTTGGGAGGCTGAGGCAGGAGAATCGCTTGAACCTGGGAGGTGGAGGTTGCAGTGAGCCAAGATCGCACCACTGCATTCCAGACCGGGTGACAGAGTGAGACTCCATTTCAAAAGCAAAAGCAAAACAAAACAAAACAAAACAAATGAAGAAACCTAAATCCTCAAACTTGCTAGAATATATTTTGGGAAGCCCATAGATCCTTTCTGTGTTTTTCATCAATTTCCTTGGTATATATACTTTCTGTTCTGCTGTCTTGCAAGCTGAGTGTTCTTGGGCATTGTGCCACATTTTTTTGTCATATTTCTTGACCTAAGCTTGGACTTTTAACTTCAAGGAGAGCAGCCAAGTGTCAAATTTGGCCTTTTCCAAGTATTGCTTACAGAAGGCCCAGCAATCCCCTGAAGTGACTGGCAACACTGTCCTTGGGCCAAATGCAGAAGGCAGCTGCAGATGGTGCGATAGAGAGATAGTGTGCGGAAGGCACCTCCGGCAAATCCTGGATGCCCAGGCCCAGCCAAACCACCAGACTCCTGGCTCCTAGTCAAGACCCCAGCCTTCCTCCATGAAGGCCGTATGGGATTGCATCCAGATACCTTAGGAGACTGTCTGGCAACCTGTTCCCCCAGCATGAGGTGCCTCCCTTCTCTGGCCTTGGACTCAGCCAGCACCTGAGGGAAGAATGCCTGGCAGAATGAAAGCCTAAGGACCTGTTTGTATCTTTTCATCCTTCAGTAGAACTCCACCTTTCTTAGGCTTTTAGATGAGGCTTTCTGTTCTTAAGTTCACCTTCTGATGCCAAATATGTAGACCTTGGGCCTGTCACTTTGCTCTCCAAGAGAGTCTCAGAACAACCCTCTGGGGACACGTTTTTGGTTTCAGTCTCTTCAGCAGGCATTATCCTTTCTTCTGGAGGTAACACCCCAAAGTTTATTCGTCCATTCCTAGCTCAGTTCATGTGGATCTGGTGGGGATCCTGCCTCCATAAGGAGAGTACAACTTGAGACTGGCCAGCCAGCACTTTGCATTCCCCCAGTCATGGGGATTGGTTCATTGTTGAGCACACAACCCAGGCCTTTTGCTTCAGAGTTGAACACATGCTTCAAATTGTTGTAATTAGAGGAAATTCTTCAGCTTATTATTAGCTCCTGAGGGAAAATGCTCAGTTTTAAAGTGGATTTGAAGAAGAAGGACTAGAGCTGTTGGCACCACTTTGTCACCACATGGAGCCTGAGAATGAAAGCAACATGGTAAGCAGAGCCAAGAGGGAATGGCTGGGTCCCAATGGCATCATTTCAGCTCTGAGATCAAACATTAAAAATACAATTATTTCTACCCTTGGATTTTTCTTTTCTGTTACATAGGACAAAACCTTATTTTTTCTTACTAAAGAAGTTTGATTTTGATTTAAAGAGCCCTAAAATCCTCTCTATGTCCCTTCTAACTGTAAACTTGACGTATCTAGCCTTGTTTAAGGCAAGGTAATAAAATTTTTCTTTGCAATCCACGTCAAGATTCTGGAAGCCAAGTTTAGACAAGAGAGTGAAATTGCTAGGTCCAGAGGTAAGCAAAAGTTCAGCTTTAGTATTTATTGCAAAAAAGTACCTGTTCAAGTGTTTTGTCCATTTTTTATTAGATTGTCTGAATTTTGTTATTGATTCATAAGGATTATTTGTATATTCTGGCTACCAGTCCTTTGTCAGATATGTGTTTCACAAATAACTTGTTTATACTTTCCCTTTCACTTTTTAAATGGCATCTTTTGATAAACAATTTTTTAAATTTTAACAAGTCCAACTTATCAGATGAGTTTTCTTTTATGTTTTCCTTTTTGTGTGATGTTCAGAATATTTTTTCCAATTCCAAGCAAAGTTATGAAGATACTCTCCTGTTGTCTTTTAGAAATGTAATTGTTTTACTTTTCATTTTAGGAAACCTATCTGGGTTCCTATCTGGAATTGATTTCTGTGTATGATGTGATGTGGGAGTGAAGTTCACGTATTCTCACAGGGACAACCAATTGACTAAGGCATCATTTCTTGAGGACACTCTTTACCCCCTGCCTTTCAGTAGCACATATAATTCTATATAGGATTTTTTATCCTATTCCATTGGTCTATTTGTCTGTACTTGTGCCAATTGCATGCTGTTTCAGTTGATGTTACTTCCTAATCAATCTTGATATCTGGCACTATCAATTCTGCAACTCTGTTCCTTTTCTTTAAAACAGTCTTATCATTACTGGCCATTTTTGTATATTCCTTAATATATCTAAGATCTCTTAAAATTTCTCTCAGTATTTTAAAGTACTTTTTGTGTAGAAGTCTTGTATACCTTCGGTTTATTTGTATACCTAGGAATAAATGATTTTATTATAATGAAATTAAATGAATAAAAATGTAAATGCTTTTTAAAAAATTTTTATTTTCTAATTATTTCTGCCAATATAGAAGAATACAATTTACTTGGTGTTAACTCTATGTCTGAAAATCTTCCTAAATTCACTTATAAATTCCAACAATTTATTTGTAGATGCTTTTGGGTTTTCTATGTGGAAGATTACATTTGCTGCAAATATGGTAAATTTCACCTCTTCCCTTCTAATATCTATTTATTTTTATTTATTTTTCTTGACTTGCTGTACTGGTAAGGTCTGCTAGTACAATAATGAATATGCATGACGATGGTGGACATCCTTAACTCTTTCCTGTTCTCAGGGAGAAAGATGATTATTTTAACAGTATGTAAGATGTTTGTTAGATTTTTGTAGGTACTCTAACAGATTAATAAAGTTCCCTTCTATTCTTATTTTGTGAAAAGTTCTTTTTTCAAATTGTGAATGAGTGTTGGATGTTATTAAATGCTCTTTTAACCTCTATTAAGGTGATCATGTATTTTTCTCTTTTATTTGATTAATGTGATAAATTATATTGCTTTTTGAGTGTTAAAACAAGTTTGTGTTTCTGATTATCTTTTCATATGCTGTTAGATTTAATTGGCCAGTATTTTGTTAGAGATTTTTACATCTGTGTTAATGAAAGAGACTAGTCTGTAAATTTATTTTACAGAATGTCCTTTGCAGGTTTAGTATTAAAGTTACACTGGTTTCACAAAATGAGTTTGAAAGTGTTCTATTAATATTTTTTACTATGCTCTAGGAAAGATTGTATAAAATTCATATCATTTCTTCATTTAATGTTTGGAGTAATTCAATGGTATAGTTATTTGGGACTGGGTTATTTTAGGGAAAGTTTTATATAAAAAAATTAATTATTTAATAGGTATGGAATTGTTTGGATTTTTTTCTGTTTCTTCTTGTGTTTATCTAAAGAATTATTACCAGGAATTGTGTCCATCTTACCTTTAAATTTTCAAATTTACTGCCATAAAGTTGTTACAATATTCTGTTAAAGTTTTTAATGTCTTTAGACTCTGTAATTATGTTCCGTTTTTTATTTCTCACATTTGGTATTCTGTCTTTGTTTTTGTTCATTTTGGTCATCTTAGGGGTTTATTGGTTAATCTTTTCAGTTTGACTTTGTTGATATTTTCCATTATATGTTTGCTTTTTATTTCATTAATTTCTTCTGTTCTTATTTTCTTTGTTTTAGTTTCTGTGGCTTTAATTGCTTATTTACTTATTTAATCTAAGTAAGATCACAGTTTCCTGAGATGGGTGCTTAAATCATTACTCTTCATCTTTTTTTTTTTTTTACTAAAATATGCATTTAAGATTACAAATTTTCTTCTACTGCTCCAGCGTTATCCTGCCATATTGATAAGCCATCTTTTGATTAAAATTCACTTCAAAATATTTTCTAATATCAATTGTCATTTATTCTTTGACTCATAGAGTATTTGGAAGCATATTGTTTCATTTCACAACACTTGGAAGTTTTTTGAGTTATCTTTGTCTCTGATTTCTCACTTAGATTAATTGCTGTCAAAACATACATTGCATTAAAGTCTACTTTGTCTAATATAAATAACACCTTCAGTTTTCTTTTGGTAAATGCTTTCATGAAGTATATTTTTTCATCTTTTCACTTTTAAACTTTCTGTTTCTATATATTTAAATCATATGTGTTATATGAAATACATAGTTGGGTTTTGTTACTCATCTAGCCCAACAATCTATCTATTCACTAGAGTGCTTTCTCCATTTCCATGTAATACAACTGGTATATTAGGGGTTAAATCTACAATCTTGCTATTAGTTTTCTGTTTATCCCATTTATTCTTTGTCCATTGGTTCCTCATTTTTTATCTTCTAAGGATTAATGTTATACTTTTATTAGTGAATTTATCTTATTAGATATAAGGATATAAATAGATATTTCAGTAATTACTTTAGATTTTACAATACTAATCCTTGACTTAGAGTATGTTTTAAATTAAATCTTTTATTCTCTTTGTGCCAACACAAAAATCTTAGAATATTTCATTTACGTTCCCCTCCCACTGCCTTTTGTGTTAGAATAGTGTGCATTTTATTTATTTGTTTGTTTGTTTTTTATTTTTTTGAGACATGGTCTCTCTCTCTCTGTTGCTTAGGCTGGAGTGCAGTAGTGTGATCGTAGCTCACTGCATCCTCAAACTCCTGAGCTTGTGCTCCCCCTGCCTCAGGCTCCAGAGTAGCTAGGAATACAGGTGTCTGCCACAATGACCAAATAGTTTTTAAATTTTTTTTGTAGAGACAGGTTCTCACTATGTTGCCCAGGCTGGTCTCGATTTCCTGGCTTCAGGTTATCCTCCTGCCTCAGTTTCCCAAAGTGTTGGGATTATAGACATGAGGCACTAAGCCCAGGCTGCATTTTAAGTCTACATAAATTTTAATCACCAAAATACATTATTATTTATGCTTTTTTTTTTTTTTTTTTTCTGGCGGAGTCTCGCTCTGTCACCCAGGCTGCAGTGCAGTGGTGCCATCTCGGCTCACTGCAAGCTCCGCCTCCCGGGTTCACGCCATTCTCCTGCCTCAGCCTTCCGAGTAGATGGGACTACAGGCGCCCGCCACCACCCCGGCTAATTTTTTGTATTTTTAGTAGAGATGGGCTTTCACCATGTTAGCCAGGATGGTCTCAATCTCCTGACCTCGTGATCCGCCCGCCTCGGCCTCCCAAAGTGCTGGGATTACAGGCGTGAGCCACCACACCCGGCCTAATTATGCTTTTAAAAGTTAATATTAACTTGGATTTGCCCACATTTTTACCATTTCCTGGGCTTTCTATTCCTTCCTAATTTAATATGCTTTCACCCGGGATAATTTTTTTTTCTGCCTAAATAATTCCTTTTAGTATTTATATTAATGGTGATGAATTCCCTCTGTGTTTGGATAAAAGATCTGTCTTTAAAAAAAAAACCGAAAACCATTTTTAGTTGATATATAATTCTAAGTTAGCAGTTACTTTCTTTCAGCACATAAATGATATGATTTCATTGTCTAGTGTCTTACTTATGATAGAGAATTACTTTTGTCTTGTTGTTTCTTTGAAAGTCATATATCATTTTAATTTGAATACTCTTTTAAAAAATAAACTTTAATTTTAGAATATTTTTAAATATACAGAAAAGTTACACTAATAGTACAGTTATTACACAGCCCATGCCTAATTTTTCCCTGTTATTAACATGTTATATTAGTATAGTTGGTTACAATTAATACACCAATATTGATAAATTATTATTAACTAAAGTCTATATGTTATTCAAATTCCTTAGTTTTATAATTTATTTGTTCCTGTAGCCCATCCAAGATGTCACATTATGTTTAGTTAATTATGTCTCCTTGGGCTCTTGTTAGCTGTGGCAGTTTTTCAGGCTTTTTTTTTGTTTGTTTTTGATGATCTTCAATTTTGAGGAATACTGGTCAGGTATTTTGTGGAATGTCTCTCAGTTGGGATTTGTCCTACATTTTTCTCAAGATTAGAACAAAGTTATGATTGTTTAAAAAGAAGATCACAGAGTTAAAGTGTCGTATCATATTAAGGGTACATGTTATCAACATGACATAACTGTAGATGTTAACCTTGACCACCTGGCTGAAGTAGTGTCTGTCAGATTTCTCCAGTGTAAAGTTATTCTTTTTCCATATTGTACTCTTTGGAAGAAAGCTGCTAGTTGCAGTCCACATTTAAAGAGTGAGGAGTTATGCTCTACCTCCTTGAGCTTGAAGCATCTATGCAAATTATTTGAAGATATTCTCATAGATTTGTTTCTTCTTATCTATCTATCTATCTATGTATCTATCTATCTATCCATCCTTCCATCTATCCATCCATCTAATCATGTATTTATATCAGTATGAATCCTCGGATATTTTAATACTTTCAGTATAATCGAATGCCACCTTATCTTTTTGCTCAGACTATTCCAGCTTTGGTCATCAATAGCCCTTTCTAACGGCCCTTGGGTTCATGTGTTCTTTTGCCATATCACCATTAATGTAGTTTTTCTGTTTGTTTGCTTGCTTTAGCACCTGGTTACTCTCTTGACTACAAGATGCATCTATAAATGTTTCTGCATGTGCCCATATATATGATATCACCAAGCTGACATCTTCATCTGAACACTTTTAAGATTTTTTTCTTTTTCTTTGATTTTCAGCAATTTAACTATAATGTACTTAATTATGGTTTTCTTTTTATGTATTCTGTTTGGGATTCTTAGAGCTACTTGAATGTGTGGCTTGATGCCTTTCAATGATTTTGGAATATCTTTGGTCATTATCTTTTTTTTCTCTCTCTCCTCCATTATTGGGACTTCAATTATTATTTTATATATACATATATGATTTACTTATATAACATCTTATATATATTATTATATATTAGATTTACTTATATAACTTCTTATATATATATCAGATTTATTTACCCAATTTTGTAGGTCTCTTATGGAAATGTCTGAATCTCTTTTTCTCTTATGTCTGTGGACTTCTCTCTACATATTTTTTCTTTATCTTTTAGGTTTTTTAAACTATAAAGAACACTGAGTCAATAATTTATCTTTCAATTTAGTAATTCTTTCTTTTGCATGGTCTAATTTTGTATTAACTCCATCTCTTAAATTACTTTTCAGTGATTTTATTTTTTTCTCATCTCAAATATTATTTTATTTTTTGTAGCCAGATTCCAATCCGTGAGAAAGTGCACCATATTTTCATCTATTTTCTTAAATATGTTAATCTTAGACATTGTTAAATCCTTGTCTGCTATCTACAGCATCCAAAGCCCAGTATTTAGATAAACTATAGAGGTTCTGGATAAGTTCTCATTCTCCAGCAGACATTTAATTTTCTCTAGGTGGAGAGTTAGACTATAAGAAAATTATCTTGATCTATTCAGTCAATATTAGTGTATTTCCATTTCCCCCTAACTCCTGAATCTCAACTGGAACTCTTGTTTGTTTTAAAAGCCCCCAGTTTCGGGCCAGGCATGGTGGCTCACGCTTGTAATCCCATCACTTTGGGAGGCCGAGGCAGGTGGATCAGGAGATCAGGAGATCGAGACCATCTTGGCCAACATGGTGAAACCCTGTCTCTACTAAAAATACAAAAATTAGCTGGGCGTGGTGGCAGGTGCCTGTAGTCCCAGCTGGTCGGGAGGCTGAGGCAGGAGCATCATTTGAACCCAGGAGGCGGAGGTTGCAGTGAGCCGAGATTGCGTCACTGTACTCCAGCCTGGCGACAGAGCGAGACTCCATCTCAAAAAAAAAAAAAAGCCCCCAGTTTCCTCCTCTATAAAATGTGGGTCATTGTAGAAGCTATCTCATAGGGTTGTTATGAGACTTAAGTGAGTTAATATTTGCAAGGCCCTTAGAATAGTACCTGGCATGTAGTGTTATGTAAGTATTTGTTAATTAAATTTTAATACTTTAATTTGATTTAAAAATTACATTTTTTTAACGATAGCAAGCAACGTCCTTAACAATATCCCCAAAATATGTACTATTGCAAGTTTCATTTAGCTGGTTTGTGTGTGTACATGACTGTGCACATATGTGTGTACAATCGTGTGTGCTCACACAAACATTTTGGTAATATCTCTTTACTCAGATCTATGACTTATGCCCACAGCTCAATCAAGTTAAAACAGCTGCCTAGATGTCTAGAGAATTATCTCTCTGGTGATTTTGAATGATCCAGGTACAAATAAAAGACATCCAGAGTAATCAGTTTCAAACTATGATCTCTGGCATCTTCTCAGACTCTGCTGGGAATTCGAACGAGGAGGGAAGAACAAAACAGAGGTAGATGAGGTTCTTACTCCTTCATTCATTTCAATCAGAAGAGCTCATAGCTATCTCTTTTATACTTGAACAAACATTTCCATGATTAAAAAACATTTAAATACAACTGCTCTCAGGGATGATTTGAGTCTGTGTGTCTCTGAGACAATTATCTACAGGTGTTATTTCTCATCACCAAATCTTGATAGATTTTGGATAAAAAGTGAGTTCAAGTTTGTTGTTCTCCTCAGCAAAAATATGGGGTGAGCTTTTTCCAGATTAAGGGGTGCATCATGTATTTTGATAACCAACTTGTTATATTAGGTTAAAGCTTTCTTTTGAAAATTATGGATAATAATAAAAACAGGCATTCCAATTCCACACCACACCAAGGAGGCTGAAGAAGAACCTGCAGACTTGGTCAGCACATTCCTCAAAGACTGTTTGAAACTTACTGTAATACGTTAGACTTATAGTTGAATGAGGCTCCCATATTCTCTGACCTAGAGAGCCACAATGCTTTTAACCTGGAAAATGCTCACTGTGGACATTACCAAGCATCCACCTGGCTTATAAAAACACATCAAAGGCCCATCATATACCTAATTGTGAAAAATGTTGACTTCATTCTAAGACTATAAAATAATAATGGCCACTCAAAAAAGGATACACTAAAACATTAAATCTACACATGGGTTGTAAGACATGCCCCAATTTCTCAGATGTTTATAATTTTTAAAATTGCATCTTAAAATCAAAGAAATATGGCATCTGCAAATGTGTGTTCATAGATAATATGTAGAATTATTGGTTAGAAGCAATTTAATATTGGAGAACATTTGTCGGACATGATAATTTGGGCTTTGAAATAAGTTACCTTTAATTGTCAGACAGTAATTATCTGTTGAAGTCATCCCTGGAGCAATACATAAGATTATATGATCATTGTAGAGAATAATATTTATCTTTCTAGATTAGTTGGTGAGTATCTAGTTCATTCAGAAGTCAAATTTAATTATTGACATCAATCACTGTCAAAAGAAAAGTTTTCCAGTTCCTACAAGGTAATCATAGTTTATTTTTTCCTTTTATTTATAGCATCTCTTCTTTTGATTTTGTTCTCATCTTGTTCCATTGGTTAGAATTTCCAGAACAATGTTAAATAATATTGTTTAATAGAGTTCTTCTTCATCTTTCCCTAATTTTGATGGAACTGTCTTTATAGATTCACCATTAACTACGACACTGGTAGTTATTTTGAACGTTTTCTTTATCATTCTGGAGAAATATCTATCTCTAGTTTATTAAGATATTTTAAAAGTAGAAAAAGAAGCAGAATTTAGTCCAAAGTGTTTTTTAGCATCTATAGCAATCATATAATTATATAATCATATTTTTCTTATTTATCATATTAGCACTTTATAATATTAACAATTTGATATTAAGTTACACCTAGAATTTATAATTTTAAAAGCACCTAGAACTATTCTGCAAAGGGAATCAGTTGCTCTGTGAATTACCTATGACAAGTTTCTAATCCCAGGCAGCCAGTCTCTATGTGCCAGCACGTGGTTGGTGTCTCAGGGACCAGAGACTAATTACAATAGTGTCAGCCTGGCCTGGGCACCATTAGGAGGTCAGACCTGCCAGAAGAAATCAATTATAAAAGATGAAACTTCCTTGGATGTGTTTGGTGCCACCGCCCGCTCCAAGGCCTGAGACCTTGCTTGCTGGTGCAAAGATCATGAATGCCAGAGCTTGTCATTTGTACACTACTTGGCACTGACCTTCCCTCCCACTCATCCTTGCCTTTCTGTTCAGCACAGAAATAATGATAAGATGAAGGGAGGATGTGGAGATAAGGATTCCTTTTTAACGGAGACTCTGGCTTCAGCCAAGAAAGCAGATTGCAGACAATTTCAGTAATCCCCCAGCAGAAAGCAGGCATGTGTACACATTTTCACACATATTCTGAAAGATTACACACATACTCAGACACTTATATCCTTCCCCTCACATTAAGAGACGAGTCGAGCATAGTAAGGGCTTACTATGGGCTTGTTTCATGAATGAGTAAGTGAACTTAGTTGTCCAAGAATGTCTTCATACTCACTACTCACATACACTTATAGATGCAAACGTAGGAGGATACCCTTCTCACAGCTTCCCACACACATGCCAAGGCTTTCATGGACCCCTCTAAGCCAAGCTAGGTATCTTCAGAAGTCTCTGCAACAGTTAGGTTGCAGATTTCAAGGTTTCAACCTTGGGGATTAAATCTCAATGTGAACTGCCTCAGTCACAGACAGATTTTTTGCTGCATATAATAGGAAGTCCAGAGATAGAGCAAGCTTCAGAACTGATCTGGAGGCTGTCATCAAGAACTAAACTTCATCCTATCACCTCCTCTGCCATTTGTGGAATCATCCTCACTCTGAGTCCAGTTCTCTTGTGGCTGCAGGATGGCCTCCAGGAGCAGTCGGTTACACATCTCCTAGTTCATATCAAGGAAAAGAAAACAAGAGGCCTTCCTAGGCTTTCTTAGGAGCCAGGAAGAACTTTCCAAGGCTTCCCTCAACTTTCTTAAGAGCAAGGAAGAACTTCTAAAAATCAATGGCAAATGTCTTCCTCCGTATTAAAGACCATAATTAGGGCAGTGCTCTTTCCTGAAATAGGAGATGAGATTGCACTTACACCAGGCAAGTCTACCTCCTGAGGGGGTCACAGCCAAGGGACAGATGCTGAGAAGTCAAGTATCAAAATCACAACAGCCTGGAAGCTATCTGCAACAAGTGAGTTCCCATTACTAGTCTCATATACGATAATAGGTGGTTAGAATGCAAGGTAGAGATTTATGGGCATGGCCCTCTCTGGCTCCCCTGAAATCACACCACAGAGGCAGCTGCCTTTCGTAGACACAAGGAAGGCAGCATCAGCTGGTCCAACCAGACCTCATTATTTCTTTCTCTCCTGGGACCTGTGCGTGGAGGCTGCTGAAGTGAGAACAGGGTCCCACATGTGCGGTAAGCGAGAAGTTCAAAGTGATATCTTGCCTTCATCCCTTCTTCTCTACTTTCCTCCTCCTGCTCCAGGGAAAATAAAGGAAGACAATTGTTTTGGTACAGACTTAGATTAGTCCTTGGTTATCTCTCAGTCCCCTGTCACCGCTGCTCCAACCAGAAAGCCAGAGTAGTTGATGTGTATGAGTGTGTGTGCATGCACACGTGTGTGTGAGTCTGTGTATGTGTGCTTGTGCATGTGCATCTGTATATCTCTGTGTGTGCACATATGCATGCACATAAGCATCTGCTGATCAAGCCATTGGCTGGTTTGCATAAAGCACAGGATACAGAGGCCCTAGGAAAAAAGACCTTTTGAATAAAAAACAATCTAAGTGGAGGGGGCTTTAGCTTTTTTATTTTTTAACAGCTTTATTGATATGTAATCACCTATCATACAATTCACATATTTGAGGTGTAAAAAAAAAAAATCCAGTGGCCTTTAGTGTATTCACAGAGCTGTCTATCCATCACCACAATCAATTTTAGAATATTATTGTTCCCCTAAAAAGAAACCCCACATCCTTCAGCTATCCCTCCCCAATATCCCCATCCCTCCCAGCCCTAGGAAATCAGCAATCTACTTTCTGTATCTATAGATTTGCCTATTCTGGGCATTTCAAATAAATGAAACTATGCAGTATGTAGGTTTTTAGTAGCTTCTTTCACTTAGCATAATGTTTTCAAGGTTCATCTGTGTTGTAGTATGAATCAGTACTTCATTTCCTTTTCATGGCTGGATAATAATCCATCATATGAATAAACCACATTTTATTTAACCATTAATCAGTTGTTAGCCATTTTGGTTGTTTTCACTTTTTAGCCACTATGGATAATACAGTTACGAACATTTGTGTTCAAGTTTTTATGTGGACATATTCTTTCATTTTTCTTGGGTATGTACTTAGGAGTAGAATTGCTGGCTCACATGGAAACTCTAGAACTAATTATTTGAGACCAGACTGTTCTCCAAAGCAGCTGTACCATTTAATATTCAGTGGAGTATGAGGGTTCTGATTTCTCTGCATCTTCACCAACACTTATGGTCCATCTTTTTTTATGACAACCATCCTAGTGGGTGTGAAGTAGTATCTCACTAGGGTTTTTCCATCAGGGAAATTTGCATTTTTTCTGATGACTGATGATGTCATCTTTTCATGTGCTCATTGAATATTTACAGATCTCCCTGGGGAAAGTGTGTCTATTTAGAGCCTCAGGTAAGTGAATTTACATTTCTGAACCTCAGTTTCACCTAAAGTGAGAATGAAATAGGTGGACTGAGTGATCACAAAGGAGCTTTTTCATTCTGGGTGTCTCTGGCTCCATGGAGGGGCTTTGAGAAGAGCTCTTGTTGTTGTTGTTGTTGTTGCCTTTCCTACCCCTTTGGCCTGAGTGATTTTCTTGTTTTCACTCTGCTTCCTGAGGAGGGCTCATCTTTGGCACTCAATTTAAGCTGTTTAGGAAATTCAAGTGTCATTCACTTTATCTTTGAGAGAGCACTCACAAATCGCAATACATCTGCTCCCTAATCTGTAGGGACAAGGTTAGTATCTGATATCCTGGGTATTAGACATCTCCTCCTGGCCTTCTATCAGGCATACAATGCATTATATTTATATCCATCATCAATGGCCTTTTATTGGAAAAATGAATATGAATGGTGCTTCTCAAGTATAAAAGGTAATAGTAATTCTTTTCATGATAATAAATGCTGTTGACTCAGATAAAAAAAAGAAATCTTCAACAGCCCGTCCTTATAACTTCAAGTTTTACTTGAAAATAAAAATCAAATATATATAGACATTTGATGAGATATACAGAATTGAAATCTTGGTCAAACTACTGTTTATTTTTATTTTTATTTTTATTTTACTTTAAGTTCTGGGATACATGTGCAGAACACGCAGGTTTGTCACATAGGTATACATGTGCCATGGTGGTTTGCTGCACCTATCAACCTGTCATCTAGGTTCTAAGCCCCACATGCATCAGGTATTTCTCCTAATGCTCTGCCTCCCCTTGCCCCCCACCACCCAACAGGCCCTGGTGTGTGATGTTTCCTTCCCTGTGTCCGTCAAACTACTATGTTTCTTCATCAGGAATAGAATAATGTTTAAAAATGTGTTAAGGATTATGCAGCTATTCTAGATTTTGTAATTTGTAAACCTTTTATCTAGGAATTCTTCTTTATATTTGGAACAAACAGTAAACTCTTAGTGATCTTAACATTTTGACCAGTATTTGCTTTTCACCTTTTCTTAGCTTTGAGGAATGCTTCCAGCTAGACATCTTCATGGCAAACTGGGAAAAATCTGAAGGAGAAAGACAACAAATCATTTTTTTTCAAGTCACTTTAGGCAATTGCCACCATTTTATTAAGGTGCTTAATAAGAAGGTGAAGACTTTGCTAAGCTGGGTATCCATCCATTCAATAAAGTCAACAGGAAACAAACTTGGTAGGTTGCAGGGAATATTTAATTGCTGCAGGCAGAGTTCTGAATGCTTTTCTTAAGGAAAAAAATACTCTCACATTTGATTTATAGGCCGAATTTTTTTAAAGCTTTCCCCTTTAGATACACAAGCAGATAATTTTACCAAAAATAATTATTTACAGTGCAGTGTTGCTTAGTAACAAACACTCATCATCACCTCTATGACTCCCAGTCCGGGAGAGCTCTCATCCTAGTTTTGCCTGCTGTGTGACTCTGTGCCTCTCATTGAGCACCTCTGGGCTTTGCTTTCCTCTTCTGTGTGGCTGCTCTGCACCAGGTGCTTTACATACACTATCTCATTAAGCCAATGCCAGGAAACAAAATGTTAAACTCTTTCCAGAGCTGCTCCCACCCTTCTTTTCTTTCCCCACATAGTGAATAAGGTTGGAATGCATAATCTAGTATTTAGATTTGAATCTCAGCCCTACCACTTATTGACTTTATGCAAGTTAATATGTACCTGAGCCTCAGTTTCCCCCAGCAGTGTGTAGCAGTGTTCTTAGCTTGAGCCTAATCTATCCTCACTCTGTAAGTCAAAATGATTAGAACATGTCTAGAAGGGTCCACTGGATTAAAGGGGAGATTCTGCATTCAGTATTATAGCTTCCCCCAGACAGTCCTCTAATGGTAGCTTGGCAGATAACATGGAAGGCAGATTTGCTTCCTTTCCTTATTTATATGCTTGCTTTATCTGGAAAAGCACTATCTATGCCAATCAAATGTTGGGTAGAGAACTAAGCAGTCTGTATGGGATATATATGATGAATTTAATGAGCCAGCACAGTTGCTTTCAGTTAGTTGTATCAAACACTACTGCCTGCTTAACCAATATCCATTCTTTCCAAATAGTACCTCAGTTTTATTCAGATTTCCATGCTTATCTATGTGGCCTGGGAGTTCAGGAGAGGTGGACTCCATACTCTGAGTGAGAATGCTGATTGGTCTAAGCCAGTTATTGTAACATCAAATTCCTTGTCACTGATTGGTTGGAGCATGAACAAGAGAGAAAATTCAGATCAGTGAATCATTGGGGAGATATCTGCTGGGGGTTTCTTCTCATGACAAGGAGAAAATAAAGAACAGAGTAGAGTAGGCTGGGCATGGTGGCTCATGCCTGTAATCCCAGGCTGAGGGAGGAGGATTGCTTGACCCTAGGAATTCAAGACCAGCCTGGGAAACATAGTGAGACCCTCTCTCTACACACAGACACACACACACACACACACACGCAAACACACGCACACACACTTACACTTAAAAAGATTAGCCAGGCATGGTGGCACATCACTGTAATCTCAGCTACTCAAGAGGCTGAGGTAGAGGATTGTTTGAGTCCTGGAGATTGAGGCTGCAGTGAACCATGATCACCTCACTGTACTCCAGCCTGGGTGACAGAGCAAGACCCTGTCTCAAAAAAGAAAAGAACAGAGTGAACATGGTAATGATAGAACAGATAGATGCACAAAACTTACGTCAATGAAAATATTATTGTACTGCTGAATCAGCAAATCTTATGAGATAAGAGATATTCCTAATTGATTAAGCCACTTTGTTTTGAGTGTTTAACTAACCAGAAAGTGGCTTAGCCAACAAAGAATACTTCTGTCTGGCCACTTGCTTTAGCCATCTCCTGCAAGACTGAATAAGGGGTTCTCATTTTTTCTTTTAAATCCGTAAGTCATCTCTGCTCCTGACAGAGTTGAAGATGTTGGTCAACTTTCCCAGGGTAATCCAGGAGGTTCATCATGTGAAAGGCAAAGTATTGGTCCAGGTGTGACTAGTCTAGAGGGTCTATCTGTGGGTTTCTTTAGGTAAAATTGAAATATAATTCATAGAGCGAGGACAAGTCACCACACTGATGGCATGGGTCAGTTGTAGTTTGGGAATAATGTTTTATCTCCTTAGCGAATTCAGAATCAGATACACTCAGGGTAAATTCTCTACTCTATTATTTCTGTAATGTGGCTTAATAAATATCACATAGGATTGCATTGAAAATTATTAGACTGGCATGCTACCGACTGCGCTAACGAGGCATCTAGGATTGCCTTGAATATTAATTGAGATAAAGCATATAAAGAGAATAGCACAATGGTCAACCCATAGGAATGCTCAGCACTTGTTATCATTATCACCATCATCATCATCATCATTATCATCATCACCATCATCATCACCAGTGTCATTCTCATAATCCTTCTTCCTCTCCTGCTAAGGTCGAAATTGGACTTATGTTCATAAATAGGCAATGCTGCTTAACAGTGTCTTGAAATGTGGTCACTTAATGGTTCTGTATGGATCTGTCTCCTCCAATAATAATAATGACTACATTTTGTTAAAAGCTTACTATGCACAAAACTTAGGTCCATGAAGAAGTCATTGTACTGCTGAATCCACAGATCTTATGGGATAATTTATAACAGCTCACACTGTTAAAAGCATAGTATGTGCATTATCTCATTAAAATCTTGAGGACACTGAGATACTGAGCTGAAGCAACTATCCCAAGTTCCCACAGCAGTAAGTGGCAGAGCCAGGTCTGAGCCCAGGCATTCAGACTTCAGAAGCAAGCCATCCTTAAAGACATGATGCTTTCTGCCTCATTAAAGTGACTCTTGCTGATGCCTACTACATGCTGGACATCAGTCAAGGTCTTTATAATATTCACCTAATTAATCTCACAGCCTTTATGACATAGCTGTTAAGAAGTGAGAGGGGTCTCAGATTCACCCTACTTGCAAGCTAACAAGTTACTCTGCCACCATTTTATGGATGCTGGTAGAAGACACAAGAGACCTGGGTTAAAGACAAAGGACATAACAATAGAAGTAGTCAGAGTATTAGAAATTGCATGGCAATTCCCCAAGCTTTCACACAGAGTGGTGTGAAGAGGGCCAGATGACACCCGTACACACAGTGGGTTGAGATACAGGAGACAAACTCTCAGCTTAGGGAAGTTGAATCTTTTCTAAGAGGTAGTAAGCCTACCTATCCTTTGCTCTGGAAGGAGACAATAGCCTCTCTTTTCATGGCACCAAGCCTCATCTTTCAAGACTATGCAAATATTCTTGAAGAGAGAGGCCAAAACAAAGAGCAAGCCATGCCTTGCTCACAAGATAATGCAGAAAGTCAAGAGACCCCTGGAGAACTGTCTCTCAACAACAGGTATTATTATTAGTCTTACTATACAAATAAGAAGACTGAGGCCCAAGATGATGCAACTTGCTCAATGTCACATGACCAGGTTTGAATTCTGCTCTGCCTCATCTTTGCTATGTGACCTTGCTTAATTTATGCCACCTGTGAATTCTACCTCCTTAATATGTTTACTATGAGTCCCTTCCTCCCTCTTCCCACTCTAACCCTTATATCAGACTGTGTGACTTCTTACCTGTGTCATTGTACCAGTTTCTAACGACCTTAATCTTACCTTCCTCCAGTCTTTCTTAAAGATTTTACCAGAGTCTTCTTTCTAAAATGCAAATCTGATTATATGATTCCCCATCCTTTAAGTCTTTTAATGACTTGCTACTACTTACAATGCTTACCATGGCATACAAAATCCTTACTCATTTGGTCCCTGCCTACCTTTCTGATAGTCACGCCTGCTAGAACTAATTACAGTTCACGCTCTTTCCAGCTGCTATGCACTTGATTTCCTCTGCTTGGAAAATCTGGCAAGTTCCATCAGTTTTTAACAATCTCACACTTGGCATCAACTCTGTAAAGCTTTGTCAGAATTTCTCTCCCACCCACCAGACAGAATCCCTTCTTCTTCCCTCTTCTTTCCTTTCCCTGCTTCTTACCATTTGGCTCTTTCCTTCTTTCTTGCACTGTATCCATTCAAATCCCATTCTCTTAGCCACCCATGTCCTGTCAGTGGTAAAGACCTCTGGTGCCCAGGCCATCTGTGCATTTCACTGCAGTTTCTGGAGTCATTATCCTTCACTTTTGTTTTTCTTCCAAATTTTATTTTAGGCTTATGGGGTGCATGTGCGGTTTGTTACATGGGTAAATTGCATGTTGCTGGAGTGTGATGAACAAATGATTTTGTCACCCAGAAAGTGAGCATAGTACCCAATATATCCTCTACTTCTGAAATGGGATTTGCCTTTCTCAAAATGGAGTGCTGCTTTGACTCCTCAAAAATGCAGAAATCAGTAGTTGTCTTGGGTAGGGAGTAGAATTACAAATTGACTAGAATGAGCACAAGAGAAACTTCTGGGTTGACGGAAATGATTTGTATATTGATTATGGTGCTAGGAACAGATCAGGTCAATGACATATAAGCTGAAGTTGCAAGTCAATTGCCTTAAAATGGGAGCAGACTTAGCTAGCACATGTCCTTCTCTCTCTTCTCTGTTTCTGCCTGGCTCTTGGAAGCAATGGTGAAGGCAGAGCAAATATCTTGTCCCTATGAGACCATCAGAAAATGGAAAGGATAACAGAGGAGAAAACAGGAGTCTGGGTCTCCAGTGGCACCATGGAGCCTTTTTAGCAGCCCTCACTACCCATCTCCACATATCTTATTTGCGCTTAAAATGTTCGAGCCATTTTTTTTCTGATTCCAGTTGCACACAGCTGGGTGCAGTTCCTAATTTACACCTTTTTGAAGCTGTATGTCTAACACTGGCAAAAGCCAGAGAATCAATGAGCAATACATTCAATCGGTGCAGGTCAAAATCATTCACTTGCTTTACCCCTTTTGTAATTGGTGGAATTTTACTTCTCAACAGCCAGATATTTGCTTTAAGTTTTCTTTTTCTCTGTTGATGTGGATTAGTCTTCCTCAGTCTCAAGCTTGCCACTCAGATGGAAATCAGGCCCTCCCCAGCGCCACAAGGTGGAACAGGTTCTAATGGAATCAACTCAGGCCAGCCCTGGAGTGTCACTTTGTTCTTTGTTTTTATATAAAAGTCTGCCAACCAGAACCTAAATAAATCAATAGTGGCTAAATATGGAGGTTCCTCTTTTTAAATTTCTTCATTCCTTTCTTTTGTTTTCTTTCTTTCTTTTTCTTTCTCTCTCTCTTTCTTTCTTCCTTTCTCTCTCTTTCTTTCTTTCTTCCTTTCCTTTCCTTCCTTCTTTCTTTCCTTCCTTCTTTCTTTGTTTTTCTTCCTTTCCTTTCCTTTCCTTTCCTTTCCTTTCCTTTCCTTCCTTCTTTCTTTCCTTCCTTCTTTCTTTGTTTTTCTTCCTTTCCTTTCCTTTCCTTCCTTCTTTCTTTCCTTCCTTCTTTCTTTCTTTCTTTTTATTTTTTGAGATGGAGTTTCACTCTTGTTGCCCAGGCTGGAGTGCAATGGCACAATCTCAGCTCACCACAACCTCTGCCTCCCAGGTTCAAGCGATTCTCCTGCCTCAGCCTCCCGAGTAGCATACGACTCCACACCTGGCTTTTGTGTGTGTGTGTGTGTTTTTATTATGGATGGGGTTTCTCCATGTTGGTCAGGCTGGTCTCGAACTCCCAACCTCAGGTGATCTGCCCGCCTCGGCCTCCCAAAGTGTTGGGATTACAGACGTGAGTCACTGTGCCAGCCCTCTTTTTAAATTTCTTTGGACCCCTCAATAAATCTGAAAACAAGAATGAAAGCAATTCTATCAGGGGTCCTCACTGAGGCAGAGAGGAAGATTAGAGATTCCCTGGGGCAAGGAGCAGAGAGAAGCCTGTATTCTTTATTAAGCCCAGCCCCACCTGCCTCACCACACTCACCTCGAAGCCCTGGCTCCATCCCAGGCATGACAGGGGCAGGCCTTGGGTCCAGTCAGGTGTGGTGCAGCCCACTGTCATTCCTGGCCAAAAAACCTGCAATTTCACACGCCGGAGCTGGGGACTAGTCTGAGGAAAGAGGTCGGCACATTTCCTCCCTTGCGAGCAGAATCCAAGTGCTGTCACCTTTCCCTGATGATGCGCTAATTACAGCCTCTTTATCTCTTTCTCCTCCCCGAGGCCACTTCTGTCTGCTTCTCCTGCCAGCTCTGAGCCCCTATTCTGTGCCAGGTGAGTCACTAAGGCTGGAGACCCTGAGAGGAGGCACTCGTGGTTCCATCCTCACAGGCTCCTGGGCTATTGGAGCTTCTTGGGCCTGTGGAAGGCACCTGCTTGGGCATCACATTGGCAAAAACTTTATTCCAGGAGATGCTGATGCCTCAGTCTGGTGAAAGGGGTGGCTGGGAGTTTGTGTCTTAATCCCTCTCCCCATTTGAGTCTGATGCAGACTTAGATTTAGGAACTTCATTTCTAGAGGACAAAGAAGGCTCCAGTGGATTCTCCATTCCCCACTCCCCAAAGCCCTATTCTTGCCCACCTTTGCTCATGCCCTCCTCCTGCTCCTTCCTATTTAAATCTGCTGTCACATCAACCCCTAGTGTCAAGTTTGGTCCTCACCAACTTCATGAAGCCATCAGCAGCAACTCTGGTTTGCAATGGTTCCTCTTTCTCTAGGCTGTTTAATGTGGGGCCTTCCCTCGTTTAGCAATGGATCCACAGAGCCTAGGCAATTTCTTTTGTCATGAGTATATTTTATATCACCTGTCAAAATGTGAGCCCTTATACACTGCACCTCTGTGGTACACTTCACAGACTTAGAGTACCTGGCGCCATGTGTCACAGCAGAGGTGCTGAGCCTGGTCTAGTTACCACAGTTGTCCACATTATGAAGTTTGGCATCAGGCAGGCACAGGTTCAAATCTCAGCTTGGCAATATCTAAGATCTATGACTTTGGTCAAAGTCCTAAGTCCCATGGGCCCTATTTGCCTCAGTTTCAGAAAAAAAGGGTTTAGTACAGAAACAGACTCCCAACAACTGTTGACTAAAGGGTGGTTATTGTCAGGATAGACTGGGTTATTTCTTTTTCTTTACATTCTTTTTATCTCCTTCACTCTTGTGATATCCTTCCTGTTGTTGGTGTGAAAATAATGCTAATTTTTACTAACACGAAACTGATGTATAACTTACACCAGCAAGCATGTTTCAGTTGTCACAGACCACAGGCCATGCAAGGCCTTTGAAAATGAGACACACAGTCACACCATAGATGTAGGTTTGTTATATAAGCTTAGCACTTAAGAAACTACCTGTTTCTCTGTAAGTACCACACATGTAGTTGGACTGTTCTGCTACCAGGTGAGCAATGTTGATTTTTTTGTTATAGCTTCTTTAGGAAGACAGCCATATCCCTGGTAAACAGAAAGATTAACATATTGTCCCCACTCAACTGTGCTTCTACTATGTAAATATAAACACTTCTAAAAGCAGCTAAACAGAGAAAGGGAAAGGGAAAGAAAGGATTCACAGGTCTGTGCTACTCAAAGTGTAACCTGAGGACCAGCTGCATTGGCATCATCTGGTAGCTTGGCAGGAATGCAGAGACTCAGGCCCCACCCCAGATCCAGTGAATCAGAATCTGCATTTTAACAAGATCCACAGTGATTCATGTGCACATAAAGTTTGCAAAGGGGCTTCCATGGAGAACATTTAAAAAATGACAACAAGTGGTCTAAGATACAATTTGGTCCCTCTCGTGAACCTTAACTGATGTCATGCGCTGTTTGTTAGCACTTTACTGCACACTAAGATGAGGGAGTTCCTTTATTTCTTGATTTATGCTTCATAAGAATCCTTAATACAAGTGGAAGCAGTTACTGTTCACATAGTCCCATTCCTTAATATCTTCGGCTGCTACGCTTTAGATAGTCGATTACAGGGGGATGAGATTGTGACCATGTTAAATACATCAACATTTGTATCTCCCAGTGGCCGTAGAAATAGACAGGCTTGCAATTCCTTTATTCATCAATGATTTTACTGTGCATTTAGGCATTGGGCTGGCCCCTGAAGATAGAAAATGAGCAGAAGATGGCCCTTGCTATGCTCAGGAGAAAGGCAGATGTAAGAAACACCCTGGCAGTCCAACATGTGGGCAAAATGATGTGAAGGCAAAGAGGAGGGAGTGGCTTTGATCTCTCCAGCAGTGTTATGGAGGAAATGTCCCCTACCCCTTTCCCACACTGTAGTAAGGAAGACAGACCTGAGGAGGCAGCAGCTGGAATAAAAAGACACCCATGAAAGACCACTGGGATTTCAAATCACAAAATCCTCTCTCTTCTTTGTACAGCCTCTCTTCTCAGGCAGACACCATTGCTTCCTACATCTTTATTAACCCTTAATTCCAGGAACCAAAAGCAATGTCTTTAAATTTGTCTCCTCCTGAACTGAGATCAATAGCTTGCCTTGACTTTATTCTTACTATAACTTCTCTACTGAGGTTTCCTTCTAGATATTTTACAGCATCTCTACTACAATTAGATCAGGAAACAAAGAAATAAACTAAACCTTATCGGTGTTTTATGCCAATATCTGGCAATACTGTGGAAGAGATGTTTTGATTAGGCAATTTTCATTACTAAAAACACTATGGCACAATAAATTAATTCAATGTTGTGCACTTATCTATTAGACACCTTACTATAGGAGTATAAAAATGTTAATTATTCATTATCATCACTCTGATTATTTGTTGTGGCTGATAATTACATTGAATATATTTTATATCAGTAATAACCTTCTGTCTACATTTACAACATGTCGTATCTTGGGGGCTTGTCAAGTTTTTTCCCCAAGCCTTTCCTTTATTAAGACACAGACCTCAGGAGTACATAACCTTTATGTTGAAGGCTGATTTTCTTCTTTCATATAAAGAGCAAATATTATAGATTAATTAATCCAGGATGATTATAATTTAATCACTCTTCCTCTGGCTTCACGAGGGATTTGGCTTTTATTCAGTTGCTCATTCATATTGTTATGAAGAATAAATGCAGGCATAAAATATTTGTGTGCCGTGAATTCACAGAACAACTAACCTGAGAACCTGGAGGGGGATGTGTGCCAGCCGAGCACTCACTAACATCCCAGGCCATGTGGCCTCGGGCTCGAGTACCAGCTGGTGACCCACAGATGAAGGCACTTCACACCAGTGCAGGAGTGCTTGGTCCCTAAATCAACTGAATTTGGTGTAGTTCAACCACAAACAAAATATCTCAGTTCCACAAAATGTACCCAGTTCCTACTATGTTGGACTCTGAGCACTGTGTTGGACTCTGAGAATAAACTCCTTACCAGCTGCTTGATCTTGGCACCCTTATTTAATCTCCTTGTGCCTTGGTTTCCTCATCTGTAATAACGGAACCTTCTTCACTGGGTAGTGAGGATTAAATAGGATGATAATACCTGTTGAAAGGCCCTTAATGATATCTGGCACTGGCAAACACTCAATAAATCTAAGCTGTAATTATTACTATTACTATTCAGGCACGATTTCTCTTGTTGAGGTGGAGACAGGTGTATAAAAAGTAACGCAATAATTTGTTCCAGTACAGTGACTGAAGTCTATTGAAAGGCACACATGAAGGACGTGGCCAGTCTCCTTTGGGTGCAGTGAGCTGGGCAGACTTCCGGAAAGAAGAGACCCTCAGAGCGAATTCACGCAATGAATATGTTATATATGTCCACTGAGATGGTGGTGGTGGATGGGGTCAGGGGGCATTCTGAGAAGAGAGTGAGTGGTCAGTAATAGCTGTGAAGCTTGTCGGTCTCCGTGGGGATACAGTCAGCAAATGTGGCCAAACATGGTGGGAGGGCAGCTTGGATCTCACCCTGAAGGCACTGAGGAGCCATTAAAGGCTTTTCAGCAGGGAAGTCACACATCAGATTAGATTGCAGGAATGTCCTGCAGCAGCCAGTGTGGGAGCCAAGTGGGACAGGCGGTTGGCAGGGAGTCCATACAGGAGAGGATCGATGGCAGGATGCAGGTGAGAGCTGTGAGATCTGAGCTAGGCAGGGAGTGTGGGCTCATGGTGCAGAAATTATACATGCAACTGCACAACTGGTCCAAGGATGCCTTCAGAGAGGAGCAAGGAGGCTTCTGAGTTTGTTTTAAAATAACAGCTATATTACTGGCGGGGTCCTCCATTCCTACAGAACAGGAAGGAATGAGGGAGAATTACAGGTGAAAGGCACAAGTGGAAGACAACCACCACCCACATTTATTATGTACCTCCTGCATGCCAGATACTGTACAAAATGTAATAGGTAACTTTTATTACCTTGTTAAATCCTCGCAGCAGCTCAATGAGGAAAATGCCATGATGATCCCCACTTTACAGATGAGGAAAAGGAGGCTCTGATTGTTACATATCAGGGCTGCAGAGCAGAAGGTGGTAGCTTTGAACTCGGGAACATTTTCCCACTTGATTATCATTGTCAATGAAATGAGCAATACGAGTCCTGTACCTTGGTGGTGTTTCATTCCATATCTTCAATGGGAACTGTCGGAGCCCCCATACTGGGTTGCTCTCAGGTGGGCATACTGTGGGGCTCCTGGGAGAATGTACCAGGCTTTTGAGTAGCCATGGTTATGTGTTGTGTAATGTTTACATTGTAACCACTGTAGGAAAGGGCTGCTCCTTTGAGGTGAGTGTTCTCCCCAGACATGGAAAAGGCTGGGCTTCCAGGGCGGCCGCATCCCACAGCTGCAGGAGATGGCATGGGCAGTGACTACAAGCCAGCAAAGTAGGTGGCTATTCAAGGGAGGCTGGTGCAGATGAGGGCGCTCTCTGATTCATAGAGAACAAGACGCCTGAGGAGATCTCAGGGACAAGAAAAGTTCCAACTGAGAAGACACCTGAGACACCTTTGGCTCAGGGCACTGAGGTAGCAGGTGGAAGAATATGGTCCCCAAGTTCCTTATTTCTGTGGGCCTCAGTTTTCTCTTTTGCTAAGCGAGCAACTTCTCACAGGAGTGTGGCGAGAACTAGTGAAGATGGTGATTCACCAGTAGAGTGACAGGCCAGGTACGTTCCACTAATGTTCCTTTCTGTCCTAGGAAGGGGGCTCCAGGCAACCAAGAGACAGCAAGATGCACAATGAGGATCCCATACATGGCAGTGCCACCGCCCAGCAGCAGAGGGTGGGGTGGCTGTGACCCGGGGCTCCTGACAAGTGGGTTGGCCTCCAATAGAATTTTGAGGAGGGATTTGGAGGATACTTTTGGAAGACAACAAAAAGAGATTAATTAGCTTAAAGAGTGCCCTTAATAATCAGTTTTCGGCCCTGGCTGCATGTAAGAATTGTTTAGCCTTTAGCCTGCACACCCAGAGACTGAGATTCAAGTGGGCCCAACTACAGGTATATTTTAAAATCTTCCCAGGATATTCTAAAAAGTCCCCAGAGTTAAAATTACCAATTTAGGCAAAGGGTGAAGGGTGGCTACTTAGGCTCCACCAGGCATTACCATGGTCTCAGGAAGCCTCCCCCAAGCTCAGATACATTAACAGGCAGCTTTGCAGAAATAGCAACAAAACTTTTCAAGCCAAGGAAATGTCAGAGGGCAAACCCCTTGGAAGGCTCTCCCAGTCATTCAATGTTTCCACTGGGGTACAGTACAATCTGAATGCTGTAGTTTGGGCCAGCCACAAAATGTAGCAACACTTCCTTCAGAATCTCCATTGTCTAGCAGCTCGGGGATGGGAGAATGAGCAAAACTCATGACAGCAGCCCTGTGGCCCAGCATTTCATGCCTGTATGGTAGGATGCGGTACTGTCCTTGAGCAGAAGGGATTGCTGCAGGAATAATGACTTCAGCTGTGCTCACGATCTGAGCTACCCACAGTGCAGGGCAGGTCATGACTAGTTTGGCCTGGTCTGCATCTATGTAGTCAACTCTCAACTCTGCAGGAGAGGATTTTCCTGTTTATGGATTACGTTTGACCAACTTTTAATTCCAGCCTGTTTTTTTCCACTACTCCACCCTCTCTGGGTCTTCCTCCCCATTTTCCTGGATGACATTCAGACTCCTACAACATTTACCTCTGCAACTGTAACTAGGATGTCAAGCTGGTTTGCAGTGTTCATTTTGGTGCTGAACCTACCGCAGGCACCAAATGTCTGTTGATTGATTGGTTGTCACCAGAACATAATGTGTAGCTCAAAGCACAGGAGAATGATGTTTGGATGGTCTTCTTTCCTACATGTGCTGATGAGCAAGAGTTGACTGTGATATCTTCTAGACTGAATAATTGCCCTTTCTACAAATGCCTCTGGAGTCCAGAAATATAGAACAGACAATGTCTCTTTATTATCACAGTGATACCTTTATATAATCTCTTGTTGGTTCAGTTATGTTTTAGACCTAATATGTAATCTAGCAGAGTTTCCACAGCGATCCAACCTGAAGTTTATTTTTACTATTTAACCATTGAGGAGCTATATTTATTAATTATTATAACCTGATTTAAATGTGTTTCTAAAAGTTTAGAGAGAAAAGACAAAAATAAGGCATTTTAAGAGAGCAGATGTCTAAACTCAAGTGCTGAAATAACTTCAGAAACCATAATAGCTTAATGAAAGGCCTGTATAATGTTTGATTTAAAAAACAAGAGTGAAGTAGGCTGATGGGCACAGGAGAAACTCTTAACTTTGAATGTTATAACAGGGTTTGATGTATACATCTGAGAATCAGTCTATAGACTGATGTTTTTTCTAAGAGAGTAAGTTTAGATTTTAAGAGGAAGGATTCACATAGGAAAAAGTTATCTCCTAGAAAAGATGCTGCAGAATTATTAGGTCCTTAGGATGGGCAAAACATAACCAATATTAGGTTATATCTTCAGGCTATTATTATGGGCAACAAGAGAAAATACTGTAAAGACTTAATAATTTTGCCTTTGTAGTCTTGTTTTTAATATTCTTACTAAGCTCTTCCATAGCATAAAGTACTTGTGGGAAACCTGCTACTGTTTCTTCAGTCATATCTTCTTCCAGACTGGGTCCTTCAGCTGCTTCTTTGCAGGTTATATGTGTTTTTCATTTGATTATCAATTATCATTGTATTAGTGTTTCTGGTGTAGTACGTTTAGCAGTTCTCATGCCGTTTCTTTTTTTTTCTTTCTCATGATTAACCTGGCCATGTTTGTCCAGACCTTGTTTGTTTGAAGTATTGAGTTCATTCTTTCTGAATCCTTCTCATCTTCTCTGTCTGAAACCAACCCCACAGGGGTGACAACAATTGCGTGCCGGGTTCTGGACAGAAATATAGTTAAAGTGAAGCACTAATCAGACTGCACCTTGGCCCACTTCCTTGTTGCTAAAAGCCACATAGCACTAGATAGTGGCCACTTGCATCCCCATCGTTCCTGTAGGTAGGATTTCTGATATAGGGTCATAAGACTGTTTAGGAACTGACTTGCATCCTCATTGTTCCTGTAGACAGGATCTCTGACATTAGAATCATAAGGTTTTTGTTTAAGAATCACTTAAGAAGGTTTTTTCCAGCCCCAAATTCGAGTAGCCACTTTAAAGTCCCCCTTCCCAACCCCCCACAGAGGAACGTGATCAGCATGAGAACACAGCTTCTTAATCTCTGTATCCAATGACTTTACCCTGCACTCTTTAACCAATCAATGATCTCCACACTTTGGCCCACTCCAAAACTCTTAAAAACCCTACCTCCAATCTCCTTGGGGAGGTGGATTTGAGGTTTCCTAACATCTCCTCACTCAGCTACCCTACCTTTGAATCTCTTTCTGTGCTGCAACTCAGTGTTTTAGTGTATTGACTTGTTGTATGCATCGGGCAAGGAACCTATTACAGTTATAGGTCTTTCCTTAGAGCTGTATTGTGAGGCGACAATGTTACGTATCCACTGCTCCTTTGTGACTCAGCGATGCAGAAGTGAAGAAAAAAGATTAATGGCAGCTGAGCACAGCCCTGGCTGGACAGTCTCGGTTCTGCTTTCTTTTCTGAGATCTTTTTACACGTTCTGTACCAGCGACCATTCCACTCAGCCAGAGGTGCATCCTGTCCTGTGGGATTAGCTGAGCCCTCTTCCCCAACCTGGCAGAGTCATCTGCATTATGGAAAGCTCTGGTGGCCTTTCCTGCCATGGTCTGACCCTCCCTCTGCTGAGGCAATGGCAGCGCATCAAAGTCCCTACTCTCAATGACTTTTTCTTCACTTTCCTCAGAGCTGCTCCACTTGGCTCTGGTCCTCTTCTTTTCAGATTGGAAAGCATTACTGAGATTTCTCACGACTTTTAAATTGCCTGCAGTCTGTTTTGGGGCATAGGGACAGGGTTAGAGGCCCTGAAGCGATGCTCACTGCTTGTCATAGACAATCTTTTTCTTGCTGTGACCACTATTTCCATCAGTTACAGTGCGAGGTGGCTCCCCCTTCACTGTTTGGTTGCTCTTGGTGAGCTAGAGCTGAAATTCCCAGTGGAAGTTGAGTGTAAGTCCCGGTGGGAAGGTGAATGCAGGAAATCTTCCCTGGAAATAAGATAAAAGGTAAGTAGTGAATAATTATAATTAAAAATTTGGTGAGCGTTCACCTTGAATTTAGGTGTTTGCATTTATTTAAAATCTTCTAAATTGTTGTTTGTTATTTCTAGGTAGGCATTGTAGCTTAATTAAATCCATGCTTTCATCTTTATGAAGAAATATATTGTAATGGGAAGCACAAGCTTGCATAATTTTTAATCTTGCTTTCTCTCAGTTGTCAGAGTGAGTCTAATTATTTGCTTATGAAACTAAAATCAACTACCACCTTGTGGAAGCTATCAGAATTGCAAGCATATTGTAAAACCTTAAAGGATGGTTCTCAACCTTGGTAGCACAAGTGAATCACCTGGTGAGATTTTAAAAAGTACTGTGACCTAGGTCACACCTGAGATGGATCTGAGGTGGTACCCCATGCATTGGTTTTTTTGGAAGTCTCTCAGGTGATTCTGAAGCAGTGTCCATCTGCTTCTTCTTCTTCTCTCCTTGACTGCCATTCCTCTCTGCCACATCCTCTCAAACCAACCCCATCCCTAGGTTCTCCAGGCTCTTTCTCTGCACAAGTCCCCCTAAATAGTCCAAATTCAGTATCCCTCCCTCCATCAAAATGCTCATTCTCTTCTAACTCATGGGTTAAAATCTAAGTTGAGTCTATCCAGGATTCTTGCACTGTAAATGAGAACAGCCAAGGAAAATGCTTCATGCCATCCCCCAGTAAATAATTGATGTTGGCAATTTAGGCTGGTACAGAGCACTCCATACCAGCTAGACAGGCGTCCCTCCACCTACTGGGCCATCTGATCATTTCCCAAATAGTGTTCCATTGTTTGTTCAATGTCTTTTTAAGTTTATGCTTGACACAAGATTTCCCATCAGTCACAATGCAGTGAGCCCATATGAGCAGTCCTACAATTAAAATAACATTTTTAAAAACTTACTTGTTTTATTCAGCATTTTTCTAGATTGTTTATCAGCAGAACCTCTCTTTTCTAGAATGCTTATTAGCCCTGTGATGAAAAACTCTTTAACAGATAAGATATGGTGCTCTGGACCCTTCCCTTATAAAGATCCGCTTCTCGCTTCTGTTTCTTATGGTCCTGCTTTCATGCAGAAAGCAGTGCTTTCGGTGAAATTCTCAGGCTGCATTTTGCAGTCCTTTTTCTCTCACCTCCACAACAGCCCTGAACATTTATAGGCCTTTCCAAGTCAGATATTTTAAATCTTGATTAATATTTTCAGGCTGAGTTGAGAAGCCATAAAACATACCTAGGCTGGGAAAATCTTATAAAAGTTGCTTTACACCCAAGAATGTGGAAATGCAGGCACTTCTATTTTGAGAAAAAAGTGACTGCTCCAGTTGGTGTCATCACTGGTCACTGCTAATTGGGATCTGAACGTTTTAACTTGCATGAGTCGTCTCTGGCCATGCTGTACCTCTGCATTTTCCCAAAGAGCTGCCGAAGGTTTGTGCATGAGGAGCAGTTGGAGATGAGAGTCTAAAAGTGCCTTTTCTCCCTTTTCAGTTTTCTGGCTGTTCCCTGAGGAGCTCACACCTGTCTTTCTCCTTCCTTTTCATCTTTCTCTAGGCTGCTTTCTTAGGACTAAAAGGTGGAGGGTCTGTGCACAACAGGCAACAATTCTTCTTCTGAACCATCCTTCTCTCTTTTTCTTCTTTCTTACCCTCCCCTCTGCCTTAGCATCAATGCCTGTAGTGAATTCCCCAACAGACCACACAGCACATACTCAGAGAACAGCAAAGACCGCGTGCCAAAGAAATGAAGACAACACCATTAAAAGTAGAATTTGATATTTTGAAAGTCTGTAAAGGAATTTGGGGAGAAATCAGAACTGTACTGGCTTTTCTTGCCTTTATCTTATGAGCTGGTAGAGCTCTTTTTGGGAATTGCTTTTGTGAGCACCATAACCTTTTTCCATTTTGGTCACCCAAGGGTGCCATACTGCCTGTTGCGGTACTGGCACAAGTTGCTCAAAGAAAGGAAAGATAAAAAGGGACAGTGTACTTGGAAAAGGCCCCTGAGAGGACATGAGTTTGATCGGGGCCCCGAGGGATGTGTTGAGTTTAGCCAGAACAATAAGAATGAAAAAGTTAAGGCTGTCTTCCAACCACTTTGGTTTCCTCAGCATTAAACACAGCTGGAGTGAAATAGGAGGGGCCTCACCCCTCAGGCTTGATCTGTGGCAGACTGCTATTCTGCCAAGGCCCCGAATTCCATGACATCTCTCCGGAACATGGAAAAACACCTGGTCCCACTGAATCCACAGTGAAAATAATTCCCCAGCTTAATGACAAAGCCCTTGCGGAGTCAAAGCAGCAAAGGATCCAAGGCTAATGCATGGGTTGCTTTCGAATCATTAATAACAATGACAATGCTAATAACTTTAGTGTGGGGGGAAGAAAGGGAGGATAAGAATGGGTCTTCTGATTTGTCATTTGGAGCCTTCCTGTTTTATAGCCCATGGAAGATGGCTTTCCCTGCTCTGTTTTGTTATCTTCGGGTCCCAGATACAAATGTGAAGAGAATGGGCACGTTTCCTGGTGGGTCCTGGGTTCTACAGACCTTCAGGACATTGCCTGAGAGCCATATAAGCTGGAAGGGCAAAGGAGCGTGGCTCGAAAAGGGAGAAATGTGCAGCATAAGCACCAGGAACAAACTCAGAAGCAGACAGGAAGGAGCCCCCAGGCTGAAGCTGACCCTGGTGAGCAGTCCATTAGCATAATTGTTTTGTGGAATGCTAAATCAAGCTAATTATCATATGCGTTACCTCATATACTTATCTTTTGCTTGTTTGTTTGTTTGGTTGGTTGATTTGTTTTTAGAGACAGAGTCTTGATCTGTCACCCAGGCTGGAGTGCAGCAGTGCAGTCATGGCTCACTGTGGCCTCAAATTCCTGGGCTCAAACGATCCTCCCACCTCAGCCTCCCAAAGTGTTGGGATTACAACTGTGAGCCACTGCGCCCAGCTGATTTTTGTATGTGTGGTTAAAACACTTAAAATCTATTATGTTAGCAGTTTTCAAGTTTACAGTATATTGGTATTAACTATAGTCACTATAATATAAAGTAGATCTCTTGAACTTACTCTTCCTGTCTAATTAAAATTTTGTGTCTTCTGTCCAATACCTCCCCGATCTCCCCACCCCAGCCTCTGGTAACCGCCATTGTTTTCTGCTTCTATGAGCTCAACTTTTATACATACATCAAAATATCACGTTGTACACCATAAATAAAAAAAGAAAGAAGTATTCACATTTAAAAAACAATAATTGTTTTGGGTCAAACCATCAATCCACCCAGCCTAGCAGCCCTGGTCTGGTGCAAGATTAAAAAGTAGAAGACAGGCTCTTCAGCACCCTCTCCCCAGCCTAAGGAGAGCTTCAGCCTCCGCATTCTTCATCTCCTCTGCCTGAGTGCCTTTCTCCTGATAGTCTAGACTCAAAGTGTGGGGGAGTCCTTGAGGTCATTTAGTTGAAAGTTCTCATTCACGGTAGCGGAGGTACCAGAATCACTCCACTAACTAGGGGCAAATCAGGACTAAAACCCAGGACTTCTCGCCCTGAAATCTTTCCACTACGTCAACTTGCTTTTGTTCTTTTTCTCTTTCCTAATTTATCTCTAAGGAATGATTTTTAAGTCTTTTACTTTAAAGTGTAATTTACTACTTGCTTAAAAATGTAGTCCTTCTAACAACCTTATGTGAAAAGAATAGTGTTACTATTATAAAATAACAGAAAATTTTTTAGAGAAGGTGGCTCTTGAGCAACATCTTAGAGAGGGCAAAGCTTTAATAGCAAATGTCAGGAAAATGCATCCTGGGCAAAGCGAAGGGACTGAGCAAAGGTGGAGGGGCAAGAAGGGGTCTGTCTTAGAGAGGAGGAAGAGAATGAAGCCTGGCTTAATTAGAGTGTGCGTCGGCAGGACATAAATAGATGAAGGTGGAAAGTCTGAGAACAAATTCTTGCCAAAATGTCAGTGAGTTTCCCTATCAACCCAGGAACATTAACACTTTTTTTTTTTTTTTTTTGAGACAGAGTCTTGCTCTGTTGCCCAGGCTGGAGTGTAGTGGGACAATCTTGGCTCACTGCAGCCTCCACCTCCCAGGTTCAAGTGATCCTCCTGCCTCAGCTGTAGCTGGAATTACAGGTGCCCGCCACCATGCAAAGCTAATTTTTGTATTTTTAGTAGAGACGATGTTTCACCATGTTGGCCAGGCTGGTGTCGAACTCCTGACCTCAGGAGATCGGCATGCTTCGGCCTCCCAAAGTGCTGGAATTACAGGCGTGAGCCACTGTGCTCGGCCAACATTTACACTTTAACAAGTCTTCTGAAGGTCAGTCTATCCAAAGATGTCAAAGCTGTAATGGTGGCAATCCCAGTCCAGAGCCTGGCCAGTAAGGAAGGTGTTTCAGATAAATCCCTTCTAGCCTGTTACAAAGCTCCCTCCTAACATCTCTTTGCTGGTATGTTTTATCTGAGTCTAATGGGTACTGAGGCCTTTGGACCTCTTGGCAGATGGGGAGGAGGTCTCAGAGGCTTCCTTGTGCAGGTGAATTTTAAGAGACAGCTCAGGGTTGTGGTTAAAAGTACAGACCTTAAGGCCAAGTAGCCTGGGCTCGAATCCAAGCTCTGCACCTCTGGGAAAGTTACTTAAGCCCTGTGTGCCTCAGTTTCCACATTTGTAAAGTGTCAATGCAAATCACAGCATTTAGCCCCTTGAGTTGTTCAGAAGATTAAGGTTTAATACATTTATTGCTGAGCATGGCATGTAACTAGTGCTAGGTGTGAGCTACTATCATGATGACCACTACTGTTGCTGATGATGCTGTTCTCTTTCTTTTTTTTTTTTCTTTTTTTTTTTTTATTATACTTTAAGTTTTAGGGTACATGTGCACATTGTACAGGTTAGTTACATATGTATACATGTGCCGTGCTGGTGCGCTGCACCCACTAACTCGTCATCTAGCATTAGGTATATCTCCCAATGCTATCCCTCCCCCCTCCCCCCACCCCACAACAGTCCCCAGAGTGTGATATTCCCCTTCCTGTGTCCATGTGATCTCATTGTTCAATTCCCACCTATGAGTGAGAATATGCGGTGTTTGGTTTTTTGTTCTTGCGATAGTTTACTGAGAATGATGATTTCCAATTTCATCCATGTCCCTACAAAGGACGTGAACTCATCATTTTTTATGGCTGCATAGTATTCCACGGTGTATATGTTCCACATTTTCTTAATCCAGTCTATCATTGTTGGACATTTGGGTTGGTTCCAAGTCTTTGCTATTGTGAATAATGCCGCAATAAACATACGTGTGCATGTGTCTTTATAGCAGCATGATTTATAGTCATTTGGGTATATACCCAGTAATGGGATGGCTGGGTCAAATGGTATTTCTAGTTCTAGATCCCTGAGGAATCGCCACACTGACTTCCACAATGGTTGAACTAGTTGACAGTCCCACCAACAGTGTAAAAGTGTTCCTGTTTCTCCACATCCTCTCCAGCACCTGTTGTTTCCTGACTTTGTAATGATTGCCATTCTAACTGGTGTGAGATGGTATCTCATAGTGGTTTTGATTTGCATTTCTCTGATGGCCAGTGATGATGAGCATTTTTTCATGTGTTTTTTGGCTGCATAAATGTCTTCTTTTGAGAAGTGTCTGTTCATGTCCTTCGCCCACTTTTTGATGGGGTTGTTTGTTTTTTTCTTGTAAATTTGTTTGAGTTCATTGTAGATTCTGGATATTAGCCCTTTGTCAGATGAGTAGGTTGTGAAAATTTTCTCCCATTTTGTAGGTTGCCTGTTCACTCTGATGGTAGTTTCTTTTGCTGTGCAGAAGCTCTTTATTTTAATTAGATCCCATTTGTCAATTTTGTCTTTTGTTGCCATTGCTTTTGGTGTTTTGGACATGAAGTCCTTGCCCATGCCTATGTCCTGAATGGTAATGCCTAGGTTTTCTTCTAGGGTTTTTATGGTTTTAGGTCTAACGTTTAAATCTTTAATCCATCTTGAATTGATTTTTGTATAAGGTGTAAGGAAGGGATCCAGTTTCAGCTTTCTACATATGGCTAGCCAGTTTTCCCAGCACCATTTATTAAATAGGGAATCCTTTCCCCATTGCTTGTTTTTCTCAGGTTTGTCAAAGATCAGATAGTTGTAGGTATGCGGCGTTAATTCTGAGGGCTCTGTTCTGTTCCATTGATCTATATCTCTGTTTTGGTACCAGTACCATGCTGTTTTGGTTACTGTAGCCTTGTAGTATAGTTTGAAGTCAGGTAGTGTGATGCCTCCAGCTTTGTTCTTTTGGCTTAGGATTGACTTGGCACAAGACAGGGATGCCCTCTCTCACCACTCCTATTCAACATAGTGTTGGAAGTTCTGGCCAGGGCAATTAGGCAGGAGAAGGAAATAAAGGGTATTCAATTAGGAAAAGAGGAAGTCAAATTGTCCCTGTTTGCAGACGACATGATTGTATATCTAGAAAACCCCATCGTCTCAGCCCAAAATCTCCTTAAGCTGATAAGCAACTTCAGCAAAGTCTCAGGATACAAAATCAATGTACAAAAATCACAAGCATTCTTATACACCAACAACACACAAACAGAGAGCCAAATCATGAGTGAACTCCCATTCACAATTGCTTCAAAGAGAATAAAATACCTAGGAATCCAACTTACAAGGGATGTGAAGGACCTCTTCAAGGAGAACTACAAACCACTGCTCAACGAAATAAAAGAGGATACAAACAAATGGAAGAACATTCCATGCTCATGGGTAGGAAGAATCAATATCGTGAAAATGGCCATAATGCCCAAGGTAATTTACAGATTCAATGCCATCCCCATCAAGCTACCAATGACTTTCTTCACAGAATTGGAAAAAACTACTTTAAAGTTCATATGGAACCAAAATAGAGCCCGCATCGCCAAGTCAATCCTAAGCCAAAAGATGCTGTTCTCTTTCTTCGCAGCCCGTCTTTTCTTCTATGCAGAGTAAACAAACGATACTCTTCCTATTTGAATAACACTTTACAGTTCGTGACTACTTTCATACACATTTTGTCTTTAGTAGGGGTTGTTAAAGTAAATTAAAATGGAGAATCCCTGAGTGGACAAAACCAGTTAGGCCTCATAAGTGACCTAAGCCTTGCTTGATTTGCAAACATAAGGGAAACTTAACTCGAGCTATTTCTTGTAAACTCCTATATTAAAAACAAACAAACAAACAAAACAAACAGAATTTAAGTTCAACAAATCAGAAATAGCCAACAATCTTATAACTATATAACTAGGGACTTTCCAATTGGATAGGCCATATGAGGCAACTGTATAACTGTAACCAATCAAATACGTTATTTGCTTTAAATGTGTATCTGTTCTATAAAAGCTGCACCCTGCTCCACCCCCTTGCATTCCCTCAGTGGAGCACCTGAACCGCTTCTGGTTTAGAGCTGCCCAATTCATGAATCATTGTTTTATCAAATAGACTCTTTTAAAAATTGTATTATGCCTCAGTTTACCTTTTTTTTGAGACAGAGTCTTGCACTGTCACCAGGCAGAGTGCAGTGGCGCGATCTCAGCTCACTGCAACCTCTGCCTCCCGGGTTCCAGTGATTCTCCTGCCTCAGCCTCCTGAGTAGGACCACAGGCTCACACCACCACGCCCAGATAATTTTTGTATGTTTAGTAGAGACGGGGTTTCACCATGTTGGCCAGGATGGTCTTGATCTCTTGACCTTATGATCCACCCGCCTCAGCCTCCCAAAGTGCTGGAATTACAGGCGTGAGCCACCGTGCCCAGCCACCTCAGTTTACCTTTTTAACAGAGTGTTAACACTTTCCACAATTGAAGATGATTAAAATAGCCAGAAGAGTAATAAATAGACTTTTCCTAAATTACCATGGCAACAAATGGCAAATAAACCAGATCTGGCTTTATCAATTCATTTTTTCATTCATTCATGTGTTGTTACTCATCTTCCCACATTTTTTTGACCACCTGCTCTGTGTCAAGCATTGTGTAAATTACTGATGATATGGGTATAAGACACTCAATCCCATTTCTCCAGGGCTCATGGGCTAATGGGGTGCTGGAGATAATGTAGACAGTGTGGTGGTACGACTAGGAGAGAATACCGGTTGCCCCAGAAGACATAGAGGAGCCGGGAGGCAGGTGAGCAGAGGTTCCAAGGAGAAGGAACCCAGAGGTAAGTCTGGAAAGAGAAAAACAAATCATCAAGCACAAAAAGCAGGAAGGGAAGGCCACCTCTTCCTTCTCTAACCCCACCCATGCCCCAGTGCAGGTCCTCCCTGGGATTGGCAAAACTCTTGAGTTAAAAAACAAAGCAAAGCAGAACTCCCAATATTGCTGCATGCCTCATAGGTGCTCAGAGTGTTGAGGTTCAGTCCACAGGCGCTCAGCATCTAACTCAGGGATTGAGAACTGAGCAGGGCAAATGATGAGAAAACAAAGGCAGCAGGACGAGGGCAGGTACTGTATGCACAGTGTGGCCTGGAAGTGGAACTGGCCCCAGGTGACATAAACAGATGCCCAAAGGGAATCAGCCTGCTGGGTGTGTCTCTGACTTGTCTTGGTCACCCATAACATAACATCAGCTCCCTTTCACACACCACACACTATGCAGAAGACCATTTACATCGGTTACCTTTTTAATTTCACCTGTGGACCTTCAAGAGCAGATTTTGTAGAGAATTAGAAAACTGAGGCAGAAAAGGGTGACTGATTTGCCAAAGGTGGCTGAATTAGTTATCTGTTGCTGTTCACAGATTACCCCAAAACGTAGTGCCTAGGAGCCACAATTATGACTTATTATCTCTCACAATTTCTGTGAGCCAGGAATTCAGCCTGGACACTGCAGAAATGTCTAGTCTCTGTTCCCACAATGCCTAGTGCCTCTGCTGGAACATGCAATGACAGGGGACTGGAATCATCTGCAGGCTTACTCGCTTACATGCCTGGAGGTTGATGCTAGCTGCCTGCAAAGCCCTTTGCTGTGGCTGTTGAGTGGTCTCTCCGTGTGATCTAGGCTTCCTCACGACATGGTGGTAATATACCAAGAACAAGCATCCAGAAAGAAAAAGAGCTAGGCAAAATATATTGCCTTTCATGAGCTTACCTCAGCGGTCACAGCATGCCACATCCACCATATTCTTTTCATTGAAACAATTACAGACATCCATCCAGATCCAAGAAGGAAAAAAAAAAAAAAAGACCTCTCACTTTTCCAAGATCAATGTCAATGTTTCATTAAAAAGAGCATGTGAGATGGAGTATATATTGGAAATCTTTGCCAAAACAATCTTCCACAGTGATGTGAACTGGAGTCCTATCTTTGCTATGGCTATACCCAAACACCTGCCTTCTCGCAATACCAGCTCTGCTGCTGGGAGGGAGACACACTTGTCCACAGATGTCTGAGTACCCAGAGGTATGCTCGCTGGGCTTCCATGCTGGGTGACCTTCTGTTGCTTTGGAGAAGTTGGCCATTCCCTGAGCCTTGTCTTCTTTTGACTTTTTTGTCCTCTGAGCCCCAACCAGAGCTTTCAGAGAAATGCATGTGACAAAACCTCAAGCTGATCAAGCTCAGAAGACTAGCACCAGGGTAAACAGCAAAACAAGTTTGCCTTCCAGCCTCTCTGTTTTGGAGAGGACATCCTTAACCTTGTTTCCAGCTGTTTCTGTATTTCTATGCTGCCTATCACCTTTTAGACCCAGATGCGATATGAATTATTCATTTGATTTGGGGCAGGTGCACCCATTTCCTTCCAGAACCCCAGGGGCAGGCATAGGAAATTAATTCACAACGTCTGTAGCTGAAGTCACTTGCAATTTCCACACCAAGGAAAAAATAAAGATACGGGACTTGAGAAAGCTCCAAGGTGTTGAGAAGACTCATCAGCAGTTCTTCATTGCCTCTGTAGAGACAAAAAATGGGTACTGATCCCTGTATGAAAGGTTTATGCTTGTTATCAAAAAAGGGTTTCTCAGTCCTGGAGGTTACAAGTCCCCATAATAGTGACTAGGGCATGTCACAGAAGCTCTTCCCTGGAAATCTTAAGACAAGAATGGCCAGGCACATAATCCCTGCAATCTCAGCACTTTGAGGGGCTGAGATGGGAGGATCCCTTGAGCTCAGGAGTTCGAGAACCTGGGAAACATAGCAAGACCTCATCTTCACTAAAAATTAAAAAAAAGTAGCCAGGCTTGGTGGCATGTGCCTATAGTCCCAGCTACTCAGGAGGCTGAGGCAGGAGGATTGCTTGATTCCAAGAGACAGAGGCTGCAGTGAGCTGTGATCACACTACTGCACTCCAGCCTCGGCAATAGAGCAAGACCTCGTCTCAAACAAACAAACAAACAAACAAACAAACAAACAAAGGCACAAACCACTTGGACACAGAGGATGTGCCTGCTGACTACTCAAGGTTCCCTTCAACTTGACTCTTCTGTTATTGACTGAGTATTCCAGGACTAATAAGTTGAGGTTCTGTCCCTAAAGAGCGTAGAGTTTCAGGGTTTCTTCACCCTGGGTGTTAAATGTGCTTGAAGGGCAAGCCTTAGAGATGGTCGCTAACGGTGCTCCAGACTGAAGGCCAGCCCTCACTGCTCTGGATTTCTTAAGAGCTTAGTTATTATGTGCCCTCCATCATTAGAACTGTGATTGTGCTGCTACCTTCAGCATTTTTTTGAAGCTGACTTTTTCTTATTATAAATTTAAAAATATTCTGGAGCAGTCCTGATTCCCTAACCATGTCCTCAAACATGGGAAATTTCTGACTGAGAGGATTGCATCTGAATGTAATAAAATAACCATAGACTCTTAGACCCGGGCAAGGAGAGGAAGTATTTTCTGATGGTCTCCATCAAGTGCCAGGGGTTCTTCTAGGTGTCCTTAGGGCCTTGCGGGTGGAGGAGAGGGCAGTTAGTGAACAGACTCCAGAACCGCCCATCCCAGATCTCACTAGAGCAACTTATGTTTATCTGTTTATCAGGCACATACTGAATCAAGGGGTCCTAATTAAAAGAAATTTAACAAACACTAACCCAACTCGTTGGTTTGTAGAAGGCAAGATGGATGCCAGAAGAGGGCCACTTCTTACCCACAATAATATTAAATGGCTTTTACCCAAAGAGAATTATCCAGAAACTCAAAACCCCAGCTCTGTCACATTTTCTTTCAGAAAAGTCATCTTTGCACTGAGTGTTTGGACTGTAGATCATGCAGTTTTTTATAGCTCAAATCCATTGTTTGTGGAGGAGCTATGGAAACAGAAAGTTTACAAGGCATAAACTGCCTTCCCAGAATTACCGATAGGAAGGGCCTTTTTTGTTTTTTCTCTTTTGCATCCATTTTTGTTATTTCAGTAATTGCTCTCTCTGGACTCTTGGGACACTTAGACACCTGGTTAAATTGATTCTTTTCACACTTCCAATTTGAAAAGAATCTTATGCCATAAAATACATCTACCCTGATTCTTTTCTTCATTGCCATTTGATCTGGGAACTGTTTGGCCTTAGCAACCCGTACTGATTGATAAGTGTGAACTACAAGGAAGCCATGTAACAACAATTCTAAGTGGTTATGGTTATTTATGGCATGAAATTTAGCAAATGCATTTGCTGCCAGAAATATTTGACATAAAATTTCCAGAAAAAAAAATCCTGTTAATACTGAGAGCTGAATTTTTGTTAAGAATCTTTTATTAGGTCATCCCCAGGATGATAACTGAAAGTATTATTAATTATTGCTATAATTCTATATATTAGTATTATTATATTAGTATTATTATACACTAATATATAGAATTATATAGAACAATATATTGCTATAATTCTATATATTAGTATTTTATATAATAGTATTGCATACTATTATGGTGATGTTGAGATTGAGACACTCAACATAACTCCGGGATACATGTTCTTTGTCATCTTATTGGAGCAGCTATCCCTTTATATGCCTTTAGAGTGCCTTTTGGCTAGAAATCACATCTGTTTCTTTTAAAAGCATATTCAGAAAATCATTTAAGTTTTTCATGGAAATGCTGAGCTATCATTAAGAATTTCAAGTTGCTTAAAAATTAAAAAGTGAATGAATACTAAAGAACTGTGAGATTTTGTAAGTAAATTGATCTCTAACTCAATTGATCCCAACTCAGATATTTTTAGAATGCATTTTTAAAATTTTTATTTTTATTAGGTTTTCTGCCTTTTCTCTCACCTTTTCTTTTCACTTCTAGTTTGGGAAAATAAATCGCTGTGTATGTTATGATTAGGTGCAAAGTAAGAGCTAATGGATTCCAAGTGGGACAATTGAGCTCCAACATATTGAGCTCTAGGACAGCCATGTCAACCACTCAAGCTTTTTGTTTCCTCTTGGGTCCTCAGCTGCATTTCAGATCACTGCTTGCAGGTCAAGCAACTTTGGGCTAAGGATATTTTACTGTAATTACTATGACTGTCTGCCATTTCAACTGCAAGAACTCCTGTTATATCTTGTCAAATATTCAGATGCTGCCTAGTATCCTTTACAGGAATATTGGTTTGCAAAAACCAAAAAGGCTCTGTTACCTGGTAAGCTCATTTATAGCATATTCCATTGCAAGTATATCTAAAATGGTCATGTGCCTCCATGGTTTTGTGATAAATTATATTAACTTATTATTGGTATTATGCAATTATCGATTCACTGATTTATCAAATATTAATTGAACACCAACTCAGTGCCAGGTACTGTTCTAGGGTCTGGAAATATTGCAGTGGACAAAACAAAGTCCTTGTCTTCATGGATCTTATATGCTATTAGGGTTTTTTAATTTGGATTACAATTTTAAAATGCCTGCAAAATTTAATCCCACTCACCCTCATGTGACCTTCAAAAAACTTTGAGAAGTAGGCAGGGTGGGTACTAATTGTGCATTTCACAGATGAAGAGACTTACTTGGATTTTCCTCTTCCCATCTGGTAGAACCCAGGAAGGACTGAACTGAGTGAACTTTATCAGGAGAGACAAAAGGGCTGAGTGTGTGAGTGAGTATGCACAGTGTGTGCATACCTGGGTCTCTGCACTGTGAAGCCTGAGGACCCCAAACCGAGATGGATGTGGGTTCAACCTGCTTTGGAGCATCTCCTTTCCCTCTCAGATGTCCTCTTTTCTCTGTCTTTCCACCTCTGCAGGAAGTTGTGTGGAACGCAGAGGAAAGATCTGCTGGGCGTGGGTGTGCCCTTCCTCCCCAGCTATTATGCTTAGCAGGTTGGGGGGCCAGCACCTCAAGTGGGAACAGGTATCCCCACGTGTGTGGGCATTGTGCAGGAGCAAAGCAGTGACACAGCCATTTACAAGAAAGGACATGCTCGTCACTAACAGCACAGTAAACCTCTGCAGAGACTCACTGAGAAGGCATTGACCGCAGGACACGAATCACAAGTGTCTCTTGTCAGGAGGCATTTCTTAAGTGTTCCGATGCCCATTAGCTCCCCCACAGTGGCAGGGCAGGTTGTGAGAAGCATGGCGGAGCAGCAGGCTGCCCTGGCCACCCACCTGGCATTCAGCTTCTGTATCACCTTCCCCCTTTGAGGACACTGGCAAGGCAAGGCGTCTCTCTAGTAGGCAGACAGGGCAGGGGTCCCTTCCTGCAGAAAGCCTCTGGGGATAGAGATGAATAGAGAATCTAAAGGAATCCCAGGGAACCCCCATAGAAACTGAGATTCACCACCTGCATGGGCCAGCAGCCCCCACATCCCTGATTCCCACCCCTCCTAGGGCACGTCACATTTTCTCCTGTGAACATTTTGAAATATTCATACATGAAAATTAATATTTTATTTTTATGGCTCCTCATGTTCTCAACTCTCAAATGGGAGCAACTCTGCTACCTGCCCCGGAAGCTGTGAGGATTGAAAAAGTTGCTGTGAGAAGGAGCGACAAAGGGCATGGTGTGCTCGTGTCTACCTGAGAGTGGCTCAGCACTCAGGCAGGCTCCATGCCTGGGCAGGGCCAGGCAGAGCTGGGCTGGCACCCCAGTTCTGTATTAGCAGCTCTGAATTTAAGTCTCTTCAAAAACGGATGAGGACACCTACTAACACCTACAACACAGGGCGATAGTAAGGATTAAATTAATACCATGCATGTACAGTGGCCCTTCATGTCCATGGCTTCTGCATTCATGGATTCATCCAACTGAAAATCAAAAATACTTGAAAAAAAATGGATAGTTGCATCTGTACTAAACACATAGATAATTTTTCTTGTAATTGTTCCCTAAACAATATAGTATAACATCTATTTATACAACATTTACATTGTATTGGTTATTCTAAGTAACTTAGAAATAAAGTACGCAGGAGGGTATGTGTAAGTTATATGCACACACTACTCTATTTTATATCAGGGACTTGAGTATCTACAGATTTTGGCACTTACAGGGGTCCTGGAACCAATCAACCCCCAACAGATATCAAAGGACAAGTATATTCCCCAGCATGGGTTCCAGCATATAGTAAGTGCTCCAGAAATGGAAGCTGAAGTTGGAGATGTACAGATCTCAGAACTTTGGTTTCATCCACAGATCATATGGATTAAAGATAAGATAAATTGCCTGTAATCCCAACACTTTGGGAAGTCGAAGCGTGCAGATCACGAGGTCAGGAGTTCAAGACCAGCCTGACCAACATGGAGAAACCCTGTCTCTACTAAAAATACAACATCAGCTGGGGATGGTGGCGCATGCCTGTAATCCTAGCTACTCAGGAGGCTGAGGCAGGAGAATCGCTTGAACCAGGGAGGCAGAGGTTGTGGTGAGCCAAGATCCGCCATTGCACTCCAGCCTGGGCAACAAGAGTGAAACTCCGTCTAAAAAAAAAAAAACAAAAAATTAAAGAGCAAAGCCTTCAAGAGAGGGACTCTCAGGTTAGTATCGGGAGGATGCAGGGTTGAGACAGCCAGACTGAAAGTCTGTATTATTGCAAACTGCCTCAAAAGCCTATTTTTTTTTCCAGCTATCTTTTGGACCTTATTGGTTCTAATTTGCTTAAAAGGGCTTCCCTTTGGGAGGAAACACCCAATACCATCTGCTTCATTGTTTTGTGGGAATATATGCAGTTAAAAGGGGAAAACAGTATTTGCCCAGTCTGAAGCTTTTGGTGCTCTCCCACAACTATTTGACCTGAATATATTAAATATTGTAATGTTTTGTTACATGTCCCAGGGCAAAAAAAAAATCCAGGCTATCACTTATTAGCTTTCTGTTCCTGGATCCTTCCACAGTTGATTCAATGGAGCAAAAGATAGTGGGGAAATCCAAAGGTAAAGGTTAAACTCTGTTTTATTATGTTTACAGGATTTAAAGGGTAAGTCAGGAAGTGCTTACATAACATGAAGTGAAAGTGGTGGATTAGTAACCAGAGCGAGACTTAAAAGCAGCCTTAATCCTCCGAATCTCCAGGGGTGAAAGGTCAACCTCTAACACCAGGTTGTGTAAAGAATGGAGAAGGCACAAGCTTCTGTTTCATCGTGGCCCTGCTAATCCACTGAGGAAATGAGCAGCCGGGGGCTTGGGGAGAGGTAAACGCCTCCTCCAAGGAAAGCCACCTGTGAATTTAGCCAAGGAGGACGTAATTAAAGTCAGAAGGGCCCAGTGCAGGGGGGCAGGCAGGCAGACGGACACAGCCCCCAGCTGCAGCGTTTGACAGTGGGCAGGGGGCTTCTACCACCTCTGAGGAGTCAACTGTGCTGGGCCCCCAGCCAAACCTGCACACGGACCATTGCTTTTTTCCCAACAGGCTCTTGCCATTCTGAAAAATGGGCTGGCAGACCAATGACAATCACACATATATGGACACACACACACATACACACACACACACACACACACACACACACACAACCTCATCAGTAATTCTGGAAGAGGATGGTTGACATACTAAAAGAGTCAGTTGCCAAGTACAGGGGCCCAAAGAAATATTAATAAATCAGGCCTGCCTCGCTTGCTTTCTTGCTGGCTTGCCCTCTCTTGCTCATCAAAAATGGAGAAAAAGAAAACCTTTTCTTACTCATGAATATAGGATTTAAATAGATCCTCTAAAATTATATTCAGGCTTGTCCCCTAGGATTTTAAATACTTTTGGAAGTAATTGCCTGTAATATATTGAAGCGTGTTTATCTAGCTATCTGAGCTGCCGACTGTCCATCTCCATATCCATCTCACTGTCTACCTACTTACTGATTGGATGTGTATTTAAAGCATCTTAAGACACAAAAATAAACCTGAGGGCAAGGGTGACATCATATGGATATAAGCACTTAAAAAAAGAGAAGCCTAATTGTAAGGACAGCAAAATCCATGATGCAGACACCTTTTTCTCCTCTGTCTCCCTTGGCAGCCATTTTTGGCCAAGAAAAGTAGTCAACTTTTGGATCCTCAGCCCCTGGCTTTGCCCAAGAAAGCATCTTTCCCTGAATTCCCCATAAAACCACAGTGCGTTACATGGAACATTTAAAGTCCACGACTTAGTAAATGTCGAAACAAATCGGAACTTTGAATACAATCAATTTACAAAAGAAAGTTTGAACACGTTTCAGCACAAAGCTAAAAAAGCTTTCAGAGTAGCCGTTCCATATTTAGTCTGAGCTGGCCTTTATTAAATCACTGGTGAAAAACACGGAGATTCGTCTCAGCTGTAGTTTCATCATCTTAAAACAGCAGAGGCATTTATCTTATGAAATTGCAGAAGTCGAGCCCTGTGCAGACTGATGGCTCCAAGGTGCTTTTGGCATTAGTATCTGATTGTCTCGCCTAAGGTGTTTATGACGCGTGCGGCTGTTAATAGCTTATGCTGTTCATTTTTTACAGAATTTGTGGTTTAAGCAATATGCTTAGAATATCTAAAATATTTCTTTCCTTCTTTTAAAAAATGGTATCAAACTGTTTCATGTGAAATATGAAAAGTGCTTAGTTGCATATATTTGATTCTTTGCCACCCTTTCCCCTCCTTCAGAACTCTCAGCTCTTTCCTTGGTGTTTCAGAGCCTGGCTCATTCCCACCAACTATTTTCTTCATTAAGTCAAAACCAATAACCTAACTGCATTTGGGAAATAAGGGTGATAATTAAGTATTTGCTTCTCTTGGGATATGGGTTTTAAACAATAGATCATATACAAGATTCAGGTGCACACCATGAAGAGCGTCTAAGCCTGCTTGATACTTAAGGTGGGACTGAGGATTGCAGTTTGATTCAAACACCCACTGTATCAGAGCTCCAGAAACAACTGCCTCATGACATTGACTTGGCTCTACAAAGGGTCAGATTTTGCCCCTTGATACAGTCATTTGGTGTAGTCAAATTTTATGCCAAAATGGTTCCCCTACATTTTGCCCTCATATGCCCCTCAGCCCTACTACAGCATTACTTCAATGGGGGAAAGAAGGAGGGACAGCAGTCTTTAAAAACTAAAGTTGAAATCAAAGCAATTTAAACTGGAAATTCCACTCACAAGGAAACTGGTTAGGAAAGGAACTGGTTATGATAAATGGGTACAGGGTCAACAGTCAAGGCACAGTGATTAATTTAAAAAGAAACTATTTCTAAGTTCTGACCCCCAATCTTAGAGAGAATGAGGGACCTCAAAAGGAAGTTGTGTCTAGTATGTTTACGGGATAGAAGTCGTGGGAGATGTCAGGACACCGGCAGCACACCAGCCTGGATACCCAATCGGCCTATGGCAGGACAGCAGGGCACAGGGCATGTGAAGGAAAGACTAAGTCCTAACTCGAAACCTTTTAAACCTCTTTCCTCACCTCTGCATTTGAAATCTGGTGTTGAGACGAGGGCAAGCCCTACGGAAGAGAATTTGCATATTTTCATTTTGCCTAAATGCAATGAAATAGATTTAAAGAGAAAATAGCTTTGTCTCATTAAATCCTCCATTTGAGGCAAACTTCAGCAAAGCATAAGCAGAAAACAACATCTTAGACCAAAGGGCTCAATATTCACATTTTGAGGCTGTCACGAATCCCAACAACATGCTAGACAGAATTTATAACAATCCAAGAAAGCAGGATCCAGTAGAATAACTTATCTCACAGATGAACCGTGCATTTTGTTCCAAGTCATACAGGTCGATGCCAATGGGCCCAGGCCCTAGAGCAGCCCCTTTTCCAGGGCTGAAGCTCACATATAACATCTCTCTCTCATGAAGGAGGAAAACAGGAGATATTTGCAAACAGCTCTGTGGTCCTGAATCACATAGGAGTGTGGGGGAGGGGGCCTCAGGCTGAAGTTCTAGCTCTGCCCCGGGCTTCACCTTGTGAGTCCCTGAGAAATAGGGGTGATAACGGCCTCTCTGCAGGGTTGCTACAGGGGATTTAAAGGGATAATGTGTGCAAAGCACTTAACACAGCGTCTAGCACAAAGTAAACCCTCCATAATGACAGCTGTTATTATCAATTAGCCTGGCTCATTTCCTTTGTAAGAATCAGCTTTACTGACCCAGCAGAAATCTCTAAGCAAGAGTCCTCTGTTCAGGGGTGAGTCGTGCCACCTATGCACAGAGGCCAACCACATATCACAGACCTAAGTCACCCTTTCAGTCTCCCCTCAAATGTCCCTCTAAGGTGATGGAGTCGTGCTTGGTACCTCTACTTAGAGTAGTACCTACAGCCTCTCGCCCCTTTCAGTCTTTGCCTTGTGACTTGGAGTCTAGGCGTGGAGTAGGGGGATAAAGAGTAGGAAAGGGTGGGGCTAACTCAGAGACTTTAGCATGGGGAGGGGAAGAGCTGACAACTTTCCAGAAATTTAGCAAGCAGTCCAGGTGTTAGCATAATGTGCAAATTTTAGGAAAAGAGTTTAGAACAGGAAATGCAAATACGGCTCTCATTTTCACAAAGCAGATTTCTCTTACAATAACAAATTCTCTGGAATCTCCTAAATATCCAGGAAATAAAGGCGTACCCTATATCCTTTTAAATAAGGACATAAGCTGCAAAAAGTTCCGGCTTTACACCGGATCCTGAAAGACTTATCAGTCCTGTATAACAAATATCCAGTTTCTCCAGGAAAAGAAGCCCAAAGAGTCTTTAAGTCATACTTAGTTTTAACAGAGAAAGTAAACTGCTTTTTTATAGTATTTGTGACAATGACTGCAATCCTCCCTCTATCAGCCCAGTTACTTTTTCTTTACAGAGAGGTTCGGGAGGACTTTTAAATATTTTAAAAGTAAACAACTCTAATTTCAAAGACTTGCTTTCAAAATGCTGGCCTAATGAAGTTAAAAACCTAGAGAAAGAGTGAGTGACTTGCATTCTTGTACGGATTCCAACACATGACCAGCAGTTATTCTGGCATCCACACGTTGGCATTGGAGGTCAGCGCTAAAAACCTTTCACTGCCTCATTCTCCTGCTCTGAAAGACATTCATCTGGGCTAATCAAATAATAATGAGAATGAGCACTTTCTATGCTCCAGGCACTGTTCTAAACACTTCGCATGTATGGACTCACTCAATCCCTCTTAACCCTCTGGGATAGGTACCACCCTGTGTTGGTTCCGCGCGGCGCTCTGGCTTTCTTCATGCACCAGAGGAGAAACTGTGCTTGCACCCTCCAAGCTGGGGCTCCAGTCCATAGCGCCAGGTTCTAATTCCAGCTCTGTCACTAACAGCAGGTGACTCTGGAAGCCTGCTTAAGCTCCTTAGCTTTAATTTCTTCATCAATAAATAAAACACAGGAAGCATCTGGCTTCCATTGTCCTTTTTAATTCTGGTTATGATTTTCATAAAACCCCAAAGCCAAGAGCCTTAAAATAAGTCAAGTGTTCATGTATCCAATGAAATCGTGGCTTGGATTTCAGGCTTGGGTATCTTCTCTACTGGAGAAGTTTTGCACCAATGATTTGGGGCAGTGGATGGGTGGGGCCTTGCAAACTGGTCTGCTGAGAAAGAAAGCAAAGAATAAACATAGAAAGCTTGGAGAAATCTGCTTGCCAAATCTGATTTTTATCACAGATGACTCCAGTTACCTCAAGGAGTGTCAAGAGAACTTCAAAGTAAAAAAATTAATTCATTCACATTTTACATTTTAAAGTGTTGGTGGAGGTGGGAGGAGTGGCTCACAGAACTGTCAGTAACAGGGGCCTGGGAAAGTGAGGGTCCTTGAAAAAGTAGATAGTGTCACAGCCCAAGAGTAGAAATATATCTTCCTTTAAACTGCTATCTATCTTTCCACCTAGTAAATTTATGGAGATAAACATCAACCTGGCCAGGTGTGGTGACTCACACCTGTAATCCCAGCATTGGGAGGCCGAGGCGGGTGGATTACTGGAGGTCAGGAGTTCAAGACCAGCCCGGCCAACATGGTGAAACCCTGTCTCTATTAAAAACACAAAATTAGCCAGGCATGGTGGCACACGCCTGTAATCCCAGCTACTTGGGAGGCTGAGGCAGGAGAATGGCTTGAACCCGGGAGGTGGAGGTTGCAGTGAGCTGAGATAGCGCCACTGCACTCCAGCCTGGACAAAAAGAGCTAAACTCCTTCTCAAAAACAAAAACAAAAACATCAACCCACCATAGACAGACCCCGGTTCCGTAATTCTGAGCACAAACCCTTTGAGATAATGAAGTTTTGCAGCCGGAATTCTAGTTCAGTCCCAGTGCAGGTGTTAAAACTTGGGAAATAAACAAGGTACAGAACTGGAAACTGGGTAGTTCTCTAGGTGGCTGCAGCAGGGTGGTGGCTGGGGAGGAAAAATATAAACTTTGGAGTCAGGCAAAATCCCACTTTCTCACTCACTAGTCATCTGTTCTTCTTAGGCAAGCTGCTTCCTATCTTGGAGCATTGGTGCCTCTAATTTGAGAGAGTTAGTGCCTGCATCAGCAGGTTTCCATATTAATCAAATGTGAGCACGTGTGTGCAAAGTGCTTAATGGAAAAATAGAATATTTGATTATTAACTTTTATGCCCTCCTCCCTTAAAGAAAAAAATAAAAATAATATTTTAGATTTTTTTACAGGTACAGCCAAACCCCTCCAGCTACAGAATGCTCCTGGGTTGCCTGATGCAGGTTTCTGTAAATAAAAAAGCATTACGGCATTTGTGCGAAGTGTTTGGCACAAATGGTAACTATTCCATTTAGTTTTTGCCTTCTGTCTTTAAAAAAAATACCATAGTTCACATTTTTAAAATTTTCAATCCACTTTTTTTTTTTTTTTTTTTTTTTTTGAGACGGAGTCTCGCTGTAGCCCAGGCTGGAGTGCAGTGGCGCCATCTCGGCTCACTGCAAGCTTTGCCTCCCGGGTTCACACCATTCTCCTGCCTCAGCCTCCCGCGTAGCTGGGAATACAGGCGCCCGCCACCACGCCCGGCTAATTTTTTGTATTTTCAGTAGAGACGGGGTTTCACCGTGTTAGCCAGGATGGTCTTGATCTCCTGACCTTGTGATCCGCCCGCCTCGGCCTCCCAAAGTGCTGGGATTACAGGCGTGTCATTCCACATTTTTTTAAAGGTAGAGCAAGGATACTCAAGGCAGGAACTGTCCCTTGGCTGAGTAACATAGGTCTAAAGAGTTGGAAAAGAGAGGCTGGGGATGGTGGGGACCCAAGGCACAGAAAGTCAGAAAGCCATGGTTCTCTCTAAGATGGAACTAAAAGGTAAATATCTTATCCTCCTTTATCAAAGTAGTATCTGCATAGTTGTTTTATTTTTTAAATGATAATTTTTTGTCTCTTACTTGTGCTCTTTCAACATGTTCACCTAAACTATTTTTAAAATAGGGTTATTATGTTTATAATGACTAGAAAGAACTCATATCCAAGAAGCATTATCACTCCTAAAGTATGTCATTCTCTCTTTACCACACCCTAATAGTGAGGACAATAATTTACTCATAAAGACTAGTAGTTGGCATTTGTATGGAAGTTATTCAGCTATTGCATGAGAATTAAAATAAAATTATCTTCTCACCAAAGCAGTTAGTAATTACCCCAGGCTAAGGCTGAGGTAGAGCTCAGAAGAATATGAGTTCTGTGGATCTTCATTTCTCTATAAAATTAGTAACTTCCTTGCACATTAAATGAATTACGTACAACCTTAAATACCTATTTTCAAAACACAACCCCCAAATGCCCAGCCAGGTCAAAAAATATATTTTTTTCTCTCAAAAATCAGCCCATTTTGACCACTTTTGGCATTTGTCTTTGTCAGAAACGTTTTGCCAAAGTCCTGATTGCCTCTTCCCAGCCAGCAAAATGCTCATGGATGGTGTGTTTTATGACAGCAGCCCCTGGGGCTGGACAGCTCATGAGGCAGTCAGAGAAGAGACAGAAGGAGGGAGAGGGAGGAAAAGGGGTGTCGGGCGGGGGCAGAGAATGGGAGGTGAAAGTGAGAGAACAAGAGAGAGATGGAAAGGAAGGGACTCATACATTGTCTCTGTTGTCTCGTTTCTCTCTCAAATCCTCAGTCCATTCCAGAGAGAGGGTGTGTTTTTGGTAGACTGTCCTGGGCTCTCTCAGTTCTGTAACACATCTTTGAACTTCTGAGTACACACTAAGAATCTATTATCCCTATTCTATTCCCCATCAGTCTAGCCACCTGTCCATCTCCCTCCACGCTAACTATATCCCCTTCCTGTGTGTGTGTGTGTGTATTTCCGATGTATATACACATATGCGATAAATACATTCTCATGTTAAAGAGTATTTGCAGAGATTCACCTGAATGCACCCAAAATATGATGTACACAATACATATTCAATATCTTCTAAATTATTAAAATCAGGAAAGGAAGAGGATTACCAATTATGGATAATCCAATAGAATTCATAAATTATTTCTAGAAAATACTTTAATCAATGTAGATATGTTATACAATTTATAATTTCATTCTTTTTCTATGATCAAAGTTGCTCATGGTCATAGAAATTTTGAAAAATAGAACAAAAGAGAGGTGAAAAAATTATTCATAAACCTAGGATTTGGAGCAAGCTACTAGTAACATCTAGTGTGTTTGTTCCTAGTCTTTATATATAGCTTTAATAGTTACAATGTTAGGGTTTCTGAATTTTTCTATCATTGTGTTTTTCACTAAAAATAAAACAAAAAGCATTCTTCCTTGGTATAAGGTCTTCATAAACCTAATTTTAAATGACTATAAATAATTACATTGAATGAAGTATCATAATTTAGCTAATCATTTTCCTACTGTTGTATATATAATTTCTTCCCAATAGTTTGTCATCAACGCTGTTCCTACCGAACACCCCACACCATTTCTCTCATCCTCCTCAGGAAGCCTTTCCACATTTCATCCATTTAACAAATGTTGTTATCAGGGCAGCTGCCAGGATACCTGGCTAGACAAGAGACACACAGCAGTAGATAAAAAGAGCAGCATCCCTACAGCCACAGGACTTGTGTCCTGCCTGACCTCGTTTTCAACCTTCCCAAGGGTGGCCTCAATGCTTCGGGAATCTCTGTGCTTTGCTGATAAACCCTGTGCTGTGCCCTCCCACTTAGGCTCAACCACAATGCTAGCCCTTGGGGTGAGAGAGCATTTCAACGTGTTCCTTCTGATACCCTCTAGAGCACGTAGCATGAGGCTTTGCGGACTGTAAGCGTGCAGCAAATGTGGAAAGAGCCTCATTCCTATTACAGGGACCAGCCTCCCCCATTTGTGTGGTCTCTAGCTTCATACTTGTTCACTTCATTCCACATTTTCTGAGCATCTATTATGCTCCGGGCTGTGTGCTAGACAACGTGGGGAGAACAAAACATGATTTAATAACATTCCTGCCCTAATCCCTCATCTAGGAGGAAATATAAACCTGGCCCAATGGTAACTGTAATATGAGAAAGCCTTTGCCCAGCAATAATGATTATAACAGGCACCACTTATTAGGTGCTAATTGCGTTCTGTGAAAGTTACAGAACGTTACACAGCTTGCATACTTTACACAGTTCCTACAGACTGGATGTTATTATCCCCTTTTCTAGGTGACAAAGCTGAGACCCAGGGCTCTCAGGAACAGCCCCCACAAAGAGCCAGGGGAGCACAAAGGGAAGAAACATGACTCAACACTGGAGGGAACTGATGGGATTTCACAGGGTAAATGCTACATAGGTGGGGGCTCAGAGGCTCCCCAGCTTCTGGAAACCTGGAAATAGAAGGAAAAGGCACTCCAGCTCGAGGAAATCATTTCTATCTGGGATGCCTCTTCCTTTTAACTCCAGGTTTCCAGAAATTGGGAAGCCCCCAATTTAGAGAAGCCTTTGAGTCAGAGCAAAGCCATTGAGTCAGAAATCTCATGGGTATTTCAGAAATGGTGACCACACGTGGCATGAACTAACATATCTGTCAATAATGCTCAAAGGTAGGTTTGGTGGGACTAGGAGGCAATGGCCAGGGATGTCTGAGCATCAACTGTATGCCAGAGACTTTACCTATGTTATTTCATTTTGGCCCCTTCAGCCCTATGAGGTTAGTATTACTACCTCCATTTTAAGGATAAAGAAACTGAGGCTATGAGTAAGTGGCCAACTCTGAATATAACCACAGTCTTACCTGGCAGCTCTGCAGGGTGGTTAAGAACACAGGCCTGCACCCTTGGCCTCCCAAAGTGCTGGGATTACAGGCGTGAGCCACAGCCTGGCCAACATAGTGAAACCCTGTCTGTACTAAAAATACAAAAAATTAGCCAGGTCTGGTGGGGGCCCCTGTAATCCCAGCTACTCGGAAGGCTGAGGCAGGAGAATCACTTGAACCCGGGAGGTAGCAGTTGCAGTGAGCCAAGATCTTGCCACTATACTCCAGCCTGGGCAACAGTGCAAGACTCCGTCTCAAGAAAAAAAAAAAGAACAGGCCTGAGTACTTAACTTCCTTGTGCGTCAGTCTTCTCATCTGTGAAATGGCCATGCAGTGGCACCTTCCACATAGGGAAGTTGTAAAGACTAAATGAATGAATACATTGAAGTGCATGGAGTGGACGAACTGCTCAATATGTACTACTGACGGTGACGATCCTTCCCCTGCTCTCTGGCTCTGTCTGTCACCTGGCTCTCTGTCCATCAAGGCTTACATCCATGACTACAACAGGGCCATTTCTTCCCTTCCCTGCCTGCTCATGACACTCACTAACGGGGCCAGGCACTTGGAATTTGCAAACACTCTCTTGTTTACTCTTTTGACATATTCTTGGTTGTACCCAATATCTGGATTTTTTTCTCCTTTCAACTCTTTTTTCTCTTGGAAAGCAGTAGAAAGTCAATTATTTTTCTTATACTTCATAACACACTACCATACCAGCCCAGTATTCCACAGATCCCAGCATGAATTTTCATGCTTATTGAATAGCATCTATTTCCCAAGGTCTTTGATGCAGAGGGGACCCAGGGGATAGATTGTTCACCCTCCATATCTGCGTGTTCTGCACTCATGGATTCAACAACCAATTATGCATGGAAAATATTTGGGGAAAAAAGCATCTTTGCTCAACATGTGAAGACCATTTTTCTTGTCATTATTCCCTAAACAATAGAGTATAATGCTTACTTACATATCAGTTACATTGTATTAGGTACTATAAGTCATCTAGAGATGATTTAAATTATATAGGAGCACATGTGTAGGTTGTATGCAAATGCTATGCCATTTTATAGAAAAGATTTGAGCATCTGAGGACTTTGGCATTGACACAGGTGCTGAAATCAATCCCCCATGGATACAAATACAAAACAAAACAAAACAAAACACCATACTACATGAGGCGAGTGGAAAATCTCTTTCATCATTTCTCAAATTGGGTCTCAAGTCTTAAGACAGCCCACAGGTGTGCTAGTGGGCTGCTTTGCAGGAAGCTGGCTGAGGAACAGGGTGTCCCGGGCCCTGCTAGGACAGTAGGAGGAGGTCTGAGTCAGATCTCCCAGAAAGGATGGTGCCGACATCAGGGCTGTCCTCAGAGGCCAATAGAGAGATGGGTGATGACAAAGAAAGTCCCGGCTTGGGGCAGGACGGCTGGCACCAAGTGGCCAATATCCAGGCCAGGAGAGGTGGAAACAACTCCACTAGAGACAAATCACAAGTCACCAAAGCAGACCCTCTGCCAGCAAGGACTCCATCAGCTACTGGCTACACCGGGCCCACCTCCACCCAAAGGGATTTAAAACTTCAAATTGGGGGAACCTGAGCTCATAGTTGCTGATTTTATTTACGGCTCATATCCCTTCATTGTTCACCAGAGGCTCGTGTGTTTTAGTGTTTTGTGTTTGTGTGTGTGTGTGTGTGTGTGTGTGTGTGGTGGGGGGAGGTATTTCATTTGAATTTATTTATCAATTCTGTTTTCCTGTTTTTAAAATTAGTTTTCTGATTTTGTTTCATTATTGCCTCCTACTTGCTTTCCTTGGGGTTTGTTGTGTGCATGAATTTTTTTGTTTTATTTTGCTATTTTGAATTTCTTCATTAGATTTTTTTATCAATAATACTTTTAAAAATATTTATTCTCATAAGAAAACATATAAGCGACCAAGAAACATGAAAAAATGCTCATCATCACTAATCATCAGAGAAATACAAATCAAAGCCACAATGAGATACTGTTCTCATACCTGTCAGAATGGCTCTTGTTGAAAAGTCAAAAGATAACAGTGGGAATGTTGGTGGGAATATAACTTAGTCCAGCCACCATGGAAGGCAGTTTGGAGATTTCTCAAAGATCTAAGAGTTGAACTACCATTTGACTCAGCAGTCACATTACTGGGTGTATATGTCAAAGATATAAAGTAATTTAACCCAAAGGACACATTCACTTGTAGGTTCATCACAGAATTATTCACAATAGCAAAAACAGAATCAACCCAGGTGCCCATCAACGGTGGACTGCATAAAGAAAATGTGGTTCATATACACCATGGGATACAACACAGCCATAAAACAAAACAAAACAAAACAAAATCTTGTCCTTTGCAGCAACATGGATGCAGCTGAAGGCCTCCATCCTAAGTGAACTAATGTAGGAATAGCAAAACAAATAGCACATGTTCTGCCTTACTAGTGCAAGCTAAACATCAGGTACTCATGGACATAAAGATGGCAACAATAGACGCTGGGTATTACCAAAGCAGGAGGGAGGGAGGGAGGCAAAGGCTGAAAACCTATCTATTGGTTATTATGCTCACTACCTGGGTGACAGGTTCAATCACACCCCAAACCTCAGCATCATGCGGTATACCTTTGTAACAAACCTGCACATGTACTCCCTGATTCTAAAAGTTGAAAAAGAAAAAAAATGTAAAATGTAAATAGTTGATGCACAACAACATGAGTTTAGTACCTACTATGTGCTAGGCCTTCAACAGCACTTTGCATATATTAACTAATTTAATTCTTACAACCACTACACGATGCAGGTGCCATTTTCATTCCCATTTTCCAGATGAGTAAACTGGGGCACAAAAGGTTAAATAACTTCACAGAATCATGCAAACAGCACTTGGCAAAGTCTGGATTGAAACCCTGGGCACTCTGCCTCTAGAGTTCACCTATAAGTCACCACCTGTGTGCCAACCCGTAACAGTAATAGCCAGCATCACTTGTGGGCTTAGTGTATGCCTGGCTTTTGTTAAGTGCATTGCATTTGTTGCCTAATTTAATCCTGAAGCAGAGAATGTTATTATCCTTGTTGACAAATGAGCTAGCTAAAGCTGGAAACTCAAATTCTGGCTCTGCTTCTGAGTGCCAGACTTGGGATTTCATCCAAATGTGTCTACTGCAGAGGCTGTGTCCTACAGACCCTCTTCATTGTCTTCATATGTTTTTGAATAGTAAAAAGCTTTAAAACTATGAATTTTCTTGAGTTATTTTAAAGGAGAATTGTAAAATTCCAAAGGGGAAAAAAAATGCAAGCTAAGTTCTCCAAGCAATAATAACAATAAGATCTTGCCCTGCAGTTCTGGTTGGAGAATCGAAACAGGTACTACAGACTGTCTCCACCCGCACAGGGCTGGGGTTGCCGGCGGTCCTTAATAGAGAGCTTAGGTTTCCCAGCTCTGGGCTCACAGCGGACTTGGAACTTTACCCACCAGGTCTGATTGAACTTTAATGACTCTTTTCTGTTTGGATGCTCACGCCCAGAGACCTGCAGGTCATAGGTGTGTGTCTGTAAATCAAGTGATGAAGAAATAAGAATTGGTGAAGACCAGGCTTACCCCAGGAGAGCCTGCGGGGATCCCATCAGCCGCTGGGATTGCGCAGCTCCCTGGGGTTGGGCACCTCATCATGGAGAGACAGATTGAAGAATTAACTCCTCTGCAGCTGGAGGATATGAGGCTGAAGGCTCCTACTGCTACGTCTTGTCATAAACTTAAGTGTCACATTGGGAGGTGATGCTTAGGGTTATGACAGCAGTAGCCTTCTTTCCCCTCTCCTCATCACCATAAGAAGAGGAAAAACAAAACTGAAAAGGAAAACAAAAAGCAAAGGAAAGCTAGCATTTCTTGATCACTTACCAAAGCCACATATGATTTCATTTAATACTCAGCTGTGGCTGGGTCCAGTTAATCCAACTGCAGTGATTCTGCACTTGTGATGGGACTTGGGCAGAGGAAGGGAACCTAAGACCATGATGGACGCGGAGCCACACTGGAAGAGAAAGAAGGAGTCAGAGAACAAGCAAGAGCCTCAGCATCAGGAGACTCAGCCTTCTGAGCATTGCCTTGGCTGTGGTCATCACACCGTGTCCTAAGAAAAATTTGCCTGACTTAAAAATAGAGATAGTACATTTTTAAAGAAAACAAAAAATAACCTTTAATCCCACAGCTTGAAATAACTCCAGCTGGTATAGGAGAAAAATGAAAATACACATGCGTGCTTAGAAAATCCAATGTATAGCGAAAGGAAGAAAATGGAAGGTAATCTTCCCCTCTTTTTACTTTCAACATTAGTAAAAATTTTTGTTTTTTACAAGAAAGACATGCATGTATCAGTATTTATGATTCTCTCTGTATATATATATATAAAATACATATTCTGTATATTTTTGCACAATATATTTATACATTATGGTCACACAAAACATATATTTAACACGAGACTATAATATGCCACGATATACCATTCATCTCTGTGTGATATTTCATTCTAATATCACATAAGCACAAACCTTATAATTCATTCTTTTTACCAGTTGCATATTTGCTCACCATATGGATATATCATAAATAAGTTTTAGTGAGTACCCTACTGATGGACACTTTGTTTCCACTTTTATTTTCCTCCTCCCCCTTCAAAATTACAAACAACATGGCAGTGAATAAACTTGTATATCTGTTCTGGAATTGTTTACAAAAATATGCATATGTTCCAAAGATAAATTCCTACAAGTGATCTTAGCAGCCAAAGGAAGCAAACATGCATTTCCACTTCTGGTAGATATCACCAAATTGTTGTCTAGAAAGGTTATACTAACTTAAATGTCCATCAATAGTGCATGAAGCCCATTTTTCCACACAATTGCCAGCACCAGATACCATGAAACTCTTTAATTTTTGCCCAGATGATAAATTATGAAAATTACTGCTGCTTTTATTAAAATATGAGAGAAATTGTTCATGTTTTTCATTAGTTGCTTATTCACAAACTTTGCACATTTGTTTCTGTTGGATGTTACTTTATTTCTTATTGAATTTTATGAGCTCTTTGTTAATTAAAAAATTTAGCCCTTTGTGATGTAACACTTCCTTTTTTTGTCTTTTCACTTTCTGTATATAACTTTGCTTACAGATTTATTCATTTATTTATTTTAATAGATGGGGTCCCATTAGGTTGCCCAGGTTGGAGTACAGTGACTATTCACAGGAGTGACTATCCCATACTATACCCCTGAACTCGTGGGCTCAAGTGATCTTCCTGCCTTAGCCTCCTCAGTAGCTGGAACTACAGGTGGATGCCACCAAGCCTGGCCAGGTTTTAAATTTTAAATCACCAACAGTATCATTTGATTATTTTATGGTCTCTCAATTATGTATCTGCTTTATAAAAGCTTGTTAATTTTTTGTTTTCTGAAACTTATATAGCTTTGTATTGTCAAATGTTTAAATCTTCACTCCAATTGTAATATCTTTTGTTAAAAGGAGTAATCTAGCTTATTTCTCCAAGTTCTTGCAAAATCATGAAAAAAAATCTCTCTTTCTCCCACTGATTTTTAAATGTTATTTTGTCTTGTATTTAGGACCCACATATATTTGTGTCTATTTCTGTTCTCTTCATTCTATTTCGGTATGGAAGGCCTGTGCATGCGTATCTGGGTTAGTGTGGGTGGGGGTGATTTTCTACCCCTGAATTTATTTTCTCCAAGTATTTTATTTATTATAACTGCAAAATGCATTTTAATATCTGGTAAAAGTTGCCTCCTCTCATTTTCCTTTTTTTTTGGATGTTTGTTTTTTCAGGTGAATTTTGCATAACTTTGTTAAGTTTCAAAAAATTTTGATAACAACAACTACAAAAATCCTTTTGGTGTTATAATTACATTTACATTTTGAAATTAATTTTGAGACAGATGGTGTCTTTATAAAATTGAGGCTTTCTATGCCAAGAGGCTAGTGCATCTTTTGTTGGTACGTAACTATTTTTGAGACTCTTGCGTTTAAAGTTTTCTTTATTTGGGACCTGCACATATGCTAAATAAGTTAGCATGTAGATATTATATCTTTGGTTGACATTGTTAATGAAATTTTTATTCTATTTATATTATTATATAAATATATATTACATGATATAGTATTTATATCTATTATTTCTTTATTTTGTCTAATTGAAATGGTAACCACTTCCAGTATAATATTAAATAATAATTATAATGATAACCATTCCCAGCTTTAAAGAAGACATTCTACTATTTGCCACTAAGCATGATTCTCACTTTTGGTTTGGTATACACACACACACACACACACACACACACACACACACACACGACATTTATCTAATCCCATTTTTTTAAGACTTTCTGTTGTGTTTCTCATAATTAGAAACGAACGTTTCTTCTATATTTTATCATATTAAGGACTTACCTATATATTCCTGCTTTTGAGTGTTTTTTTAAAAATCAGGGATGAACTTGGTCAAGCTCTTCTAATACATGTTAAGATTATCAGATTTGTTTTGACATAATAATGTGATGTATTATATCAACAGATATTCAAATCTTAAGTTCTCTCGTGTCTTCTAGGGTTGAATCTTAGTTGGTTGAAGCAAATTACTCTTCTTTCTGTAATCCTGAATAGTTTCCAATGTGCTAACATTTTATTAATTCACATTATGTTTATGTTTATATTTGTGAATGATATTCACCTATAATTTGTGCCTGTGCATGTATATCTGGGTGAGTGTGGGTGGGGGGGAATTGTCAGTATCAGGGTGTACATATTTCAGCTGTTTACTAATCTCACCTTCACTAGCCTTTGAACCCCCTAAGATGAAAAACTGCGTCTGATTCATGCTTGACTCTCTGGCACCAAGCACAGTGCTCAGTACTGAGATGGCACTCAATATTTGTTTGAAGAGTTGAGTTGGTGGTAGATAAAATAAAGTGTTAGTAGTATAAGCCTATTCCTAAAACCATAGGAGGTATACTTATACTGAATAATTATTTATTGCCTATCTGAAATGAAGATTTTAACTGGATGTCTTTTACTTTTTTTGCTAAATCTGGCAACTCTAGTTTTTGGAATAAAGAAAGCAATGATCTGGTCAACATCATGTACTAGAATGATAATGACTGATACAACCAATCACATTGATCTCTCAGAGGGACTCTGAAGGGTGCAGCAACACAGGCTTGCTAGACCTGGGAGCCTCTGGGGGTGCCTGTGGAGGAGCTGCTTGTGGGAGTTTCACCTGGCATCCCTGGACATGGGGGATAGGTCTGTCTCATGACTTGAGTACTCACCTGGCTTTGGGATATTACTACAATACAAAGAAAATAAAAAAGGAGACCACGCTGGGTTTATAGCAATGACTAATGCAATAAAATAGAAAAACAAGTAAATGGGCATGTTTAGTGAATGAAAGTAGTGATTTTCTTTTTGTTAATTTTGCCTTTGGCACTTGGCTGAGACAGCCAGACTGAAGCTCCTAGACCTTGTCATGCTCAGTGGAAACAATAGCAAGCCAACAAAGACTTAAGTGTAGGCTTATAGACATCAAGTCATCCTTAATTAGGCCTGGAGAAAACCATTTGCTGGGCGAGCCTGGTGGAGGCCGGGCAGGCAGCTGCCCTGCCTTTTTCTAAACTCAGCCTGGGGAGGCGTCGGGCTGCAGCTCCATGCCACCCTGTCCTGCATGGTGATGGACAGAGTGAAGGGGGCACATTTGGCTGCTCAGTGGATGAAGAACTGTCATTGGAGGGGATTTCCTGGACAAGAAAAAAACTTTAGGAACCTCAGTAATGGGAAAGAAGCAACAATGCCAAAGCTTCCTGTTGGCTGGGAACATTTGGAGATGATAAACACTCAATCTCATTAGCTTTGTTTTATAGCCAGAAAAAGCCCTATTTCTTAGTCCTTCATAATGTGTCCCCTTGCTACTTCTCAGCCTTATCTCTCAGCATTGCCCACCTTGCAGAGCACATTCTCGTCATGATGGATTTTTTTATTTCCTAGGAGGCATCAAGTTCCCAGCTCTGGACCTTTGAGCATGCTTCCGGTTCTGCTTTGAGGCCTCTCTGGCCATGATTGCTTCCCTAATGACCACTGCTTCAGAGAGACCTGCCCCAACTCCACCCGCTGCAGTGGCATGGTTGTGCCTCTGCACTCTGACAGAAGACTGGCTATGCAGCTGTCCAGTGTTGAACACAGCCTTGCATTGTAATTGCTTAAATGTCTGTTTCTCCAACTGCTCTATGACCTTGTTAAAGATGGGAACCATGTCTTAGTTTGCTTACCCCTGACATAGAGGAGCCTCAATAAATAATAAATCTTAAAAGTTTAATAAATAATGGTCCAGGCTTTTCCCAAAGACAAAGAAGGAAGGAGTTCCCAGTGAATTGGGCACAGTCCTAAACTGAGTGAGTTAGTCTACAATGGTGGACATTTTATTCCACTGATTTGTGGATTGTGGTCAATTGTGAATACTTAGAATGGGTTCAGCCCTCTGCTGGCTGCTGTGTGACATGTGAAGACAGAGATGAGACACATGACTTCCAGCACATTGTCATCCGCAGTCCAGTAGAGTGTACATAAGCATAGAAAACAGCTATTAATAGTAAGGCAACCTGTTTTTAGAAACTTATAAGATAATGCATTTACCCAGCCATCAATCCATAAGAAAATACTCAGGTATTTCTTAGGAATAGCTAGGTGCTTGTAAAGAAAGAATCATGTATTGAAAAGAAAGCCAACTCAGGTTTGAATACAGGATCTACTATTCACACATTGTGTGAATTCGGACAAGTTAAGAAACCTCAGTTGAACCCCAGTTTCTTAATATATAAAATGAGATCATAATAAAAGATGAGGCTCAAATGAGATTATGCCTATGAAGCACTTAACACTATACCTGACATTTGGTAGTATCTCAAGACATGATAGTTGATGTCATTCTGCAGGATGTTCAACCTCGAGATATTGTGAATGCTCAGGTATTTGATGTTACATAAACAAGAACAGTAGAATATGAACATTTTCTGTTATTTTTTGTGGTAATTTATTTTTTAACTGTGGAAACACATTGTGGGCTCATCTGCCACACTTCTATGATAGTGGGGGTCGTTTTTAGTACTCACTCCTGAATCCTGTGAATTGCCTTAGTTCCTAGAGGGCCAAACCAAGGCATTGCATATCTGGATAAATGTTACCAACAGCCAAGTTCAAGTTTCTACAGGCTCCTTTTGTCTCATACTTGCTCATCCACTGCTCTTCTCAGTGGTGGAGAGGTGGGGTCAGAGGATGGGAGGCAGGGAGATCTGGTTTGCTAAAGAAGACACAAACCTGAGAGTTTCCTACCGCTGTGTGTCACCAAAACACAGATTCTCTGCACAGATTTAGATTTTCTTCTTATATTGTGTGGGAGAGGCTGCTATTCTCTATCTGTCTTTAGGGGAAACAGGAAAGAAACCCCTCTGGACATCCAGGGTCACTCAGAATTCACTCGCTTAATACTTCTGGGTGTAATTATTGTATCCCCCCTCCTGAGGGGGTGTCCTCAGCACCTCCCACTCTTCCTTGCTTACTCATTAACTTCTGTCTTTTCCAATGGATGTGAGCCCCTTTGGGACACAAGCAGTGTCTGGGTCACCTATATTCTCAGCACCTAGTGTAGTACCTGCCACAGAGGAAACACTCAACAAATATCTGATAAACAAATGAAAAACATGAACAAATGAATCAAGCAACAAAGAAATATTTTAACTTTTAAAGCATGGTTTTATTCTCTTTCTGGGAGATCATTTGCATCTGGGAACAGTCTACCTAGAATTGTCCCCATTTCTGTCTGTTATGACACTTTAGACAACACTTGCTTCTATACCAGAATCAGTATCCATAAAGCTTGCATGGGATTCCAAAGGCATTCCCATGCGCATGCCAGAGCCAGCTGTGTCTTTGGCCAGGCAGCTAAGGAGGAGCTGGAGGATCCCAGCCACCCAGCTGTCCTGGTGCTGTGACTCCCAGAGCCTGGACGCACACATCTGCCTGGAAGCATCTGCCATGCACACACTGTTTCTACTGGCCCTGGCTCCAGTCTCCCTCTGGGAGATTTTCCCTGACTTCCCCAATTACATGAGCATCTTCACACATGTCCGCACATACCAGATGCTCTTTTCAGATGTTCCAGGTCAGAACTGTTTCTTTGCAAAATTGTAATGTTCCCTCAAATTTTCACTTTATATTCCTCCTTCTCAACATAGGTGTTTTATCTTCTGTCTGTCCCACTAAATGGTGGGACCATCTCTCAGCAACACAGAGTATCTTCATAGCTCATAAACACCTTATTCTGAACAGCTCCCTCTCATGTTCACTTCTGTCTCACTGAAATCAGGGTTAAATTTATCTCATCAGGCAAGATGGCCAAATAGGAACAGCTCCAGTCTGCAGCTCCCAGCAAGATCAATACAGAAGGTGGGTGATTTCTGCATTTCTAACTGAGGTACCTGGCTGATCTCACTGGGACTGGTTAGACAGTGGGTGCAGCCCACGGAGGGCAAGCTGAAGCAGGGGGGGCATCACCTCACCCAGAAAGCACAAGGGGTCAGGGAACTCCCTCCCCTAGCCAAGGGAAGCCATGAGGGACTATGCCATGAGGAACAGTGCGTTCCTGCCCAGATACTACACTTTTCCCACGGTCTTTGCAACCTGCAAACCAGGAGATTCCCTCAGGTGCCTACACCACCAGGGCCCTAGGTTTCAAGCACAAAACTAGCCAACCATTTAGGCAGACACCGAGCCAGCTGCAGGAGTTTTTTTTCATAATCCAGTGGCACCCGGAATGCCAGTGAGAGAGAACCATTCACTCCTCTGGAAAGGGGACTGAAGCCAGGGAGCCAAGTCTTCTAGCTCAGCAGATCCCATCCCCATGGAACCCAGCAAGCTAAGATCCACTGGCTTGAAATTCTCACCGCCAACACAGCAGTCTGAAGTCCACCTGGGACACTCAAGCTTGGTGTGGGGCTGGGGTGTCTGCCATTACTGAGGCTTGAGTAGATGGTTTTCCCTTCACAGTGTAAACAAAGCCGCTGGGAAGTTTGGACTGGGTGGAACCCATTGCAGCTCAGCAAAGCCCTTGTAGCCAAACTGCCTTTCTAGATTCCTCCTCTCTAGGCAGGGCATCTCTGAAAGAAAGGCAACAGCCCCAGTCAGGGGCTTATAGATAAAACCCCCATCTCCCTGGGACAGAGCACCTGGGGGAAGGGATGGCTGTGGTTGCAGCTTCAGCAGACTTAAACATTCCTGCCTGCTGGCTCTGAAGAGAGCAGCAGTTCTCCCATTACAGCACTCAGGCTCTGCTAAGGGACAGACTGCCTCCTCAAGTGAGTCCCTGACCCCTGTGCCTCCTGACTGGGAGACACCTCCGGGCAGGGGTCGACAGCCACCTTATACAGGAGAGCTCTGGCTGGCATCTGGCAGGTGCCCCTCTGGGACCAAGCTTCCAGAGGAACAGGCAGCAATCTTTGCTGTTCTGCAGCCTCCGCTGGTGATACCCAGGCAAACAGGATCTCGAGTGGACCTCCAGCAAACTCCAGCAGACCTGCAGCAGAGGGCCCTGACTGTTAGAAGGAAAACTAACAAACAGAAAGGAATAGCATCAACATCAACAAAAAAGATGTCCACACAAACCCCATCCGAAGGTCACCAACATAAAAGACCAAGGGTAGATAAATCCATGAAGATGAGGAAAAACCAGTGCAAAAAGGCTGAAAAATTCCAAAACTCTGCTTCTCCTCCCAAGGATCACAACTCCTCACCAGCAAGAGAACAAAACTGGATCGAGAACGAGTTTGACAAATTGACAGAAGTGGGCTTCAAAAGGTGGGTAATAACAAACTCCTCCGAGCTAAAGGATCATGTTCTAAACCAACGCAAGGAAGCTAAGAACCTTGAAAAAAGGTTAGAGGAATTGCTAACTAGAATAACCAGTTTGGAGAAGAACATAAATGACCTGATGGAGCTGAAAAACACAGCATGAGAACTTCATGAAGCATACACAAGTATCAATAGATGAATCAATCAAGCAGAAGAAAGGATATCAGAGATTGAAGATCAACTTAATGAAATAAAGTGTGAATACAACATTAGAGAAAAAAGAATGAAAAGGAACGAACAAAGCCTCCAAGAAATATGGTACTATGTGAAAAGACCGAACCTATGTTTGATTGGCGTACCTAAAAGTGATGGGGAGAATGGAACCAAGTTGGAAAGCACTCTTCAGGCTATTATCCAGGAGAACCTCCCCAACCTAGCAAGACAAGCCGACATCCAAATTCAGGAAATACAGAGAATACCACAAAGATACTCGTCAAGAAGAACAACCCCAGACACATAATCATCAGATTCTCCAAGGATGAAATGAAGGAAAAAATGTTAAAGGCAGCCAGAGAGAAACATCAGGTTACTGACAAAGGATAGCCCATCAGACTAACAGTGGACCTCTCTGCAGAAACCCTACAAGCCAGAAGAGAGTGGGGGCCAATATTCAACATTCTTAAAGAAAATAATTTTCAACCCAGGATTTCATATCCAGCCAAACTAAACTTCATAAGTGAAGAAGAAATAAAATCCTTTACAGACAACCAAATGCTGAGAGATTTTGTCACCGCCAGGCCTGCCTTACAAAAGCTCCTGAAGGAAGCACTAAATATGGAAAGGAAAAACTGGAACCAGTCACTGCAAAACCATGCCAAATGGTAAAGACCATCAACCCTATGAAGAAACTCCATCAACTAATGGGCAAAATAACCAGCTGGCATCATAATGACAGGATCAAATTCACATGTAACAATATTAACCTTAAATATAAATGGGTGGCTAAATGCCCCAATTAAAAGACATAGACTGGCAAATTGGATAAAGATTCAAGACCCATCAGTGCTGTATTCAGGAGATGCATCTCACATGCAAAGACACATGTAGGCTCAAAATAAAGGGATGGAGGAATATTTACCAAGCAAATGGAAAGCAGGGGTTGCAATCCTAGTATCTGATAAAACAGACTGTAAACCAACAAATATCCAAAGAGACAAAGAAGGGCATTATATAATGGTAAAGGGATCAATGGAACAAGAAGAGCTAACTATCCAAAATATATAAGCACCCAATACAGGAGCACCCAGATTCATAAAGCAAGTTCTTAGAGACCTACAAAGAGACTTAGACTCCACACAACAATAGTGGGAGACTTTAACACTCCACTGTCAATATTAGATCGACGAGACAGAAAATTAACGAGAATATTCAGGACCTGAACTCAGCTCTGGACCAAGCAGATCTAATAGACATCTACAGAACTCTTCACCCCAAATCAACAGAATATACATTCTTCTCAGCACCACATTGCACCTATTCTAAAACTGACCACATAAATGGAAGTAAAACACTCCTCAGCAAATGCAAAAGAATGGAAATCATAACAAACAGTCTCTCGGACCACAGTGCAATCAAATGAGAACTCAGGATTAAGAAACTCACTCAAAACTGCACAACTACATGGAAACTGAATAACTTGCTCCTGAATGACTACTGGGTAAATAACAAAATTAAGGCAGAAATAAATAAATTCTTTGAAACCAATGAGAACAAAGACACAATGTACCACAATCTCTGGGACACAGCTAAAGCAGTGTTTAGACAGAAATGTATAGCACTAAAAGCCCACAGGAGAAAACTGAAAAGATCTAAAATTAACACCCTAACATCACAATTAAAAGAACTACAGAAGCAAGAGCAAACACATTCAAAAGCTAGCAGAAGGCAAGAAATAACTAAGATCAGAGCAGAACTGAAGTAGATAGAGACATGAAAAACCCTTCAAAAAAATCAATGAATCCAGGAGCTGGTTTTTTGAAAAGATTAACAAAATAGATAGACTGCTAGCCAGACTAATAAAGAAGAAAAGAGAGAAGAATCAAATAGACACAATAAAATATGATAAAGGGGATATCACCACTGATCCCACAGAAATACAAACTATCATCAGAGAATACTATAAACACCTTTATGAAAATAAACTAGAAAATATAGAAGAAATGGATAAATTCCTGGATGCATACACCCTTTCCAGACTAAACCAGGAAGAAGTCAAATCCCTGAATAGACCAATAGCAAGTTTTGAAATAGAGGCAATAATTAATACCCTACCAACCAAAAAAAGCCCAGGACCAGACGGATTCACAGCTGAATTCTACCAAAGGTACAAAGAGGAGCTGGTACCATTCCTTCTGAAACTATTCCAAACAATAGAAAAAGAGGGACTCCTCCCTAACTCATTTTATGAGGCCATCATCATCCTGATACCAAAACCTGGCAGAGACACAACAAAAAAGAGAATTTCAGACCAATATCTCTGATGAACATCGATGCAAAAATCCTCAATAAAATACTGGCAAACTGAATCCAGCAGTACATCAAAAAGCTTATCCACCACGATCAAGTTGGCTTCATCCCTGGGATGCAAGCCTGGTCCAACATACACAAATCAATAAACGTAATCCATTACATAAACAGAACCAATGACAAAAACCACATGATTATCTCAATAGATGCAAAAAAGGGCTTCGATAAAATTCAACACCCCTTCAAGCTAAAAACTCTCAATAAATGAGGTATTGATGGAACAGATCTCAAAATAATAAGAACTATTTATGACCAACCCACAGCCAATATCATACTGAATGGGAAAAAACTGGAAGCATTCCTTCTGAAAAGCAGCACAAGACAAGGATGCCCTCTCTCACCACTTATATTCGACATAGTTTTGGAAGTTCTGGCCAGGCAATCAGGCAAGAGAAAGAAATTAAGGGTATTCAAATCGGAAAAGAGGAAGTCAAATTGTCCATGTCTGCAGATGACATGATTGTATATTTAGAAAACCCTATTGTCTCAGCCCAAAATCTCCTTAAGCTGATAAGCAACTTCAGCAAAGTCTCAGGATACAAAATCAATGTGCAAAAATCACAAGCACTCCTATACACCAATAATAGACAAAGAGACAAATCATGAGTGAACTCCCATTCACAATTGCTACAAAGAGAATAAAATACCTAGGAATCCAACTTACAAGGGATGTGGAGGACCTCTTCAAGGAGAACTACAAACCACTGCTCAAGAAAATAAGAGAGGACACAAACAAATGGAAGAATATTCCATGCTCATGGGTAGGAAGAATCAATATCATGAAAATGTCCATACTGCCCAAAGTAATTTATAGATTCAATGCTATCCCCATCAAGCTACCATTGACTTTCTTCACAGAATTAGAAAAACTACTTTAAATTTCATATGGAATCAAAAAAGAGCCTGTATAGCCAAGACAATTCTAAGCAAAAAGAACAAAGCTGGGGGCATCATGCTACCTGACTTCAAACTATACTACAAGGCTACAGTAATCAAAATAGCATGGTACTGGTATCAAAACAGATATATAGACCAATGGAACAGAACAGAGGCCTCAGAAATAATGCCACACATCTACAACCATCTGGTCTTTGACAAACCTGACAAAAACAAGAAATGGGGAAAGATTCCCTATTTAATAAACACTGTTGGGAAAACTGGCTAGCCATATGCAGAAAACTGAAACTGGACCCCTTCTTTACACCTTATACAAAAATTAACTCAAGATGGATTAAAGACTTAAATGTAAAGCCTAAGACCATAAAAACCCTAGAAGAAAACCTAGGCAATATCATTCAGGACATAGGCATGGGCAAATACTTCAAGACTAAAACATCAAAAGCAATGACAACAAAAGCCAAAATTGACATATGGGATCTGATTAAACTAAAGAGCTTCTGCACAGCTAAAGAAACTACCATCAGAGTGAACAGGCAACCTACAGAATGGGAGAAAATTTTTGTAGTCCATCCATCTGACAAAGGGCTAATATCCAGAATATACAAGGAACTTAAACAAATATACAAGAAAAAAACAAACAACCCCATCAAAAAGTAGGTGAAGGCTATGAACAGACACTTCTCAAAAGAAGACATTTATGCAGCCAACAAACATATGAAAAAAAGCTCATCATCACTTGTCATTAGAGAAATGGAAATCAAAGCCACAATGAGATGCCATCTCACACCAGTTAAATTGCGATCATTAAAAAGTCAGGAAATAATAGATGCTGGAGAGGATGTGGAGAAATGGGAACACTTTTACACTGTTCATGGGAGTGTAAATTAGTTCAAACATTGGGGAAGACAGTGTGGTGATTCCTCAAGGATCTAGAACCAGAAATACCATTTGACTCAGCCATCCATTACTGGGTATATACCCAAAGAATTATAAATCATTCTATTATAAAGACACATGCATACATATGTTTATTGCAGCATTATTCACAATACCAAAGACTTAGAACCAACCCAAATGCCCATCAATGATAGATTGGGTAAAAAAAATGTGGTGCATATACACCATGGAATACTATGCAGCCATAAAAACGATGAGTTCATGTCCTTTGCAGGGACATGGATGAAGCTGGAAACCATCATTCTCAGCAAACTAACACAGGAACAACAAACCTAACAACACATGTTCTCACTCATAAGTGGGAGTTGAACAACAAGAACACATGGACACAGGGAGGGGAACATCACACACCAGTGCCTGTCAGGGGGTGGGGAGCTAGGGGAGGGACAGCATTAGGAGAAATGCCTAATGTAGATGACAAGGCGATGGGTGCAGCAAACCAGTAGGCACATGTATACATATGTAACACATGTATCCCAGAACTTAAAGTATAATAAAAAAAAAAAATTCTCATCCAAGGTATTATGGTATTAGACTTTTGAAAAGAAAATGTGATATGATATTTGACTATAACAGTTTTTTTTTCTGAAAAGAGAGTAACAACAGACATTTCAAGATAGTAAAGAAGATAAAGATGATATTTTTAGAAAAGCAACGTGGGAGGTTCCTGAATGGATGTCGCCTAGGGTCTGCGCCGGCGTGCTGAGAAGACTTATCCTAATGCCAGGACTGTGCTCACTAAGCATTTGACAGACGAGAGATGAGCGATGCCAAGGTAGGTAGAAACATTAAGGAAATCCGAATGTTTTTACAAGTTGTCCAAGAGCAAAGAGAAATCCAAACTTGCCTGAGAACCCTGGACTGTTATTTCTTAATGATGATGATGAGAGAGATCTGCTTAGTAACTAAATATCATGCATTAGATGTGCCTCATCATGGGTTGAGGGCACTTGGAGACTTTGTTTACATCTCATTTCCTTTGTTTTGGAATTCTGTGGAAAGTTCTGCTCATTATTCATTTTTTTTTTTGAAGAGTTCAAAACTCTATTCTGAAAAGGTGACTGATCCAGCCTACTTGAATGATGCTGAGACTTCTTGAGTACACGAAAGAATCAGTGGGAGGTGACGTCCTAGTGTGTCCAAAGGAAGATTGCATTCACTCGCTATTTAAAAGCCAAAAAACATTGGCAAAAAAAAAAAATCTCAGGAAAATTGTGTTGTAATGTTAAGCTTTAGGCAAAGCCATCTCCTCTTAACTCATATACATAGCTAAGATGGATAAAATACAAAAATTACAAAGATAAAGCTATGCTCAAAAACATGCCATTTCCACAGAGCAAAAAAGAACAGAAATACAAAATGCAAACGGGTTAGAAATGATGAAGCAGGGACCTACTGAACTCCAGGTCTAGAAAAAGATAAAGGTGAGAAGAAATTTGTGTCCTGTGGCTAACAAGCTGAAAACATCCCCCACCCCCAAACACACACACATGAAACAGGAGAGCAGAACTGAGCTCCTTGGTTGAGAGCAGACACTGAGGCAGTTCATCCCTACCCATAACAGAAAGCTGGAGAAGTTGTCCACATTGACCTGGGGACAGAAGTCTATAGTAAAGACTTAAGATAAGCATTTTTGCTGGCTTATAATTCCTAGGGGAATGAGAACCCCACACCATCAATATAAAAACATGGTTCTTGTCTTAAGGGTTGCCAAGGGGAGAGAGGGAGGTAATTTCAAAGCCCCTAGCTGCTAAGTGATGAGCAGGAAGAAACAGAGAGAGAGAGAGCAAGACTGAAAAAAAAAATCTTATCCAAATGAGCTTGAAAATCAAAATTATATATATATATAAAAGAAAATAAATGATAAAAATGATGTTTGAAAATTAAATTAGACTTTTTACCCCAAATAAAATGAGAATAAGAAGAAATCTGAAAATGACTTTAAAATATGATTATGTTCTGAGAAAGACTGTAGTTGGTAGTTGTAGACTACCAATTTTACTGTAACAGCTAAAAATCCAGATAGATTGCAAAAGTTGTGCTTTTAAAGATACTAGAGTGCTGTAGAAATGAAGAGAATTAAATGAACTAAAATTCCAGAGAAGAGAAATTCTTTCTGATGAGAGTAGTCAGTTATTGGCTGTTTCTTTCCTCTGGGTGCATTTGCCAATTTTGTATTTGGTTGAGGACCAGATCTAACAAACACAAAGGGATTTGTTAGAGAAAAGAGAAATGAGCAAAGCTTTTGGAAGTTGTGCAGGGCTGGCACGACAATTTAGAAACCTTGGGAGCCATTAATGCACAGCTGGCTTTCGCTATGTTTCATTTTCTAAATTCTAAGGCTGTACAAAAGGCTATGGGATTTTGACAAAGTGGGATAAAATCTCTTGATCTCACAGTATTTGGGAGAAAATTTCCTGCTTGAGGAGTGTGGCCCACTGCAAACATACACCTACTCTCCTCTCCAAAATATTTTCCAAATTTCCAAAGGGGCAAAAATCCAAACCTTCGAAGGTTGAGACTGAATTTTTCCCAGTGTTCTAAGATTGAAAAGATAGAAACCAGCAGCCTGTCAATCAAAAGTTCAAGAGAGATACATCCAAGAAATGGAGAGGAAACAGAGGTGAATGAAATAAATCTTAGCAAAACTGCAACCAGCCTTAACCTAGCTTACGCTGTGATTAGATCAAGGTGGTCGGCCCCTTACTAATATGCCTAACATAAGGGACAGAGAGCTCTCTCTTGTGAAAGATATTATCTGTAGCCTCTACAATTCCTTTTAATAAAATGTCTGGCATATAACAAAAAAGGTACTAGATATGCGAATCTACATAAATAATCAAATGGACCTTCTAGTATTACAAAATACAATATCCAAAGTTAAGAATTTTAGAAATAAATTTAAAGATATGTGAGTAGAAATATCCAATCTGAAGCTCAAAGAGAAAAACGAATGGAGAATCAAAGTCGAGCATAAGAGACGTAAAGGAAATAATGTAAAGGACTGAAGTACCTGTAACTAGAGTCTCACAGGAGAGGAGAGAGAATAAGGACAGGCACTATTTCTAGAGAAAATTTTGCAAAGCTGATGAGAAATATTAATCTACGGATTCAGAAACCTTAAGCAATGTAGATACAGAAAAAAACACACTTGAGGTTATAGTGAAGCAGCTGGAAGACGCAGGCAGAGAGATAAATATCAAAGCATGAAGAAGGGGTGGAAAAGGGTATGTTACTTCCAAATGATCAGCAATGAGGCTGGAGGCTAACTTTCCAATAGAAACTATGAAAGTCAGAAAACAGTAAAATAACATATTTAAGATGCTAAAAAGGAATATTCCAACCTAGAATTTTCTTCTCACCAAAAATATTTTTTTACAAACTTAAGCTGAAAAAGAACCTACCTACTAGAGATCTTAGAAATGAAGTATAGACATTCAAATACAATACTTAGTAGACAAGATTCCAAAACAAACTATAGATTGGACACAAAGAACAAACTGTGAAATGTAAGATAGTTCTGAGGACTTATCCCAGGTTCAGCACAGAAAGATAAAGATATTCAAGACTGTAAAATGAGGTTAAAGCTAGCTTATAGGGAAATGGATAGCTTTAAATATATTTACTGAAAAATGGTGTTTCAGTTGAAGAAATTAGAAAAGCAGTAACAACCTAAAGAGAACAAAGGAATTAATAGTTACATGAGCAGAAACTAATGGACTAAAAAACAGACAGTAATAAATCAGCCAAACAAATCAGCAAAACTAAAAGTTAGTTCTTTAAATAAAGACAAAATTTAGTGAGTCCAATCAAGCAAATAGTAGAAAACACAAAGAGACAATATTAGGGACTACAAATAAGACAAAGCTACAGAAACAATAGAGATGTTCTGTGTGTGTGTCTTACTACATACTCTCCTTCAGTGTATATATTCATGTATGTATATATTTTTTGTATATATTCATTTATATTTATATATATGAGTATACATTTATTTTTATATAATTGATATGAATATATTTTTTAAGTAAATTTTAAAAGAATGATGAACTGTCTGGAAAATGTAAACCACAAAAATTGACTAAATAAGAAATAAAAAGCTAAGTAATCCATAATTAACTATTACAGTATTATTGGAGTAATTACATAGTAATTACTTTAACATATATATTAATTATAGTATAAAGTAAATATATCTTCTAGGAGTAAGGCCATATTATTACAGCCAATTATTAAAGTAATTGATTAAGTCAATTAATTATTAAAGTAATTGACTCTGTAATAATATACCTTACCCCTAAAATATGTCAATAGATATTTTTAGGTGACGTTTTACAAACCTTCAAGGAATAGATAAGTTCTATGTTGTATAAGGTGTTTTGAAAAATCTAAAAAGCAGGAAAGTGTCCCAACACATTTTATAAGGTAAAAACTCAAACATGACATCAAAACTGGCCAAATGTGGGCAAGAAAATAATGTTGTCCAATCTCATTTATGAACATTCATACAAAAAAATCTAAATAAAACGTAGCATATCAAATCCATAATTTTAAGAACAAAAACGTTTCAAGACTAACAAGGCTTATCTAAAAAATACAATATTTAGACATCAGTATGTGTGTGTGTATATATATATATATTTCCATTAACAGAAGAAGAAAAAATATGATACTCCTTCAGATGCAAAAAAATGCAATTGTAAACCTCAACATTGATTTTGATTAAAAAAATGTTAGACCATCCTGGCTAACACGGTGAAACTCCGTCTCTATTAAAAAAATACAAAAAAAATTAGCCGGGCGTGGTGGCGGGCGCCTGTAGTCCCAGCTAGGCAGGACTGAGGCAGGAGGCTGAGGCAGGAGAATGGCAGGAAAATGGCAGGACTGAGGCAGGAAGCTGAGGCAGCAGAAAGGCGTGAACCCGGGAGGCAGAGCTTGCAGTGAGCCGAGGTTGCACCACCGCACTCCAGCCCGGGCGACAGAGCGAGACTCCATCTCAAAAAAAAAAAAAAAAAAAAAAAAAAAAAATGTTAGAGATCTAGGAATCTCTTTAACTTCATAGACTTTATCTATCTCAAGAAAGACAAGAAGGAAGTAAAAAAGGACAAAAGGAAGGGAGGGAGGGAGGCAGGGAGGGAGGAAGGAAGGTAGGTAAGGAGGAAGAAAAAGAAAAGGATGAAATGGGTGGGAAAAAGGAAAAGTTCTTAGAAAACAGTAGCAACATTTCCTTTAAGCCAAAAACAACACAAGGAGGCCTACCATCATCCCATATTATGTGAGGATTGCCAATGGAGAAAAAAGATAAGAAAAAGAATAATTGGTATAATATTTCTTTCATGGATTTATTGAAGTATAGGTGATATATAATAAGCTACACATTTAAAGTGTACAGTTTGGTAAGTTTTGACTATATATATATCTGTGAAATCATCATTACAATAAAAATGATTAATATATTCATCACTCACAAATTTCTTCATATACCTTTGTAACCTCTCCCTTATGCCTTTCCGGAACCCAACCTCCAGCCCCAGGTAACAGCTTATATACATTTTGCCACTGTTTATTAGGCTGCAGCTTCTAGAATTTTATATAAATGGAATCATGCAATATATACTCTTTGGGCTGGCTCTTTAGCTCAGCATAATGATTTGAGATTCATCCATGATTTTGTAGTTATCAACAGTTTATTCCTTTTTATTGCTGAGTTACCATCCATCACATGGATATATCATAATTTGTTTATTTATTAACCTGTTGATAGACATTTGGGTTGTTTCTAGTTTGGGACTATTACAGAAAAAGCTGCTATGATCTGTGTGTTAAACATAATACCAATCAAAATCCCAGAAAATTTATTCTTTTCAAAATAGAAAAGCTGATTCTAAACTTCGTATGAAAATGCAAATAATCTAAAATAGCCAAAACAATGTGTAAAAACAGTACTTAATAAACTGGTTTCAAGATTTATTATAAAGCTACTATAATCAAGATAGTGTGGTTTTGACAAATAGATAAGCATATTGATCAACAGAACAGAATTTCAATTCCAGAAGTAGACTTCATATTTATGGCCAATTGATTTTTGGTAAAGGTGCCATGGCAATTTAATGGAAGAAAGGACAGTCTTTTCAGCAGTGCTGGAACGATTGGATAGACATGTGCAAAAAATTAGAAAACTTTGAGAAGAAAACATAGGTAAACATTTTAGTGACCTTTGGTTTGGCAAAGATTTCTTCAATACAACACACATGCAAAATGAACTATAAAAGAAAAAATCAATAAATAGAACTTGATAAAATTGAAATTTTCTTCTTGTCAAGGATACTGTTAACAAAATGAAAAGACAAGCCATAAACTGGGAGAAAATATTTGCTAAATATCTGCCTAAAAGAGAATTTTAATCTTGAACACATAAAGTACTTTTACAAGTTAATTGCAAGAAGATAGATAACTCAGTTATAAAGACTAGGCAGAAGACGTGAACAGACACTTTATTAGGAAAGTTGGCCAGATGACAAATAAGTACATATGAAGTACGAAACTTCATAAAGCATTAAATTAGTCTATAAATTCAACATAATTCCATTCAAATGACAAAAAGAATGCAAATGAAAACCACAACAAAATTGTCTACTCACTAACTAGAATGTCTAAAGCTAAAAAGGCTGACCATATCAAGTGTTGGCAAGGGTGTGGAATAACTGGAAATTTCATACCCGGCTAATAAGACTTGAAAACCATAAAACCACTTTAGAAAACAGACTGGCAGTTTCTTAAGTTAAACATACACCTACCACATGATCAAGCCATTCCATTCTTCATCCAAGAGAAGTGAAAGCTCTTGTCCATGCAAAGATTTGTACATAAATCATCATCATAACAGCTTTATTTGCAATAGTCTAACACTATAAGAATTTGAGAGTAATAAAATGTTTTTTATATTTACACTATAAGTATCTAATTAGAAAATCCAAGCAAAATTTTGAAGCAATAAGAAAGTTCATAAAGATTTCTAGATTGACATTAAAAAATAGTATGCCTATACACCAAAGAAAAACCAATTAGGAAATATTATAGAAAAAATAATCTCCTAAAGATTTACAAATTTTAAGTTATTTAGGAGTAATTTAACATAAAATATTTTCAATAAATTTAATAGAGAAAAATTATAAAATACTGAGAATAAAAGATAATCTGAACAAATAAAAATATAGACTATATAAAACAATTTGAAAAACATGGCAATTCTAGTTAAATTAGTCTATAAATTCAACATAGTTCCATTCAAATAACAAAAAGAATTGTCATGGAGTTAAAAAAAATGCTAAAACTCATATAGAGGAATAATGGGCCAACAGTAGCCAAGAAAAGGCAAGAAGAGCAAGGGAGAAGATTGGCTTTTCCAGATATTAAAACCAATTATAAAACTATAGTAATTAAAATATGGCATTGGCTCAGAGATACACAAATAGGATAGTGGAGCACAGTAGAAATCTTAGAATGATGCATAGAAAAAACCTTTGTAAATGATGGGAATGTCATAGCAAGTCAAAAGGGAGAGGAAAAACTAATCAGTGGTTTGGGACAACTGGGGAAAAATTAATTGCAATTTCTATCTTTTCATATGGCAGGGAAAATACTTTCTATTTATATAACTAATAAACACAGATGGTTAGTATACAGAATATGCAAGGAATCCTACAAATTATTAGTAAAAAAAAATTACCTAATAGAAAAATAGACCAAAATATGAATAGTCATTTCACCTACAAGAAAGTTTGATTGAACAACATATGTGGGAAATAATATTCAATTTCATTAATAATTTTAAAAATGAAGTTTTAAGCAATTACACATGCATCAAAAAATTTTGAAAGTTTCAGCATACCCGGTTTCCAAGTATGTGGGGACTTGGGAACTCTCATACACTGCTACTGGGAAGGTAAATTGGTATAACCTTTTAGGGAAGTAATTTGGCAACATCACGTCAAGCTGAAGAAGCTAACAGCCTATGACCTAGGATATGAGTCATAGACTGAGAAAATAGCATGAATTTCAGATCTTTTAGTGGGGATCAGATTGGCATGTGGCTAACTTTGTACTTTGATCTCTTTCCAAAAGCATTTCCTAAAAAGGAAAGAAAGAAAACAAAAGGAAATTTTTAAAAAGGAAAAGAATGACAAGGAAAAGTTTGGGTCCTTCACATAAAATTACTGTAATCCATTGTTTTGCCAACTGCTGGTCTCATTAGCATGTGTCAAAAATCAATTTTGTAAGTTATAACTAACATTTTTTAAAAATATTATTTGTAAATATGTGGCTTTTCTACCATACTTTTTACTTTTTATCATAATTAGCAAGAGCATTATTTTATGAAATTTTGGTTTCAGGCATATGTGTGTGCATGTATATGTACACATGTATGTGTATATACTGATTTGCAATGTAAAATATATTTATTTCTGTGAGTTGCAAGCAAGGAAGTTTGGAATACATTGCTATGAGATACCACTGTAAGTCATTTGCTTATAGCAAGAATGGTGCCTGCCAGCAAATCGTCTTTCTTTTCAAATCCATGGACCCATATGGAGAAGGAACCTCGCCACTGGGTTGCCATCTGCACTGTGCTCTCAGACACTGAGCTAAGTAAACAGTGCTGAATAAGGAACTGATCCAATAAGGTAGTGTGGTCAGCAGAGTGCAGTCCCACAGCGCTGAAAGAGTGAGCAGGCAGGTGTCCAACTGACACCCATGTGGAAGAGACACTATTTGGAAGATGATGAACTCTGAAACTATCTGCATTGAGGAAATAATTAGTGTGGATAATTTACTCCTTGAGGTTATTGATCCACCATGCTCTTACAGCAAAGAGAGGCAACAAATCCTAGGAACACTAATGTTTTCCAATTTTATAGCATTTCCGTGAAGATCAAAATAAACCAAAGAGAAGACATTCTTCTTTCCTGTCTCCTAGTTGGTGATAATCTCTTGCCCTGAGAATATTGCATATATTTCTGTCTTTGGCATCTAAAAGAGTTGGGATAGAAGTGAGAGGTATTATGATAAGCAGTGGACTTAGGATACTGTTATACGAAGTCTAATTAAAGGGCATAGACCACTTTACTCTGAGAGGAAGGGCTGAGGAGGGATTAAATGGGCATTTATAAAACCTAAAAGGGCTTGGCCACTCATGCCCTGAGTACTGAAGTAATGGTGGTTACCATCGGCATTGCAGGAAAAAGAGACCTACATTATCAACATGGGCTAAATGAATGGAACCTTACCTAAAAGTTGATACAGATAATGTACTATTTCAAAATGGGTCTGGATAAATCATGAGTGACAAATCTACCCCTGATTAATAACGGAAACCAGAGCCATTTAAGACATATCCCTAAACTGACTTGAGGAGAGAGAGATATATGTATTTTTCCTTGGTGACCTTCATCAGGGAAAAAAAAAATCCTGGCTGGGAGAACATGAAACTGACCTCATGAGACACTTCTAAGGCCCTGATGTCTGACAAGAGACACAGTCTCTTACACCAGTGACATCAAGCCACTAACCAGTCAAAACCCCACTGCTTCTCTGCAAGTGGAAGAAGGGTGATCTCATCTTTATTCAGCCTGACTCCAGGCATACTGAGAGCTCTTTTCAGTGCTCTCCTTTGCTTTTTCCAGCAAATTCCCAAAGGCCTACCAAGACCAGATGTGAAAAGAGGTGAAACACAGATGCAAACGTAAATTCTTCTCTCTGTGACAGTGATTGCTCAGCCATGCATGCCACCACCCATGTGAAAGGTATGGTTCACTCAGAAAAATCAAGTGCACATGGTACTAACATTGCTCAGGTTTCCAGAGATGGAACTGGGATCACAGGTGATATGTGACTGTGTGACTACTGGGATGATCACTCGGGTGGTGTGGCTGAAGGAATGAAGTTGTTTCCCTTGTGTGACTCTATGGAAGTTAACTTTTTCTTATGGCCATAGTGTGAATCGAAGGCCACAAGAGAAGTTAAGGGTTATATTGAAAGGAAAGTCAAGGAAGGCAATAACATTGGCCTGGAGCTAAGGGCACGTGAGATCATCTACCAACTCCATTATTGCTGCATGACTTGAAGGCAACCACTTGACCTAAGACCTCACTTTCTGTTCCTATTAAAAAATAGAATGGGAAGGTTCTGACCACCCTGTGACTCTATAATCCAGCCTGTGTCTAACATCAGAAAAACTCTGTAAAATGCTGTAGTGCAAAAGCCAGTGTGTGTATGCCCAATCTAGATAAATAATTCCCAGACAAAAGATGTACCACCCAGAAGAAATTGATTGGCTAAATCTAGTGGGGTGGTCAGTGCTCCTGTCTCATGGTATTGCTCCTGTTACCTTGCTTGCCTTTCCTGATCTTCATCCTTGGTTCCCAATCCCTGTATAATTAGCTGCTTCTCAACTGGTCTCCCTACATCTCCCAGTGACCTCCCAGGAAGCAATTCTGACTGTCTCAAGACCACGTCTCTTGGAACACAGAGGGATTCTGATGCTACTTTCTGCCCTATCTCCCCCTTTGTCCCTGCCTTGTCCGGTGTTAAGAGCTAAAACTTGGGAGAGAGCCAACCAACGCAAGGACTTGGGAAGAAACCCAGGCCTTCATGTCCCATCTCAGTAGCAAAAAGATTAATCTTTGCTTTTTACAGGGTAAACTAGATTAGCTGTCAAATAACTTTTCCCCAGATTCTAACTATATGACAAGAGAAAAACTAAATTGCTTTCAGGATTTAGTATCAGAAAAATTGGGTTCTTACTTCTCAAAATGAGATGGTTAGAATCAGTGCTAAGATTAACATGCCTTTTTCTCTCTGATTAGTGTGAATGTCACCACCAAACAGCCAGTCAACAATAGAATAATTACACAACGAAGCTTTGATGATGATGATGATGTCATTTATTGAACAGTTACCATGTACTCTTCTAAGCACATTGCATGTACTAACCCACTTACCCTCTCTCCAGCCCCCACAAAATAGTTATTATTATTCTCCTTACTTCACAAATGAATAAAATTAGGGGCACAAAGAGGTTAAGTAACTTGTTGAAGATTCCACAGCTAGCAAGTGGTTAACAGTAAGTTTCTAACACAGTCTGACTCCAGGAAACTTCTGTGCCTTTGATATGTTTATTTCCTGCTGGAATGCACCTATTCATCAAATATTTATTAAGTTCTCACTATGTGCGAGGCACTTGCCTAGGCTAATGGGTTACTGCCCTCATAAAGCACTTTATCTGGTGAGGGAGACAGAAATTAAACAAATGATTACACAAAACATTTGAATTATAATTGTCATTGGTACTATGAAGAAGAAGCCGAGTGCTTCCTGAAAAAACCGTAACGGAGAGAATGGAGCCCTGCCAGGGAGTCAGAGAATGTTCCCTGAGAAAGTGTCAATCAAGCTGAGAGGTGAATGGTGAGAAGGACGGAGGGAAACATGTACCATATCAAAGGAACAGCATGTGCAAATGTCCTAAGTCAGGGACTAGCTCAGTATTGGGGAAACCAACAGGATAGGATGATGGAGTCAAGCAAGAGAGGGATGAGAGAAGAGCAGGGCAGGAGCCTTGTGGTGCAGATCTTTGTGAGTCAAAATAAATCTTTGGCTCTTTATCCCCAGAGCTACTGGCAGTCCCATTGGTTATCTCCCTTTGTGCTCCAAATCCATCCTCCACCCTTTCCAAGTGTGCTCTGATCTGGATGGCGTATATCCACAAGCTCCCCTACCTTCTGGCTTCTAGTTGGGTTCCACCAATGGGAGGCACATGCAGACAGATGATCAGAGGACAGGCGAACATAGAGGTCAAGACGTCTGCTCCCCAGGCTCCCTCCTTGTGTGTTGTGGCTGCAAAAATTCCTCTATATAAGACCATAAACTTTGCTAAGTAGTGCAATCCTTTAGCTATTACAGTGTTTCTCATCCTTTTCTTTTCTTCATTATTGCTCCCCCACCCCTGGAACTTTGTAATGCATTTTGTGTTCCTAATGGTTCCCCAGTGAAATTAGTTTTATGTAGCCTATGTATATCCGTGCTCTGTACATAACAAAGAACCTTTTTTTAAAAAGCCCACAACCAATTTCTGCCCCCTTGAAGGGTGATATTACCCATGTTGAGAATGCCTGAGTTACAGCTGCTCCCTCACCATGACCCTCAGTCCAGGGGCAGCCCTGGGGGTGCAACATCATTCCTTGTTGGTTTCCCTTACAGCTGCGTGAACTTTTAAATGTTTACTATTTGAGTGAACCATCTCCTTCCAACCAGATTGCTGACTGGTACAGTAGCCATTAAAAAGCTTGAAGAAGGAGGTTGGCATTTTACTCCAATTTGCATTTTAAAATTGCATTGGGACCAGGTGCAGTGGTACATACCTGTAACCCTAGCACTTTGGGAGGCTGAGATAGGAGGATTGCTTGAGGTCAGGAGTTTGAGATCAGCTTGGGCAACATAGCTAGACCGCATCTCCACAAAAAATAATTTTAAAAAATTAGCTGAGCGTGTTGGTGGATACCTGTGGTCCCAGCTACTTGGATGGCTGAGGTGGGAGGATTGCTTGAGCCCAGGAGATTGAGGCTGCAGTGAGCCATGATTGTGCCAGTGTGCTCCAGCCTAGGTGACAGAGACCACAACTCAAAACAAATCAAAACACTAAAGGGGGTAGGAGTGAGTGAGGGCAGACCAATTTTAAGGCCATTAACATAGTGCCAATTGCAGGGAATGGTGTTCTACATACCAGAGGACATTTTTCAAATTTAATCCAAATGATTATTGTCACTACATTAAACTCAAGTCTCTGTGTCAATTCCAGCAATAATGACCTCTTGAAGGAAAACACAGTGTGAGAGTTTCCTCCAATTCATATTATCATCTAAACCTTTGTAAAATTTTCAAGGAAGCTGAGGAAGGGAGCAGATGAACTTTCCTCAGCATTTTAGAGTGATATATAAAGAAGAAAAGCCAAAAGCTCAATTCTGTCTATATTCAGGGTCACAGACCAAATGTATTCTCAAGCCCTTCAGGGTACAAAGCAAGCCACAGCAGGAGCCACCACTGATTGAATGCCCCAAGTACTGTACTAGGCACTTTAAATACATTGTCTGATTAATTACTCCAATAGGGCCAGGAAGAGTGGCTCATGCCTGCAAACCTAGTGCTTTGGGAGGCCAAGGTGGGAGAATCACTTGAGGCCAGAAGTTCAAGATCAGCCTGGGCAACATAGTGAGATCCCATCTCTACCAAAAAAAATTTAAATTTAAATTTAAAAATTTCTTAAAAATCACCTCAATAGCCATGCAGCATTTGTCATTATTTCCCCACTTCAGAGATGAGTAAACCAAGGTTCAAAGAAATGAAGCAACATACCTAACATCAAACAATAGTATATAGATGGTACTTTCTATCATTTAAAAGTCAAACTTATTTTAGCTACTTAACAATACTAAACTTAATATGATCCTGTCTATAGAAAGAGCATAGTTGGCAAATAAGTTTAATTCCTCATTTCAACTCCATCTGATTGGAAATGACTGCCTGTAGAACTGTAATGAGAAGAATTCTGAGACTGAACTAGGCAAAGTCAGAAACATTGTTATAATTTGTTAGTGATGTCTGTCATAGACAAGAAAGTGGGGAATGGGGCATACATGCCACTTCTTACAGGCTTCTGCTACCCAAAGAGATTTAAAAATCAATAGCTCTTACCTTGTGCTTGCACCCAGCCAGGCTCCAACTTGCACTGACTGTTCTCATGGTGTTAAGTCTACCTAGAAGTGTGATGTTCTATTTTCAAACAAGATTTATGTCTATTACTCCACAACTTAGGCCAATAATCCTGTAAAACTAATGTGTGGGAAAAGTCCTCTTTCATTACCTGTCATACACTCAGCATGCTGACATTTCCAAGGCTCAAGGAGCTATTTTCACATAATATCACTCAGCCAAGGAGATATGAACTGAATTCTCTGGAATCTTCCCTGCTGCCCTCCCCCAGACAGGTTCTATGGTCTCTCATGGAATAGAGACTACAAAGAGAAACACTCGAAAGTAACTGTTACCCCAGGCAAGCTCTCTAGGATTCCAGGGTAGTGGTGTTTTTATCTGGCAGAGGAACATGAAACCACATAAAACAGAAAAACCACTAGCTCCTCCAGTAGGGGAAGACAGTTGAGAATGGAAATCACAAACATTTAATTGTAGCTAAATATGAACAGATCTAGTAAATCATGAAATATTCTCTGGTATTCTATTTATTCATTTATTAATTCATCTAAGATGTGAAGAAGACAATGTAATAAGAACAGAGTGTCCTCCCTAAGTTGCAATTTGAGCAATAGTTCTCAGCAAACAGAATAGAAGCAAGAGAAGATACAAGCACAATGACAAGACCATATGGCATCCTGGCCAGCTGAGTGACAGCAATCACAGTCAATAGGCAGAAGGAATTCTGCAGCCCTGCGGACCACAGAAGACTTCACAGAGAGAACAGGGCTGCTATGAGCTCTGAAAGTGGGCAGACATTGAGTTTGTTCTGCTAAGACAACTTTACTACAGAATGTCTCCCAAATCTCCAAATGTGTCATGGATAAGCCAAACTCACAGTGATCAACCAGTGCCTGAAACATCAGTGCTCAGCCTAATTTTACAATAAAATGAAGATACCAAATATGTACCTTGAAGGCAGTTGTAAATAGTCAAAGGAATTAATACAGTGCCAAAATGCATGGTAAGCACTCAAGAAACATTAACTTTTATTGGCAGCATTACTATTATAATTTCTGGTATTATATACATGGCAGACAATAATCACAATGATGATTATACAACTCCTGATGACATTCACAAATATTGGGGCAGCTACTGTATCTGGATCTCCAGTGACTAACATCTTCTATGTTCAATTGTATTTTCTTGTTTATTCCACACCACAGCTCTCTGCAGATAGCTATTACTCTCCCCAGGCTACAGATGAGAAAATTGAAGCTCAGAGAGTTTAAGTGGACTCAAGTCTGGCTGTCTTAATTATCACTTGATGCAAAAGCTAATATATGCACCCCCAGCCCAGACCGGTGAGAGGGGAGGGAGGGAGAAATTCTCCACACTGTTTAGATATCATTCAGAAGAGCCCAACTACGATTTAAGTTTTAAACTCCCCATCTTGATTTTTTAGGTTTCTCCTGGTTTCTTCCCGGCTTCTCTCAGTGTCATATGGTGGTCAAGAGCATTGGAGCAGGCCAGTTGTGGTTGCTCTTGCCTGTAGTCCCAGCACTTTGGGAGGCCAGGAGTTCAAGACCAGTCCTGGACACAGGGAGACCCAGTCTATTAAAAACTAACAAATAAAAAAATTAAAACTAGCCACATGTGGTGGTGTACTCTTGTAGTCCCAGCTACTCCAGAGGCTGAGGTGGTAGGATCACTTAAGCCCAGGAGATCAAGGCTGCAGTGAGCTATGATGGAGCCACTGCACTGCAGCCTGGGTGACAAGGGAAGACCTTGTCTCAGAAAAAAAATAAAGAAAAACAAAAACAAAAACAAGAATTTAGAACCACGCCTAGCTCAGGGCAACTACTTTCCTCATTGGGTCGCTGTATGCATCTGCCCCATAGGCCCTTCCTGACCCCTCCTGGTTTCTTCACCATCTCTCAGCCCACCCTCCACCCCAGGAGTCCTGCATTGCCCCCCACCCCACAAGCGACTGAACTCTGGCAGCAGCTGCAGGCTCGCCTATTGTTGACCTTTGTCCTGTCCTGTCCCCAGGCCCACCATGACTGCCTCCTTCAGTGAGGCTAGAATGCCTGGATCAATCACCACAACAAACACACATAACTCCCTGAGCCTCCCCTTCACATTCCTTACCTCCCTTCCCTTCTTTTCTAGGAATTTTGAGTCAGGTGCCCTTCTTGTACCCCACCCTGTCCCTCAAACCTCACCCCTCTCCCGTCACCCCAGTTCAGTGGGTTTCCTGTCCTCTGACATGAGTTGTGCCCCACCCTCTGCTCAACCCTCTCTCTTTCTGCCTTTGTCTCTCCAAGGTGTGGGCAAAAGGGACACAGGTGTGTGGGCAGTCAAACCACTTGGTAGGGACGCACTGTGGGAGTCATTCTTTTGTTCATTCACATAGCTGTGTGCACCAGGGCCCTGAGTAGGGCAGCTCTGGGAGGAGAGTCTTGCAAGTGCAGGGTCCAGGTCCAGTCTTTATTTAAAATTTTAATCGTATATTCCATGTGAATTATTTTGCATCAGTTAGGGACTTTTTAAAGACTTACATTAAAATGTGATCTATTTAGATTACTAAGCTTTGGGACACTTGAGGTAAGTGTCTTGTTTGCCTCACCTAGTTCAGCTCTCTGAACACAAACATATGATCTACATACCTCCCCTTCAGTTTTCCCATCTGTGAAATGGACATCATACACCCCCTGATGGCTACTCTCAGGGCTAAATGATGGGACATATCTGAAGAGCTTAGTACAGTGCTCAGAGCACTGCACTTCACAAATGCTGTGGCTACTACGGCCCGCCGAAGGGGAACCAGTGCTTCAGCCATCCATGCTTAGCCTCACATTCATCTTTTCAGACCCTCTTTTGCAGTCTTCTCTCTCTCCCTCCTCCAACCACTCCTCAAGGGTACCTCACCCCAAGAATCACCCCAGTGGCCTACCAACATGTCAACAGAATCAAAAACTCTGCAAATGAAATTTCTAATTTTTTTTAGCATCAACAAAATTGTCATGCAAATGATGCATATGGCAGACCTGCAAAGTCAAACCAAAGAAAAGATGCTACAACTTTAAACATCACACTTAAAAAAAAAAAATCTATGTCTTTGCAAAAAACAAACACTAACATTAAAGTTCCTTTGTTGAAAATCTACCAAAACTAAAGAGGTAATAGCATTGGCTGCCAAGGGGCGGTACTAACAGAACAATGAAAGAGACCTCGTAGTCTGGAGATGGAGGTGGAAGGCAGAGAAGTGAACCCTAGAACAGCTATCATCTTGGAAAGAATAAAGATGGTTTTGACTATCAGCTTTCAATGTAACCACCCTCCAAAACTGAAGAGAGTCCATCACAGGAAGAGTTTTCCCTTGTCAGTCAGCAGAGATATTTTTAAACGAGGTCTACATTAGAATTGTCCCTAGCCCCCAGTTTGACATCCATTGTATCCCACTGCAGTCATGCTTCACTTAATGACAGTGATGTTCGGAGAAATCCATCATAAGATAATTTTGTTCTTGTGGGAACATCACACTGTGCACTTGCACAAACCTAGATTGTGAAGCCTACTGTACACCTAGGCTATACACCTGTTATACACCTATAGTATAGCCTATGGCTCCTAAGCTACACACCTGTACAGCATGTTACCATACTGAATATTGTAGGCAGTTGTAACAAAATGGCACGTATTTGTATATCTAAACATATCTCAGCGTAAAAAAGGTACAATAAAAATACCATGGGGCCACCATTGCATATGTAGTCCAGCATTGGCTAAAATGTCATTATGGTAGGCATGACTGTACTTCCCCTACTTGAAGGGAAGTTTAATTCACATGATTCTGATTGATTTACACCTAACTCCTCACAACATTATACTGAGACAGCTTTTGGAGAGTCAGAAAAATTCCAATCCTTCTTTCATTTTCTCATGCTGCTTCCTCAATTCCCACCTCCCTCATTTTGTGGACCTGGACTCTTCCTTTGGCCAGCCATAAATCACCTTCACCTCAAAGGCTGCAGTTGAATTCCCCACTTCCAGCCCAGGATATTTCTTTGGGTTTGCAATTTGGCAAACACAGGTTCTTTCATCCCTGTAAAATGGAAATCCAAACATGTCTTTTGCAGAAACCCCCCACCTATCGACCCGCCTCCTGCTACCCCCTGCCCAGCCACAGCCATCACACTGATATGAAATAAAACAGATGTGCTCAGAAATGTGCCATGTTCACTTGCCCTTCCCCGCCCCACCACCCCCTGCACCCATTGCCAGCCAGTGACTCCCACAATGCAAGTCAGTGCATGCTGGAGATCAGGGTTCCTCCACTGTTGGCTCCTGCTAGAAGTCCACTGGGCTATACAATGCCTTGCTTGTACTACAGGGTCAAATGACAGCTGCCAAGAGGTTAAAAAAATTCAGCCCCAAAGCTCTTAGAGTAAGTGCAATAGGTGGGTCAAGGGTAGAGAAATGCAAGAAAACATTAAAATGGAAAATTTAATGCCTGCGATTTGTGGCAGTCAGAGCTCATCTACTCAGCAAATGTCTTATTTAAAGCTAGTTGACTGTGTGTGTGTGTGTGTGTGTGTGTGTGTGTGTGTGTGTGTGTGTGAATTTTTAAATCCTGTTCTCAAAGACCCATTAACATATCATGCACATACCCTTCTAGGAATAAGTTATCAGTTTCATGGTTTAACCATTAAACTGAGAAAAACAAGTCATTTGTAAACCCAATACAATTCATAAGTTCCCAGTTATGAAGTAATCCCTGATATCCAGGCCAAAGCCCCTGAGACAGCTCTGCATAACCACGTTTTGGTGATCTGGTGATGAAAGATATATTATTGAAATCCAGGAAACCTTGGGAAAAAAATGTAGAGCAAAACTATCTAAATTGAAATGAAATGCAGATCGCTTGGCTGCCAGCAGAAGTTTCTTCCTTCCTTCCTTCCTTTATTTTTTCCTCCCAAAAAGTCAGCCTAAATGTCACAAGGCTTAAGGCGTGCCATTAAAAGATTTATATGCAGCACTAGATGCAACACGATTGCATGGTTTCAGGGTCTGTGGCATTTTGGAGATGGATTGCAGGGGGCTTGTGGAGGACAGGGACTGACACATGACCTACCTCCTCCACCCTTCCAGCCCTGTGGCTCTGCTGGTGCCACTCTCAGCACTCATTTTTCCCAAGCTGTCTAAGCCTGTTCAGCTCTCCCATATGACTAGAGTTACTAGAATATTCACCACGTATGGTGGTTGGCCCAAGCTACCTTGTCCCGAGTGGCATTTTTTATTAAATGACACCATTTGAGGCCTGTTAGGGGAAAGAAACCCTATGGGAAAGTCAGATAGCCTAAGAAGACAAAAGACACTCTGTCTGGCCCAGTTGATACAGTTATTGCAGGATTTCACACTTTTAGCTCAACTCCCAAGTCCTCTGCAAGCCAGACTTATGATCGCAGACTGACTGTCCCTATTCCAATTCAAACAAGAAGGTCTCCAGATTCAGGAGCGACTTCACTCACAATCACAGAACTTTCACCTGTAAAAGGGACGTAGACTTCTCTGTAACAGTTACCAGAGAAGACAGTATTATTCATTAAGATTGCCAAGCCAGCAATGAGATCAGTGGTTTCTCTCCCAACTATTTCCCTTTTCTCACCTGCCAGAATTAGAATTTCAAATATATTAGCTCTTTTTCCCTGGGCATTCTTTCCCTCAAAGCCACCTCCATTATCAACAGTTCCCCAGATTTCAGTAATGAAACCCTGGTGTGGAGTAGATGCCTTCTGAAAGGAGATGTTATTAACAGAGAAATGTACCCTGACTGGTTCGGCGTCTGCAGAAAGAAAAGTCGGATGTGATTCAGTGGCCATATTTTAAGAACACTCTGTCAATGACAGTTGGAAACATATGTTTTTTATAAATTTCTCATTCCAAAACAAAGACTGACAGTAAAGCCCAGGGCTTTGATATTTATATAAATTGTTAAGTGGTTCACTGGGGAAAGTACATTTCAATTAGCATGTCACTGCTCATCATGCAGGCTTCAGGAAAGGCGTTCTGATTAAGCTGGCTGTTCAGCAATACATCAAAAATTGGGGCTTACCTGAGAGCTGTTCCCTTCAAGGCCAATGGCATCATCTGATGCCCAGCTGATTTTCTGCGTTTTCATTTAAGATCAAATGAGACATTCAAAATCCTACTTTAAACTGCATCAATTCAAAAAATCACTCCATTTTAGTTCAATAAACAGGAGCCAAGCAACTGCTCGTTGGAGGGCACCGGGCTCGGTGATGTACAGAAGAGCTCTGAGTCAGCCCTCAGTAAGTCCTGGCTTCTTAGTGGCTATGATCTGGGATCGTTCTTGATATAAATAATGTTGGTTATCAATTTTTTACAGCTATTTCTGGTTTTGTGTTCTTTTGGGGGAGAAGACGTGAGCTATAGTCAAAACCAAATGAAACAAACTGCCTCTGCTTGTGGCTTTACAAAACTACAATTCTGCATGCTTCAAATAATATATTTTTTTCTCAGAATCTCTTCCCGTTCATCTTTTTAGGCTGAGATTATGTTCATAAGCTATAGGTAAACCAACAACTCATCACTCAAAAGTCTTGCTGGTAGATATTCTTCCCCCCTCTCTTTTCTGTACTCTGCTGCCGCCCTTAGGACAACATTATAAGTTAGGAGGTTTTCTGTTGGGTTTTGTTTTTGATGTGTCACTGTTTGCATCTAATTAGCTAGTGCAGATATCCTAAAGATTGATGGTACAATTTTGTTCAATTCAATCCAGGGGAACATTCCTATCTCTCCCAGCCTGAAGAGTTCGGGAAAAACTAAGACACCAAATTTGTCCCCTATCTACCCAATTTAGTAGTTGTCATCGTCAATTAGTCAAGAGAGAAATAATTACCCATGGCTGGCTTGAATTTGGGAACAAAGTCTCGTTGGCAACAACAACAAAAAAAGGGAACAAGAGAACAATCAGTTCATATGAGAAATGTGAGGTGAGTAGGTGGTAGGGTTATAGGACACAGGGCAGGTCTACACCCAAAATATCTCTGACTCATGTCTGAAATTCTGCCATTTGTGATTCATCCCTTTGTGTTGTACATTGCTCTCTTCCTGGATTTGTTTTAAAATATCCAAAGTCCAAGAAAGGTAACAAAAGCAGTTTCTAATTCAACCAATGTATGTTTATTGAGCCTGTTCTATGGATCAAGTGTGATATTTCAAAAAGAAATAAGATACAAGATTTCTTGTATCTTGCTCACCTCGCAAGATACAAGAAGTCTCATATCTTAGAAGGCACTCTCCTGACACCCCACCCCTTTAATTACCACTCTCCTCCTTCCTTTCTTACGCAAGCACATTGAGAGTTTACCTTCTCTAACTCTGCTCCCACGCATTACATTTATTTCCCCACCTTCAGTCTCCTTCCCTTACCAGTTCTATGAAGGAGGTCACCAGGGACTTTCTAATCCCCAAATCCATCATTTTTTCTGTCCATATCTTATGTAATCTCCCTAGAGGGGAGATCTCCTTTTCCAAACACTTCTTTTTCAGAACTCTCCTCTCTTGGTTGCTCGCACTAACTCCTCTTCTTTTACTTCTTTTCAGATGTTGGTGGACTCTAGGGTTCAGTCCTTTGGCCTCTTGCCCTTATTCTATTCAAAGGTTTTCAACCAGGGGTGAGGATGTCCCCCAGGGACATTTTGCAATGTCTGGAGACATTTTTTTGGTGGTCACAACTTGGAAGGGGAAATGCTACTGGTATCTAGTGGGTAGAGGCCAGAGGTGTTGTTAACTATCCTGCAATGCACAGGCAAATCTTCTGCAATAAAAACTGCCCCATCCAAAATGTCAATAGTGTCAAGAGTGAGAAACCCTATTCTATGCTATTGCTAAGTGGCATTGCTCCCATGCATGGTTTCTGTCACCACTCCTGTGCAGCTATCACTCAAAGCATTATTTTTGAACAACATGGAGAGAACAGAAGCTCAGAGCCACACAACCAGCGGGCCATAGCTATTTCTACCTATGGGTCCCACAAGCACCAGGCAGTGAAGTGAACAGAGCAAAAGCTGAGCTCATCTTCTTCTCTTACAAAGCATCTCTTAATTGATGATGGTATCCAGTCCCCCAGACTTGAACCCTGGGAGTTTAACTCACCTCTTTCCTTCCTGATCACTAAGTCCTTCTGATTCTACCTCCTAAGCAGCTCTCAAATCACTGCCTCCATAACCACTACTTTGGTTCAGGCCCTTCTCATTATCATTTGCACTCAAAATAGACTTGGAACTGACATTTAGTCTCCAGACTCACACCCCTGCCATCCACCCCTTACACATAAGCAGACAGGTTTTCTATAACCTCCTTCATCACCACCTTATATCTTCTTCACATGAAGTTAATTATCACAATGCCTGATGTTTACTGAGTCTTGTTCTAGGTGCTTTATATGAATTCTGTATTTATCTCACTTACAGGATGGGGCTGTTATCATACCCATTTTATAGATGGGAAAGTCAAAATTGGGGAAAGCTTATTAACTCAGGTATGATCACATAACTATATGTGGCAGAGTAGAGGTTTAAGCCTACAAGTGTCTATTTCAAGCCTAACATCCATAATGACCATGTACTACTCTCCCAGATGTCTTCATGATGGACATATTCTCCTATAGGAGAGGAGTAACTGAACATATCACATATAGTGGAGTGCTAATCTAGCATAAACTAATTTATTCTCAGGTATCTGTCGTCCTTGTTCATACTTCTATTATAGCCCTTACTACACTGTGGGTTTTGTTTGTTTAATTCAAATAAATTGCAAAATATGTATTAAATTCATATTTAATACATAATAAATATGTAAATATAAACATATTTATATCCACACACATATTACAGATTAAACATATAACCTGCACTTAACGCTGAGGGCTTATAGTCAAGTCCCTACACAGAGATGTAACTGACTGGCCTGAATGTAGATCCTTTGGGTGCCAATCCAGAGTTCTTACTATAATAAAGTGGCTCATCAGGACAACTTCACTGACTTTTCAGGTTTTCCAAAAATTAATCTAGGCTTTGCACAGACAATTCCTAATTCTCAAACTTCTGATTGGTAAAGCAAAAATAGTTAGAGCTGACAATAGTCACTGTCTTCAATTACTCTCCTTCCAGTATCTCTTGAGCCTGCCCCAATCAAGCCTCCATCCTCTCCCTCCACCATCACTACCTTATTCAAGGCCATGCTTTCAATCCAACAGTCTCCATTTTACTTGATTTAGCAGTAGCATTTGACCTAAAAGTTCAGATGCCCTAAATGGGAGACATACAAAATACAGAAAACCTGCACCATATCCACTAGATCTTACAAAAGCAAGAAACAAACTTTTATTGTGTTAAGCCACTGTGATTTCAGGGTATGGCAGGCAGAATAATGGCCCTCCAGAGATGTCTATACCCTAATCCCCCAGAACATAGAAATACATTTCCTTACATTGCCAAAGGAACTTTGTACATGTGATTTAGGGTATGGGCTTTGAGGTGGGTCATCTGCAGGAGTCCAGTTGAATCACATTAAGTCCTTAAAAACAGTGAACTTTTCTCAACTAGATCAGAGAAATTCCATGTGAGAAGGACTCAACATGCCATTGGGGGCTTTGAAGATAAATAAAGGGAATGGTGAGCTAAGGAATGTTGTGGCTGCTGGAAACTGGGGACTGGGTTCTCAGTGTATAGTCAGTCAAAAAATGGAAACCTGGTTCCTATAACCACAAGAACTAACTTTTACCAATAACCTGAGGAGTGAGGAAACAGATTCACGCTTAGGTCCCCAGAAAGGAATGCAACCCTGCTAGAACCTCAATTTGGGTCTGGTAAGTCCTGTGCCAGACTTTAGACCTACAGAACTGTAAGATAATATATTTGTATTATTTTAAGACATGAAATTTGATGTGATTTATTATGACAAAAAGGAAACTTACATACAAGGTAATTTTGTTACTGAAGCATACCCCTGACTATACTGACTAATGCGTACATGTAAAGCACTGAAGTGCATAGTAAACTCAGTAAACCTAATCTATAACAATTATTTTTTAACTTTTAAAATTGTTTTATTTTAATTTTTATGTATACATAATAGTTGTACATATTTATGGGGCACATGTAAATAATAATTATTTGTATTATATGATGTAACTATTTCATGTGACCAGACTCTCATAAAAAACTACATCGAGTCCCACTGCATAGCAACAGTTTTGGATATTTCAGGATAATTCTGATGCTGATTGAGGTGGCTCTAGGCACTGAAATTCTCCTAAAAGGGCCAAACTTTCTAGTTTTCAGTGGAGAAAGAGTATCATGGCTCTTGTTACCTCATCAGCATCAGAGCTGACAGGCTGGAACAAGTACCTCCCTGCCCCATATCAACATGGCTCACCCTATGTAGTCTCTCTACAGCCTTTCTTGTAGCAACTATGCACAGCATTGATATCCTAGGGACTTCAGATAAATAAAAGTGAATAAACAATAAATAGAGGCTACACAAATGTCAACCTGAACTTGAAATTACTAGGGAGAAAGTTAGAATAATCATGCAAGGAGGTCTTGTTTCTCTGAAGTGTTATGGAAACAAATAACCAGCAGTACCAGAACAAAAAGACCCCAGAAGTTCCAGGGATGGCTGATGTCGTAGGTCTTGGTTTTCTCACCCACCCAAGGCCTCACTCTGCTTATGGAGTGAAGTGTTCCTCGTTTCAAGCTTACAGCTTGCAGTTCTAAGGAAGAACACAGCAGCCAGGGTGAGGAGGAGCGCTCCAGGATCACTGGGAAAGTCAAAGCAAAGCCAGGCAGAATGAGGTGACCTTTCCTACCACAAATCTCTGGACGTGAGAGGTATCTAAGGTTTCCCAAATTTCTCCCTTCCCTATTGGTTGGCATGGGAGACAGAAACCCCATTTCTCACAGTCACAGATGGAAACTAAAAAAATTAATCCACCTGGGGGAATAAGCACAGTTATTTATTCCTGTTGAGAGGTTAGTGGTGGACAGAGGCTGGTTTCTTAAAACCAATTCTGGATAAAGTAGAAGTACCTCACAGGGCTTAGGTACCTGGGAGTAGGTGCTGCCAGCCAGAGGAGCATGAGAAGGTGTACCTCAAAGACAAACACTGCTGATATCTCCCGTAGGAAGCCAACCCCGTGAGGCTATCCTGGGTGAGCTCAATCAGAGGGTGCCAACCACCACCCCATGGCAGGGCCAGATGAGTAGACAGGCCCTTCCTCCATCATCCCAATATCTGCCACCATCCCCAGTCTGAGTCATTAAAAAGATTAACAGACATCCACTCTCAGTCCAAAATAGTCAATTAATTATCTCTGCTTCTTTGTGAAAATCTTCAAACCAGCCCTTAAGACTTCAGGCCATCACTAATAGGACCAAAGACTGTCCTCACAAGGTAAACTAGAGTACTTGGGATTCTTTCTCAAAGTCATTAACAGTGACTGTCACTTCCTAGAAATATCAGCTATTTCAGCGGACAAGGTTTTCGTCCTGTCCCAGCTAGTCTTCTAAGGTTTTCAATATTACTACCTTGACAATAATAAGTAACCCCACGGCTTTTCAGTTTTGCGCTATAGCTATTTATGGAGAATCTATGATATGCCTAGAGAGAGCTACAAAAAGAATAAAGCATGTAATTTCTCCCCCCTGGAGCTCTGACTTCTGGCTGGAGAAGCAAGAGTAAGTGTACCAAAGAAAAACCACAGTGACCACTCTGGACAGTGAAGCAGCAAGATGAGATTGGGTCTAGTTTTGAACCACTCCCTATGCTGATGTTAACAAGGCATCTTCTTCTGGATGGGTGTTTGTAGCTAATTCACAACTATGGGCGGGATTTTTTAAAATTTCATCTTTGTCAGAGAAAGATTAGAAGGAAACGTATCAAAAGTTAACTAGTTTTCCCTTCAAGTGAAACAGTAAGAATGCCTTTTCTTCCTTTCCACTTTTGTGCGTTTTCCAAGTTGTTTTAACATGTAATGGGAAAGGTAGCATACATTTTATTTTTAAAAGGACAAATAAAGGCAGTTGTCCATACAGATGCTGAGAGTCCCTAAGTTTTTAATGCAGTCAGCCAGTGTGTACTCATCAGAAATATGTTCCTTTCCTGAAATAACTGTATGACTCTAGTTCTGATAGGCTCCCCATCTTACCATGTATGGAGATTTTGGGGACATAGGGAGCATGCAATCTTTGTCCAGAGCCACACAGCTGGTAAGTAATGGAGATGACAAGGAAAGCCAGGCAGGCTAGTCCTGGAAATTGCTCCTGGCCACTCTGTTCTACTAGAGACTTTTTCAAAAAATTGATGAGCACAGATTTTGTTTGTAAATGTCTAAAAAGTCTTACAAATCTTATTTGAAAGTTTTTCAAAAGGAAAAAAGAAAGGAACCCACAAAAAGGGAACCAGTTAGGCTTCAACATATTCCTCAGCCATTGCACCATGGGTGTATCTAGACTATAGGAGTATGTCCTGAGCTGACGCATTCCCCCCAAACGTGAAATTGTGATATAGGAGGGCTATGAACTGTGAAAGCTGGCAGGAGCCGCCGAAGCAAACACAGGCTCCCCAGGAATCCAGGCACTGAAGTCAAGGTTTACAGTAAGTGATGAATGCCAACCAGTGTTCTGATTCCAGCATGGGCTTTTGTGAAATTCATATTCCAGTGTCTTAAAATGCTTCATGCATGAAATGCACATTTCCCTTATTTTATAATCAGTTTTTAAAACACATGAACCAAGGGCTTAAACGCTTCCTCTATTTTCCACAACAGCTATAAAAAGGGGGATTGAGATAGTTTAATGTGGTGAAATTTTCTCACCATACTTTCCACTCCCATTCCTTCTTCCCAGACACAACAGGGCATTATGGAGGGGCGAGAGGGAAAAGTAAGCCTCTTTCTTCCCAGGGCTACCTTGTCTTGACATGGGCCTGTTCACCAAGGCAGAGGCCAGATGAGCCTTTTAGGATGCAGATGTTAATTCCTATCCTAACAGTGATTTCCTATTAATGGAGCCACTCTCTGAGGTGATTCGAGGCAGATTAACCCTTTCCTACTTGAAAGACGCTTATCTCCCACCTGTGGAATGCTATCTCTGGTTCTACTGAGATGTCATTGTTGATGCCGGTGTCTGTCATGTCTGAGTCTCTTTGTACTAAGATACCTGCCCAGCTCTCCTCACCTCCCACCTTACTGTTGGCAATTCATTTCACAGCCACCAGATACAAGTACATGTTCTAGAGAGCTCTAAGGCATGAAAGAAGCCTAAGGAGAGAGACAGAAACGCTTCTTGACTGAGTTTTAAAATTGGCTTGGGAGAAGCTAGATTGCCTATTATGAACTAATCTCTCATTTATTAAGGAGATCTATTCTCTGCTGAGAGAAACTGTGGCCAGAGATGTGAAGAAGGCAGGTTAGATTCCCCAGAGTGCAATGGTTTACATGCCAGACGAAGCAGAGGACTGAGGGTGTAAAGATACAAGTAATCTCCTTCATAACATTAATCGTAAATCATCCAAGTATACAATAGAGTGGGCACACTGGCTCAGATGGGACAGCAGGCCATTAAGGTTGCTGCTTCTGTTATCTTCCACAAGATTCTCCTTCCCTCTGGAGAGCTCTCAGATTGCCCCGGCCCCACAGCACTGACCTCTGGGAAGAAGGGAGACTGCTGTCAATATTTTGTTTCAAGGATGTGGAACTATGCTCCTTCCCACAGCCTAGCAGAGCTGAAATAAACTCTATAAGCAGTAGAACTTCAAAGCAAAAATTAATTCAGAGATTTAGATAGTGGCTCACAAGATGGAACTTCCTCACCTTTGCCCACCAACTCTAGCCAGATGCTGGGGTCTCCTTCTCCTCCAGCCTGTCTTATGTAGTGGCTGCTACCTAATCATTCCTCATCCTCTTGCTCCTCCAGTGACACCAGGAGCACTTGTCAACATGTCTGCCCTGCTCAAGGTTGAGATGGAACACAGTAGGAAGGGCTCAGAGGCGCTGAACATGTCCTCTCCTGCCTCCTGCTCTGTCCCAGTGCCGGGCTGAGCCCGCACCCCTGCCCTGGGAGGACTGGCTCTGTAAATGAAAACCTATCCAGTAGAGACCTACCAGGTCTTAATATAAAACAGATCATCGTGTTACAAGAAAACTACAAGGAGCAAGGGTTATTTTTGTATGTGGCATTAGAGTATATTCTTTGTATTTTTCACAGGGAATCAGAGACATTAGAATTTCCCAACTGTCAACTTAGAAGTTTTCTTATTTAGACTTTAGGTTTGGTTCCTGTATTAACTAGATATGCAATTTTAGCAAGTCTTGTCACCTCTCAGAGTTAAAGTTTGCTCTTCAAGAAGATATGGGAGTTGGATCAGGTCATCTAGAAGGTTATCTAAAGGACTTCTTCTCTGTAAGTGAAATTACAAAGACAGCTAGCATTTGTTATACATAAAGAGGTAATAGATTTGTTTCTTTTCCTCCAGAAGATTATAGTACTAGAGAGTTAAGATTGGGGTGAAGATAACTCTCTAAATAAAGAAGCCTGTGCTGAAGGAAAATTAACCAGAGAAGAGTGCTGGAGATGAGCAATTCAAGGTGAATACTAAGAGAAGAAAGTGCTTAAGTAAAGAGTAGTGTTAGTGTTAGTCTCTTTCTGGAACACAGTTCTGCCAGATTTTGGACTTCTAGTCTCCAAAACTGTAAAGAGAACAAATTCCTATTGTTTAAGCCACCCAGCTTGTGGTAATTTATTATAGAAGGCATGAGAAACCAAAACACCGTCCTAAGGACTTTTATTTCTTTTTCTTGCTGTCTTGCGCTGGGTAAGACTTCCAAGACAATGTTAACAGTAGTATAACAGCAGGTATCTTTGTTTTGTCTCTCAATGATAAAACTTTAAATATTGTAGCATTAATTATGATGTTAGTGTAATAGCAGGTATCTTTGTCTTGTCTCTCAATTATAAAATTTTAAATACTTTAGCATTAATTATGATGTTAGCTGAAAGATTTTTGTAAGAAACCTGTTAATTAAATTAGGGAAATTATTGCCTACTTTTGGTTTGTGAAGAATTTTGAGGGGAACCGATGTTAAATTTGATCAAAAGATTTCCCTGTAATTATTGAGATGACATTTTTTTCCATTATTCCATTTATGTGATAATTATACAGATTAATTTTTTAATGTTAAATAAACATTGCATTTCTGGAATAAACCCAATTTGTTCATGTTGTATTATCTTTCTATGTTTTTCTGGATTTGATTTGTTAATATTTTGTTGAGGATTTTTGTGGGTATGTTTATGAAAGAGATTGATTGGACAGTGATTTTCCTTTCTTATAATATTCTTGGTAAGTTTATGCTGGCTTCATAATGCTAGTTCATTCATGTTATAGTATGTATCAGTATTTTATTTCTTTTGTTGCTGAATAATATTTTGTTGTGTGGATATACCACATTTGTTTACTCATTTGTTAGTCTTTGGACATTTGAACTGGCTTCCAACATTTGGCTTTTATGAATAATGCTATTATGAATGTTTGTGTGTAAGTTTTTATGTGGGCAAATTTGTTTATTTCTCTTGAGTATGTACCTAGAAATGAAATTGCTGTGTCTTATGGTAATTCTATACTTAATTTTGTAAATAACTGCTAGACAGTATGCCAGAGCAGCTGTACCATTTTACATTCCCACCAGCAGTGTACAAATATTGTGATTTTTCTGCATCCTGTCCAACACATGTTATTATCTAACCTTTTGATTCTAGCCATCCTGGTAGCTGTGAAATGGTGTCTCATTGTAATTTGATTAAGTAATGATGACAAACATCATTTTATATATCTGCAATTATCTTTTAAAGCAATTAAAAATAAGAGAAAAATGTCTTTTTGTATTTTCCCTCATTTTTTATGATTTCCATTGTATTTCATTTCTTTATCTAGAACCAAATTTCTTTTTAGTATCATATTTTCTCTCATTTAGTATTTCTTGTAGTGAAGGTTAGTTGGCAGTAAATTCTTTCAGCTTTTGTTTGTCTGAACAAAAATCTTTATTTCTCTTTCTTTCTGTAAAAATATTTTCACTGAGTATAAAATTCTGAGTTGACAGTGTGGCTTTAAAGATGTCACACCATTGTCTTCTGGTTTGTATAGTTTCGACTACATGTCTGCTGTCATTATTTGTTGCCCTATTTGTAATGTTGTCGTTATCTTTGTATACCTTGAAGATTTTTCATTTTGATTTTGATATTGAGCAGTTTTATTATAATCAGTGTGTGAATTCTGTGTGTGTGTGTGTGAATGTGTGTCTGTGTGCACATACAGGCTTGGGATTCTCTGAGCCGCTTAAATTTGTGGTTTGTTTTCTTTCATTAGGAGGAAACTCTCAGCACATATCTCTTCAAATATGTATATATATGTATACCTATTTCATTTGTTTTCTCCATCTTTTCCTTCTGGGCCTCCAGTGACCCATATGTTGGACCACAGTTCTTGGAAGCTCTGTTTGTTTTTTGTCTGCCTCTTCTTTTCCCTCTTTGTTACCATTTGAATAATTTATATTGGCTTATCTTCAAGATATCTTTCCTCATGTGTGTTCTGTCTTCTCCCAAGCCCATCACAGAAATTCTTCATTTCTGATATTTTGTATTTGATGCCTTCTTTAGTTCTTCACTTCTCTGCTGTAATCCCCATTTGTTCACGTATGTCATTCATATTTTTCACCAGATCCTTTGACATACATTATAATAGTTATTTCAAAGTCTCTGTCTGATAGTTCCAACATTTGCTTTATTTCAAAGTGTATCCATGTCTCTTGACAATGGGATGGTGTTGGCTTTTTCTGTTTTTTTCCTTGCTTGTATGTAAATCTCCTGATTTTTATTACATTCCAGACATTACATGTAAGAAGACAGCAGATGCAGAAGCAAAAAATATTTTTGCCTGGAAATAATAATGATTCTTTTAGTATCAGGCCATTGGTGTTGGGAAATGGGGTTGAGTAGGGAAGTTGAGTCAATCTAGATAGAAATTGATTTGAATTTGTGTTTCATTGTTGCAAACTGACCACAAAGTTGAAGTCTCTCCCTTAGTGGGCTACCTTTAACATGCGCTTGCAATGGGATCTGGGGTATGGAAAGATTTTTCTCAATGTTCTTGTATTACCCTCAGCTTTTAGCAGTCTCTGCACATATGCACCATGCTCTTCCCTCTTCCACAGGAATAGACTGCTGTTGTTTGTTTCTCAGTGCTAAGCTAATTGTGGGCACAGAAAGATTCTTCGTTCTTCTGGTCCAGTCTTAGTTTCATATAGGCTGTGCACATCTGGGCTTCAGGGGTAGCCATCCAGGACAGTTAAACTATTTATTGCATCTGTGGGGGCTTTGGACAAGAGATGATTTTCTGCCCCTTTCCAAGTGAAAGCTTACTCTGCTCTGTATGCATACAGGATCCTGGAACAAAGAACATTTTCTACATCTCCACCAGTGGAAGACAGCTTTTCTTCCACTCTTTTTTCAGATTTTGCTTGAACCCTGCAAGAGAACATTTCTACCCCTCCTCCATTGGCTTAAGTCTTTGCTTCAAGTGAGAAAAGTGTTCAGGGAAGTGCATGGTGTTTCATACCTGTCTCCCCACCTCACAGTACTTCCTGTACTCCTGCACCATGCAAGGAGGTCCTCTGGTCAATCTTTGTTGGGAGCGCCCAGTGAAGGCTCATAAAAATATTGCTTGTGAGTGAATATTGCCTCTCGTGTCTGAGGGTTTTCAGTTATTCTAAATTGTCACTCTAGCCCACATTGTCCTTGAAGAATTTATTACATTTTTTAGCTGTTTGATTTCCATCTGCTTTAATGGAGGTCATTTCTCTCTCTCTCATTCTCTGATGAAGGTAGAAATATTTGTGTGCCTCAACTCCTCTTGAAGAAATTTTTGGGTTTTTGTAATTTAGTTCATTTGGTTGACAGAAGATCTATAATGGGTTCATGGAAAGTTTGATTTTGTAAATTATCCAGTTTTTTTCTTATTGCCAGGTTGGAAGCTACTTTTTCTTCTGGATTCTTACATTCTAAGAGTACACACATACACTGGGCCAAGTTCTCTTCTAGAAAAGACTGGCAAAGCCCATCCTTTTGAAGAACTAAAGAACTTATATTCTGGTAGAGCAAGACAGACAATAAGCATATAGAAAAGTAAATAAACAAGTAGAAGGCATATGATGATATATAAATTCTAATCAGTGAAAAAAGCTTTAAGAAAAAATTAAGCACAGTGCAATGACAGACAGTGACTATGAGATGCCACTTTCCAGTAAGTATTAAGATAAGACATAAGAATTAACCAGCTTTGCAATGATGTGGGAGAATATGGAACACAGTAAACGGAAAGTGAAAAGTACATGAGTGAGGTGAGGTGTGATCTTTGTATTTGCCAAGAATCAACAGAGAACTACTCTGGATGGAACATGAAGAGTGATGGAGACAGTGGCAAGAGATGAGTTAGGAAAAGCCAGTGAGGGACACGATGTATGACTTTAAAACGCACATCAAGGAGTATGAATTTTATTTTAACTGTGCTGGGATTGACTAGAGTGGTTATAGCATGTAAACGATATGACATACAATCACTTGAATAGATATAGTACTTCTAATCACTGGGGACTAAAGAAAGTTGGTTTCTTTCTATGACTGGAATCTCTAGTGGATCTTGGCAATGAACTCACGCACTATGCAGAATTTGTGAGGTGAAAAGGATGAAGGATGTTGGAGTCACCAAGTCTCACCTCAGCACTAGGGCATCTTATCATTTCTTTTTCTGTTAAAAATTCTGGTTTCTTTATTTCACACATGAAGTGTCTGCGTTTCTTTTGAAGGGCAAAAAATAATAAAATTTACCTTGTAACCTTGAATTCAGAATTCTTAGAGATCTAGATGAATTTCAGATCTCAAGAAGATTCCCTTGCAGAATTGCAACATTTCCTGATTAACTTCATAATATGGTTCCCACAAGGTTGGAGCTCAAAGTTCAATGATATGTATCAAACTTTATAATGGTAAGGCACTTTTACCCTACCCCAACTTGAAGACTTCTACTGGAATGTGGATTTTCCAGGGGACTTTCCCACTTTTCTATCCTTTGAATGAGGAAAAAAAGGCATTAGTATTTATAGATTTGATTTTCTAAACCTTCAAGATTCAAATGCCAAAACCATCTCATCTTTTAAATGCAGCTACCAGAATTAGGAGACACTTACTAGCTACACATAGACTTCTTAGAAAATATGAGAAACAGATTTTCAGAGAAAGCATGCTTTTGAAACACAACAAGACTCACTATAGTCATTAAAGGTCAGAGAACGGAAAACTGAGGTTCCCTTTAGGGAATATCTCATTTGTCCACTTGTTCACTCTCTTATTTGTTCTTTCAGCAAGTGTTTTTGAGCATCTATTGCAATCATTCTTTAATGTTCTGTAGAGCATATAAAAAATACACAACACAGTCCATGCACTGAAAAAGCTCATACAGTCTAAAATAGGAGATGAAACAGGCAAAAATGATTACAGATCTAACGTAGGAGCCACTCACTTCCAAGCTGCAAAAGGCTATAGGAATGAAAAGTACTTAACTTCTGGGTCACTTACTGAAGTAAAAAGGGTTAATTTTGTTTTTCTGTAAATAACATTGGAATATCTAGGACTACTTATTTCATGGATCTTCTTAATGTCAGAGTGGCCTCTTTCTTTAAAGGTGCCACTTATGAAAGTTCAGAGGGAAACATAGCTTTTGATGGCAATGGCACTTATGTACTTGGGTAGTGGAGACAGTGGAAGTGTAGGCTGGATACTTGACCTGGGCCTCAGAACTCATGCTCCAGAGACAGACTAACGATGGAAGGCTCTCCAAACTGGAGTAATAATTAAAGTCATGAGGCAGACAAACTCTCAGAAGGAGACAGCATAAAGTAAGAAAACCAAGAGCCAACCCTGGAGCTTTGGGAAATACTAATTCTTGCATAAAATTTGTAGCCAGGGCAGAGCCTGACCCATGTGGAAATCACATTCAGAGCCCTGAAGTCATTAACACCAGTCTTACTAACTGTTCTCTGGCTGAGTATGAAGAAGCACTGCACAAAGCATTACTGCACCAGTGACTCAGCTGGATGCTTATGTGATGGCTAGACATGGATTCAAAGTTATTTAACTTGACCCCTTGTGTACAAAAAGCACTTGTGTCAAAGGTGAACTGTTATTTTTATTTAGCGTAAGGCACAACACTCACTGTAAGGACCTCTCCGTCTGATTTTTCACTCCTAGGTAACTTTATCCTCTGTCCTCTGGGGATTCACATAGGTAAATTGACAAAGCACATAAACCCAAACTGCCTGAATCAAGTTTTGGTTTCTGTTCGTTCTTCAATTATAAGTAGTGATCTCAGGAGGGCCTGGGGCTCAGAAGACAGATAGAATTTATCTAACTGCTGCCAGAATGTAATTTAAAATGAGTCCAAGAGGAAAAGAGCCTTCCCAGATATTCCCACTGTGGGACAAGGGGTGGGAGGGAGCTTGCCAGGGCCAGGCATGAGGGGTGAGGAGCCTTGGTTTGTGAGGATGTTTCTGCTGACATCCATTCCAGGGACTTTACAGTAGTTGCTAACATGACTGGCTATACCTTCTACCCTTCTTTTCTTAAAAGTGGGTTCTTCCTGCAAAAGTGACTTTATCTGTTGTATATTTAGCTCAAGTCATGTGGGATTTTGCAATTTACAGATCCAGCATTGAGGCATGGTTGTAATGCAACTTCTTGCAAAGACAGGTTTAGTAAATGGCATCTCACAAATGCTTCCCTGCTGCTATGGGATGAGCCAGGACTTGAATCCAGGCTCTGCACCTTTTCCAATGCTCTAAGCAAATTAACTCAGAGCAACTTGAAGCATTTGACATAGGACATGCAAATTGCAGATAGGAGAGTGGCTTAAAAATATGTCTATTTTTTTATCTAGGTCACGCAGGAGCTGGAGAGAGGAGACAGAAATTAGCAAGCCTGGAAGGATGCAGAATAGCTGATGAGAGGACAGGAGAAACCAAGAGGGGAGGGGTAATGCTTAGACAGGAGCTTGGAGGGTGATAAACCCTGAACATGTTCCACAGTAGCAGGGAACTTGTATAATCCTGAGTGTGAGGCCGGGTGATGCTGTGGACCAGGCGAGAGGCTCCTCCCCATAGTTTAATGAGAAATTAACTAAGCCAAAGCTGCTCAGAAAGGAGAAGGAGTCAACAATGAATTTTGCCACCCCTTTTTGTCTCATACCAAGACAACCCAGATGGAGAGGGAGAAAAGGGGAGGGATACTTTGATGCCTTGTTCGAAAGGAACAGAGGTCAGGAAAACCCAAAAAACAAATAAAACCTGTGCTCTAGACTTCCCTATGAGGCAGGGATTGCCTAAATCAGTCAAAATGAAATTCAGAGAACAAAAGTGTTATAAAGGGGAAGCTTCCCTCCCCTACCCACAAAGTGTGGCAAGTGAGAATAGGCTTTGAGGCTCTTTCTGAAGGGTTGTTCCTAGAATTCTGTAATAGAGGCACACACAACCCTGCAGACCAATAGGGTTGTCCACAGGCGCAGCCTAGGCACCCATTCCTCTTGTGACAAATAGGGTAATCTGGCCCTATCAGAACCTAACAAGAGAAGGTGGGAGTACAGAGAAGGCAAATGTGACCAGCACAAACCCTAAAATTCCCTTCACCTCCCGTCTTCCTCCAAATCCCACCTACCCCAAATGTGGCTTTCCTTGGTCCAGCAAAGTGTTCTTATTCATAGACTTCAAGGAAAACTCATGCCTAAGTATTTAGGTGAGTGAAAAGAGGACAGAGAAATGGGAAAATGACCTTTCATAAGTGACTGTCTTACACTATGTGCTTTATCTTTTAATTCATTAAGCCCTTATGACAGGCCTAAGATACAATATCATATTCACTTTACCAGTGAGGAAACAGGGTCAGAGATTGTCACTTGCTCAAGGCCACATAGCTAGGAATTGTAGATTCGAGATTTTAACCAATGATCTTCCTAATTACTGTAAAACCTAACATGCAACTGATTGCACAGTTCTTGTAAGCCTTGGAACCCAAAAGCAAAAGAGACTATGTGACTAGCCCTGAAACTTCAGGGTAATCACAGATAGGCCAAGAACTTATCACTGCAGTAGATTACAAAAGGGCATTTAGTGGTTTAATCCTAGGTAATTTTCTTCTCTCTACCTGACAAATTTCTGAGCCATATTTCTTTTATTATTATTATTATTATTATACTTTAAATTCTAGGGTACATATGCACAACGTGCAGGTTTGATACATAGGTGTACATGTGCCATGTTGGTTTGCTGCACCCGTCAATTCATCATTTACGTTAGGTATTTCTCCTAATGCTATCCCTTCCCCAGCCCCCTATAGCACAACAGGCCCCAGAGTGTGATGTTCCCTGCCCTGTGTCCAAGTGTTCTCATTGTTCAATTCCCACCTATGAGTGAGAACACGTGGTGTTTGGTTTTCTGTCCTTGTGATAGTTTGCTGAGAATGATGGTTTCCAGCTTCATCCATGTCCCTCCAAAGGACATGAACTCATCCTTTTTCATGACTGCATAGTATTCCATGATGTATATGTGCCATGTTTTCTTAATCCAGTCTATCATTGGTGGACATTTGGTTGGTTCCAAGTCTTTGCTATTGTGAATAATGCTGCAATAAACATATGTGTGCATGTGTCTTTATAGTAGCATGATTTATAATCCTTTGGGTATATACCCAGTAATGGGATTGCTGGGTCAAATGGTAATTCTAGTTCTGGGCCCTTGAGGAATCGCCATACTGTCTTCCACAATGGTTGAGCCAATTTACACTCCCACCAACAGTGTAAAAGCATTCCTATTTCTCCACATCCTCTCCAGCATCTGTTGTTTCCTGACTTTTTAGTGACCGCCATTCTAACTGGTGTGAGATGGTATCTCATTGTGGTTTTGATTTGCATTTCTCTGATGGCCAGTGATGATGAGCATTTTTTCATGTGTCTGTTGGCTGCACAGATGTCTTCTTTTAAGAAGTGTCTGTTCATATCTTTTGCCCACTTTTTGATGGGGTTCTTTGTTTTTTTCTTATAAATTTGTTTGAGTTCTTCAAAGATTCTGGATATTAGCCCTTTGTCAGATGGGTAGATTGCAAAAATTTTCTCCCATTCTGTAGGTTGCCTGTTCACTCTGATGGTAGTTTCTTTTGCCATGCAGAAGCTCATTGGTTTAATTAGATGCCATTTGTCAATTTTGGCTTTTGTTGCCATTGCTTTTGGTGTTTTAGACATGAAGTCCTTGCCCATGCCTATGACCTAAATGGTATTGTCTAGGTTTTCTTCCAGGGTTTTTATGGTTTTAGGTCTAACATTTAAGTCTTTAATCCATCTTGAATTAATTTTTGTATAAGGTGTGAGGAAGGGATCTAGTTTCAGTTTTCTACATATGGCTAGCCAGTTTTCTGAGCACCATTTATTAAATAGGGAATCTTTTCCCCATTTCTTGTTTTTGTCAGGGTTGTCAAAGATCAGATGGTTGTAGATGTGTGGCATTATTTCTGAGGCCTCTGTTCCATTCCATTGGTCTATATCTCTGTTTTGGTACCAGTACCATGCTATTTTGGTTACTGTAGGCTTGTAGTATACTTTGAAGTCAGGTAGTGTGATGCCTCCAGCTTTGTTCCTTTTGCTTAGGATTGTCTTGGCAATGCGGGCTCTTTCTTGGATCCATATGAACTTTAAAGTAGTTTTTTCCAATTCTGCGAAGAGTCATTGGTAGCTTGATGGGGATGGCATTGAATCTATAAATTACTTTGGGCAGTATGGCCATTTTCACAATATTGATTCTTCCTATCCATGAGCATGGAATATTCTTCCATTTGTTTGTGTCCTCTTTTATTTCGTTGAGCAGTGGTTTGTAGTTCTCCTTGAAGAGGTCCTTCACATCCCTTGTAAGTTGGATTCCTAGGTATTTTATTCTCTTTGAAGCAATTGTGAATGGGAGTTCACTCATGATTTCGCTCTCTGTTTGTCTGTTAATGGTGTATAGGAATGCTTGTGATTTTTGCACATTGATTTTGTATCCGGAGACTTTGCTGAAGTTACTTACCAGCTTAAGGGATGAGACAATGGGGTTTTCTAAATATACAATCGTGTCATCTATAGACAGGGACAATTTGACTTCCTCTTTTCCTAATTGAATAGCCTTTATTTCTTTCTCCTGCCTGATTGCTCTGGCCAGAACTTCCAACACTATGTTGAATAGGAGTGGTGAGAGAGGGCATCCCTGTCTTGTGCCAGTTTTCAAAGGGAATGTTTCCAGTTTTTGCCCATTCAGTATGGTATTGGCTGTGGGTTTGTCATAAATAGCTCTTATTATTTTGAGATACATCCCATCAATACCTAATTTATTGAGAGTTTTTAGCATGAAGGGCTGTTGAATTTTGTCAAAGGCCTTTTCTGCAGCTATCGAGATAATCATCTGCTTTTTGTCTTTGATTCTGTTTATATGCTGGATTAGATTTATTGATTTGCGTATGTTGAACCAGCATTGCATCCCAGGGATGAAGCCCACTTGATCATGGTGGATAAGCTTTTTTATGTGCTGCTGGATTCAGCTTGCCAGTATTGTATTGAGGATTTTCGCATCGATGTTCATCAGGGATATTGGTCTAAAATTCTCTTTTTTTGTCGTGTCTCTGCCAGGCTTTGGTATCAGGATGATTTTAGCCTCAAAAAATGAGTTAGGGAGGATTCCCTCTTTTTCTATTGATTGGAGCAGTTTCAGAAGGAATGGTACCAGCTCCTCTTTATACCTTTGGTAGAATTCAGCTGTGAATGCATCTAGTCCTGGACTTTTTTTGGTTGGTAGGCTATTAATTACTGCCTCAATTTCAGAGCCTATTTGTCTATTCAGAGATTCAACTTCTTCCTGGTTTAGTCTTGGGAGAGTATATGTGTCTAGAATTTATTCATTTCTTCTAGATGTTCTAGTTTATTTGTGTAGAGGTGTTTATAATATTCTCTGATGGTAGTTTGTATTTCTCTGGGATTGGTGGTGATTTCCTCTTTATCATTTTTTATTGCATCTATTTGATTCTTCTCTCTTTTCTTCTTTATTAGTCTTGCTAGTGGTCTATCAATTTTGTTGATATTTTCAAAAAACCAGCTCCTGGATTCATTGATTTTTTGAAGGGTTTTTGTGTCTCTATCTCTTTCAGTTCTGCTCTGATCTTGGTTATTTCTTGCCTTCTGCTAGCTTTTGAATGTATTTGCTCTTGCTTCTCTAGTTCTTTTAATTGTGATGTTAGGGTGTCAATTTTGGATCTTTCCTGCTTTCTCTTGTGGGGATTTAATGCTATAAATTTCCCTCTACACACTGCTTTGAATGTGTCCCAGAGATTCTGGTACATTGTGTCTTTGTTCTCATTGGTTTCAAAGAACATCTTTATTTCTGCCTTAATTTCGTTATTTACCCACTAGTCATTCAGGAGCAAGTTGTTCAGTTTCCATGTAGTTGTGCAGTTTTGAGTGAGTTTCTTAATTCTGAGTTCTAATTTGATTGCACTGTGGTCTGAGAGACAGTTTTTTGTGATTTCTGTTCTTTTACATTTGCTGAGGAGTGCTTTACTTCCAATTATGTGGTCAATTTTAGGATAAGTGAGATATGGTGCTGAGAAGAATATATATTCTGTTGATTTGGGGTGGAGAGTTCTGTAGATGTCTATTAGGTCTGCTTGTTGCAGAGCTGAGTTCAGGTCCTGGATATCCTTTGTTAACCTTCTGTCTTGATCTGTCTAACATTGACAGTGGGGTGTTAAAGTCTCCCATCATTATTGTGTGGGAGTCTAAGTCTCTTTGTAGGTCTCCAAGGACTTGCTTTATGAATCTGGGTGCTCCTGTATTGGATGCATATATATTTAGCATAGTTAGCTCTTCTTGGTGAATTGACCGCTTTACTGTTATGTAATGGCCTTCTTTGTCTCTTTTGATCTTTGTTCATTTAAAGTCTGTTTTATCGAAGACTAGGATTGCAACCCCTGCTTTTTTTTGCTTTCCATTTGCTTAGTAAATCTTCCTCCATCCCTTTATTTTGAGCCTATGTGTATCTTTGCAAGTGAGATGGGTCTCCTGAATACAGCACTCTGATGGGTCTTGACTCTTTATCCAATTTGCCAGTCTGTGTCTTTTAATTGGGGCATTTAGCTCATTGACATTAATATTGTTATGTCTGAATTTGATCCTGTCATTATGATGTTCGCTGGTTTTTTGCCCGTTAATTGATGCAGTTTCTTCGTAGCATCAATGGTCTTTACAATTTGGCATGTTTTTGCAGTGGCTGGTACCGATTGTTTCTTTCCATGTTTAGTGCTTCTTTCAGGAGCTTAGGTAAGGCAGGCCTGGTAGTGACAAAATCTCTCAGCATTTGCTTGTCTATAAAGGATTTTATTTCTCCTCCACTTATGAAGTTTAGTTTGCCTGGATATGAAATTCTGGGTTGAAAATTCTTTTCTTAAGATGTTGAATATTGGCCCCCACTGTCTTCTGGCTTGTAGGGTTTCTGCCTAGAGATCTGCTGTTAGTCTGATGGGCTTCCCATTGTGGGTAACTCGACCTTTCTCTCTGGCTGCCCTTAACACTATTTCCTTGATTTCAACCTTGGTGAATCTGACAATTATGTGTCTTGGGATTGCTTTTCTCAAGGAGTATCTTTGTGGTGTTCTCTGTATTTCCTGAATTTGAATGTCGGCCTGCCTTGCTAGGTTGGGGAAGTTCTCCTGGATAATATCCTGCAGAGTGTTTTCCAACTTGGTTCCATTCTCCCCATCACTTTCAGGTAAACCAATCAAACGTAGATTTGGTCTTTTCACATAGTCCCACATTTCTTGGAGGCTTTGTTCATTTATTTTTACTCTTTTTTGTCTAACCTTGTCTTCTCACTTTATTTCATTAATTTGATCTTCAGTCACTGTTACCCTTTCTTCCACTTGATTGAATCAGCTATTGAAGCTTGTGTATGTGTCACGAAGTTCTCATGCCATGATTTTCAGCTCCATCAGGTCACTCAAGGTCTTCTCTACACTGTTTATTCTAGTTAGCCATTCGTCTAATCTTTTTTCAAGGTTTTTAGCTTCCTTGCAACGGGTTCGAACATCCTCCTTTAGCTTAGAGAAGTTTGTTATTACCAACCTTCTGAAGCCTACTTCTGTCAACTTGTCAAAGTCATTCTCCATCCAGCTTTGTTCCATTGCTGGAGAGGAGCTGCAATCCTTTGGAGAAGAGGCACTCTGATTTTTAGAATTTTCAGCTTTTCTGCTCTGGTTTCTCCCCATCTTCGTGGTTTTATCTACCTTTGGTCTTTGATGTTGGTGACCTACAGATGGGGTTTTGGTGTAGATGACCTTTTTGTTGATGTTGATGCTATTCCTTTCTGTTTGTTAGTTTTCCTTCTAACAGTCAGGTCCCTCAGCTGCAGGTCTGTTGGAGTTTGCTGGAGTTCCACTCCAGACCCTCTTTACCTGGGTATCACCAGCAGAGGCTGCAGAACAGCAAATATTGCTGCCTGATCCTTCCTCTGGAAGCTTCATCCCAGAGGGGCAGCTGCCTATATGAGGTGTCTGTCGGCCCCTACTGGGAGGTGTCTCCCAATTAGGCTACACAGGGGTCAGGGACCCACTTGAGGAGGCAGTCTGTCCATTCTCAGAGCTCAAACGCCATGCTGGGAGAACCACTGCTCTCTTCAGAGCTGTCAGACAGGGACGTTTAAGTCTGCAGAAGTTGTCTGCTGCCTTTTTTTTTTTTTTTTTGAGATGGAGTCTTGCTCTGTTGCCCAGGCTGGAGTGCAGTGGCAGGATCTCGGCTCACTGCAAGCTCCGCCTCCCGGGTTCACGCCATTCTCCTGCCTCTCAGCCTCTGGAGTAGCTGGGACTACAGGCACTTGCCTGTATTTTTTTTTTTTTTTTGTATTTTTTTGTATTTTTAGTACAGACAAGGTTTCACCCTGTTAGGCAGGATGGTCTCGATCTCCTAACCTCATGATCTGCCTGACTCAGCCTCCCATCACGCTGGGATTACAGGCATGAGCCACCGCGCCCAGCCTGTCTGCTGCCTTTTGTTCAGGTATGCCCTGCCCACAGAGGTGGAGTCTAGAGGCAGTAGGCCTTGTTGAACTGCAGTGGGCTCCGCCCAGTTCAAGCTTCTTGGCCCCTTTATTTACCTACTTAAGCCTCACCAATGGAAAACGCCCCTCCCCCAGCCAGTCTGGCACCTTGCACATCGATCTCACACTGCTGCGCTAGCAGTGAGCAAGGCTCCATGGGTGTGGAACCCACCCAGCCAGGCATGGGAGAGAATCACCTTGTCTGCTGGTTTCTAAGACCTTGGGAAAAGTGCAGTATTTGGGCGGGGAGTGTCCCATTTTTCCAGGTAGTCTGTCATGGCTTCCCTTGGGTAGGAAAGGGAAATACCCCCACCCCTTGTGTTTCCTGGGTGAGGCAACACCCTGCCATGCTTCAGCTCACCCTCTGTGGACTGCATCCACTATCCAACCAGTCCCAGTGAGATCAATCAAGCACTTCAGTTGGAAATGCAGAAATTACCCATCTTCTGCGCCGATCATGCTGGGAGCTGCAGACGGGAGCTGTTCCTATTCAGCTATCTTGGAACCTCCCCCTTATTTCTTTATTGCCATCTGGTATTTATTCACTCACTCACTCATTCATTCTTTCTTCTTTCCTTGGCTCAACACACACTTATTAATCTCCTACTAAGTGCCAGACTATAAGAACACCATCTTTAAGAAACTCATTATTTTGTTTTTTTTTTTTTTTTTAAGACACAAAACTAGGTAAACAATTTCAGGATTGGTTGGCTTTCTTTGGCTTCAATTTAAAATACCTTACAGAATTAGAAGAAGCAAAATGGTAGCAGCAGCATGTCCCCTCAAAAAAAAATAAGAACACAGTCCCCTCAAAAAAAAAAAAGAACAATTAGTATAGCAAAAGAAAAATCTCAGAAGAACACCAGCAACAGAATGTTGTGACAGAACGACAGCACAAAGCCCAGAATACAAATGAGCATGGTTAGCAGCAAGAGTCTTTCGGGAACAGTAGCTGTGCAGAAGCAAGCAAAGGGCAGACAAATTTCCGATGGTCTTAAGGGCCAAGGAACCCAGGAAAGACTTAGGTTTATTCCTCCAAAAGAAGGGGTTTTCCACTAGAAAGGAGAGCTGACCTGACCTCTCTGAGGACAGTAATCAGAGTGGTTGGGAGGGGAATTTGCAGACTTCAATTTGTGGCTCAGTCAGGAGGGTTATGGAAAGGTAAGATGTTGCAAATCAGCCTGGGCACTTATGCACTCAGAGAAAAGGCAAAGGAGAGATTTGGAAATAGGACTGAGGAGAGATTTCTGGGAATAGAGCACAATGTAACTGGGATAAATAGCAGAGAAAACTGAGATACCAGCTAGGGAGGGGCCAGAATTCAGATATCAGGTGAGCAAGCAAAGCACTAGAGCACAAAAGTTAAGGAGGCCCTCATTCTTGACATCATTCAAGTGTAGTCAGCACTGCATGGCTCTGGAGTGAGTGCCTCCTTCAATTTGGTGTCCTAGGTTCTTCACTTGCCTCATCCTTCTCCTGGTCTTGAGGAGGGAAGAAGAAGAAGCAGAACTTAGAAGATACTGGAGAGGTAGTTTTACTAACAGGTCATATTTTGATTAGGGTGGCTAAGAGCCATGAAGGTAGGAAAGCTATCCTTCTTTAACCCCTGTACAGAAAACTTTCCAAAGCACAGAAAACCCACTTCACTTAAACAGGAACAAAAAGAATGAGTTGAATTCAGAAACCATACAAAAACATTTTAAAAATGAAAGAAGATAACAATGATAAACTGAATAGCATCCTTAGAGGAAATGAAAACATGTCAGAAAAATATGGCCACAAACAGAGAAGAGCTATAAACTAACAGTAGGTTAAGCTAAAGGAAATTAAGGGAATGGCAGAAACTATGGAAGGAGGAGGTAAATCAGTCATGGAAATGTTACTTTTCTCTGTCTAACAAAACCTTATACATAGACTTTTAAAAATATGCAAAGCAGAAGGAAGATATTTTTAAAAAGGCCTGAAAAAGCTTAAGGAAGAATTATAAATTTAAAAAAATTACTTTTCAAAAATAAACACTAGAGCAGAAGGAGCGCAAAGTAAAATAAACACCACAAAAAGTACCAACAAGATTAGGAAGAAAGAAAAAATGGTTAAATAAACATGATGGAAAATATTTTTAAAAGAAGGATTTGAGAGTAATTAAAGGCAAGGAAGATTCAACAGATGTATAATAGTAATCCTTAAAGAAGAAACTCAAAACAGTAAAACAGAACAGGTACTGAAAACCATAATCTAAGAAAAATTTCCTGAAACAAAATCATCTTGAATTTACATATTAAAAGATCACATTTGTACATGGGAAAATTAATCCAGGAGAGTCTATACCAAAATCTATTCCACTAAATCTATGAAATTATGAGGAAAAAACTTCCAGGCAGGCAGGAAGAAAGGCTGTCACTTATAAGCAGGATGACATGTAATTTATTAGGTAGGCTGGGACACTTGTGAGAATAAATGGGGAACCACCAGTAATTATTACTGGACAAAATATGTAAACTGGAACAAAGTGGAACTTGCAGTCGCTCTATAAGGAAAAGGAAATCAGATTGGCATCAGTCTTTTCAACAGCAACATTTTAGAATAGAAAACAGGAAAACAACAATTGTTAACATAATCTAGGAAATAGAATGTGAGCAGCCGAAGATTTTATATCCAAACAAACCAATCTTCAAGTATAAATCACATGAATAGTTATTACCTGTAATTATTTAGGAAAAAATTGTTCTCAGAAAACCAAAAATGATTGGAAAAATTATTGGCATGAGGACTCATGATAAGCATGGCTGTTACAACCATTGAATAATAAAGATAAAAGTGGCATAATTTATGTAACTGTTACAATCTACTCTAACAATATAGATATAACACAAATATCAAAAATGTTTGGGGTGGGGGAAGCATACATAAAGTAAAATAAGCTTGCTAATTTTCTTGTTGATGTCAAGTAGGAGTAGAGTATTTGCCAGGGTGGCTGGGTGCAGTGGTCCATGCCTGTAATCCCAGCACCTTGGGAGCCTGAGGCAGAAGGATCACTTGAGGCCAGGAGTTTGACCATTTGGGCAATATAGTGAGATCTCATTTCTATGCGCACAAAAATCTTAGCAGGGCATGGTGGTGCACAACTGTAGTCCTAGCTACTTGGGAAGCTGAGGTGTCAGGATTGCTTGAGCCCAGGAGTTTGAGGCTGCAGTGAGCTATGATAGTGCCATTACACTACAACCTGGACAACAGAGTGAGATCCTGTCTCAAAAAAAAAAAAAATTGCTGGGGTGAGGAAAAAAGAGAGAATAAGATATAAGCTGTTACTGGCTTGCTTCAATGTTGTTCATAATAAGAACAAATAAACAGTATCTGATAAAAGGAAATTACATATATTATATGAAGATATTTGTTGAAATGTAATGAGTAAAACAACAATAAAAAATGAGGCTTTTCAAATAGGAAGAGAAATGTGAAAGAGAGAAAGAAAACAAATAGACCACATAGTATAAAATATGCATATACATACACATGTATAAAAAATATGGTAACACTGAAAAAAAACTTACCATTCTTATTAACAATTGTAAATGAGTTTAGCTTATCTACTAAAATAAAAAGATTTTCAAATTTACTAACAGCAAATCCTATGCTGTATACAAAAGACTCATTTAAAACAAATATTCTTGCAAGGTTAAAAACAAAAGAATGAGCAGACATATCAGGAAAGTGAAAATACAAAAAAAAGTAGATGTATCAAGATTTAATAAGATATAAATAAGTCAAGAAGCATTTTGTTAAGTTATATTTTATAATGCTAATTGATATAATTCACAATAAAGATATAATTAATAAATAAAATGAAGAAAAAAGAGCAAAAACAAAAAAGATATAATTAATATATATGCATCCAGTGAAATAACAACTTGCATAAAACAGAAACTATAGAAACAAAAATAAATAGACAGAAATATACTATTTATAGATAACTTTAATATATTTTTCACAGTTCAAGACAAATAAAAAAAATTAGTAAAGATGGAAGACTTAACTAACACAATGAGTAATGTAGATCTTATGGTATACATCAAATTCTGAGTTCCAGTAACAGACAATAAGCCTTACGTGCACATGAAAAATGTTTTAATTTTAAAAGGGAGGGGTTATTTGCTGGCTCATGTGCCTGAGAGATTTAGGGGTTAATCTCCTTCGAGCACATTCAAATCTAGGTGCCCAAACAATGTCCAGCTTTGCTCCATTTGGGCTTGATTCTCAGGTGAGCTTTTCCCATGAGGTGCAAAGATGCTCACCAGAAGCTCTCGCTTGCATTGCACTAATGGTTAAAGACTACTCTTCCACCCTCAAATATCCTTATCGGTCTCTAAAAACTCTGATAGATCATTTATTCATGTACACATCACAGCCCAATCGCTGTAGATGAGGTACTCTGGTTGTTAAACCTGGGTCACATGCCAATATCAAAAACAAGATCAATCCATGTGATTGAAAACCTATCTAGCACCATGTAAACTAGAAGAGGCTCCTAAAAGAAAAACAGGTGCCCTCTTAATATAAGAGAAAGAAAGGTTAGACAAGCAAAAATAAGAGTTATCGGCTTTACTTATAATTCAATATGATAAATATTATAAGGAAACAGGATGCAGGAGTGGAGCACATGAAAGACTGATCAGCTCTATTCTGGAGAGGTCTAAGAAAGCTTTAACAAACAAGATAGTGAGCTGGGTTTTGAAAGGTAAGTTTAAGTTCTCTAATCATATGGAGGGATGGACATTAAAGATGAAAGGAAGAGCATGTGCCAATTCACCTATGAAACTACGAAACAGAATGATACAATTGGGGAGTTCTGAGTAGTTCAGTGTCATTAGGGGGAAAGGAGAAGTTGAAGGAATGGTGAAACATGGAAATGAGATATCAGTAGAGTTAAGACCTTGACGGTCTTTATACATCATTGTGCTGGTCACTTTTCTCTTTGCTTTCAGTTCCATTCCCATCCTTTCTCTGCTCCTCAGAGAACTACAGAGTAAAATTCTTTGCTACCTGGCTTCCTAGGAAGTTTGAACAATTGAAGACTCAAGAAGAAAACTGGAGGGTGAAAGCAGGACAGAAACCAGGGTATTGCTCTGCCTTAGGGGACCTCTCTGGCAGCAGCTACATCATCTTTTTTTGTGGCTGAAGGTCCTAATAGAGCCCCTACCTCAATGATGGCAGCTCCCACCTCCTCCTCGTTAATGTCCGCATTGCCTTATCATCTTTCATTAGCTATGTAACCAGTTCCCTCTATTAAATTCCACTTATTTAAAATAGCTAGAATAGTTTCTTTTTCACTGGACTATGACCAATATGGTAACATTATAAAATTTGGACTTTGCCCTGTATGCAGTGAGAAGAATCTTATGCAGGAGAGCAATATGTCAGATTTGTGCTTTAGAAAAACTCCTCAGACAACAGCTGGGGAGAAACTGGAAGAAAGGAGATGAGTCAGAAGGCAAATGTTATATAAGAAGAGAATGATGAGTGTCGGAACTAGAGCAGTGATTGAGAGGATGTGTTGGATTAGTAATATACATAGGAGGTGTCATTATCAAGTGCTAATGACTAATTGGATAAGAGAGTGTTTGCACATAAGCATCAGCCATTTCAATATGCGTCTGTGGGGTCCGTGTGAGAATAGCACATTTTCTCCCTCATCCCCAGTGGTTTCATCCATATCATACTCCAGGATCAAGTGGTATGTGTCTAGGCTCACTAGGAGAGCAGTCTGGGAACGCAATAAATAGGAAGGTATCAGAGCCAGCCAAGGCAGCAGTCCATTCCTGATTAATACATTATTTGATGTAACATAAACAGAGGGAAGAACCTAGATAAAGAAACTGAGAGTAGTGACAGGTATAAAGGAAGGAACCACTGACTCACTGGAGTACCATTGGATGGTCCTGTGTAGGTGGAGGGCAGAATCATAAAGGAAATGAATCAAGCAATTTGGGTTTTATGATATCCGGTGATCAGTCATAGCTAATCTGACCCTTCCAGAAATTAATTTACTATCACTATCACTTATTTCCTCCCCATGGACATAAAGACATCAGAATCTTCTCCATGTTCCATCCAATGCATGATTATATCTTAGAGAGAGACCAAGCCCCTTGTGGTAGGAAAATGTGGTTGGTTCCTTGATGTCTACATCAGAAGATTTAGGTTCATGCAGCAAGGCAGTGGCTCTGTCTCAGCCTAGCACATCCATATATCAGGCAGGAAAGGTAAGGTATAACAGTCCAAAAACGTTCTTGTTTCCAACCTGTTCTCACTCTGTTCACATTTTTTGCTTAATGCTAAACTGATGACTTGTTTATCAAATTGAATCAAAGTGCTGATCTGTTGGTATCCCCAGACTCTAAGCTTTCGCTAGTGGGTCCTGGTCCTTCTAGCTTTGGAATGTCTCAGAGGAGACACTCAGGTTTCTCACCCACAAATAATAATTTAAACACCCCTACCCTGATATATCTATTCCTATGCAAAAAACTAACACCAAACTTAGAGGTTCAAGCAACTGTTTTATTATTTCTTTTGATTTTGTGAGTCAGGAATTCAAGCAGGGCTCAGCTGAGTGATCCATCTATTCTACATGGTAGCAATGGAGGTCTTTTGGTGGTGGTATTCAGTTGGAGCATAATTTGGGTCTGGAAGATCCAAGATGATTTCACTTACATGCTGACGCAGTGGAGGAGATGGCTGGGCTTAGCTGCTGACCACTACACCTGGATGTGGTCTCATGATTTTGGTAGTCTCTGGATAGTTAGACATCCAGTGGCATCATGGTTACATGGTGGCTTGGGACTCCAAATGCAATGTGGCAGAAGCTATGTGGGCATGTGTATCCAGGCACAGAGCACTTCTGCAGGACTCTATAAGTTAAAGTAGTCATAAACCCACCCTGATTCAAGGAGAGCAGACATAGACCCTAACTCTTGAAAGGAGGAGTGTCACAGAATTGGAGGCCATGTATTAAAACCACGCTCCCTGTATTAGTCCTTTCTTAGACTGCTATAAAGACATACCTGAGACTGGGTGATTTATTAAGAAAAGAGGTTTAATCGGCTCACAGCTCTGCAGGCAGTGAGGGAAGGCCTCAGGAAACTTACAATTATGGTGGAAGGCATAGGGGAAGCAGGCACAGCCTTCACATGACCAGAGCAGGAGAGAGGAGGGGGAGGTGCCACACACTTTTAAAAAACTAGATCCTGTAAGAACTCTATCATGAGACAGCAAGGGGGAAGTCCGCCCCCATGATTCAATTACCTTCCAGCAGGTCCCTCCTCCACCACTGGGAATTACAATTTGACGTGAGATTTGGATGGGGACACAGAGCCAAACCATATCACTCCTTTATAAGTCCCCTATTTAAATTCAGTTCTAGAAATAACTAGTGAACACATGTGCCAAATATACCCTGCAGTGTGGTAAGAAAGTTTAGTAAAATATAGCTACACAATGTTAAACAATTTTCTTCACATACCAGGATTCTCAGACCATTTAAAAACCTTGGAAAAAGCAAGAGCAAACCAAACCCAAAATTAGTAGAAGAAAAGAAATAATAAAGATCAGAGCAGAAATAAATGAAATTGAAATAAAAAACACAAAAGGTCAATTAAACCAAAAGTTGGTTTTTTGAAAAGTTAAATGAAGTTGACAAATCTTTAGCAAGAATAACTAAGAAAAAAAGAGAAGATCCAAATAAATAAAATCAAAAATGAAAAAGGTGACAATATAACTGATACTTCAGAAATTCAAAGGATCATCAGTGGCCACTATGAGCAACTATATGCCAATAAATTGGAAATAGACAAATTCCTAGATACATACAACCTACCAAGATTGAAACAAGAGGAAATCCAAAACCTGAACAGCCTAACAAGTAAGAAGAAGTAATGAGATTGAAGCTGTAAATAAAAAGTCTCCCAATAAAGGAAAGCACAGGAGCTGATAGTTTCACTGCTGAATTCAACCAAATAGTTGAAGAAAAACTGACGCCAATCCTTCTCAAACTATTCCAAAAAACAGAGTAGGGAATATTTCCAAACTCACTGTACGAGGCCAGTATTACCCTGATACCAACAAAACCTAATGAAGACACATAAAAAGAAAAGCTGTAGGTCAATATCTGTGATACATATTGATGCAAAAATCCTCAACAAAATACTAGCAAACTGAATTTGACAATACGTTAGAAAGATCATTCATCATGACCAAATGGGATTTATCCCCAGGATGCAAGTCTGGCTCAACATACAACAAATCAATCAATGTGATACAGCATATCAACAGAATGAAGGACAAAAACCATATTATTAATTGACGGTGAAAAAGCATTTGATAAAATTTAATGTCCCTTTATGATAAAAACTCTCAAAAAACTGGAGATAGAAGGAACATACCACAACATAATAAAAAGCCGTATATGACAGACACACTGCTAGTATCATACTCAATGCGGAAGAAGTGAAAGCCTTTCCTCTAAGGTCTGGAACACAACAAAGGATGCTCATTGTCACCACTGTTACAGTACTGGGATATAGTACTGGAAGTCCTAGCTAGAGCAATCAGACAACAGAAAGATATTAAGGGTATCCAAATTGGAAAGGAAGAAGTTAAATTATTCTTGTTTACAGATTATATGATCTTATATTTGGAAAGACCTAAATATTACACCAAAAATCTACTAGAACTAAAAAATAAATTCAATGAAGTTGCAGGATACAAAATCAACATACAAAAATCAGTAGCATTTCTATATGCCAACAGTTAACAATGTGAAAGAATAAAACATGAAAAGTAATCCCATTTACAATACCCACACATAAAATTAAATACCTAGGCATTAACCAAAGAAGTAAAAGTTATCTACAAAGAAAACTATAAAATACATAAAAGAAATTGAAGAGGACACCAAAAAATAAAAAAAGTTCCATGTTCATGGATTTGAAGAATTAATGTTGTTAAAATGTTCATACTACCCAAAGCAATCTACAGATTGACTGCAGTCCCTATCAAAATACCAATGATATTCTTCACAGAAATAGAAAAAGCAATTCTGAAATGTATATGTAACTACAAACAACCCAGAATAGAAAACGATTATCCTAAGCAAAAAAAGAAAAGTAGAGGAATCACATTACCTGAATTCAAATTATACTACAGAGCTATAGTAACCAAAACATCATGGTACTATCATAAAAACAGGCATAGACCAATGAAACAGAATAGAGAACCTAGAAACAAATCCACACACCAAAGTGAACTCATTTTTTACAAAGGTGCCATGAACATGCACTGGGGGAAAGACAGTCTCTTCAATAAATGGTGCTGGGAAAACTGGATAACCACATGCAGAAGAATGAAACTAGACCCCTCTCTCCCACCATATACAAAAATCAAATAAAAATGGGTTACAGACTTAAATCTAAGACCTTAAACCATGAAACTACTATAAAAAAACATTGGGGAAAATCTCCAGGACATTGGTCTAGGCAAAAATTTCTTGAACAATACCCCACAAGCACAGAAAACCAAAGCAAAAATGGACAAATAGGATCACATCAAGTTAAAAAAACATTTTGCACAGCAAAGAATACAATGAAAAAAGTGAAGTGGCAACCCACAGAATGGGAGAAAAATATTTGCAAACTACCCATCTGACAAGGGATTAATAACCAGAATACATAAGGAGCTCAAACAACTCTATAGGAAAAATATAATAATCCAGTCAAAAGATGGGCAAAAAGTTTGAATACACATTTCTCAAAAGAAGACCTACAAATTGCAAACAGGCACATGAAAATGTGCTCAACATTGTTGATCATCAGAAAAATGAAAATAAAAACTACAATGACATATCATCTCACCCCAGTTAAAATGGCTTTTATCCAAAAATCAGGCAATAACCAATGCTTGCAAGAATGTGGACAAAAGGGAACCCTTGTATACTGTTGGTGGAAATGTAAACTAGTACCATCACTATGGAGAACAGTTTGAAGGTTTTTCAAAAAAACTAAAAATTGAGCTACCGCAGGATCCAGCAATCCCACTACTTGGTATATACCCCAAATAAAGGAAATCAGTATATCAAAGAGATATCTGCACTCCTATGTTTATTCCAGCACTGTTTATGGTAGCTAAGATTTGGAAGCAAACTGTATTAGTCCATTTTCATGCTGCTGATAAAGACATACCCAAGACTGGGCAATTTACAAAAGAAAGAGGTTTATTGGACTTACAGTTCCACACGGCTGGGCAGGCCTCACAATCATGGTGGAAGGTGAAAGGCACATCTCACATGGTGGTGGCAAGAGAAAGAATGAGAGCCAAGCAAAACCAGTTTCTCCTTATCAAACCACCAGATCTCATGAGACTTATTCACTACTACAAGAACAATACGGGGGAAACTGCCCCCATGAGTCAATTCTCTCCCTCTGGGTCCCTCCCTTATTACATGGGAACTATGGGAGTACAATTCAAGATGATATTTGGATGGGGACACAGGAGACATAGAACCAAACCATATCATTCTGCCCCTGACCCCTCCCAAATCTCATGTCATCACATTTCAAAACCAATCATGCCTTCCCAGCAGTCCCCCAAAGTTTTAACTCATTTCAGCATTAACTCAAAAGTCCACAGTCCAAAGTCTCATCTGAGACAAGGCAAGTCCCTCCTGCCTATGAACCTGTAAAATCAAAAGCAAGTTAGTTTCTTCCTAGATACAATGGGGGGTACAGGCATTGTGTAAATACTCATTCCAAATGGGAGGAATTGGCCAAAAGAAAGGGACTATAGGCCCCATGCAAGTCCTAAATCCAGCAGGTCAGTCAAATCTTAAAGGTCCAAAATGATCTCTTTTGACTCCAGGTCTCACATCCAGGTCACACTGAGGCAAGGTGGGTTCCTGTGGTCTTAGGCAGTTCCACCCCTGTGGCTTTGCAGAGTATAGCCCTACTCCTGGCTGCTTTCATGGGCTGGTGTTGAGTGTCTGTGGCTTTTCCATGTGCATGGTGAAAGCTGTCAGTGGATCCACCATTCTGGAGCTGGAGGACAGTGGCCCTCTTCTCACAGCTTCACTAGGCAATGCCCCAGTAGGGACTCTGTCTGGAGGCTCTGACCCCACATTTCCCTTCTATACTGCCCTAACAGAGGCTCTCCATGAGATCCCCACCCCTGAAGCAAACTTCTGCCTGGGCATCCAGGCGTTTCCATACATCCTCTGAATCCAGGCAAAAGTTCCTAAATCTCAATTCTTGACTTCTGTGCACTGGTAGGCTCAATACCATATGGAAGCTGCCAAGGCTTGAGGCTTGCAGCCTCTGAAGGCATGGCCTGAGCTCTTTGTTGGCCCCTTTTAGCCATGGCTGGAGTGGCTGGGATGCAGGGCACCGAGTCCCCAGGCTGCACACAGCACAGGAACCCTTGGCCTGGCCCACAAAACTACTTCTAGGCCTCCGGGCCTGTGATGAGAGGGGCTGCCATCTGCCATGAAGACCTCTGACATGCCCTGGAGTTATTTTCCCTATTGTCTTGGGGATTAACATTGGACTCCTCACTACTTATGCAAATTTCTACAGCAGGCTTGAATTTCACCTCAGAAAATGAGTGTTTCTTTTCTATCACACTGTCAGGCTGCAAATTTTCTGAACTTTGATGCTCTGCTTCCCTTATAAAACTGAATGCCTTTAACAGCACCCAAGTCACATCTTGAAGGCTGGCTCCTTAGAAATTTCTTCTGCCAGATACCCTAAATCGTGTCTCTCAAGTTCAAAGTTCCACAAATCTGTAGGGCAGGGGCAAAATGCCACCACTCTCTTTGCTAAAACATAATAAAAGTCACTTTTGTTCTAGTTCCTAACAAGTTCCTCATCTCCATCTGAGACCACCTCAGCCTGGACCTAATTGTGCATATTGCTGTCAGGCTTTTGGTCAAAGCAATTTAACAATTCTCTAGGAAGTACCAGACTTTCCCACATTTTTCTGTCTTCTTCTGAGCTCTCCAAACTGTTCCAACCTCTGCCTATTACCCAATTTCAAAGTCGCTTTGACATATTCAGGTATCTTTTCAGCAATGCCCCACTCTACTGTTACCAATTTACTGTATTAGTCCTTTTTCACCCTGCTGATAAAGACATACCCAAGACTGGGCAATTTACAAAAGAAAGAGGTTTAATTGGATTTACAGTTCCATAGGGCTGTGGAAGCCTCACAATCATGACTGAAGGCAAGGAAGAGAAAGTCACAACTTATGTGGAGGGCATCAGGCAAGGAGAGGAGTGCTTGTGCAGGGAGACTCCTCTTTTTATAACCGTCAGATCTCATGAGTCTTATTCACTATCATGAGAACAGAATGGGGAAGACCTGCCCCCATGATTCATTTACCTTGTACCAGGTCGTCCCACAACATATGAGAATTCAAGATGAGACTTGGTTGAGGACACAGCCAAACCATATCACAACCTAAGTGTCTATCAACAGATTAGTGGATAAAGAAAATGTGGTACATATACACAATGGAGTACTATTCAACCATAAAGAAAGAATGAGACCCAGTCATTTACAACCACATGCATGGAACTGGAGAGCACTCTGTTAAGTGAAATAAGCCAAAGACAGAAAGACAAACATTGCATATTCTTACTTACTTGTGGGATCTAAAAATCTAAGCAATTGAACTCATGGACCTAGAGAGTAGAAGGATGGTTACCAGTGGCTGGGAAGGGTAGTGGGGGGGATTGGGAGGAGGTGGAAATGGTTAATGGGTACAAAAATTAGTTAGAAAGAAGGAATAAGACCTACTATCTGATGCACAACAGAGAGATTGCAGTCAATAATAACTTAACTGTACATCTTAAAATAACTTAGAGTGTAATTGGATTGGTTGCAACTCAATGGATAAATGCTCAAGGGGATGGATATCCTATTCTTCATGATATGCTTATTTCACATTGCATGTCTGTATCAAAACATCTCATGTACCCCATAAATATATACACCTACTATGTACTCACAGATTTTTTTTTAGAAAAAATCTTAAAAAGCTTGGGAATCAGCCAGGTGCATTGGCTCATGCCTGTAATCCCAACTACTTGGGCAGCTGAGGTGGGAGGATCACTTGAGCCCAAGAGTTTGAGGCTGCAGTGAGCCATGATCACACCACAGCAGCCCAGCCTGGGTGACAGAGTCTTAAAACAAAACAAAACAAAACAAACAAACAAACAAAAAACACTTGGGAATCTCCAAGAAGAGGATACAGTATGTACCACTTTTCAAGGTATTTTGACCTTGCAACATCCTAGGACTAGTTTTCTGCATAAGACGTCTTGAAAACACCGACTTAGAGAATGACTGAAACAAGAGAAAAGGAAAAAAACATTCTCTCATATATTCTATGACTTGAAGGGGGCCAGATGCAAGAATACACTTTTTTAAGAATAAAGCAGACATGATTTCCTAAGATGAATTAAGCAACTGGAAGGCACCCATAGACTGGCTGGCAATCAGAGGGCAATCATGGGTTAAAGAAGCAGATAGATGTCTCAGAGTTAATATGGAGGTAAAAATAAGTCCCTGCATCAAGAAATATTAGTCATAAGCTGCCCATAACTTTTTACAGGCTTTTCATTTTTTTCTGAACATCTTAATTAAAAGTTAAAGTGGCTAACAATGCTGGCTTTCTTGAGAACTAAAGGAGCATCCACAGAAAGTGCAATGTTTTGCAATCATTGCTGAGGGCAAAGCAACCTCATAAAACCATAAAATATTAATTATTTATTATAGGGCTATGGAAGAAGCAAAAGTATAGGGTCTCTTTCGCTTTGGGGATTTGGGTTTGCAATTTACAGGACAAAAGGGAAATAACTTTGAAATTACAGGAAATCAGAGACAGGAAATCTTAGTTTTGGTCAAAAGCCATAACGTCTTTTGGTGAACTCCATTTGATGACCCTCTGCAATAACTAGAGGGAGTGAGAGAGTCTATTAAGCTGTTTCAGGACCTGGATGTATTCACCTGGAAAGATATATGGCTTCATATTACTTTCAGCATATTAAGGTGCCATTCACAAACAAGATGATCTATGGTATTCATCATTCACAACTCACTTCCATACAGATTGGGAACAGTACCCCCCAAAGATCCCACCATCCAGCCAAAATCCAGCAAAATACAAAGACCTAAAGGGTCTGGTTTTGATTTGGGAACAGGATGAGGCTACAAAAGGCAGCCTGGATGCTGTGAGGACCTCTGGGTTGGGACCCCGATGGGGTCTGGGGTGGGGAATGAGTGAGGGCCTAGGACCACTTCCGGGGCAGGCAAGGCTGGTAAACATTGTACTCCTGGGCCATAGCCCCTCTCTTTCTTCATTCTCACTATCGTGGACAGCTTTGCTCTGCTGATCCCATTCAAGTGATGAGTGTGGAAGGGAAGTAGGAAAGCAGGGACGGGCAGCCAAGCAAGGTGTTTGTCTTCCATTATTTTCTTAGCCAAAGGAAGATATTTCTACATATCCCCCTCTTCATCAGGTGTTTACTTCCCTTCCTCCTTACCAACCAGGTCTAGGGAATGATAGGACGGTTGTGTCTCAGGCGTGGGACAGCCCGTCCAAGGCTTTTCAGGGTGATTTTAGATGGTACATAGGCAAGGCATGGAATCAAATGGTATTGCATGATGAGAAAGTCCCTTTTTTTCAAACTTCTGATCTCATCCAGGATGAGGTCTTAGGGCTTGCTGATGGCCCATTCCTTCCCATAAAACAGGATCTAGCCTGAGGTCTGGAGTTCGAGACCAGCCTGATCAACATGGAGAAACCCTGTCTCTACTGAAAATACAAAACTAGCCGGGCGTGGTGGCACATGCCTGTAATCCCAGCTACTCGTGAGGCTGAGGCAGGAGAATCGCTTGAACCCGGGAGGTGGAGGCTTCAAGCGATTGACGCGATGAGCCAAGATCATACCATTTCACTCCAACCTGGGCAACAAGAGCAAAACTCCATCTCAAAAAAAAAAAAAAAAAAAAAAAAAAAAAAAAAAAAAAAAAAAAAAGAAAAAGAAAAAGAGAAAAAAAAAACAAGATCTAGCCAGGATAGAATCACATTGTTCTGTTTACATTGCATTTGTTTTGACAGTTGTCCCTTTATGTTGCAAGTGATTCTGATTTTTCATGTAGTGATATAAAGCTACCTTATGAAATGAACTTGTTGGAAAAAGGGAATCAGTTTAAATATAAAATACTTAGTGTCCTTCAGATGACATGAATATATGGCAAAAATCAAGACGGGAGGAAGCAAATGATTGAAATGAGGAAAATACGAAACTGGTGTGACCCTCCAAGTTAACATTTAGGGAAACTGAAGCCCTGAGAGTTTAGATAAACTGCCTACCGTGACTCAGGTATATTTTTGTCTCTTTCAGTTACTCATTTGTTAGCTTATTTATTTGATTGTTTCAATATGAAAAGGTCTGACACTGTGCTACAGAGAATGTTAGACCTCAGGTGTCCTGCCTCCCTGCCTGGGCTTCCCGCCACCCTCACGAGACTCTACCACCCCTTGCACAAGGAGGCAGAGGATCTAAGAGGAAGTGGCTGCTGTTTCTATGCAGAAAAGACAATGTATATGTTATTATAGAATGCCTGTGGCAGCAAGTAGCATAATAGCCATCTAAAAGTAGCTTAAACAATATGGGATTATTATTTTTTTATCTAATAGGCACTTAGCCTTAATTAAGGATTCGAATGCAGAGAGTAAATATTGACGCAAATAAGATAATAAGTTTTAAAAATATTCTTACTAAGAACTTAAGTGAGAGATGTCCTGTTGCATCTTAGAGGTTAAGCCAAATGAAATAGGAACAAACATGCACACCCCCTGACCCCCCATGTCCCAGTGATCCTGCTTATTTAGATGCTGAGGTGGAGTGTAATACCTGGTACTGACAGGAAGCGCTTCTGCGGAGGCAGGTACTGAGAGAAACTGCTGGCTGCCACCACAGCATGGGAACTAGACAGCAGGCAGCTGGACAGAAGGTGATGCCTTCTGTGGTTGTGGATCTGTGGGGCTGTGGCCAGCTTGCAGTGTGGGACCTGAGGCTCGCAGGCAGGTAATCAAGCAGGTAATGGAAACTGGAAATACCTTCAGAAGAGCAAGGCCCCTGGTTCCCGGTCAGCAGCACTAGTAGGGTGGACTTCAAAACCTAGATCAGACCTATTAGGTCCCTGCCTGTCTGTCTAACATCATTTTTTAAACCTTTAATTGCAGTATAACCTACACAAATTAAAGGGTATATATCACAAGTGTGTAGCTTTATGAATTCTCCTAAACTGAACACACCCATGTAACCAGCACACAGATTCAAGAAAGAGGATATTGGCAGCAACCTAGACAACCCCTCATAACAGCCTTTTAGTCATGAACCCTCCAAAGGGGAAGCACTACTCTATTTTTATACCTTCTGTAGACACAGTCATGCAGTGCATCCAGTCTGATTTCTTTCCTGTATACACTGTTATGTTTGTAAGACTCCATCATCTTGTTGTGGATAGTTGGGGTCCATTCACTCTCATTGATGCATAGTTTTCCAATGTCAATGTGCCACAATGCATTTATTTCCTCTTCTATGGATAGACATTTAGGTAGCTTCCGGTTTGGAGATATTACCAACCCTGCTGTTATGAACATTGGAGTGCATATTTTTGGTGCACGAATGTATGTTTCCCCGTGAGGTACATACAGAGGAGGACAAGGCTGAGTGTCCAATCTCATGGTACCCTTTGTCACCCTTGCTTGTTTTGTTTCCCTGCTTGAGGCCTTCCCACGAGTGCCGTTTTCTTTTCCTGGAGCACTGTTCCTCTCACTCTTCATCTGGTGAGACCCCACTTGTTGCTGAGATTTGGAATGAGATGCTGCTTCCTTGGGGAATCCCTCCCAACCTGTTGTGCACACTCACCCCTTGCTGGGCTTCTGCTTTGCTGCACTTAGCACAACTCCACCTAAATGACCACTGTGTCATTCCCTACTTGATGCTGCTGCCCTGTGTAGACTCTAAGCTTGAGGGAGGAGACATCTAGTGTTCTGCACTGGGTTTCCAGGCCCTAGCATAGTGGGTGGCACAATAGTGGATACTAAACAATTATTCAATGGATAAGTTGACGGCATCCAAGGCCAGCACCCATCTAACAAACCAAGACTTCAGCTACTGGAGTACATGTAATTAATTGGAAACTTCCGGTGCCCTTGCTGATGCCAAACCCCATGTCGTTTAGTTCCTCAAATCCCTGGCCATGAGCAGGTTTGTCTCCAGGGCCTCTGATAGAGTTGGGTGAGCAGGTAGGAGCCAAATAGCCCTTGTGTGAGGGTTATGAGGTGAGGCGGAGGTCTGGGCCTGCAGACCTGGGTTGACAAATAGTTTTCAAAGCAAGGCTTGCTTCTAAATGAGATAAGCCTAATTTGCCCAAAGAGAGATGTCTCTAACCTTCTTCCTCCTACTCCTTCCTTTTCTCTTAGGACACTTTCTGCTTATCACCCCTATCTAGCCTGGAACAGTTGGGGCACCCTCCAAGCCTATACATACTTGCATACCCCTTACCCCAGATCATGGATATTTCATTCCTTTTTGGTATTAGGATACTAATCTGTGAAAGGACATTCATATTTTATATCTTTTTGATGTACACAGGAATCAAATACAATTTCAGAAATGGCTTTTCAGAATTATTATGCAACCCAACTTCATTTGTAATACATGTCAGTGATTGGTATAAACAACAACAATAAAAACACATATATAAATATTAAATAAAATGTTTATTTGTTTATTTGTTTGCATGTTATATCTCCCAAGATAGGATTCATTTCTGTGTCACAAGACTTTCCAACGGTGCATGGGAGCTGACAACAGAAGAGGAAGGAGAAGTGGAGGAAGATTGTGATTATGAGTGTGAGACACTGTTCTTTCTATCTCCCCAAAGCTTGGGAGGTGTGGGCAGAGTCAGAGACTGGGGGCCACAGTTTAACCAATGGGAATGCTGAGGGCCACCTCTTCAACATTTCTTTCCAACCAGTGGTTTCCATACCATGAAGGCACCATTGTGCTATCGACATTAAGTATAAATAACCAGGTCACGGATGATGACAAGACTCTGGTCAAAGTAAGTTTGAGGTAGGGAATACTTTTTTGTTTTATGAGAAAATATAGGTATTAGGCCAAGAAATAAAATTATATATTTAGATTCCATATACATGAATAATATTTGTTAAGGTGCTAATAATTTATTATTTTTAAATTAAACATCAATCCACAAAAAGTAATAGAGAGTATAAAGGATTTTAGCTTTGAGGAACAAAGAAGAGTTCAGAACAGATTGCCAGAAACATGACTTTGTAGTTCCAGCTCAGAAAGTCTGTGTTGATTGATTTACTGACTCTTTTTAAGAAAGTGGGATACAGGGAGACAAATTTTTCCTTCTCCCCATTTTGTAGAATGTGTATTCCCCTCCCACTTGGCATGAACCTGTTAAGCCATAATTTGACTGCCTACTCCATCCTAGCCTTCCACTATAACAAAATAAGCAACAAAAATGTCTATTTCTAAGTCATTTCAGTGAGATTTTGAATTACATGGGTGGTTCATCCAAAGTTTTTTGCTTTCATTTGTCACTCATAAACTTTAGCAAGGAAAAAAGACATCCATTTTAAATTTAGGGAATTCAGTAAATGCCTCTGTATTAACCTGTTCTCATGCTGCTCATAAAAACATACCTGAGGCTGGGGAATTTACAAAAGAAATAGGTTTAATTAGACTTACAGTTCCACGTGGCTGGGAAGCCTCACAATCATGGCAGAAGGCAAGAAAGAGCAAGTCATGTCTTACATGGATGGCAGCAGGCAAAGAGAGAGAGAGCTTGTGCAGAGAAACTTCTGTTTTTAAAACTATCAGATCTCATAAGGCCCATTCACTATCACGAGAACAACACGGAAAAGACCTGCCCCCATGATTCGATCATCTCCCACTAGATCCCTCCACAACATGTGGGAATTATGGGAGCTACAAGATGAGATTTGGTTGGGCACACAGAGCCAAACCATATCAGACTCATAAAAGGAAAAAGATAATACATCAACGAAGAGGAAAATATTGGCTCATCAAATGGGAAATTTCTTTTTATTGATGAATAGATTTAAACAATTAGCACAGAATTTGACACACAGTGGACACTCAATGACAGCTTCCTTTTCCTCATCTCTTATTAACTAATGCTTAATATAGTCACTCGTTCACTCACTCCTTCATTCATTTCTTGGTTTGTTCTTCCATTCAATATTCACTGAGTTCTTAATGCCTATGAGTTGCTGTGTCAGGAACTGAAGATAAAACAAGTTTGAGTTTTTGTCCCCAGGTTGCTCACAATTCACAATTTTTTTCTCTTGATAATCGTGATTATTGCTTTACATAATTTTTCTCCTTGAAGTAGTCGAATGTAGTTGAACTTTTGTGAATTGATAATGGGTCCATCCAACTCCTGGTCTGAGCCCTGTCAGTAAATATATCATGAATCTTTTTCTGTAACACCAGCCTGTCTTACGGTGTGGTCATGTTCACACTTCAAAATCAAAAGATGCAAATGAAATTAAGAATGTGGAAGTAACTGTAAACAGCTAAAGAGGCTCCAGTGAATGAATGTACCAGCCATGGAAAGGTGAGAAGAGGAGTCTTTCATTCATTCCACAGATAGCTGTTGATCTGTTACTACACACCAATCTATTGTGGATCTTGGGGAATTAGCAGTAGATGCAATAGATAACAATTTCTGTTGTCATGGATTTAACATCTGGAACAATCCTTGAGTACATCCTATTTGCCTGGATATTTGCTCATAATTTCAACTGTGTTCTTTGACAACTTATCTGAGGTTAGACTAGGGGTAAAAGTTGCCTGAGATCTCACAGCTGAAAGGCAGCAGAGCTAGAATCAGAATCCAAAACAATACTCTATCCACCTCACCCTGAAGTCTCCCAAATCACAGGTTTGATTTGACAACTGTCCTGGGAAGTTAAGATGGTCCAGCTCCATTCTCCCTCCACCTCCTGCCTTTGGAATTTTTGTTAGCAAAGGAGGTCTAATACCTACTTGAAGCCAGGGCAGGACCACATAGCAACTACTTGAGGTGTCTTTTGGCTCTAAGAGATACCATTTGTGAATAAATCTTAACATTCTCTAAAGGGAGAATGTTCCTGGAAGGGAGAGTAGGGATGTCCCCCTACCTGATTGTTGAACTATCCCTTTCTCATAAACATAGCTAGGACGATTAACAGCTACTGCAGTTATCCCTGATAGCCTGCTCTCTAATATACCACAGCTATGCCATGGCTTTAAACTCTCCATGTCTGTGCATTTCCCCCGGTCTGGAACAATCACCTACCCCATTCATTGCCCTGACTTTCGTATCCATTTAAATACAGCAGTTCTTCAGGGCCAGGCAAGGGTCTCTCTCCATGAAGCTTTCCACAACCACCTTCTTCATCTGTCTGCCGGGACCCTTTGCTTGGATCCCCCTCTCCAATTTCATTCTGTTTTGAAGCACACCATAGTTGGCTTCCTGTTGGTCTCCCCAGCGTGACTGAGAGCTGCAGAGGGCAAGGATGTGTCCCACTTGTTTTTCTTTTCCCAGGATCTAGCCTTGGGTTTGGCACAGATTGGTTACTAAACATATATTTATTAAATGAATGATTACATGAATCAATGAAGGAAGGAATAAAAAATGAATGAGTAATTTAATAAGTAAATAAGTGACTGAAGGAGTGAGTCACGAGGAGTGAGGAAATGGCAGCCAAGAGGAGCTCCTGTGATCATGAGCTATGTTAATCCCACTAGCATGGGAAAGAAGGTTATTTTGTGACTTTGCCATGAGTGGTCTTTTTTTCTTTTTCCTTTTTCTTCTTTTAGTACACTTTTTTAGTACATTCAAGTGGTGGGCCCTCTCTGGCTTGAACTGTGGCAGTGGGCCCCAAATGCCTTATATCCTCTGTGAGACCAAGCTGGACATACATTAAATTATTAAAATATAGAAACATTAAAACTGTCTGGACCTGAAGGCAAGAAGAAACATATTTACTGAGTCCATGGACTGAGCTATTGCAGTTCCACAGTTCCTTATGCACAACTCCAACACTGAAAACCTAAGAAATCTAGTTTTACCACAACTCACTGTTTATTTATTTCACTTAGTAGAAAATAGTTTTAGGTTTTGCTGCAGAAATATTTCCGTGTTTGATTGAGGGTGATGTCCAAACCCTGCTAAGGGTGTTACTTAATATGAAAAATATAGACCATGTTACTTTTCTAAAACCCAAAAATGATTTCTGAAGCACATCAAGCCACAGGATTTCAGACAAGAAACTGTGAGCCTGTCCTATACCCAGGAGCCAAGTTATCAAAGTACAGTGGGTGTCCAAAAGTAGGAGATTCCAAACAGAATGTATTAAAAATCTAGGAAGATTTCAAGAGGAAAAAATCTGGAGAGAGAAAGTAGGAACATAGAAGCTTCAAAACCAGGGAGTACCCACCTCCCATGGACCAGATCCTATCCCAGGGGCCATCAGTATTTGTAGTTTCTCCAGACCACTAACAAGAAATGGCTGCCCTCACACCCTGCCTTTCAGGGGCCTCATGTAACCGGCATCCTCACCATCATTGCTGGTTTGCCTGCCTTCAAATGTTTATTATTAATCATACTGACAAAAGTTGTGCCCTGAGAATGCTTTGAATGTGTGCTGTATATGAAGTGTCTATGCCCAGTGCCTAGCTCAGGGCCTGACATAGAAGAAATACTCAATAAATGGGCCCAATAAGTCTTTAATGAGCATGTGTGATATGTTGCTCTTCATGATGTGCTTTTATATGCATTGTCTCACTTAAAATGACCCAGTGAGTCAGGCAAGTGGAATGAGTCCCAGGGAGGTTAAAGCACTTGCTCAAAATCATAAACAGTTCTGCTGGGACTTGCACCAAAGTTGTCTGTTAAAAAATCCTATTCTCTTTCTTTGGCATCAGTGTGCCTCCCTCTTGTGTAGTCTGAACCCTCAGAATTAAAGATGAATAAAAATGCCAAGTCATGGGAAAGTCTGGCCCTAAGAAAAGCAACTGATGAGCTATCAGCTCATGGACTGTCAGCAGGGCCATCTGTAGGTGATGCCCTCTCCTCTGTCTATCCTCTTGTGAGGTCAATCCAGCAGGAAGTCCAGCCCTGCCGAGAGAAGGGGGTACCATGAATGCACCGATGGGACCAGAGTCCCTTCCGGAGCTCCCCAGGTCCCAGCACTGCTGTCCTCCTTGTCTGCCTGTGTCTTCTGGAGCTGGCCTTGAGGCCCATGAAGAAATGCAGCCTTTTGAAGGTAAAGCAAGGACTACTTGATGCTGAGATAGACAGGGTGCCAGCACCCAGCTCAGGTCATGAGAAGCTGAGTTCACTGTAAGAACCCTATAAACATCTGCAGCAGATGGACCTGCCCAAGGTGAGGGTTCAATTTTCCCCTGTGAGAACAAGCCGACTAGGGAGGTACTAGCCGTGCATGAGGTCATCCTGACTCTCCTCTGAGAGAAGGATGATTCAGCCTATGACTCTCCTCCGAGGGAAGGATGATTCGGCCTATGTCCCTGTCTTCCTCTGCAGCCTTGCCCTGACATCTGGAAAACAGGTACTGGGTCAGAAGGGAGCGAAGCATGAGGGTGGGGTGGGGCCCAGCATCGGGATCCTGCACATCTCTCAGTAGTGAGCAGGCTCTGAGGAGCCACCCCTGCCCTGTGACTTTCCACACTAGTGAAGGGAGCATGTCTTGCATGTTCAATATGTCTCTATTTTCCAGCAACGTTACATGGATACTTCCCTCACTCTGAACAGCTCACAAGTTGGCCAGAAAAATGCTGTGTAAACTCCAGGCCAGGCCTCTAATTCTCTGGCGGCAGCACCAGAGAAATGAGGAGAATGTTCTCCCACTGGCTTCTTCAGCAGGATCTGTGGTACATTTCTAAAAAATAAAAGAAAAAGAAATCTACAAAGCTGTAATGCTCTAGCACGTCATGGCAAAGATTTTGTTTTTTATGTTTGAAAAAGAGCTTGAAAGAATAACACGTTGAACATTAGGTTAATATCTGCTCCTGCTCAAAAATGATTTTCTTACACAAGAATGTCCCTTCCAAAATGGCTTTTTGTCAGTAGCATGAAAGCAAGTTTGGCATGGGCCCAGTGGTGATTCTGATGGGAAGTGAAAGGCAGGCACACCCTAACGATCAAGATCAAAGGCCCCTAGAGCACCCCATATGCAGGAGGAGTCGCCCACTGCCCAAATGGTGCAGGGCCATTGCCAATTTCCCTGGCATTGCCAGGAGCCTCTGGGATCTACCATAAAGCCTTAGACCAAGGAAGGCCTTGTCCCATACCCAGTGAGTGGAGTCTCTGCCCACCAAGTGCCCACCTGTCTCTCCTGAAGTCTCTCTACAACACTGCCACCACTAGCAACCTCACACACCATTACATGGAAGAGTTAAAACATGAGGGCACAGTAGTCTCCAGGTCCTTGGGGGAAATTACTGGGCCAGATTGTAGCCCATTTTTCTTTAATTTCTTTCCTTTCTCCCTTCCTACCTCCCTCTCTTCATCCCCACTTTTCTTTTATCAGTCAGTTGGCAACATTTAAAGAGAACTACTCTAATACTAGGCATTGTGCACGGGTGAGTCAAGTACTGTTCTCCCTCTCAAGGAGTGCACAGACTAGTGTGGAGACTGACATTCCAACACGTTATACCTTTTAATGGCTTCATGCTTGTCACAGCATTAAGTGTAGAATGTCAGGCAAACAGAAGGAGGCCCTGAGCCAGCCAGGCCAGGCAGGGGTCTTCAACAACTCTGTGGAGTAATGTATGAAACCAGGGGAAGGAAAAACACAAGCTGTGGGTCAGACTCATTGGGGTCAAGTCTGAGGTCTGCCTGCTCGCTCATTGGCTATGTAACCCTGAGCCTTGGTGACCTGAATAGTAGCATGAGGGTGATGTTCATGTCATGCTGATGTGGTACAGTGCCCCATGCAGTACAGCGACACTCAAATGAGGACACCCAGAGGGCACACCTTGCATTAATGCAGATGTGAAAATCATGCAACTGTGGATCAACTCCCTGCAGCCTGCACAGGCCTGCACCAGCTATTTCATAAACCTTGCAGTCATGCAACCCCATATTGTATTGGAGGGGATATTTAGGACCTCACCTCTGGCACTATGATCACTAGGAATCGTAGTAATCATAGTAGAATCATGGTAGGGATACTGCTCCTCCACCATGTTTCCCTCCACTGTTATAAATTGACATTTGGAAGTGAATGTCTTCTGTTTTTCTGGACTTCACCAATACAGTGACTGGGCAACTGTTTACATGTTATGTCGTTGGCTACTCAAGAACTTCGTGAGCATGTTTTTCACCAAGCTTTCCTTGGGCAGTTTATAATGAACCATCAATAGTCTCACATTTAATTCAAAATAAAAGACCTAACAAGGAATTTTTTAAATTCTGGTGAACGTGTGGGGAAATGAACATCCTCATGTACAGCTGATGGGAACAGGTTTGATGTAACCTTTCTGGAGAGCAATTTGGCGATGCATATTAAAAGTCTTATAATGTTTATGTCAACCCAGTGACACTACTTGTAAAACTTTACCCTAATAACCGTTTATGTGCGCAAAGATTTATCTTCAAATATCCTTATTGTATGATCCTTAACAATAGCAAAAAACTGGAAACAACATAAATATACAATAATAAAGTGTATTGAATACATTGTCATATAATCAAAACGTGTAATATACTTGCAACCATTAAAAATTACCTTTTAGGGGAATATGTAACCACACAAAATGTGTTTATGGTATATTCCTTGATGAAAAATTGTTCAAAAACAGTTTGTACAGTCTAATCTAACATTGTAAATTTTTTTAAATGATTTAAAATGGACTAGATATATCTAGTCCAAAATATTAGCAGTGGTTATCTCTCAGTTGTGGGATTGTTAATTATTTGTGTGCATGCTTGTCTAAACTTTCCAAATTTTTTATAATCAGTGTGTTTCCTAGGCAGTTAAAAAGAAAAAAATGTAAAAGCTAAAGCTTAAAAGTCAGCAGGTTTGAATTTAAATTATCTCTTTGCAGTCATTTGTCATAGGATAAACTACTTACTCATTCTGTGTCTCATATTTTTTCTCTCTATAAAAGATAGATAATAATACCTTCTCATAGAGTTGGAGGAGGGTTACATTAGATAATGTGCATACAGTGCTGTGTATGCAACATGAACTCAATCCATGTTCCACTCACTTCTGCTTATGTGAGTTCAGTGACAGGAGACATGACATACCCAACTACCATGACTAGGTAGGTAAGGCTAATGCAGGAGGTCGGACCAAAGCTTAGGCTTGAAGCTGCCCCAGGTGAGATAACAGGGGGTGAAGAATGTGAATGACAGGAGGACTTAAACAAAGGCCAGGGAACACACTGTACGTGACAAGCAACCTAGGGCATTGGCGCTCTGCTCCACTTCTGCGGCTCCATTGGGCAGGTCCTAAATGATGTCCAAATGCTGACATCTCATCCTTAGCACTTAAGCTGAAACTTTGTTTTGAATTACTCTACTAGTTATCTGAGTAACAAATTGCTCTAAGAATTGGCTTAAAAATTGGCTTTAAAATGCAATCTGCATCTATTCTCTCATATAATTTCAGTGGGCCAGGAATTTGAAAGTAGCTTAGCTAGGTGGTGCTTCTGGCTTGGGGATCTCCCATGAGGCTAGAGTCAAGATATCAGCTAGGACGGGGGTCATCTGAAGGCTTGACTGGGGCTGGGATCTCATTCCATGATGGTTCACACATATGATTGGCAAATTGGTACTGGCTGTTGGCAGGAGGCCCTAGTTCCATGACATGCGGACCTCTTCAAAGAGCTGCTTGAAGTTCCTGATGACATGGCTGCTGGTGTCCTCTAGAGTGAATGATCAACAAGGGATCATTCCTTTTATGCTTTTTATGACCTAGCCCCAGAAGTCACACCGTCATTGCCATGAGGTTCTGTTGGTTACACAGGTCAACTCTATTCAGTGTGAAGGAGACTACACTGAAGAATGGATACCAGAAAGTGAGAATCTTGGGGGGCCATCTTGGAGGCTCACTATCACAGTGCCCTACTGCTGGAATATTCTTCCTACAAATGTCTGCAGGGCTCTCAGCCTCACTTCATCCAGGTCTCTGCTCAAAAGCCATCTTATCAGAGGGGCTTCCCTTGAGCTCTCTCCCAAAATGGAACCCCTTCCGATGTTCTATTACTTTGCTTTTACCCTGTTTTATTTTTCCTTAGAGTACGTATAACATCTACCACATTACATACTTATTTGTTCATAATTTGTTCCCCATCCAGCAGAATATAAGCTTTAGGAAAGGCCTGTGTCAGCTTTCCCACTGACACAGGAGATGGTTATAAATATTTGTTAACTGACTAAATGATTAAAGCATGGCATCACCTGATACCTCTGATGCTTGTTAAACTTCTATACATATGACCCATGAACCAATTAATAATTTCCTCCTCGGTGTCATTACCCTTGCTTGTAAATCCTTCTAGAATTGATGATGCTGGCCTTCTGAGCACCACCCTCTTACCTTGCATCCCTCCCAGCCCTGCCTCATGAGTCCTCCTCGCCTGCCTTGTTCCTCCTAGTGCTTGGCCTTCTCAGGACAGGCTCTGCTGCCCAGGCTTTTCCCTTCCCTAGCTGCCACAGTGCAGGTCCTCTGATATTCACACTGTTGAGACTTCCTTATTCTGGGCCCCACCTTCTAAAGGCCTAAGAAAAAGGATGACAACTAAGACTCATATATGACCCTGCTTCTCTGTCCCATATCCATGACAAATATTGCTAAATAACTAGACCATCTCCAATTATATCTGGGCCAAGGAACTACCAACACTTTACTGGAGACTACTCACAGACAATTTTCTGGTCTCTGTTGCTTAACACACTGTCAATTCTAACAGTAGGCACTGCAACAAGCAAATAATGAAGATACAGCTGACCCTTGAACAACACAAGGGTGAGGGGGCCTTACCTTCCATGCAGTTGAAAATCTGCATACAACACTTGACTCTCCCAAAACTTAACTACTAGTAGCCTACTGTTGACTGGAAGCCTTACTGATAACATAAACAATTTATTAACACATATTTTGTATATGTATTATACACTATATTCTTACAATAAAATAAGCTAGGGAAAAGAAAATGCCTAGTGTTCCATTACTGGAACACTAAGCATGTCGGAGTTATTTATATCCTACTGCTCAAGGTCATCGCCAAGGTCTGATTGCAAAAATTCAAAAAATTGCAACATTAGGCATAAATGGGTTAAGAAAATCATAAGAAAGAAAAAATATATGTACTATTTATTAAGTAGAAGTGGATCATCATAAACATCTTTATCCTCATCTTCTTCACATTGAGTAGGCTGAGGAGGAGGAGGAAGAGGGGTTGGTCTTGCTCAGGGGTGGCAGAAGTGAAAGACAATCTGCATATAAGTGGACCCTCACAGTTCCAACCCAAGCTGTTCAAGGGTCAACTGTATGTGGATGTGGGAGGGACAAATGAAACCATAAAGACAACATTTACCATACATCTACCACATGCCAAGCATGGTCTCAAGCGATTAATGTAGATTATCTCTAACATTTATTTTTCACAATCATCTATAAGGAAGTTACTGTTATTCTGATTTTTATGGAGGGAGAAATGGACTCAGAGAAGTAAACAACTTCCACAGCATCCCTTCGCTAAGAATTGGTACGACCAGTCCAAATTCAGGCGGTTGGATCTGGAGTCCTCTCTTTAACCACTGTGTGATATCATCTTAAGGTTTTCAATAACCAATTGGTTCATGAGGTCTTGGGAATTAATATCTATTTGTTAGGCCTAAGTGAAAGTTCCCAGGAAATTTCTGTCTGAAATGGGAATCAGAGAACTCTCACTCACTCCCCCTTAGAGACCCAATTCACTTCTTACCACCAGTTTTCATAGAGTTATACCAGCACTGCTTGTACATTATTATTTCACCTACCAGCCTATATTGCAAGACCATGTCTTCTTGGAGGTCTTCACTACTGCATCATGACTGCCTTTGGAGTTTCATAAGTTTTCTCATTTCTTAATCTTCATAGTTTAGCAAAGTACCTGGCCTGTGATAAGCCAAGTGAATAAGCCAGGTGAATAAATATGGTCTCTGCTTCCATGATACTCTTTGGCAGGCTAATTTTCAAAACTTAGCACTTCTCAAAGATAGGCTAAGTTGTACTTATTTATTGAATGGATAGTTATAGTCTTAAGTAGACTCTGTTATCATATCAAAATGGAAACATTGAGCAAATAATGGCTTTCTGGAAATGCAGCACTGAAATCTTCTCCAGGAGTTTTAACCCTGAAAAACAAGTGTGAATATTCAAGTTCTGTCCTGGTAAGGTAATGAGACAATGTATTTAAATACGATTCATGATTGCATCCCCAAGCAGAGTTTCTCCAGCTGCTGAGCTTATGAATCACCTGCCTCCAGTTCTTCTAATTGCTTTGATCAAAGGAGGTTTAAACAAGCTCTCTTTGGGAGGTAACAAAACCAGCATGTGGCAAGAAATTGGCGTTAACTTCTACCAGCCCTTGCTAACCACAGGGCTCTGAGGGGTTCAGAAATGCTCACAGGCTTGCCAGTAGAGTTGGACAGACACGGTAATGCAATGGGAAATCTGTGAAGGGTGAAAGTCACATTCTTTTAAAAAGTGGGAAAGGCTTTCAGACTTCCTAAAAGACAGTAGACTTAAAGCATAGATGAATATGAAATTAGTGCCAACCTGCCCAGGATAGGCCATCAGGAGGCATAATATGGGGTCCTTTAAGTTGACACCTATGTGGAATAAAAAATGCTGTGGCCTAGAAGACGAAGGATGTGACCTTTCCTAAGGCTCTTCCCATCTCAAGACCTTGGTTTATTTGTTGTAAAGGGAAGAGACTGGAGCATGTGATCTCCTCAACCTTTTCGTCCTCAAATGTTCTAACAGATTTGAATACTGTCTGAGTGACAATATCCAAATGAGGTATTGGGTTGTATTTGTTAGTTTTAAGGGATAAAAGCTGAAAATATCAACTTTGTAATAAGGTGGTTTTTTTTTAAGAAAAACCTACGTAATATGTTTTGCTTGTTATTTTAACAATAGAATTGAGAGGAAACAGTCAAATCCTAGTGAAGGCCTGTAGAATCATTTATGATGCCAGAGCTGCAATTCCAACTATAGCCCTTACCTCAGCTTGGCCCAGTGGGGTCTGCATCTCTCTGACTTAAGATGTATATTTGACTCACCTTTGTGTGTGTCCCTCACTGTACCTTGGGCAGTGCTTGACATAAGATGTGTGCTTAATAGCTGAATATGGAATTGCGCTGGATTGAACTGAAATCTGCTTAGAAATGCTCTTTCTTATCAGACAATCCAATGCATTTCAGATTGGCCCAAAATATCTGTACTATATAAGTTGGCTCTCAATCATGAGGTGCATTTGATGGAAAAAGATGGGGGAGGGTTCTGTTTTCCCAGAAATATAAGGAGAAACAGGGCATTAAGAGTGCCTAGCCAATAAGTGGTAGAGTGAAATTTGTTAAAGTTCTGTCAAACTCTAAAACCTGTGGGTTTTCTACTATACGAAGGGGGACACTCTTGCATAGGCATAGATAGTCCAGTGTTCTAAGTGTAAATAAAGTTTACAGAAGCAATTTGAAGATGCCTGATGCTTGAGTGACTGTAAATGGGTTCTCCATTAAAATGTAGAAGGGCATTTGGCAATACCAAACTGATCATGGGGAACAGAGCCCCAGTGTTCCAAATAATTTTCTTGGCATCCTCCAGTGTGAATAAAAAGGTCCAGCCATCTTCCCTACACATGTTCTATTCTTTCTCTGGTCTCCCTTGTGATAACAGAAAGGGAGGCCAGATGGACAGCTTTCCCAATAGGTATTTATCAATTACAATGTCAATATAATGGACTGTGGACTCTTTTTATTTTCTGTGTAGGATAAAGTTCATCAAGTAACAAGGCTATTGGTGGGTGCAGATGAAAGCTGTGTTAGGAACTGATGGCCAGTGCTGGCTGTGATAAGCAAATATATGGCATCGAGTAAACGCGGCCTGAGGATTCTAAAGCAACAAGGTCTGAACATCCTCATTAGCACAGAAATTTGACCTAGTCGTCCAAACCTTTTTGGAACAATGGTTTCCAATATGTTTAAAAGTCATGGTGCCCCTTTTCAAACAAAATCTTAATAGATCCCCAATATACAAAACAAATACAAGCAGAGGTCACTGAAATTAGGACAGGGAACCTTTGGCTGCACCCCTTCCTTCATTCTTTCCCTGGGAAACAGTCTCAAGGTAATTCTCTGAAAATCTAGGGCTTCACAGAACACAGTAAAAATTCCTGGCCAGAATACCACAGCTCTCCAATAAAGTGATTTCTTTCCTTTTTTTTTCTTTTCTTTTCTTTTTTCTTTTTTCTTTTTTTTTTTTGAGATGGAGTCTCTCTCTGTTCATGCTGGAGTGCAGTGGCATGATCTCGGCCCACTGCAGCCTCCACCTCCCAGGTTCAAGTGATTCTCCTGCCTCAGTCTCCAGAGTAGCTGGGATCACAGGTGCGCACCACCACACCTGGCAAATTTTTGTATTTTTAGTAGAGATGGGGTTTCACCATGTTGGCCAGGCTGGTCTCGAGCTCTGGACCTCAGGTGATCCACCCGCCTCAGCCTCCCAAAGTGCTGGGATTACAGGTGTGAGCCACCACGCCTAACCTGTGATTTCTTTTCTTATCAAGATTTAATTTGCTCTTGACCATTATTACAAAATTAGAGATGTGTTCTTTGGTAAACAAATTGACATAAATACGTAAAAACAACACCTTTTAAGAATGGACCAAGCCTTTTCTACTTACATATTAAAAGGGGAAAATGTGAAATAAAAAAATAATTATTGTATAAAAAATATGGAAAATTTTCTGGTGGCCAATAGTTTAAAGGTCTAAGAGAGATGGGATAATGCCAGCTTAGCTGAAGCATCCACTCTGGACAGGAGTCCCTTGGCGTCTAGCCATCTCTCTGCCCAATATTCAACAGGAGGGCAGCATAGAACGCAATCTAGTAAAGTGTTGACAGAATTAATCAGGCTCCATTTTCAAGTTTTCTTTTGCTCCCTGGGCTAAGAAATTAGGAGGCTCTGGCTAATTCAGACACACTTTGAGGTTTCCCCAGAAACACAGTTTTCCTGGAGAAATAAAGCTAATGAAAGGAGAGGTTAACTATGTTTGATTTCCTGAAAGCCCAGTGCCTAATTTTATGTGAACTGCCTGATTTCTTTTAGACTTTAAGCACATGGCTCAATGACATTGCAGTGTTCAGAGTGGACAGAGGAAAAACATTTGTGAACAAGTCACAAAGCCAAAGTACTGATGCCTTGTGCATAAATGTCACTCACCTGATTTCAAAGCTCTTTCACAGACTATTTCAGTAAGTAGTGAAATTTATTAAATTTTATCTCTCTAATCCTCATCATGATAGGTGAGTTAGAATTTAGTCCTCAATTTTACTGAAGAAGAAATTGAGGCAGAACAAGAATAAGTGACTTGCTTATAAATAGCAGACTTCGATTTTGAATCCAGAACTCATTGACATCAAAGCCCTGAGTCTGACTGCCTCTCTAGGCTGCTTTGCAAATCTCAGTCCTTTTCAGGCATAATGCAACATTATAAAATTACCTCAAGAGCCGTGGGTCTGGACCTAGCCAAAATAAGTTCTCTTCAAACAAGCGACTGCAGAAATATGTTGATCTTTGGAACTCACAGTTGGCAGCTGGTGTGAATTCTTCTCAGGGAAGAAGAAACTAGCAAGTTTAAGGCAACAGGGCTTTGGGCAGGTTGGAGTGGGGCAGTAGTCTGCATAAGCAGATTTCAACTTTAGGTAATGATTCTGGTAACAATGTTAAGGGTATATTAGACAGGAAAGAAACTAGAATCAGAGAAACCAATAAAGAGGAAGCTGCTGCAATAGTCCAGAAATAATACCTGTTGTGATTAAGACAGAGGAAGAGGGGTTCAGGAGAAGAAGGAAGATTCTGGAACTTGGTGAAGGTAGGAGCAGCAAGCCGAAGACAGAATTTCTCCCAAGAAACTCTAACCTAATTGTAGAGGTAAGTGGGGAAATAGTTCATTGCAGCAAAGGGTAACTTGGACTGTAGCGAGGTCGACAAAAGTGCAGCAAAGCACAAAGGAGGGTCCCCTTAGTTGTTCTAGGACCAGGGGAGAGCAAGTCACGAAAGGTGTTCTATCCGAGGTGATGACTGAGCAAAGGATTGAAAGAGAATGCAAGGAACTGGCCGTGTAAGAGGACGTGAGAGACCATGGCTCCGGCAGCATGTGTCCTGCCCGGAGCTCTGAGAGGCTGCAATGAGGGATTGAGGCAAAGGGGAGGTGAGGATGGGAGGCCAGGTAGGGCCTGGGTCGCAGGGTGCTCATCTGGGAGCTTGCTCGATAAAAGGCCACAGGAAGAAACCGAATCTTCTGTAATATGTTAAAGAGGTGGAAATGTAAGGCCCAGAAAGGTTGAACAGCTCGTCCAGGATCTCTGCTCTCGACCTTGGCTTCAGTATGTGGTCCACAGGTCTGCAGTGCAAGCCTGGGCTGGTTAGAAATGCAGAATCTCAGGTTGGCCTCAGACCCACGGATCAGGAACTGGTTTGAACAGGGTCTCCCGGTGGTGATGTGTAGGTGCACTAAGTTTGAGAATCGCTGCTCTACAGTATGCACAGTTTCCAGGATGCTAGCCCCTGTCTGCAGCCAAATATCTGCGCGGTAGATGGTGCTTCTTGCAAGTCAAAGAGGCGCAAAGGTGCTGGTAGGGAATGCTGGGTCTCGTTAGGCGTGGCTGTGGGGACGCCCTCCACTGCAGGCTCCACCCGCATCAGCCAAACCATAATCAGCGCCCAGGCAGGTGGAGCAGGAGCCCCCAGATTGTCCTACTTGTGGTACAATGCGCGTATGATTAATCACTGTTTCCAGAGGCGCCTCATCAATCAACACTTCCGAGGGCCCAGGACAAAGGGGTCGTGGTAGATGAGCGCTGGGTGCTGAGAAGGACCAATCTCCGGTCTCTGATAAGATGGGCTCGTGGAGTTGGGATGGAGGAGGTCGGGACTAAGGAGCATTAGGCATTCACCCCGGCTGCTCTGATTGGTAATTAAGTGACTCGTCTACTGGCCGACAGTCCTGCATGTTCCCCCAGGCATCTGTTAGTTCTTCGAAAACCACTACTGACAAAATGAGGTTTGCCCTTGGTACACAGATAATGAGACTGAGCTTGACAGGTATGGCGCGATTAGAAAATTTCTACATGAAGCTCATTCTGCTAGCCACTCCACAGTAAACAGACTCATTAGAACTTGCGGGTCCCTGGAGGCAAAGCATGTTTGACATTATTAATTGGCTTTTCTGTATAAGGAGTCAAATAGATGAAAAGGTTTATCAAGCTGAAATAATTAATTTTGCCTGAATTCGCTGACAGTTCATTTCTCCTGTAAAAGACCATTTTAAGGTCTTTTTTTTCCCGAATTTCAAAGTTCAAAAGACATAATAGTGGCAAAAGTGAAGCTTTTTAGTAAATGATAATTAAAGGGAATTTAATTAACTTAGACCTGGGGAAGGGGAAAAAAAGGAATTGCTATCTGTGTCTATACAGAGGTCTAGATGGTTGAACATATCATGACTTAATAATGCATTAATTTTAATCTAATCAAAGTATAATAAAATAGGTAATTATATGTTTAAAAATTACCAGGCTCCAATAGTGGGGTTTTTAAACACTTAATACTTACCCAGCTTCTCGTTAGCAAAGTTATAATTGTTGTTCTCAGATCCTGCTTATTTAAAGATGGGGGCTTACAGGCAAGAGGTTAATTGAATAGATCATTGTAAGAACCCATGTTGAAACTATGATGAACTACAAAGTTTGCATTCCCTGGCTGCAAAAGATTTTTCTTTTCTTTTTCTTTATGTCTTTCTGTCTCTAAAAATAGCAAATTATTTCCAGCATTCCTTTATCATGCTCCTGAATGCTCCCACGCCCACTCTTTGTCACACAAAGCCAAAATCCAGTTCACATGAGATTCTGCAAAGTTCTTCCTCATTTTCCAAAATTTGCCACTTTCATCTCCAGCAAGGAGTTTTGTAGTTCCACTGTGAGCCTTCCCAATCTAAAACAATTGGCAATAGATAAACAGGGTTTCTCTCCTCACTGAGATCAGGCTTGGTGAAAAGAACCATGAAAAGTCATAAAACAATGGGATTTCGATTTGCATATAGGCCAATGATTCTGGTCATTTCATTAATAAAAGACTGAGACTTCTTAGAAATGTTCTAAAAGACATAGCTGTTTGGTAGCAAAGAATTATCTTGCCACATAGGAAACATAATAATTTTGTAGTTCAAAGATGATGCAATATTTCCCAAGTTTCTTTGACACTGATAATATACAATCTGGTGGGGCAGGAAAAGGAAGGGGTAGAGGAATCACGGAGAGTGGTTCTTCTATACCTGGTAGTATGTCTTGAACCAGCTCCTCAAGGCCTTTACCCACATCACAGGCTTCGCTCAGGCAGTGTGAACACCACCCTGCAATGACTGGCCTCCTGAAAACCTAATAATGATGATGGCTCTTTTCAGTTTTTCATAGATATTTTTGTAATCCAGAAATGTCTCTTGACTACACTCAAGTAAACAGCAGGGGCAGTTTATTGTTATTCCCCATCCTCAGTTGGAGGCAGGGCTTGGTTCCTTGAGACTTGTTTTTTTCATTCCTTGAAGTAGGATCTTAAAAAAGTGAAATGATTCAAATAAAAATCCACACAGAGGCTGAGCGTGGTGGCTTATGCCTGTAATCCCAGCATTTTGGAAGGCTGAGGCAGGAGAATCACTTGAGCTCAAGAGTTCAAGACTAGCCAGGGCAATATAGCGAGACTCCTTGTCTACAAAAAATTTTAAAAATTAGCCTAGCATGGGGATGCATGCTTGTGGTCCCAACTACTTGGAAGGCTGAGGCAGGAGGATCATTTGAGCCCTGCAGATCAAGGTGGCAGTGAGCTACGATGGTACCACTGCACTCCAGCCTAGGAGGCAGAGTGAGACCCCATCTCAAAAAAAATTAAAATTAAAAAAAAATCAACACATAAAAATTCACACCCTCATTGCATTATTTTGAAAAAAAAGAAAAAAAAGTTACTTCTGCCTTTTGCCAAAACATCCTCAGGTCCACACTTCTGAGTAAAGAAGGAGAGGCAGGGTGTATACAGTGACCACTCAGTGCACAGCATCTCAATTCCCAGCACAACTAAATGAAGTTATCCCATGTTAAAGATGAAAAAACTGAGGTTCAGAGGTGGGGAGAAAGTCATGTAAGGCCACTCACTTCAGCAGCAAAGCTGGACTGCCTAAATTTAAAGCCCATGTAATTTCCATTAGAAAAGAATAACCCCAAAAAGTAACACATATCGAATTCCCAAACCATAAATACTTGTAACATTTACCAGAGAGTTAACATTTGGGGTAAGAAATGTCATAACCCAAAAAGCAAATATCTACTTCCTTGCACCAAGGAATACTTGAAAAGATATATATTTTTTCAATCCTGGGAAACTTGAGACCTTCCGGTCCAGCACTCACAAACTTATTGTTCATCATATTTCCCACTCCTGCTTCCTCATATTAGCTCCTTAATTAACTATATTTAATGTCCAGGGGCCATTATGATTAAATAAAGGGTAAGATGTGACTGGGGCTAGAAGGGGGAGGAGGTTACTTGTGCCAAGGTTCAGGGCTGGAGCTGTCATCCCTCACCAGCATGTTTTCTTCTGAAGTCAATATGTTGTTCCATTTCAAACATGCTTAAAGAAAACACAAATTGATTTCTTTGCAATTCTGAACTACTTATCAAATGGTAATGATCACTGTGTGGTAAATCTCAGACTGAAAATATGCCACGCAATGCTTAGTCATTCCGTTGATGGAACTAATAATTCTCCCCTATTCTCTCATTCTACTCTCTCTCTCTCTGTCTCTTTTTATGTCTTTCTATAATTCTGCCTGATAAGACTTAGCAACCCAGAAAGGCTTAGTGTTAGTGTGGTCAGTTCTGAAGACTCCAAAGAAAGCGCACATCTACCCGGCACCTCCCTTTCATTCATTAACCCACCAGGGGCCAAGACTAATTAGATCAGCCTGCTCATTTTGAGCTGATAATTGATTTAAATAGATTGCTCATTTAAAAGAGAAGAAAACCCTGCTAAACATTTGGTGCTTGATTTTTTTTTCTTCTTTCCCCGCAACTTTCAATTGCTTGTGCAATGTAGCATAAAATGTAGAGGTCTCCCTTTTCTTTTCTCTCTCTTTTTTAAAGGGGCCATAAAATTAATTACAATAAGTAGGCAATGGGCAGGGGCAGGGGGTTAACTGATGGCTCTAATGAGCAGCCCAGCTTTGGGAAAGCTGAGCCACTCATGCTGTTTGTTGGCTGCAAGGGGGCTGTGACTTCCAAGAGGAGCACAGCCTGAAACCCTGAAACAGTCCATCGTACTGATTCTGTTTTCATAGCAACCAAAGTAGCTTTGCTAAGCTTCAAACAAAAGGAGCTTTCCTTTGCAAAGGTGGGGACATTTTGGAATTGTCTCCTTCCCATTAAACAAGACAAGAGGCCATTCCTTGGTACTCCCCCCACCCCATAGTCCCTGTTTTTTATACAATTTGGGAGTGAGAAAGTTAGGGAAAGACTTGGTCCCATTCCGTATTCTGAAGACCTTTCTCTTCTCAAAGGGTCTTTCATGGTCCGTCCTGCACCATATTGATTTATTTCAAGTGTGGATCAAAAAAGTTTAGACTAGGCTCCTCTTTGGAAACTACATCGTCCTGCTAGTTTATACTGTTCGCCTGACTGTATCCCTTTGACACAATGAAAAGAGCTTTTGTCTGCAGCCTGGAGGGCAAGAAGTGGAAGCAACACTTGTAATTTGCTCTGGAAAATGTTCTTGCAGTGTTTCCTGTTGCTGAGAGAAGAGATTGCAGAACGTGGTAAAGGAAGCTGAGGAATGTTGCAAAATCTTTAAAGGTAAATACAATTATTGGAAATAGAAAGTTACCCACCAAAACTGCATATGCTATGTTTTAGAAGTTCATAGCTTCCAACCCTACAAAATAGCATGATTCCCATGGAAAGAACATGGGCTTTGGAGTTAGACAAACCTGGACACCCTGATTCAGTCACTTACTACTTCTGTGTAAGTCATTTGCTCTCTCTATAACTCCATTTCTTTGCCTGTATGATGGAGACACTAACGTCTATTTTGGAGGCCTAAGGGAAACATAGGGGTTAGAGAAAATATCATAGCCTAGCACTGGCTCTAATAAGTGCTCAAGAAATAGCACCTATAACGCAAAATTTGGTTCCCTAATAGCCAGGAGAGGTCATTCATCCTTGTTTTGTCATCTGTTTGAGGCTGGGCAGTTAGGGAGAAGGTAACAGTGTATTGCATTCAGGGCCAGCTTCAACCTAACATGTGCAGTAGCACAGAGCCCCACATTCAGACAGAAAGGCCCCGCTGTTACTGTCTTGAAATACTTAATTTTTGAACAGCGGGTGCTGAGAGGGGCTCTACATTTCCACATTTTGATTTTGCACTGGCCCTGCATATTCCGTAGCCCCTCCTGATTATATATGCGATTCTGCAAATGCCTGGGCCATTCCTGGCATCTTGAAGAGCCACTTATGTGGGGTCATGTCTGAGTTAGTGGCACAATGCTTTCACACTTATAAATCACATTCTTTCTGCCTCTTCAACAAATTAGAACCAGAGGTAGCCTCTCAGTTCCTGTGGGCCCAGGGCCTGACTGCCATGAAAAGCTATTCAAGAGCACATGCTAGTGGCCAAAGGTCAGAATCGCACCTCTGCAGTTCCATCCGCTGGCCCCCTGAGAAAATCCATGCCTTTTGAGTAGGTGATGGAGCCCCTACCCAAGAGAGGACAAACAAGCACGAAGCATCCCACTGTTAATTCAGCGTTCATGTGGCAGATTGTTCGCACCATTAATGACATATGAATTTAGTCTCAGGTAATTTTTTTTCAAAGCAACCAGTTGTGAAATATATTGAGAAAACACTGCCAATTTCCAATCCTAATGACAGACACACTGTAGGTAAACAAGATGAATATTTATGGGATACCTGATTGCCTAAATGAGTTCCCTAAAGTATGAATAATTGAATGTGCATATGCTAATTAATTGGGAAAAGCCAGTAGGTAACTCCTTTTTATTTACATTAGCCTCATTTTATTTCATTTCTTATAACTATTACTGTTCCCAGTTATTTCCTATGCTTCAGTAAAATTGAGTGTCATTGAGAGAATTTTTAACAGACATCATGATTCTTCATTTCAATGGATGCATAAGCCAAGGTATAATATGTAGTGATGGCTTCTCAGGCAGAGTTACTTGGTTTTGCCTAACAATAAAAGTGATTGTTCATTCATGCCTACTGATCACCAATCTTTTTACATATATTTGCTCTAATAATCCTCACACCAACTTTTTGAGGTTTGATATTGTAGAAATTATGTCCATTTTACAGAAGACAAAACTGAGACTCACAACAGTTACGTGAGCTACTCATGCTCATGTGGCTATAAGGATTAGGGCCCAGATTCAAATTTAGCCCACCTAAAAGTCATCTTTCCAGAAAGGGAATGCAATCTTTTACCTGGACTAAAATGTTTTAAAACACTTTCCTTTGCTAATCATGTCCCAAACATTGGCCACTAGAATTTCAACAAGGTGTCTAATAATTCTCACACAGACAGCCAAGTCAAAATCTAGTCAGAACAACCATTTATACTTTTTTTAGTCTATCTTTTAAATAAGTTTTATATGTCAGATCAGTTTTAAGTTTACAGAAAAATTACACAGAAAGTAGAGTTTTCATATTCTCCCTCTTCCTCCACAATTTCCCTATTATTAACATCTTGCATTAGTGTGATACATTGTTTTCTAATTGATGAGCCAATATTGATACATTATTATTAATTAAAATTCATAGTTTACATTAGAGTTCACTCTTTGCATTATGTACTTCCCTGGGTTTTGACAAATGTATATGTATCCGTCATTATATCATACAGAAGGGTTTCACTGCTTAGAAAATGCGCTGTGCTAAACCTTTTTATCATTCCATCCACCTGCCTTTACTATCCAAAACCCTGACAACCACTGATCTTTTTTACTGCCTTTTCCAGAATGTCATATAGTTAGAATCATACAGTATACAGCCTTTTTATACATTTAAGTTTCCTCCATTTTTTTTCTGTGGTTCATGTCTTTTTATTGCTGAATAATATTCCATTATAGGGATGTACCACAGTTTGTTTATCCATTCACCGATTGAAGGGCACCTTGGCTGCTTCCAAGCTTTGCCAGTTATGAATAAAGCTACTATAAATAATCATGTTCTGATTTTTTGTGTGAATGTAAGTTTTCACTTTGTTTGTCTAAATACTAAGAAATATGATTGCTAGACTAAATGGTAAGAGTATGTTTAGCTTTGTGAGAAACTGCCAGATCTATCTTCCAAAGTGGCTGTATCTATTTTGCATTCCCATCAGCAATGAATGAGAGCTCCTTGCTCTACCTTGTCACCAGCATTTGGTGGTGCTGGTATTTTAGATTTTCACCATTCTAATAGCTCTACAGTGGTATCTCATTGTTGTTTTAATTGACTATTTTTCATGTACAACTGAGAGTGAGCAGTGGTTGTCAGGCCTCTGAGCCCAAGCTAAGCCATCGCATCCCTGGTGACTTGCACGTATACACCTAGGTGGCCTGAAGTAACCGAAGAATCACAAAAGAAGTGAAAACGCCCTGCCCCGCCTTAACTGATGACATTCCACCACAGAAGAAGTGAAAATGGCCAGTCGTTGCCTTAACTGATGACACTGTCTTGTGAAAGTCCTTTTCCTGGCTCATCCTGGCTCAAAAGCTCCCCTACTGAACACCTTGTGACCCCCACTCCTGCCCGCCAGAGAACAATCCCCCTTTGACTGTAATTTTCCTTTACCTACCCAAATCTTATAAAACGGCCCCACCCCTATCTCCCTTCACTTACTCTCTTTTTGGACTCAGCCCACCTGCACCCAGGTGATTAAAAAGCTTTATTGTTCACACAAAGCCTGTTTAGTAGTCTCTTCACACGGACATGCAAGAAAGTGGTCTCCACAGTGAGACAGGTAAATCTCACAGTGTGGACAAGGTAATCCATTGAAATACACAAAGAAAAACTAGCAACCACTACTTTTATTTATTCATTACATTACAATTTTAATTTTATTCTTTATGTATATTCTTTTGTTTTGGATGTTTTCTGGGTTTTACCACATATTTTAATGTTAAAAGTTAAATTATTTTTTACTTGCAAGTAGTGTGAATAATTTTCCCCACATGGGAACACTGATTATAAAAAATGACATCCCACATGGGCTAAGTGTCTTTTTTAATTGAAAAGCTAACAAACTGTCCAGTTACATTTATCCCAAAAAACCCACAAACTGGGTAGTAACTGAGTCTCTAGGCAGTATATTTAAAGCTAAGAGGATTAAAAATGAAATTAAAGAAAAAGAAAACAAGTCCCCAGATGTGATGAAGGGAGCCCTGCTACATGCGGACTAATCAATACAGTGGTACTCCTTGACTGCAGGAGGCTGGAAGACATCCTAGTAACTCCACTCAGAACATTTACTTCAAGAATCCTTTTTCCAGTTTCCAACTCATGAATAGAGATCATATTTTGTTAATTCTATTCCAGAACACTTTTTTGCAAGTTGTTTTATTTACAATGACAACTTTTAAAGGACCTTTAACTTTATTAACTGGACAATAAGCTGGACAGACATTGTTTTACAAAAACAATATACTTAATGTGGGAATTCTTATTCTTAGTGTATATTCTTAATGTACATATTATTATAGAAAATGGGTATATTTTATAAATAAAAATATTTTGTTGAGATTCATGCACCCTGCCATTTTTTTGATTAACACAAGTGTTCCATCGAAAGAAGACCCACTACCATAGAGAACCCTGTGTCTGTCAAGACACCAAAAACAGAGACCTATTTCCTCCAAAAAGTAAAGCTTGATTTCCATTCAATACTGAGTTTAAAGTTTTAAAATGTCTGAATTATGTTTAAGCTGACATTTAACTCCACTATTTTGAACTGAACGAATCTACTAGTGTGACGAAGTGGCTATTCCTGGGAGTAGCAGTTACCTGAATTCTTCTACACACATATGGTGTGTTTAGAACACTGTCACAGGAGTCTTAGCTTTTCAAAGCACTTTCACTTGCGCCATTTAACTTCACACAATGACACAATGACTAGTGCTGTTTTAGATTCAATTTCAAAACCAGTTTCCGACGATGGCAGTCAGGGCCAGTGTCTATCTGACACCCCTATAAAGTTGTCGATTTATATCTTCGATTTACAGATAAGAAAACTGAAGCTTAGAAACTTCCAATAATTTACCCAATGGTCTTTCAGTTAATAATTGGCAGAGCCATGATTCACACAGGTTCAGATGCCAGAGCCTGAGTCTTGCCTCTTAGAGTATCCTGCGTAAGTACCCTTGTGCTTTACGAGGAGGCCTACATGGCTTAGAGAAAAAAACTGGCCAGGTTAGCAAAAGGAAAACCAAACTGTGGGGAGCAGCATGAATGCAGACCTGAGCTTTAAAACGCAAAAATATTTATTTTTTCCAAAGCACTAGATCTACATGACAGACACGGGCAAAAATTCTAATTGGCACATATTCTGTATATTTGATGGCAGATGCTAAATAGTCTCTTATACACAGAGAAGACCTGAACCAAAAAGATCATGTCTATAAAAATACCACTTTTCATGTCACGGAGGCCATGTGAAAGCCTGTATTTTTTAAAAAAACTCAGAGAACAAGTTGATACAACTAGTAGGAGAAGAAATGTAATTTTGGAAACTATTAATGGGCCTGATTCTTTAAAATGAAATCTTGGAAAACACTGCCTTCAGTGTGACAACTGGCACTCCAGAACACTTTAACAACAAGGTTAAACACCTTGAATAGGATTTTCCCTCCCCTTTTTCTTACTTTCCACCCTCTTTTTCTCTTTCTCTCTACTTTCCTTTTTTTCTAAAATAAGAGAGGTTGTTAAGGGTTGTATAGATAAGATAGTCAATTCTAGAAACATTGACCAAGAATAACAGCTCTGAAGAAATTCAAGGAGAAAAGTACTTTAACAAAGTATAAGAGAACCATTTTCCTGAGATACGTAGTTAATACCTGAGCGGGTCAGAATTTTAGATTTGAACCTACTCTAGGAAATTTGGTGAAGTATGATGATGTGTCAGTCAGCTTTCCAGATGACCTCCAGTAGTCCTCATCTTCTAGTATGTTCTCCATTGTGAAGTCACCTTGAAGGCCTGCCAAGTGCCCAACAGAATATAGGGGAAGTGATGGAGGAAGTTTGATTCCCCAGGCTAGATCACAACAGGCATTGCAGTTTCTTCCTTGCTCCCTTAGATCTTTTGCTCTGAGAGAAGCCAATTACCACGCTGTCAAGAGACTCAATAAACTTTGTGGAAAGACTCACATGGAGGGCAACTGAGACCTTCTACCAACAATTAACACTAAATGGTCAGTCATCTGAGTGTGCCATCTTGGAAATGGATTCTCCAGCCTGGTCAAAGCTTCAGATGACTGCAGCCCCAGCTGACATCTCACTGTAACCTCATGAAAGATCCCAAGTCAGAACAGCCCAGCCATGCTGTTCCAAATTTCTAGCCCACAGAAACTGTGACAGATAATACATGATTATTGTTGTTTCAAGTTACAAAGTATTAGGGTGATTTATTTTGCAGCTTAGATAATTAGCACTGTAAGTAAGCTTGGAAGTTTGGTTGAAAAATACAAAGGATCTAAAGCCACCACTGAGCTCACAGCGTCCAGGTTACTTAGCAAAGGGCTATTTGGTGGGGGATTTAAGATACGTGGAACTCTGACCTTACAGCAAATAAATGAAGTCAAAGTAGTTCCGAAGACTGTAGATGAAACCCTCTATGTGAAAATCACATTGCTAGGCATGGTGGCTCATGCCTATAATCCCAGCACTTTGGGTCAAGGTGGGCAGATCACTTGAGGCCAGGAGTTCGAGAGCAGCCTGGCCAACATGGTGAAACCCCATCTGTACTAAAATACAAAAATTAGTCAGGCATGGTGGCACATGCCTGTAGTCCCAGCTACCTGGGTGGCTGAGGCATGAGAATCACTTGAACCCAGAAGGCAGAGGTTGCAGTGAGATGAAATTGCGCCACTGCACTCCAGCCTGGGCAACAGAGTGAGACCCTGTCTCAAAAAAAAAAAAAAAAAAGTATGTCACCACGAACTGACCACTTGAAAAATGTCCTAAGAAACAACTAAACTAATATAAAGCAAACTGGAAAATATGTTGTTTTTTAGATACTCCTTGGAACATGGCAAGTTATCAGGTAAGTGAAAAGAGAAAAAAAAAAAGGAAGAAAGGTAGGAAACATGGAACATCTCTAGGAGCATTTTGGTTCTAACAATCAAGTATTTCTTCAAGTCTATGTTGTTCAGACAATAATAATAAAGCCATTCTATTGCTCCAAAGAGCAAAATTTTCTGAGATAGTGGGGAGTCATGGCTCATTGACGGTGTCAGAATGAAATAAATACATCTATTTGGTGTAGAATACAGACTTGTGATGTTACTGCTTTCTCTGTGGGAGAGAGATGGGTCCCAAAGGTGGTTCACCAGCATGAAGGCACCAGGACCTAAAACAAGGCCGGATAAGTCTCCTAGGCGTGACCAGAGGGATGTTAGGTGAAGTCATTTGACCAAATAATAACAGCAGCAACAATAATAACAACAATAATTATACTCAGTTAATTATTATTATGTAGACAAGCACTGCTCCAATTCCTTTACAAGTTTAAACTCATGTTATCATTTAATTAATTAACTAAACACCTACAAGATTGCCTTTTTAGCCTCCTTTCTTTGAGCTCTGAGAAAATATCAATATCTAAGAACACCTCTTTTAGGAGGGGATTCCTCTAATTACCACCATTTACATGCCTACAGTGTGCTAGGAATTGTGCTTCATGTTTTCCATATGGACCAAATATCACACCATAGTATCCTTCATCTTCCCAAAAATCTATGTCACAATCATTATCTTCATTTCACAGAACAGCAAACCTTGGCTCAGAAAGGTGAAGTCACTTACCCGGGCCTCTAGCTTATAAAAAACAGATAATTTAATACCCAGAATTGAGTATACCCAAATGTATGCTATTTCCTCCCTAGCATGTAGAAGTTAATGAAAGAAGGACATGGTATCTAAGGAGTCTCATTTTAAACAGGGGTAATTTGTAAGTCAGTTACACAGAATAAAATGGCTTGTAACCTAAATTACTCATTAAAATCAATTAAATAGTTGTCTTAGATAAGTAGTGTGGCTATGCTATGTAACCACTTCCTCCCCCTCCCCCACAAAAAACATCATAATGGCTTAAAACAACAACAGCAACAATAATTTTGTTTGCTTATGATTCCACAATTTGGTCAGGGCTCAGGGGAAGGCTAATATCTCATGTTAGTGGGGCTCAGCTGGGTGGCTCTTTGCTCACCCAAGGTAGTGAGTGTCATGCATGTGACTGCATTTAGCTGAGGCTCAGCTGGGGTGTCTTGGTGCTCCTGTATACAGTGTTTCTCTCCAGGCAGTCTATCACAATTCAGTGACTTAACCTAAGATTGTTTACATGATGGCTGAATTAGAGGCTAAAAATGGAAGTTATAAGACCTTCTAAGACCTTTGCTTAGTAGTCCAAGAGCATCATTTGAACAGCACTCTATTTGTCCAAGCAAGTTATAAGGCCATCTTAGATCAATGGAAGGGGGAATACACTCTGTCTCTCAATGGAAGAAGGGGTATGTATGTACAAGAGAGAGAATTTCTTGTTGGTCATCTTTGAAAATAGTCTACCATAGTATATCCCCTGACAGCAACATTTCATATCTCTCCCACTTGCAAAATACATGCACTCCTCAAGTCTCATTTCATTGTGGCAACAGCTCAAAATTCAAATCTCATCATCTGCATCAAGTTTGAAAGTATATGAGACTCCTTGATGCAACATTTTTAATATGCAAACTTTTTAGTTTACACTAAACTAAAAAGTTTTAGTTTTAGTTTTAGTTTTTTGCCCTAAAACACCACATACAGTAGTGTGACATGGATTGGATAACTTCATTAGGTGCTCTCATTTAAAAAGGGGTAAAATGTAGTGATGGCAGCAAAATGGTAGATAGAAAAGTTCTCAGTCTCTGTTCTCCCATGAAAACTTCAGAAAACAACCAGAAACTAGCTGAACTAGTCTTATAGGAGCTCTGGAATAAAGGAAAAGTCTACAGCAACCAAGCAAATATTTAATTTAAAAAAAAAAAAGCCACATTCAAATTAGTAGGACATTTTCATGGCATTTTTATTCACTTCTTCCCCAGCCCCTCTCTGGTATGGTATGGTCTTGGTCATGAGGAGACTATAGCCCAATTGAACCAGAGAGAGCAGAGCAGACCATACTTTTCAAGCTCTAACCTTTCTGGGGACTGCCTGAAGGACCAGTCTCTGTGTTGCTTAACTTAGATCTCAGGTGGGAAAAAGCAGCAGCCACTGCTTGTGAAAGCCACAGGATGACTATTAACCCACAGATACCTGAGGCAAGAGATTATGGGTGGAGACAAACAATAGACCATCTAAGGCCTGAAGGAAAATGAAAGGTAAGACTCTTTGGGAAATTAAGACATTCAAAAGCAGCCGTGTTTATAGGCGAATTGAGAAAGCCAGACATAAGCCCAGGCAAAACACAATCTCAAAAAAGACCTGAGAAGACTCCAAGGTCTCACCTTAGGCTGATCCCTAGGCTTAGAGCATAATGACTGCTTCTGTCTGCAAAGACTGCGAGGAGTGGCTGTTTTTTCAAATGCCCAATTTCCATTAAAAAAAAATCACAAAGCCTGTACAATAAATAAATAAATAAATAAAACATGGCATATGTAAAGAACAAAATTCTCAGAAAGAGAAGATAGAAAGGGGCAGAGAGATTATTTGAAGAAGAAATAGCCAAAAATTCCTAAATTTGATTAACTCTATTAATCTATGAATCCAAGAAATTCAACAAGCTGCAAGTAAGATAAATTCAAATTGGCAGAAATAATTCCATTTCAAGCATAACATTGGACTTTAAAACAGCTGTCTTAAATATGCTCAAAGAGCTAATGGAAAACACAGACAAATAACTAAATAAAATTAGTAAAAGAATATGAGAAATAAAAACATCAATAAGAGATACAAGTTATTAAAAGAAAAAACTCTGGAGCTGAAAAAAAGCAATAACTAAATTGTAGTAACCACTACAGGAATTCAGCAGATTGAGCAGGCAGAAAAATCAGTGAACATGTAGACAGGAAAATTGAAATAATCTAATCTGAGGGGCTAAAAGGAAAAAGAATAGGGAAAAGTGAACAGACCCGAAGGGATATGTGAGACACCATCAAGCAGATCAATATGAACATTATAGATGTCTCAGAAGGATAAGACCGAAAGAAGCAGAGAGATTATTTGAAGACACAATGGTCAAAAACTTTCTAAATTTGTAAATGTATTCATCTACAAGTCCAAGAAGCTCAACAAGCTACAAGTAGGGTAAATTCAAAATAATCCATACTGAGATACATTATAATAAAACTGCTGGAAAACAAAGAGAGACAAAGAAAGAATCTTAAAAGCAGCAAGAGAGAAATGGTTTGTCAGATACGAAGGATCCTCTAATATTATCAGTCAATTTGTCGACAGAAACCTTGCTGGCCAGAAAGCAGTGGGATGATGTATTTAAAGTGCTGAAAGAAAAAAACTGTTAATCAAAAATTCTACATCTAAAGAAATTGTCCCTCAAAAATGATGAAGAAATTAAGACACTTCTAGATACACAAAAGCTGAATGTGTTCATTACCACTCAATCTGTCCTATAAGAAATGCTAAAGGAAGTCCATTTTGAAATAAAAGGATGCTAGGCAGTAACTCAAAGTCACATGAAGATATAAAGATCTTTACTTGAGGTAAATACATGGGCAAATATAAAAACCAATATTATTGTAATTTTAGTTTCTAACATCACTTTTCATATTCTACAGAATTTAAAAGACAAATGGAAAAAAAAAAAGGTAGTCTCTGTTAGTGAATACACAATATATGGAGTATGTTAGCTGGTTTGTGCTCCCATAAAGGAATGTCTAGGCTGGATAATTTATAAAGAAAAGAAGTTTATTTGGCTAACAGTTCTGAAGGTTGTACAAGCATGAGACAACATCTGCTCAGCTTTTGGTGAGGCCTCAGGAAGCTTTTGCTCATGGCAGAATGTGGAGGGGGAGCAGTCACCTCACATGGCAAGAGAGGGAGCAAGAGAGATGCCAGGTTCTTTTAAATAACCAGCTCTTATATGAACTAATGGAGCAAGAACTCACTTATTACCATGGGGAGGGCACCAAGCCACTCATGAGGGATCCATCCCCATGACCCAAACACTTCCCACTAGGCCCTACCTCCAGCATTGGGATCAAATTTCAACATGAGATTTGAAGGGGACAAAAATCCAAACTGTATCATAGAGTTACAATTTGTGATATCAATTATATAATGGACAGAAGAGCTTCATAGAAGTAGAGGTTTCATATGCAACAGAAGTTAAGTTGGTATCAATTCAAATTATGTTATAATTTTAGAATGTTATATGTGATCACTGTCATAACCACAAAGATAGTATCTATAGGATATACACAAGGGAAAATGAGAAGATAATGAAAATGTGAAACTACAAAAATGAACTAAACACAAAAGAAAGCAGTATTGGAGGGAATGGGGGGGAATGAAAAAACTATAAAACACCAAAAACAAATAATAAAAGGACACAAGTAAGAAGTTCATTCTCAGCAATTACTCCAAACACAAATGGATTAAATTCTCAAATTAAAATAATATATTGGCAGAATGAATTTTAAAAACACGATCTGACTAGATAACCTCTATAAGAGATTCACTTTAATTCTAAAGACATAAGTAGGTTGAAAGTGAAAGGATGGAAAAAGATATTCTATGCATACAGTAACCAAAAGATAGCTGGGGTGGCTATACTAATATCAGATAATTAAACTTCAAGTCAAAAACTGTTAAATAGACAAAGAGCATGTTATATATTGAGAAAAGGGTCAACACACCGCAAAATAACCATTACAAACATATATGGCACAAACATCAGAGCTTCAAAATATATGAATCAAACACTGGCAGAATTGAAAGGAGAAAAAGACGGTTCTATGATAATAGTTGGAGTCTTCAATATTACACTTTCTGTAATGGATAGAATAACCAAAGATCAATCAGAAAATGGAGGATGCAATAACACTATCAATCAACTGGATCTATCAAATATATACAGAACACTCCACCCAACAACAGCAGAATATACATTTCCTCAAGTGTTTATTGATTATCCAGGATAGACAATATATTATACCACAAAGCAAGTCTTACTAAACTTAAAAAGGTTTTAACAATACAAAGTACTTATGATCACAATAGAGTAAAACTAGAAATGAATAAGAGAAGAAAATTCACAAATATGTGGATATTAAGCAACACTTTTTTTTTCCTTTTTTTTTTTTTTTGAGATGGTGTCTCACTCTATGGCCCAGGATGGAGTGCAGTGGCACAATCTCAGCTCACTGCAACCTCCGCCTCCCAGGTTCAAGCAATTCTCCTGCCTCAGCCTCCTGAGTAGCTAGGATTGCAAGCGCATGCCACCACGTCCGGCTAATTTTTGTATTTTTAGTAGAGATGGGGTTTCACCATGTTGGTCAGGCTAGTCTCAAACTCCTGACCTCGTGATCTGCCTGCTTCAGCCTCCCAAAGTTCTGGGATTACAGGCATGAGCCACCGTGCCCAGCCAAGCAACAGGCTCTTAAACGGCCAGTGGGTACAAGAAGAAATAGCAAGGAAAATTAGAAAATATCTAAGATAAATGAAAACAAAACCCAAACATAACAGAACTTATTGAATGCAGCAAAAGCCATGCTAAAGGGAAAACTTATAGCTCTAAATACTTTAAAATGAAGAAAGATCTGAAATCAACAACTCAACTTTACACATTAGGGGAAGAGAAAATGAAGAGTGAACAAAACCCAAAACTAGCAGAGGAAGGAAATAATAAAGATTAGAGCAAAGATAAAGAAAACAAAGAATAGAAGAATAATAAAGAAAATCAGCAAAACCAACTATAGTTTCTTTGAAAAGATCACCAAAATTGACAAAATCTTAGCTAGGTTGACCAAGAAAAAAAAGAAGATTCCAATTACTAAAATCAGAAATGGAAGTAGGGACATTACTATCAATGCTGCAGAGTAAAAAGTATTATAAAGGGGTACTATGAACAATTATAAGCAAACAAATTGTTTAAACTAGATGAAATGAACAAATTCTAAAAATATGCAACCTACCATGACTAAATTATGGAAAAAATAGAACATCTGAATAGGCCTAACTACTAAGATTCAATCAGTAATCAAGGAATCAAAAGTCAAGGAACCAAAATCAATATTCGAACTTCACTGAACTCTACCAAACATTTAAAGAAGACTTAACACCAATCTTTCTGAAACTCTTAAAAGTTGAAAAGGAAGGTTGGGCAGGCACGGTGGCTCATGCCTGTAATCCCAGCACTTTGGGAGGCCTAGGCGAGTGGATCACCTGAGGTCAGGAGTTTGAGACCAGCCTAACCAATATGGTGAAACCCCGTCTCTACTAAAAATACAAAACTTAGCTGGGCGTCGTGGTGCGTGCCTGTAGTACCAGCTACTCAGGAGGCTGAGATAGGAGGACTGCTTGAACCCAGGAGGTGGAGGTTGCAATGAGCTGAGATCATGCCACTTCACTCCAGCCTGAGTGACAGAGCAAGACTCCATTTCAAACAAAAAAAAAAATTGAAAAGGAGAGAACGCTTCCTAACTTATTTCATGAGGCCAGCCTTACCCTGATACCAAAGTCAAACAAAGAATTGAGTTCAGCAGCATAGTAAAAGTGCTATGTACCATGACTAAGTGGGATTTATTCCTAGATTGCAGGCATGGTTCAACATATAAATATCAATCAATACAATACACCACATTAGCAGAATGAAGAAAAAAATACATGATCTTCTCAATTGATGCAAAAAAGTATTTTACAAAATTCAACACCCTCTCAGAATAAAAACACTGCACAAACTAGGAGAAAACTACCTTAACCTAACAAAGGCTATATGTGAAAAGTACATAGCAAATATCATACTCAATGGTGAAAGGCTGAAAGCTTTTCCCAGAAGATTAGGAACACAATAAGGATGCCCACACCACTTTTATTCAATATCATATTGGAAATTATAGTCAGAGCAAGTAGGCAAGAAAAATAAATAAAAGACACCCAAATTAGAAAGGAAAAATTAAAATTATCTCTTTTTGCAGATGACACGATCTTATATGTAGGAAACTCAAACGGTCCACACAAAAATTTCTCAGAATGAATAAATTCATCAAAGTTGCAGGATACAAAATTAATACACAAAATCAGTTGTGTACACTAATATAAAATAATGCAAAAGAGGAAATTTGGAAACCAATTCCATTTACAGTAGCATCAAAAAGAATAAAATACTTAGGTATGAACTTTACTAAGGAGATGAAAGACCTGTACACTGAAAACTGAAAAAAGAATGTCTGAAAGAAATTAAAGAAGACCTAACTAAATGGAAAAGCCTCCTATGTTTTACAATGAAAGACTTAATATTGTCAAGAGAAAAATAATACCAAAGTGATCTACAGATTTAATGTTGTCTCTGTCAAAAATCACCGTGTGTTATATACGATTTTTTTTTTAAATTCTAAAATCTACATGGATCCCAATGGACCCTGAATAGCTGGCGCAATCTTGAAAAAGAACAAAGTTGGAGGACTTACACTTTCTAATTTCAAAACTTAGTACAAAGTTACAATAATCAAAACAGTGTGGTACTGGCAGAAAGACAGACATATAAACTAATAGGATAGAATAGAAAAACAAGAAATAAATTCTTCCATATATACTCAAATGATTTTTGACAAGGGTGCCATTACCATCCAATGGGGAAAGACAGGTTTTTTTTATTTTTTGGTTTTTTTTTTAAGAAATAATGTTGAGAAAACTGGATATCCACATGAAAAACAATAAAGTTGCAGCCTTACTTTATACCACATACAAAAATTAACTCAAAATGGATCAAAGACAGAAATGTAAGAGTCAAAACTATAAAACACTTAGAAGAAAATGTAGGGGAAAAAATTCATAGCTTTGCATTTGACAATAATTTTTTGGACATGACACCAAAAGCATAGGCAATAAAAGAAAAAAGAGATAAATTTGACACATTAAAATTCACTATCCACAGAGTGAAAGAGAACTCACAGAGCTAGAAAAACACATTTTAAAATTATATATCTAATCAGAGATTAATATCCAAAATATATAAAGAACTATTACAATTCAACAACAACAAAAACAACAACTTACCCAATTAAATATTGGCAAAGGACATGAATAGACAGTTTTCCAAAGAAGATATACAAATAACCATTAAGCACATAAAAAGATCTTCAACATCACTCATCATTAGGGAAATGCCAACCAAAAGCACAATGAGATACTACTTCATTAGGATGGCTATTATTAAAACAAAAACAGACACAGAAATCAAGTGTTGGTGAGAAAGTAGAGAAATTGAAACCCTTGTGCATTGGTGGTGGGGAAGTAAAATTTTGTGGCTGCTGTGGAAAATAGTATGGCAGTTTCTCAACAAATTAAACATGAAATTAACATACAATTCACCAATTCCACTTCTAGATAGATAACCAAAATAATTGTAAAGCAAGAACTCAAATAGATGTACACCAATGTTTATAAAAACATTATTCAACATCCAGAAGTGGAAATAACCAAAATGCCCAATAATAGACCAAAGAATAAACAAAACATAGTATGTACATACAATGGAATAATATCCAGCATTAAAAAAGAATAAATTCTGTTACATATAGCAAGATGAATGGACATTCACAACATCACACTAAGTGAAATAAGCCTGACACAAAAGGACAAATATAGTATGATTCCAGTTATATGAGGTACCTAGAACAGTCAAGTTCATAGAGACAGAAAGTAGAATCATGGTTATAAGGGGTTGGGGGAAAGGGGACATGGAGAGTTATCATTTGGTGGGTGCAGAGTTTCAATTTGGGGTAAGAAAGCTCTGGAGATGGATAGTGATGATGGTTGCACAACAGTGTGAACATACTTAATGCCACTGAATTGTACAGTTAAAAATTGCTAAATGGTAAATTTTATATGCATTTTACCACAATTATATATATGAAGGGTACATAGCAGTTTCTGCCTAATAATTTTGAAATCCACTGGGCATATGTCAGTTCCCCAACTCAAAGCAGGGCATATCCTTTGATTAGTACCAGTTCTGTTCCCTGTGATCAATTCCCTAATTACTCTGGGCTTAGCTGCATCCTTATAAGAAATGGCCCATATTTATAGCAGAATAGTTCTTTTAGCCTGCTTCTTTTTATTACAAATTTCACTGTCCCCTTTAGCCCGTGCTGGTGATATTTTTACTAATATGATCCTCTTAAAGACTCTGTGGATTTTCTATGAATCTGACTGAGTTTATCCCATGCCTCAAAGCCACTTCCAAATTCATTATGAGACTTATGTTTCTGCTGAGAGAATTTACCTTAAGATTCTTAAAAGCTTTTTTTGTTTAGCTGAATGGTCCACCAAGTACCACTTTAAATCTTTCTGAGGTCTAAACAATGAGTCTTTCAGCCACACTCTTATTTCATTTTAACCCTGAGGCTACTTTTACTGACAATACTGTATATTTGTTATTTTCCATGAGATTATTTATTCTTAGGATTTTTTTTTCTGCCATCTGGAAAAACTGACCTGAATTTTCTATATTTCTTCTAAATTCTGCTTAAAAACCAAACAGTTCAGTTTTCGTTCAATTTTCTCTTGCAACACTTCATTATATGCTTTTAAAAGAAGCTTGATAATATTTTTAGCAGTTTGCTTGGAAGTATTCTTAGCCAGATCCACAAGTTTACTAGGTAATTTTTCTTTTTCCAAGTTACCCCAGATGGCAGTCTTGCTAATTACTCTGACACTACATAACACTGTCTGCTCTTTTCTCCACTGTTCAATCCCTGCACTAAATGTTCACCATTTTTTCTAGCATTTATAAACTGCCTTCTTTTGCTGTTTTTCCACCATCTCCTTGCTGCCTTCATGGCCCCCTCCTGACATTCTGTCCCAAAGCCAGTACCACAGGTTTGAGATTTTTGTGATGACAACACATCCCTTTAGGACAAACCCCTGTTTTAATTATGTGTTGTTGCACAAAGTATATTTAAAACTTAGTTTCTTGAAACAATGATGTTTTAGTGTTGTTCATAATTCTGTGGGTTGGCTAGGCTCAGCTGGGTGGTTCTGTTCCTCCTGGTGTGAGCTGAGTTTACCCATACAGCTGCACTCAACTTGACTGGAACAACAAATTAGGCCTGTCTCTCATGTCTGGCATTTGATGCTGGCAATCACCTGGGTGCCATTCCTCTCCTCTGTGGCCTCTCTTTTCCAGTAGTCTAAATTAGCATTTTTGTAACATGGTGTCTGCATTCCAAAAGAGAAAAAGTAAGAAGCTTCCAGGTTTTTTTGTTTTTTTCCTTTGAGATGGAGTCTCGCTCTATGGCCCAGACTGGAGTGCAATGGTGTGATCTCGGCTCACTGCAACCTCCACCTCCCGGGTTCAAGCAATTCTCCTGCCTCAGCCTCCTGAGTAGCTGGGATTACAGGCATGCGCCACCATGCCCGGCTAATTTTTTTTTATTTTTAGTGGAGATGGGGTTTCACCATGTTGGTCAGGCTGGTCTCGAACTCCTGACCTCGTGATCCGCCCACCTCAGCCTCCCAAAGTGCTGGGATTACAGATGTGAGCCATCATGCCCAGCTTCTTCCAGGTCTTTAAGAACTAGGACTGAAATCAGCATTTCTTCTACATTCTATCTTTCAAAGCTAGTCACAAAACCAGTCAAGTTTCAGTGAAAGGATAAAACACAACCTAATAAAAATAATCATGTCTATTACATCAAATATAGGATATAAGTTTATTTATACACAATGATGACACAATTTTTATCTCTTATTGTTGTTTATTTTATAAGCTTATTGGAAGAGATCTTTTAGACATAACTAGCCATATTTTTTATCAACTATCACTATTTTACAAACAGAAAAAACTATAATAAATTATTCAAGGCATTTTCAAAATTCCTTCGTATTCACAGTCTGATTTCAGAGTCAACATTTATGTTTATCTCACAATATCATCCTCTATACCATCAGGTGCATTGATGAGGCAGTATTTTTTTTTTTTTAGACGGAGTTTCGCTCCTGTTGCCCAGGCTGGAGTGCAATGGCGTGATCTCGGCTCACTGCAACCTCTGCCTCCCAGGTTCAAGCGATTCTCCTGCTTCAGCCTCCCAAGTAGCTGGAATTACAGGCACCTGCCACCACACCCAGCTAATTTTTGTATTTTTAGTAGAGACCGGTTTCACTGCATTGGCCAGGCTGGTCTTGAACTCCTGACCTCAGGTGATCCACCTGCCTTGGCCTCCTAAAGTGCTGGGATTACAGACATGAGCCACCGCACCCGGCCTGAGGCAGCATTTCTTAAAAGAGAATTCCACTATTCTATCTGGAATTTTTCTTCATGCTGCTAACATGCATTCTTCAAGTTTTCATGCTGATCTTTTCTTGGTTGAATGAGAGGCAGCATGAACCAGTCACATCATTCCTTTGTTGCACTGAATTTCCTTTAGAGAGATGTGGCAATTCTTCTTGCCTTGGGTTGCACTACTTGGCCTATTTTAGACAATGTTTTTGCAAATATCTCAGAGACAGAATTTTCCACAGCTTCATTTGTTTGGGGATCCCTTCCTTTCAAAGGACCAAGTAGTTTGGTCTTTATTTTGCAAGAAAATGTGGAATTAAGGCAATTTCACAGTTATGAGTATTTGCTCTACAGATAACAATTTTCTCCCACCACTTTGTTTCTGTGCCTTCTGCCTTTACTGTAACTTTTTGCATCAATGTCAAGTCAGAGTGTAATCTTTTAAAATATATTTAAAATGACAATTAAACTCTACAAATATAATGCCAAGGGTGCACTTAACTGAAGTGATGATAATATGAGTAGTAATAACCAAGTTCATGCCTATGCAGTCAATGGCAACTATGCCTTGAATGTTGCCTGGCTCTCAGTGTTAAATACCATAGATTGTAATGTGCGTCTCAATTTCAGAGACGTTAAAATATATATGTAATATTCATGGAGTCTCTTCAGGGTATCCATTGGTGAGCTAGGGGCTGTCTGATGGATATATTTTAAAGATCTAAATGCAGTGCTTGTTCTCAGGGGATGTAACAAGAAAAGTTCCCCAAATGAAATAGATAACCATGATAAATGGCACATAATACATTTTAAAGTAAATGACACAATTAGTAACAGCTATAGAAATGACAAGGCATGTCAGAACTGAAAGGGATGTGAATGGCAGTGGCCATTCATAGTGACTTTACATTGTGTTGACTGTTTATATCTTTTCCTTATTTTCTATTTTTTGTATTTTTCTTATTCATATATAAAAACTTTCATATATTCAAGATATTGATACTTTGTGAGTTATAAGTGTTTAAAATACCTTGTTCTTGTTGGTAGTATGTTTTAAAAATTTGTTTAGAAGTCTTTGACCATATAGCAGTTTGAATCTATATGGTAATAAAAAAGTATCCATGTTTCCCTCTATGATGTATAATTTTTGTTTTATTTTTGAAATACTTTACTGCTGGATATTTTCCCACATCTTCTAATTTTTAAATTGTGGCTTTTCATTTTTTTTATATATATATCTGGGATTTATTTTTGTGTATGGTGTGAGATGGGAATTTAATTTTTTCATATGAAACGATCTCACGATAGTTTACCAAAAAGTCTACCCTTCCTCACAACATCCCTGATTCGCAGGTGCCTTCAGTTAGAGTGCATAAAACTCTGACTTCTTGAAAAATAGAATTCTCCCTTGAGAACATAAAATAATAATCAAATTATATTATGTAAGGGCTGAAATAGAAGAGAGATATACTTTAATGTGTACTTTCTTTACCTTTTGATGTTAGAGATAAATTCTGATTAAAGCTATGGGCCTCTCTCTAAAAGAAAAAAAAAATGCACAAACACATTAAAAATGCTGCATGACACTTCAAGTGTTCCCAGATCACTTGAAGCCTATACATAAACCCCTCCTCAATTTAGAGTGGGGAAAGTGGGAGGATGGTGGCATATTACCCCAAAACTCAGATATTGTATGACAGAGCCTGCAGGAAAATCCAGGAATCCTATGTCTCTGCCTTGTATCATTCCACATGTATATGTACAGTAGATCATCAGTGCAGAATAGAGAAATATCACAAATTTGTGATCAAGCACTGAAAAGAATCAAATAATTGATACCAAAATATCCAAAATAGTAGCATGAGTTTCATTTTTGACCTGAACCTAATGGTTAATTGTAGATGAAAGATGGAATTGTGTAGGTGTAATGAAAAGGTTGAATTTGAAAGAAGGAATTTAATTTGTTAACTTCTGTTCCCCACTTAGCCAGAAGGCCTCTTATAGCAGATTATTTCTCAGTTGATTTATGGCTTTGGCACCCTATAAATAATCATTGGAAGATCTAATTTGTTTGTTATATGCAAATTACCTAGGTGAGCTTATTAAAGATAAGGTTGGACTGGTATCAAATGTAATTCAAGACAAGAAGGATTAAGGTGTTTTGTGATTGATTGAGCAGGAAGTTGAAAGTCAGCAACAAGATAGATTGATGTGTTCAGCAGGACATTTTGAATCAAGAGCTGTAACACATAATATAGAAAACTCAGTTAATAAACTAACCAAGAAAAGAATGATTTGAGTTTGGAGGGACAAAATGAGAGGAGCTTAGTCAAGGAAATGAGAGAAATTTGGGATTAACGGTATTTTTCCTTCCAAAATAGTAAAAATTAAAGGCTATGGAAACTAACCCAGTTAGTCAGTGATTAAAGTTCAATGATTATGACAAACTTGCTGGTGGTTTTGGTGATAGTGATCCAGATGTTTCTTTAGATTTATCACTCTGGGGAAAAAAGTCAAAACCCTCAGTTCTTGGCTGAGCCCAAGCTGCCAAATCTGTGAAGCGCTAGCTCCCATCCAAGCTGTTTTGATGTGAGGCTGTATCCTAAGAGAACTTTTGGCCTCCATGACCCCTGAAGCAGTTTCTCATTGTTCCAGCGAATCTGAGTAACTGAAAAAAAATGATGCTACATCTCCAGGGAGGTAGTTTTGTGGAGTTGACAACCTGGCTTCTCTGAACTAGTCATGAGGCTTTCTCTTGGGCAAGCAGCCTCTGCATGTTTTATAAAACTGATAGGCTTATATGACTTTTCCTCTCATGGAGATAAATTACATTACACCATCTTTGTGGTCCATTGTCCTGTTTAATTTGTTTGTTATTCCTAGAATTCTACCCAATCAAGAAGTGAATTCCAGTCCAACTTTCTTTTCCTATTTCAATCTTCTTTCCCCTCCAACTGTATGCCTTTCACTTTTCTCCTGCCTTTTCAGAAATTCTTTCCTCTACCTAATTTTCCCACCATCACTTTAGAGTCTTCTTGCTCCACAGGCTCATTGAAAAATTCTGCTCCAGTGTTTTACTTTGAGGGCTTTGTTACACCTTGGTGGTCATAGCAATACTAATAATGGCAGTAGTAAAAGTGGCCGTGGTGATGTAGTAGTAATAGCCGTAGTATTTGTTATTTTTGTACAGGTGCAGCAGGAATAACATCAGGTAATTATGTCAAGCTTTTAGCAAACCTTCCCATTGCTATCTCTTCAATCCTCCCAAAAATTAGTCTCACAAATCTTTGGAATTTTGGCCATCAATTAACAAAGTACCATTTATTGAGAACTAAGTCACAGAAATGCAAACTATTGCCACCAACCTTAAAGAGCTTGCAGAGCTAATTGAAAAGTCATTTGACTATAAGCCAAATAAGTGAACAGATTTCAGTGCTGTAAAATTTTAGAGAAAATAGAGACATTGCCCTGGGGTGGTCAGGCGAGGCTTCTAGAAGGTGACAGAGCTTGGCTAGGCATTGGAAATGGGATTGGGCATTCCTAATAAGAGGGACACAGTGAGAAAGAGCTCATGAATGTGGGGAAAGGGGCCAGAGAAATGAAGCAGAAAGATAAAACAAAGATCCAGTCCCATCATCAGAGGAAATTATAAAAGGTATGATATGAAAGTGAATTATTTTATAATGAAGCCAATATGTTACACAAAGAAAAACGATATATGTATACACATATATCACTTTAGTCAACAACTCAATTGTGCAGGAAATGCCATTTGAGACTCAGAATAATTTTTCAACTCAGGGACTCAAGTATTTCTTTATTTCTGGAAAAATTACACAACTCACTGCAATCACTTTGTTTTATGTTCCTAGAATTCTTATTACATATTTTAACTTCTCTTTTCTACTTTGCATCATTTTAGTTCTTTGTGTTGTATCTTAAGTAATTTCTTGGATCTGGCTTGACATTCATTGAGAGAGAGAGAGAGAGAGAGTAAACATATATATGTATACATACATATATAGTCTATTCTTTATCCATTGAGACTTTTTAATTTAAATTACTTTTTATTTCTAGAATTTCTATTTAGTTTTTTGTTCAACTATGCCTATTTTTTTCATGAAATCCCATTATTAATGTTACTGATTTCATCCTTTCTTTATCTTTTTGAATATTTTAAATATATTAATTTCAAAGGCCCTTTCTTCTTTCTCTATTGCCTATTAGTTTGGGCTATGTTCTTTTTTTTCATTCACCAAATGTACAAGAAGTCATACATCGACTTTCCCTGTGCACTTTGTAATTCTCACTCATCAGTTCATCTTCAACAGGAATTATCTTCTAGGAGGGTGGTGTCTTATGGACCCAGGCTCATGCTGACAGATTATGGGATAGTTTCAATTTTGGTTTTCTCAGATAACCAAAGATTTACCACTTGGCCTGTTTTTATGTTTGTTTCTCAGTTCAGGGGCTTTTGAAACATTCAGTTAAGCTGAGAATTAGATCCCCATATTCCTATGAATGTATGCTTGAGAGCTGAAGTTTTTAAGAGTGACTGTGGCTAAACAGAGCCCAGAATTGGGGAATAAATTTCAGGCAATGTCCTCGAGGCCAATGGGTAGAATTATTCTAATGAGATTGCCTTTTCCATCTTTCCTTCTTCATTCTATCCCTGCATGGTTCTTATTTTCAGTCATCATATTGGTGTGCCTTAAAACAACCACCACTATTTATTACCTTTCATGAATCTGTGGGTTGACTGGGCTTAGCTGGGTGGTTTTTCTCTTCTAACTAGTATTAGCTGGGGCTGCAGTCATCTGGAGACTTGATGGGTTAGGACTTCTGTGAGGACTCACTCATCTGATGCTTTGGGTGGTATCATCTGGAAGTCTGGGCTCAGCTATGTGATTCTTTGGTTTGATATGGTATTGGCAAGAGTTGCAGTTATCTGGAGGATTGACAGGGTTGGAACATTCTAGAAGGCTTAATTATTTGGCTAGAAGTCAGTGCTGCCTATCAGCTGAGAGTATAGTTGAATCTTGGATTGGAGTGTCTCAGTTTTTCTCTGTGTGATCTCACCACGTGGTTTGGACTTCTCACAGCATGGCAGTTGGGTTCCAAGAAGAGATGCTCTCAGTGGCAAAGATGGAAACTGCAGACCCCTTAAAGCCCAGATCCAGAAGATGCACTGTAGAACTGTTACCACATTATTTCGGTCCAAACAGGCCAGAAGACTAGCCCAGATTTAAAGGGAAAGGAAACAAATTCTACCTCTCTATGGCAAAAGTGGAAAATAATTTGTAGTCATCTTTAAGATACCTCAGTTAACATAATAAAGACTCCCAAAATAGTTTCTTAAAGAAGATAGGTTTGCTTTTCACTCTTAAATGATAGGTCCAAGGATGTGCTATCCAGATCTTGATTGCAGCTTTATAAATGTCATTAGCAACCCAGACCCCTGATCACAGTGTGGCTGCAAAAACTCCAGCCATTACAACCAAGTTTCAGGCAGAAACAAATGGATAGAGCAGACAAGCAAAAGGGATCTAACAACTAAGTCAGTCCTTGGAAGAACTTTTCTTGAAGCTTCCCGTGGCTGCTGTTTACATCTCATTGGCCTCTCCTTCTACAAGAGAAGCAAGGATAGTAACACCAAAAAGAAAGCATACCATCACGTTGGAGATGTTTTTAAATGTTTCCTTGTTTAACAGGTGGTGGATATGAGCTCAATGAAAGAAAGCAGTGAATCTCAGACAAGTCTATTTCAGTCCCTTTCCTTTCCATCCCCACCATCTTGTTTGCACTTGGCAAGGACTCTCACTGTGGCACTGTGAGAATGTGTTTGTGGTAGACTATTTTTGGTATTCCATTGAGACAGATGCATACGGCATCATGATAATAAGGGACATGCTTTAGCCTGCAGGCTGCTGACACGATGGTTGCAGGGTACTATTTAGAGAAGAATTTTAGTGCTCCTTATTAATAAAGGTCCATTTGTAAGCCTAATTACACCCTTGCCAAATAATAGAGTTGACTTTTGTGCCACTTCCTCTTCTGTTTAAACTGGAGATGTTCTTTATCAGCAGGTTTCAGTTGTCAGCCAAGTTTGTGCTCAGGGACCCTGCTGCACACTTTTATAGAGTCCCTTCTTTTTAGGTCTGTTCTCCTGTCTCATCTCCTTGTCCTAGGTTCAGTGACTACAGAGAATTAAGAATCCCTCTGAATAGAGAAACTCGTTCCCATATAGGTAGTGCTCACTAATAACAGCTTTATCTTCCAGCCTTCTTGTAGGAATGTGCTCTTTAGAAGAGGACTGGTCAAAGCCATGCTTCACATCCCCCAAGATCATTCTTCCCTGGTGATATGGGAGGCACTACACCTAGCCTGTGAGGCGCAGGGCGTCTTAGGGGCCCTTCTCACAGTCTATGTGTTCACAAAATCCCCTCTGCCTATATGCAAGGCCAGTCCCAGGCCCGTAGGACACAGTGACTGTGTGGCATATTTAAAGAGGGGACTCCATACTTGCTCACTCTGCATTTTTTCTGAAGCAGGAGTCAGCAAACTACAGCCTGGGGGCCAGCTTGTTTTTGTAAATGAAGTTTTACTGGAACATGGTAGTGCTTATTTGTTTATGTATTGTCTATAGCTTCTTTCATGCTTTACAATGGCAGAGTTTTGTTGTTTCAACGGGGAACAAGTAGCCCACAAAGTCTAAACTGTTTGCTATTGACTATGTAAAAAATTTGCTGTTTACATATTGCTGCTCTATAGTGTCCAAGACAGAAAGGGTTCTCTCTGAGGCTGTAGTTCTTAAGCAGAGGGGTGGGCAATTACTGGAGACATACGGCAATGTCTGGAGCATTTTTGGTTGTCATGATTGTGGGGAGGAGGGTGCTGCTACTGGCATCTAGTGGGTAGAAGTCAGGGATGCTGTGAAATATACTATAATGCATAAGCCAGAAGCTAGCAACAAAAAATTACCCAGTCCAAAATGCCAATAGTGTTAAAGCTGAGAAACCTTGTTACATGGAAATGGGCGTTCTATAAGACTGTTATTGTTTTTCAATAGATAGATAGATAAGAGATAGACAGATAACAGATAGATATACAGAGTCATTTAACACCCATAACAGATTGCAAACTTAGTACTGTTATTATCTCTATTTTACAGATGAGAAATCTGAAGCTCAAAGAGGTTAATTCACCTAAAATCATCTAATCAGTAGCAAAATGGGGACTTTTACCTACTGCTTGCCAAGTACTCTTTACTTTAATAAACAAGGGTTTTAATGGAGGAAAAAGTTGCATTCTGAAGCTAGACAGATCTGCATTCAAATGCCAGTTTTCCACTTACATGCATGTGAAATGGAGACAGTAAAACCTTTTCTGAAGGAGGCAAGATTGAATGAGACAGTTTGCTGAAAGCACTCTATGACAGAGCTTGTAATAGTGGGTGCAACAAAAATGCTAGTTTCTATTATTTTATTTTCAGTTCTTAATACGAATGTCCTTGGACATCGGGAAACCAACTCATCCAGCCACATTCTAGAATTATGAGTGCCAAAATAGAACAGAAAAAATATGCCATTTCCTCTATCAAAACATGAACTAATTTTCTCAATTATTTCAGCCCCACAGAGAAAGTGGCATCTTCCATAAATGGCAGGACCCGTTCTTTAATACAGGCTCTAGAGAGAGAGCCTTTCCCATTCTGTCCAGCTCAGCTTCTCCCTGCAGAGCTGCTGGAGCTAGGATGACCCCCAGGAGTGAGAGTCTGTCAGTCAGCAACACAGGGCCTAATCACCAGGCCTGCACAGGCCCGCTCCAAACACTCCTGTGGAGCACTTGCAACTGTCAGGAAGGTTTCTCCTGATGGGAGAACACAATTTCACATTTTCAGAGTTAAAGAATAAACACATAAGGCAGCTGGAGATGGGGAGCCAACTGCACTCAGAGTGGACTTCAAAGCCCATCAACAAACAGGACTCTCTCTGTCTTTACCCAGCAGGCTTTGTCTTTTTTATTTCTCCTTTTGCCCAAAGGCTTGACACTTTACAAAGTTAAGTCTATTGCATTGGTCATGTCATTTCTAGACAAATAAAACAGATTTAGCTCTGAGGTAATTACAGAATTACAACATCACAACCTGGGCCTTAAGGAAGAACTCACCAGGTTCTTCTCCATTCAGCTCAGCATTGCACCGAAGTCTTCTCTCTCCTCCTCTGGTCCCTTCTTTCCTCAGCCACTCCAAAATTACCCAGTCTTCTTGCACCCTCCCTCCTGGTGCATTTGCTGATATTCAGTTTGGCATCAGCATCATCGGCAGACAGAAATAAAGATGAAAAAGTTAGTCTCTAATCTTGGGAGACTCAGGTCCAAAGGGAGAGTCCAGGCTGTGGAGAGACCACACAGTACTCTTTTTCTGTGCACAGAGATGTTAAAAGATAACTAATCATATTGTCTCCAGTTCTTCTGTTTTCTGACTACAGCTGAGAGCAAAGGTATAAAGCTCCCCACCTTGTAAAGAGAGAAGCCACACTACCTGTGAAGAACTTGCTGAAGGGCAGTGCCCCAAAATGTCCATCAAATCCTACCTCACAATCCATCTTGAGAGGGCCCTAGGGAAGGATACAGAATTGACCAGGAAAAACTGGAAAGAAGGATTTCTTAGTGAAACCAGAGTGATTCCAACACATTCTATATACAACTATGCCAAAAAGCATAGTTTTTAAATCCACATCCCAAGTGGGCAGAGACACTGGCATCAGCAAAGTTTACTCCCTACATAAACTAGAGTACTTTCTAGACATGGAAACATACCTGAGCCAAGCCACGACCTCAAGGGTGGATGCTGGAATTGCAAATAAGGCTATCTTATTTTGGCATTTCGAAAGGAGCAAGATCTGCTCCCATCCCAACAGCCCCAAAGTAAAGCCTGCTATGGACCAGCCACCCACATACCAAAGCTTCCAAGTAGCCATCTCATTTGGAAGTGAACAAAGCATCTTAGAGAAACAGACCTGCATCACAGCAGAGGAAATGCATACCAACCATTCATACAACACACCTTGTGCTTAATTCACAAATCCAAAAGACAACAAACGATAAGGATATGTTTAAGGAAATCAGCAGTTCAGAAGAAAATGTCTCTGTTTTGTGTTGCTCTGAAGGCATACCTGAGGCTGGGTAATTTATAAAGGAAAAGAGCTCACAATTTTGATGGCTGGAAAGTTCAAAACTGGGCATCTGCATCTGATGAGGGCCTCAGGCTGCTTCCACTCATGGCGGAAAGCAAAGGGAAGCCAGCTGTGGAGAGATCACATGGCAAGAGAGGAAGGCAAAAAGATAGCGGGGGAGGTTCCAGGCTCTTTTTAATAACTAGCTCTCTCGGGGTCTAATAGAGTAAGTATCAGCCCTGAGGAAGGCCATCAATCCATTCAAGAGGGATCTGACGCCATGACACAAATACCTTTCATTAGGTCCCCCTCCCACACGAGGGTTCAAATTTCAACATGAGGTTTGGAGGAAGCAACCATCTGAATACCTGACTTCAGAGGAAATGGAGATTTTAAGATTAATAATGAAAATATGCTCAGAGAAATTTAAGACAATATATATAAAAAACAAGAATAAGCTACCACCAAAACAAGAACAATAAGTTGATTTTAAAAATAAGTATTAGGGTCAGGTGTGGTGGCTCATGCCTGTAATCCCAGCACCTTGGAAGGCCAAGGTGGAGGATCACTTGAAGCCAGATTCGAGATTAGCCTGGGTAACATTGCAAGACTCTATCTCTATTTTTTAAAAAGTAAGCATTAGAAATTAAAAATATAATAGTCTAAATTAAAACAAATCCAATGTGTTAAAAGAACTTATTAGGGAACTCTTCTAAAACGTTCCGCAAAATAACAAAGAATTAGAAATATGAGATTTTTTTTAAAAGGAAGTAAGAAACATAGAGGATAAACCAGCAGATCAATAACTATCTAATAGAAGTTCCAGGTAAAAAGGAAAAGAAAACATGAAGAGGAGAAGATAGTCAATGAAAAACAGAAGAAAATTTTCCAGAACTCGGCAGATTGACAGGGCTTAACCACAACCTAGTAGGATTTTTTAAAAATTTCTTACGGAGCCTCGCTCTGTCGCCCAGGCTGGAGTGCAGTGGTGTGATCTCGGCTCACTGCAAGCTCCACCTCCTGGGTTCATGCCATTCTCCTGCCTCAGTCTCCCGAGTAGCTGGGACTACAGGCGCCCACCACCACGCCCAGCTAATTTTTTGTATTTTTAGTAGAGACTGGATTTCACCATGTTAGCTAGGATGGTCTCGATCTTCTGACCTCATGATCCGCCCACCTCGGCCTCCCAAAGTGCTGGGATTACAGGCGTGAGCCACCACACCCGGCAATTTTTTAAAAATTTTTAAAGGCCTTAATTGAATGCTCATGAATTTAAGAACAGCAATGATAAAAATAATATCCTAGAAGCTGTCAGAGAAAAACGAAAAGCAGGTCACCTACCAAAGAAAATTTCAAATCCAATTGGCACCAGTCTTCTCAAGAACAATACTGGATGCTAGAAGGCAGTGGTGCAATGCCTTCGATGTTCTGAAGGAAAATGATACAGAAACTAGAATTTTATACCTAGAAAAGCTATGGAGTGTGAAAATAAATATTCTCATTATATACAAACAAGGCCATAATATATATATGCAAGGTCATAAAGTTTACCTATCACACTATGAAAAAAAATTATTAAAGGGTGTAGTACTTCTGTAAATAAAAATGTAATCTAGAAATAAGAAGTCGACCGGGCATGGTGGCTCATGCCTGTAATCCTAGTACTTTGGGAAGCCGAGGCAGGAGGATCACCTGAGATCAGGAGTTCCAGACCAGTCAGGCCAATGTGGCAAAACCCTGTCTCTACTAAAAAAAAAATACAAAAATTAGCCAGGCATGGTGGCACATGCTCATAATCCCAGCTACTCTGGAGGCTGAGGCAGGAGAATCTCTTGAACCCAGGAGGCAGAGGTTGCAGTGAGCAGAGATCATGCCACTGCCCTCCAGCATGGACGACAGAGGGAGACTCTGTCTCAAAAAAAAAAAAAAAAAAAAAAAGAAAGTAAAGAAGTCATGGACTCTAAGAAACAAGGAAATTACTACAGAGTGCGATAAAGAAAAATACCAACTTGACTAAATTAGAACCAGCAGTTGCAGCGTTCCGAGGAAAGTTTCTTCAAAGCAAATACATCTTATTCAACAACTACTATGATCTAAGGAAAAGCTGAAAGATCCAAGTACTTTGCTAAAAATGGGACAGCTTCTTTTCTCAAAAAGAAAACTAAGAAATGCAATTATAAGCCCCGTTAACAAGAAAGTCATGAATCAAAAGCAAAGTACACTAAAATATGCAGTAATTTAAGCAATTTATGGCATACTAAAAAAACAAAATCCCATTGGCATTGGCATCTGGCACATTCTCTTACAAGCAGCACAAATTTAATAACATAAAATTATATTTATTTTCTCCATAGACCTAATCACACTATTTAGTTCTGCTGTAAATAATATTTATATATCATAATGATATAACTTCTATTTATTAATTTCTAGTATTTTGAATAAGCCTATGGACAACACACTTATATAATTACATTACTTAATATCAGTGTCAAAATTTGGATAATATACAAATAATCCTAAAGCTGATGCACAATTTACAAATCAGGGAAGTGAGAGAAAAAATGTCAAGTAATATAGAGGTTTAAATTTATTTCTAAATAATCATGAATTAAGAGATGATCTCTAAAGCAGATAGAACCAAAAGTAGAGGTTTCAGTATATTATTTAAAGTTATAAAAATCATCAATAAAACCCAAAATAATAATTTAACCAACAAGTTCAAGGGAGACACAGAAAGAAAGGTAAAATTAGTATACATGGGTGAGTTAAATTGAAATTTCCCAAACAAGGGTGTCTATAAATTAAGAGCTACTCATCTATTATTTGGAATTAGGTGGTAACCAAAGGAAAAATAAAAAACTCATAAGAAATGAGAGTGGGGATAAGAGCACCTTTTTTTGTTGTTGTTTTTTATTTTTGTTTTTTGAGACGGAGTCTTGCTCTATTGTACACGCTGGAGTGCAGTGGTGTGATCTCGGCTCACTGCAACCTCCTCCTTCCAGGTTCAAGTGATTCTCCTACCTCAGCCTCCCAAGTAGCTGGGACTTCAGGCACCCACCACCACGCCCAGCTTATTTTTCTATTTTTAGTAGAGATGGGGTTTCACCATATCAGCCAGGCTGGTCCCGAACTCCTGACCACAGGTGATCTGCCCGCCTTGGCCTCCCAAAGTGCTGAGATTATAGGCATGAGCCACCGCTGGCCCAAGAGGACTGTTATTTTTTTAAACCGTTGTACCCTGTAGTATTTCAATTATTCTTTTTCCTAGATGTATTATTTTTATAATTTATAAAATAGGGAGTGACAACAAAACAAGTATACTTCCTAAGAAACAAATTTGGAGACATTATGGATTAGCGCAAGAGTCAGGTTGCCTAGCATAGCTGTTACCCACATATCTAACGTTCAATACATATTTAACTGAAATTGTATTAATTTGGTAGCAAAATAAAATTAAAATCCTGCTGAGCCAAGACCAGGACCTCAAGTAGGTACAATGGAATAGCAAGAAATACCACCATAATTTGCAAAGTTATATAAAGGCTTTGTACTCATTGTATAAGTAGGTTATAAAACATTGGCAGATAAGAAATTATGAACTCCAGTGTTAGATTCAGATGACATAACTTAAGTACATAATATGCATCAGACTAAACATTATTCTTTGTTGCTGTCAATAGCAAGCACCTTAGTCCCACTAACCTTTAATTGTTCTCTTTCACTGATCAGCTAACTTCCAGATTTATAATAGACATTTCATGCCTTCTACCATCTGACAGTACTCAACCCCTCTAAACTCATCCCCTACTACTCACATTTCCAGCTGGAGGTAAAACTAAACCAAAGCAGCTGCCTCCAGAAACTTGGGCAATAAAAAGACATAAATGCGAACTTTTTTTTTTTTCGGTATTCTCTAGTACCCAGATTGTGGTTTTTAAATACCACTTCCCACTAAGAGGAACCAGAGCTGCTTGGAGAAATGTTCAATTCCAGGTTTAGGGTCAATTATGTAATATATGAGTCAAGCACATCTTATCATACAGATTTCTTTTCTACGTAAAATCGTGGTTCCTGATAATATTGGCATAATTTATTTGCTTTACCTCATATGAAAATTAAATAGTTTTCAAAATTATAATACCAGTGTTGCTTCTAATATAAAAATACTAAGTAGAGTCAATTCTACTTGTTCTTAGAATATGCAAGCTCAGTTAGAGAATTGTGTTCAACAGTCACTTGAAGTTAATTCTTCTCTTTAATTTTATATACAATTTGATTAATTCGTTCCTATTTATTTTTGGCTTTAAAGTTTGCTTTTCTTTCATTACAATAAGACATTTACAAAGTTCAAATGTCAAAACTATATATAGGAATGACATCAGCAAGGTGGAATAGGAGATTCCAGACCTTTCTCCACACCCTCCCCCCAACAGAGAGATCAACTAGCAATAATCCACAGACAAAAACATCTCAATGAAATGCCAAAATGTGGAAATAAGCCTGAGTCACCTGTGTGTTCCATGGAACTAAATACTTATGAAAGAGTATAAGAAACAGTCTTGCTTGGACTGCATTGCCTTTCCCGGTCCCACAAGTCAGCATAGCACCACATGGAGAGGATTCTCTAATCCCTCAGTCTCTACAGTTGGAAAAGAGAACCAGGAAGGTGAACATCTAGTTTTCCCAACATTCCAAGATGCTTCCCAAAAAGCCCACTCCACCTCTTAAGGAATGTAAGTGAAACTGCATGCTAGACCAAGTGGGATCTGGTGAAAACAAAGCAAGGAGGTGAAATCTGCAGAGATCAGCATGCAGATTTTGGTGAAAGCTCAGTGTACCTGTCAGTAACGGCACTCAATTAGAGATACCAGCTAACAGCAAAGCTAACCCTCAAAGCCAACCTAGTTGCTCCCAGAAGAGGTGGGAAGTGATGCCTGGCTTGAGCCCCTAAACAGGTAACCTCCAGGCCCAGCAATAGACCCTAACCCTGGGCCCCACCCAGGGAGTGAGATGACCACCATAGCAAATTTCAACCAGAAGCGGGTACTAGTTCTGCCACATGCTGTGAGTTTAATCAGCACTTCTCTCAGCCTCAAAGTCCACTCCCAGATCCTGCCCAGAAAGGGAGGAAATTCTCAACTGTGCGCTTCTGCTGAGCACAGCAGTTGGTCCATTCAGCCTGATTCACTTAAGCTCGCGGCCCCTTCTGAAACTCTGTCCAATTGCTGGACTCAAATAGCAATAGCTTCTGACCAGGAAATACACCCTGTGGCCCAGCCAGATTAGAGGTGATTACAGTGCCCGCACAGCAGCTCTGCCTGATAGTAAAACTCAGCCAGTGGTCTTTTTGGATAGCAGAGCCTAAACAGCTGCTCCACCCAAATTCAGAGCAAAGGCCACAGCCCTGCCATCTAAACAACCTGAAAGTAAGCTCTGCCTGCCCAGGGTCATTACCAGCTGGCCCATCTAGAATCACAGGCTAAATTAACTGGTGAAGGCCTATCTCTGCCAAAGAATTCCTGTAAAAGCCAGAAAACATGGTTGTCTCCACAAATATGTAAGCACCGACACAAGGACACAAGGATTGCAAAGACTCAAGAAATCATGACACTTCCAAAAGAAACTCACAAATCTTCAATAACAAACCCTAAAGAAAGAGAGATCTATGAAATTCCAGGAAAAAAATTCAGAATAATTCTCTTAAAAGTTCAGTAGACTTCAAAAATATATGAATTTTAAAAGCAAATAAAGTTTATTTACACAAACAATGCAAGAAGTTTGACAAAGAAATGAGAACAATTTTTTTAAAAACCAAACAGAAATCCTAGAGATAAAGAATATAATGACTAAACTGAAAAATGCAATAGAAGGCACAAAGAGCTGGCTTAATCAAGCTGAAGAAAGAATCAGTGAACTCAAAGACAAAACATTTGAAATTACCCAATCGGAGAAGCAAAAGGAAAAAAATAATTTAAAAAATGAAGAGATCCCATGGGAATTATGGGACACCATCAAGATATATAACCTATGCATAATGACCATTCCAGAAAAAGAAGAGAAAAAGAGGCAGAAAGCATATTTAGAGAAATAATGGGTGAAAACTTTTTTAATGTGAGGAAAAAAATCAAGGTCTATGCACAAGAAGTTCAGAGATTGCCAATTAAATTCAATCCAAAGAAGGACATTATATAATAACTAAAAGGGTCAACTAATCAAGAGGATATAACAGTTATAAATATATATGTACCCCACAGTGGGGCATGTAAACATATAAAGCAAACATTAAAAGATCTAAAGGGAAAGATAAATTATAATCCAATAATGGTAGGGGAATTCAATACACCACTTTCAATACTGGACACATTATCCAGACGGAAAACTAATAACGAAACATTGAACTTGAACAACACTTTAGACCAAATGGGCCTAATAGACATATACAGAGCATTCCATCTAACAACAACAGAATGCACATTCTTCTCAAGTATTCATGAAACATTTTCTAAGATACATCATATGTTAGGTCACAAGACAAATCTGAGCAAATTTAAGAAGATATGGAAATCATATCATGTTTTTTCTGACCACATGGTATAAAACTAGAAGTGAATAATAGGAAGAATTTCAGAAAATTAACAAATACATAGAAGTTAAGCAACATGTTCCTGAATAATCAATAGGTCAGTGAAGAAATTAAAAGAGAAATTTAAAAGTATCTTAAGACAAATGCAAATGAAAACAGCATATTAAAATTTACGGGATGCAGCAAATGCAGTTATAAAATGAACATTTATAGCAATAAATGTCTACATCAAAAAAGAACAAAAAGTGCAAATAAACAACTTAACATTATACCTCAAGAAAAAAATAGAAAAAGGAGAACAAACTAAGCCCAATATTAACAGAAAGAAAGCATAAAGGTCAGACTAGAAATAAGTGAAATACAGACTAGTGAAACAATACAAAAGATCAAGGATGCTAGGAGTTGGTTTTTTGAAAAGGTAAGCAAAACCAACACTTTAGCTAGACTAAGAGAAAAGAGAGAAAGCTCAAATAAATGAAATCAGAAATGAAAGTGAAGACATTACACTTCACACCACAAAAATACAAAGGATCATGACTATTGCGAACAATTGTATGACCCAACATTGGATAACCTAGAAGAAATGGATAAATTCCTAGTCACATATGACCTACCAAGGCTAAATCATACAAATATGGAAAATCTAAACAGACTAACAATGAGTGATGAGTTTGAAACAGTCTCCCATTAAAAAAAAAAAAAAAAAAAAAAAAAGCCCAGGACCACATGACTTTTTGGCTGAATTTTACTAAACATTTAAAAAACTAATACTAATTGTCTACAAACTTTTCCAAAAAATTAAAAAGAAAGAATACTTCCAAACTCTTTCTATAAGGCCAGCATTACCCTGATACTGAAACCAGACAAGGACATCACAAGGAAAAACAAAATATAGGCCAATATTCTTGAATATAGATGCAAAACTCCTCAACAAAATATTAGCAAACTAAATTCAACAACACATTAAAAGGATCACTCACCATGATCAAGTAAGATTTATTCCTGGGATGCAAGAATGGTTCTACATTCACACAGCCAAAAATGTGATATACCACATTAATGGAATCAAGGAAAAAAATTATATGATCATCTCATTAGATTTAGAAAAACCATTTGAGAAAATTCAGTATCGTTTCATGATTAAAAAAACTCAACAAATTAGATATAGAAGGAATGTATTTCAACACAATAAAGGCCATATATAAAAACCCTCAGCTAACATTATACTGAGTGATGAAATACTGAAACCTTTTCCTCTCAGATCCAGCACAAGACAAAGATGTCTGTTCTCATTATTTCTATTCAACATAGTATTAGAAGTTCTTGCTAGAGCAATAAGGCAGGAGAAAGAAATAAAAGACATCCAAATAGGAAAGAAAGAAGTGAAACTGTCACTGTTTGTGGATGACATGATCTTTTATATAGAAAACCCTAAAGAATACACCAAAACAACCTACTAGAAGTGATAAATAAATTCAGTAAAGTTGTAGTATACAAAATCAACATGAAAAATCAATAGCATCTCTTCACTAACAGCAGACTTTTCAAAATAGAAATCTAGAGGGCAATCCCATTTACAATAGCTACAAAAAAAAATAATAATGAATAAATTTAAACAAGGAGGCAAAAGACCTGCACACTCTAAATTATGAAACATTCATGAAAGAAATTAAAGAAGACACAAATAAATGGAAAAATATCTGGTGTTCATGAATTGGAAGAATTAATATTGCTAGAGTCCATACTACCCAAAATGATCCTCAGATTCGGTGCAATTCCTATTAAAATCCTAATGTTATTTTTTTAGGTATAGAAAAAATAATCCTAAAATTCATGTGGAACTACAAAAATCCCCAAATCATCAAGGCAATCCTGAGCAAAAAGAACGAAGCTGAGGGCATCACACTACATGATTTCAAGCTATACCACAAAGCAATGGTAGTTAAAGCAGCATGGTGCTGGCATAAAAATAGACACATCAACTAGTGCCATGGAATAGGAAGCACAGGAATGAACCCATGCATCCATGGGTTCAATTGATTTTCCACAAAGGTACCAAAAATATACAATGGGAAAAGGACAGTCTCTTCAATAAATGGAGTTGGGAAAACTGAATATTCATATGCCAAAAAATGAAATCGACCTTTGTTTCATACCATATACAAAAATGAATTCAAAATAAAGGCTTAAACATAAAACGTGAAACTGTATTTCTACTATAAGAAAACATGTATGAGAAAACCATATAACATAGGTCTGAACAATTACTTTTTTTTAGGTTTGACCCCTAAAGTACAGGCAACAAAAGCAAAACTAGAAAAATGGTATTACATCAACATAAAAAGCTTCTGCACAACAAAGAAAACAATTAATAGAGTGAAGAGACAACCTACGGATTGGGAGAAAATATCTGCAAGCCTTACATCTGATAAGCGATTAATATCCAAAATACATAAAAAACTCAAACAACTCTATAGAAGGAAAACAAATAATCTGATTAAAAGCAAAAGACTTGAGCAGACATTTCTCAAAAGAAGACATACAAATGACTAACAGACACATTAAAAAATGCTCAGCATCACTAATCATTAGAGAAATGCAAATAAAAACCACAGTGAGATGCCACCTCATACCTGTTACAGTGGCTATTATCAAAAAAAAAAAAAGGTAAGAATTTTTGAGGATGCAAAGAAAAGGGAAAACTTATAACTGTTGGTGGGAAAGTAAATTAGTGTAGCCATTATGGGAAACTGCATGGAAGTTCCTCAAAAACCTAAAAATAGAACTGCCATATGATCGAGCAATCCAAATTCTGGGTACTCAGGTTGAAAATATTTGAAAAAGTATTTAAAATTGATATGTTAAAGAGACATCTAGGCCAAGCACGATGGCTCACGCCTGTAATCCCCGCACTTTGGGAGGCTGAGCTGAGTGGATCACCTGAGGTCAAAAGTTTGAGACCAGCCTGGCCGACATGGTGAAACCTCATCTCTACTAAAAATACAAAAATTAGCTGGGCATGGTGGCAGGTGCCTGTAATCCCAGCTACTCAGGAGGCTGAGGCAAGGAGAATCACTTGAACCTGGGAGGTGGAGGTTGCAGTGAGCTGAGATCACGCCATTGAATTCCAGCCTGGGTGACAAGAGCGAAACTCCATCTCAAAAAAATAAAAATAAAGAAAAAAAAAACAGAGAGAGAGACATCTGCACACCCATGTTCATGCAGCACTGTTCATGATAGCCAATTTATGGAATCAACTTATGTGTCCATCAATGGATGAATTGATAAAGAAAATGTGGTATGTATACACAATGGAATACTATTCACTCTTTAAAAAGGAAGAAATTGTGACATTTGCAACAACGTGAATGGGATTGAAGAACATTATGCAAAGTAAAATAAGCCAAAAACAGAAAGATAAATGTCACATGTTCTTGCTTGTATATGGAATCTAAAACAACTGAACTTATAGAAGCAGAGAAAAGAATGGTAGCTACAGAGGCTGGGAGATAGGGTAGTGGGGAGATGATAATCAGAGGGCACAAAGCTTCAGTTAGGAGGAATCAGTTTGAAATTTTTTTGAGATCTATTGCACAGCATTTTGAATATAGCTAATAATTGAGTACTGTACATTTCAATATTGCTAAGAGAATACATCTCAAATGTTCTTATCACAAAAAGTCAAATACTTGAGGTAATGAATAGATTAATTAGCTTAATTTAATAATTTCATGTCATATAAAAAAATCATAACATCGCTTTGTATCCCATAGATATACACAACTATAATCTGTCAATATAAAATATTTTAAAAGATACAACAATGCTTATCTCTCTCCTCACCACTCTTACCCTCTATCTTGCTCCAAAGATAAGCATTTTTCTTAGAGGGGGCTACATCCCAGTTTATCTTTTCAATGTTTCTTATTTAATAGCTGGTGTACTACTATTCTGCACATTGCTTTACTCACTTAAGAATATACCATGGAAATCAATTCATATTAATTCACAGAGATCTTGAGATATTATCTTTCAGAATCTTTCATATAATAACATTACTTTTATTAAAAAGAATGCTAGTATAAATGTACATAAGAAAATTGGCATTTTTTAGCTATATCTTGAAGGTACATGAGGTTTGCATTGGAGCCCTTTTTTATAAGCCACAGATGAGAACCTTCCCTCTGGCCCAGCTACTCTATTCATTATAGGCCAAGTATATTACATCTCCTCTACCCATGCTCACAATCTTCCACCTACTTGAGACATGGTTCCATTCTTCATTTGAGGCAAGACATTTGAAGTAGTCATTTCAAATGCTACCTCCTCATAAAGATTCCTTGCTCCAAGAGAACTGTGTCTTTGCATCCCCAGTGCCTATCATGACAGCCAGCACATAAAAAATGTTTGATAAATGTTCAGAATGGCATAGAAAGAAGGTAGCATAGAAAGAAGATGGGTTTAGGGTCACATAAGTTTTAAGTTCAAATTCTAGCTTACCCAAATTCTAACTGCATTAGTTATCCTTTACTGTGTAATAAAATACCTCAAAACATAGCATTTTAAAATAGCACACATTTATTATCTCAGTTTCTTATAGGTCTCAGGAAACTGGCATGGCTTAGCTGGATGCTTCTGTCCCAGGGTCTCTTACAGGCTTCCATCAAAATGTTGACTGGGGCTGTGATCTCAGCTGAAGACTCACCTGGGAAACCCACTTGCAAGTTTATTTCTGTGGTTGTTGGATAGATTCAGTTCATTGCAGGGTGTTGGACAGAGGCCTCCGTCTCTCATGAGCTGTTAGCTGGTGATCTCCTTTGGTTACTTGCCACATAGGCTACTCCATAGGGCATCTCACAACATAGCAGCTGGCTTCATCAGAGTGAGAAAATCAGAAGGCAAGAGGAAGTACCAGAAAGAGACAGAATGAGGAGAGAAATCAATCTTTTATAATCTAATTGTGAAAGTGATATCCCTTTGCTTGTACCATATTATATTCCTTGGAAGCAAGCCACTAGTCCAGCCCATACTGGAGCAGATGGTCTGAACCATCTGGAGAGGAGATCATTGAGAGGCATGTCAGAAGCTCCCTACCATGGTAACTTTATAACTTTAAGCAAATTACTCTAACTCTTTTTCATTGCCTGCAATATGGAAATAATAATGGTAACATTGCAGTATTATTGCAAAAATAAAACAAAAATAATGTATGTAAATCACTTGGCATTACAGATGCCAAATATTGTACAATAGTTTCAACTTACAGTGGGTTTTTCCAATGTGACCATATGTCATAAGTTGAGAGGCATACAGAATGTGATCCATTTTTGCACCATCATAAAGTTAAAAGATTGTAAGTTGAACTCTCATAGGTTGGGGACCAGTTAGAGTTCAATATAGGGTAATCATTACAACAATATTGGCAATGCTGTGTAACCAGCAACAACTCTTCTTCCCCCTCTACGCAGTCTTTACTCTTTCTGCTTATGCTCTTTTGAACCTAAATCTCTTTACTTCTTTCCCTCCCCAATATTTTATTAGCAACATGCCTCAAGTGACCAACGTATTAGGTCAGTTACTAAGATAAAATGGATAAAATGTGTTTACGCAGCTTGGATTCACCTGTTCAGTGTTATGTTATAATTTAATTCTTCTCATGACTTCCCATTTGAGTTCATTATCTTTGGAGAAAGACAAACCAAACTCACCAACATCCTTAGAAACACTGATTTACAAAGTAGAACAGTCCTCATTTTTCTTGTAAACATAGAAAGTTAGTCCATTATCAACCTGCTAAAGAGCTCATGGTTTTGCAAGAATATATTATTATATTTCAAGATTTTGAAATATTCCAAGAGACTTTTGCAAGTGTATTTTTTCCTTTCTTTTTATTTCTATAGCAATACATTTTCCTGCCAAGTTTTAATATTTTACCTTTGTTAAAGTAAGGAGAAACTCAAGAAACACACTTTTAAAGGAAGAAATTCTTCCAGCCAAAGTTATGGGAAACTATCCTCCCCTGCCTAAATTCTTTATGATGTGTTCTAAAACATTTTGGTTATGAAAAATGTAGACTACTATCACCATTCCAATTCTTTTTCCTGGTCTCCCATGAATCAGAGTGATGACTCAAGGAATTAGATGGACAGGTATTGTCCTCATTCTGCCATGGATGTGTGTGACCTTTGTCCACTCACAAGACCTTTCTAAGCCCCAGTTTCTCATCCAGATAATGGGTCTCATCATTCTGTCCTCATGACCTATCACCTGATCGCCCTAGCAGGACAAGTAGAGCCTGGAAAATGCTCCAGACTCACCTGTCAGGGGCCCCTAGAAACACAGCAGGGAAAAGAAGGTACCGTGTCTCATTTAACTATGGTCAGGGAGACTGATTTTGAAAAAATCAACTTAAAAGACTAAGTATCAAGTTAGAGACTAGCAGAAAGTCAAACTTAAATTTCTAATCCTTGGGGATATTGGGAAACAGCAGAAGCCCAGATGTAAAACCCACATGAAATATAATGAGAAACAAAACAAAGAAAAAAGGAAAGATAAGTTAGTTCTAAGACACTAGAGTGGCTGGGAGCTGAAGGGCTGGGCAACTTCAGTGATTCTCTCTGGTTTCTTTATCTCCATGGGGGCCTGCTGGAAATACTTACAGAGAAATCCTTGGAACAGACAACTACCACCTGTGGCTATTGGAAAGATATATATCATTTAGATACCACTGGGTGGAAAAAAAAATGCCTTGGAAGGAAACATCTTGACTAACAGCAAGGTGCAAAATTATTTCATTTTGCTCTGCATTTTTGGAAACAATTGACTTCAAGCTTCTAAAACTGTGTGCTTTAAAGTCTCCATCACAGCTGTTGGAAAAATTCTTCATGTTCTTTCCTACGACACTTGGATTTTTGCAGCCGTGAATGGACACAAAAAGATGTCAATCATACCAGTAATGAAAAGTTCATTTCTCACTCCCTATTGTGAAGGCAATGCCTTTGTGATGGCCATTGTGTGAGACTGTGTTCAAGCTCATTTACCTTCACATACAGAATATCTCTTTTATATTAAAAGTTTAGACTATAGTCACCCCAGATCACACCTAATGCTTTAGAATTGTATTACCATTATCCTCTATTAAATCTGTGACAAAATTATAATATCTATGTCAGAAATAATGAAGAGATGAATGTGGAGTAAGAGATCTCAGTGTCACCTCCTTCTGCATTCAACATCAGATACTGATGGCATAAAAACCAGTCTCTGTCAGCCAGCAAGAAGGGGGCTTTTGACAATGGAGAATCCGTCGAGAGATGTGAGGGGAATTTTCCCAGTCATGTAGACAGCTGCTGAAGTAATATCTGAATAAAAGTTAAACTCCTCCCTTTTTCTCTCTTTCTAGAAAAATCTGTATTTATTTCCTTCACTTCACAGAACATACTCTCCTCAGGGGGGTAGTATACGCTGAGAAGAGCTTATTTGAAGTGGTTCTTCCACAGATGGATGAATGGATGGATGCAATAAAGACACTTAAGGAGAAGAAAGTCAGCACTAAGCATACTGGTCCCAGATTGTGAGACAGCATCCCCTCAAATTCAAGGAGCTAGAAGGTGTCTCCCCTACCGCTCTGCTTCCCTTCCCCATCTGGGGGTATTGAACAGGGAAACAGAGTGACAGAAGCAACCCATTCATCAACAGATGTGTCATGAACAGCAGATTCTTCCCTTACTTCATTAAACACTCCATATTTTACATATTTGATGACATTTCATCTTTGTTACAAAATAGGAAGGGCAAGTATTATCATTCGCATGGTACAGATGAAAAAAGAAGTTTCAGAAAAACTTGTGTATATTTATAAAGCTAATAAAGAGTAGCCCAGAGACAGGAACTCATGCTTTGAAGTTTGAGCTTCATTCCATAGTCAGTCAGGGCCAGTGATGGATTTAAAGTAGGAGTACAGGATTGGAGTGGCATTTCAGTCACGTACTCTGGCTTCGGAAGGCAGAGCAGGTCTCAGTGAGAAAAGGTGGGAGGCACCAAGTCTAGTTCGGAGGCTGCTGTAGTAATCCAGGCAAAGGCAGCAGCTAACACAAGAGAAGCAACTGAGAATAGATTGAGGAAGTTCTTAGTGACTAGCTGGAAGTTGCAAATGAGAGGGTGAGGAAGAGGGAGCTCTCAAGGATGTCTTGGGTCTGTTGTTTAAACATCTAGATGTATGACAATGTCATTTTCTGAGGTAAGAAACATGGGAGGAAGAGTACTGTGTATAGTTTGAGGAAGCAGGTGGAAATCGGTCCGAAGTTGGGAGCTCAGAGGAGGCATCATGCTTAGGTTGAGATTTGGGAACATCAGAATATTTTAGGAGCAGAAGTCCTGGGTGCCCAAGGTAGGAGAATTTCCAGGGAGTGACAGAGGTGGAAATCAGATTTCAGGAAGTGAGAAGAAAATGTGATGAGGTTACACAATGTAGACAACATTTTTAAAAAACTATGACTAGGGCCGGGCACGGTGGCTCACGCCTGTAATCTCAGCACTTTGGGAGGCCAAGGCGGGCAGATCACAAGGTCAGGAGATCGACACCATCCTGGCTAACACAGTGAAACCCCGTCTCAACTAAAAATACAAAAAATTACCCGGGCGTGGTGGTGCGTGCCTGTAGTCCCAGCTACTCAGAAGGCTGAGACAGGAGAATCACTTGAACCCAGGAGGCGGAGGTTGCAGTGAGCCGATATCATGCCACTACACTCCAGCCTGGGCGACAGAGTGAGACTCTGTCTCAAAAAAAATAAAAGAAACTATGACTATGGAGAACTAGTAAAAGGGCTCCAGCTGGAGGGACAATGGAGTATAAGGAGGGTTGCTTTATTTTTTTTAAATGAAAGAGTGTGTTTCAGTGTTAATGGTAAAGAACAGATTGAGAAGGGAAGATGAAAGACAGAGGAAATTCACTTAGTGAGCAAAGAGCTATTGAAAAGCTGCTGTGCACTGGAGATCCAACAGTAACCAAAAATGACAAGGTTCTCACTTCGTGAAAATTGCATTCTAGTAGGGAGACCAAAAGTAAACACTTAATAATAACTTACATTAAGTATAAATGCAATATTAAGCTATGGTACTTAAAACACAATAGCACTGGCACAAGAACTGACAAATGGAGGCATAGAACAAAATAGTCTAGAATTTATAAATGTAAGAAATTTTCAATGTGATAAAGTAACATTTTAAACCAGTAGAAAAAGAATAAATACATTTAATAAATGGTGCTAAGACAAGTAGATAATTTTAGGAAAAAAATGAAAAAGGGTCATTGGGGTGGGGAAAAATTATCCTTAAAAAGGAAAACAGACACTTCTTGCATTTTGATTGCAGAAAAGCGGAGCGAGTAGGAGAAGAGTATGGATGCAAGAACATTTGTGCAGTGTGAAAGCCGGAAAACAAATATTTCACTCACTGGCTTCCCTTTTTTCCTTGTGAAATAAAAGACAATATATTATGCCAAAGGTAAAGGGGCATTTGGGAAGTTAGAAATCTGGAGGAGATGGGGGAAAAAATAAAAGAGGATATAATAAATGAAGTTCAAGGCACAGCCAGGAACTGGTTATTTGGGGTAATTGAATTAGAGTATGAAAGTAGGCATTTTTTCATGTGTTTTTTGGCTGCATAAATGTCTTCTTTTGAGAAGTGTCTGTTCATGTACTTCACCCACTTTTTGATGGGGTTGTTTTTTTCTTGTAAATTTGTTTGAGTACATTTTTATATGATACATTTTACATTAAAATATTTTAAGATAAAATTAAAAAAAAAAAAAAAAGGAAGTGGGACCTAGCTGAAGAGCTTGAAGGGCAGATGGTAGGTAGAGTTCAAGAGGTTGAAATTACTCCACAGCTCTGCAGACTACACACCAAATAGGGCCATGGCACTCATATTTAAAGGCCAAGTAAGAAATATATTCCCTAGAGCTCTAGGGAGCAGGAAATTTATCTAGGGAAGAACAGATATGCCACAGTAGAACATGATCAGAGCAACTGGGTAGATACACAATAGGAAGCTGGGCTGGAGCTAGGAGGAAGGGAGGGATAGCTGCCCACCATTCTCAAACACACCTGGATGGCCTATTTCTGGCCAAAGGCCACATCCAATATGGAGTCCCACTCTGGCACCACTGTATCAGTACAACATAATTGAGAACCAGGACAGGTTCCCTCACCAAATCTCGCCATCAATGCCTTCCTTGTTATTTATCAGTTTGATTCTATAGTCCAGAATCTGGACTCCACTGAACATAATCTCTCCACTTCCCTCACTTTCAATGGCAGGCCCCACAAACAAAAGTGGGTATTGGTGGGTGTAAGGGAATCAAGGAAGGGAAGCAGGAGCTGAACTAGGGAAGCTATAGAACTGAGTCAGGGATGAGATTGGGCCTAGAGCTGGTGGTCACTACAACCCAAGGATTTGGGATCAGGAGCCAATTTTCTCAATGTAAATAAGAAATATATAGGGGGAAAAAAGGGACCTGAAGAATTAGGCAAATAAAATTCCAGGTTGTCTAGTAATAAGAAGTAGAAAAATTAATATAGCTGATTTGTCATAAACATGACAAAGAATCTAGAAAAGAGCCTAGAGAACCTGTGGTGGAATGAAGATAGACACTGGGTCATTGACTGTCAGAGCCAGCAGTTGCAAACTTATTGTCTTCTCTTCCCAGAGCAGGAAGGGTTAGCACCAGCCACTGTTGGGCCAAGAAAAGAGTAGCTTCTGGCATTGACTTTGACTAAGGAAAAATATGACAATTGCAGACACACCAGCAAGACGATAAATTACGAAGCATGTGGAGAACAGCTAGATGCATCCTTCACAAACATGATAGGATTGCTAGAAAACTCTGAGACTTGCTAAAGATGAAGGGAAGTCACCTTTGTGATCTAGAGTGGGAAAGATTTCTAGGCAACAGCAATCTTTCAAAAACATCAGTATAGCCATCTAGAAGCTAATCATCATAAGGCATTAACCCTAACAAACAAATATGTTGTGGGGGAAGTAGGGGACAGGGTGACTGCATTTAAGAGTATAAATAATCTGGTCACTTCTCACCTTTACAACTTGCAGGCAAGCATTATTCCCTATTCCCATGGTTTCTTAATATGCTATCTTTGTCCAAACTGATCAGCATCTTCTAGAGTTTCATCCCATAAGTAATCAGGACAATCACGTCTCATAAAGTCCTTGCCTCTCCACTCTTGTGCTTTACAATGCTTGTCCGAGTTCCAACACCTGAAGCCTGTCACTTCATCTCATCAGGTCTGGTGTTCCTCTGGTAGCCTGTTCTTGTTTTCACATTTGTGCTGGGCTTCTCCACTCCTCTGAGATCCACCATGCACACACCATGCTTGCTTTTCCGCCAGCCGCCAGATCACTCCATGCTCAGCAGACTGTGGCATGCTGCACCTCTGTATGTCCCCACTTAGCCAGGACAAGAACTCAGAAAACATTCTGCCCCCTTCCCAATGCCTTTACTTCCTTTCCATGCTCTATCCAAATTGCTCCCCAATCAAATGAGTCACTTTCTCATAGACTTGATTCCATAAGGGCCATTTGATGTAACAGCAGAACATGTGGGCCTCGCCTCCCCTAACTCACCTTCCTTACAGACATACTGACCAGCTGGCCAGCCTGCTTTCCCTCTGACAGAGAGAGGGAAAAAGAGAAACCAGGCAGAAACAGAAAGAGAAGCACCTCACATTTAGAAGTCAATCTGGTGTTCACAACTAAACTGTGTGATTGTCCTACTGGACATAAACAATTTACAGAATGCCACCCTCAGACAAGGGCACTGGGAGACCATGATAAAATGAGACAAAGTAAGACACACTTCATAATTGTGTCTAAGAACTAATAAGATACCCAATTTTAAAATTATCCCCACTTTCTGACAGCATCAAACCATTTCCTTAGAGTCTCCTCCAAATCACTTAACTAAAGCCCAAGTCCTGTACCAAGCTTTTGAATACCCTGTTACGGAGAAGCCCCGCAGTTTCCCAGTGTAGGGGTTCTCTCCAGCACCATAAATAATGCCTCCAACTTGCCTAACTACAGGTTTGTTCCTGGGGGCCTTTGGCTGAAGGTTACTGACAATAACCAACATGAAATGGTCCCTCCTATACGCCTGACACTGTGGTAGGCCATGTGGATACAGGAGCAAATAATGACATGACCTCATTAAATCCTGACAGCAACTCTGTGAGATGGATTTTATAGTATTCACTATACAGAAGAGGAAACCAGGCCCAACACTGTACAAGCAGGAAGTGGTAGAGTCAAAATTAATTGGCCTATCACTAGGGCTCCAAAGCTCCTATCTAAGATGGAGCAGCATCACTGAATTATTTTCTATCACCTGGAAATGATGCTATAACAGAAGCAGATCTTACCTGCTGAATCCAGGAGCAGCAAAGCGTAAAACCAAACCGGGCTGGCCAGTAAAACAAAAACCACAAGAACAACAGACTGGGTATGGTCTGATGGCAGAGCCAGGTAAAGTCATTGAAGGCCAAGACACACAGTTCTTAAGCCAAATGGCCTAGAAGACAATAAAGACTTGAGAATGAAACAGAACTCCACTACTTTCAGGCAACTTTCAGGTTTTATATCTCAGTTAATAAAAACAAAAAACAAAAGAAATAAATGGATTGGCTCAAGATCAGCCAAACTGAAAAAGCAAGAATAGAATCGTGGCTATGGAGTATTTACAGCAGTGAGCAGAGCTGAGGAATCAATGCTCCTAGGGTAATGAGAGGAAATGACATGATGAGAAATAGAGTAAATAAAAATAAATAGCAAGGAAAAAAAAGCCATCATGATCATCAAGTTATTGAACCAGTGCTCCCTCCAGACCACAGGCACAATTTCAGCCTGATGGTATATTGTTGGGAGTCACCTCACACTGGCAGAGGACCATCTGTGAGTACCTCGCTGCCGGTTCTGCCTCTGGGGTTGAGGATACTGCAGTCTGAATTCATTTTCTCTTGGAAAAACAAATTTGTCCACTCCTGGGAGCAGAGACAGAGCTTGAGAGACGGCCTAGAAAGCTTATTGCATGTCACATTGCTCTTAAAAATCTCATTTTTATGAGCATAAATGAATCAGAAACATATGGGTGAAATTTCTTGGCCTGATGTGAGCAGCCTCATACCCCAAGCAGTGCCCTCGGAGAGGATGCTTGGAATGTAAGTGTTGGTGCCAGAATCCCTGGTGGAAAGGTCAGGGGAGCAGACCTCTCCCCTCTGCGTACCCCACCCCTGCAGCACAGCCTGTGTACAGACCTCACCAGACAGGCAAGACTGTCCTGTGCCAGACTACTTTCCACTTCATCTCTGTGCTTGTTCTTTTTCAATAACAAAGGCTGAGTGTATGTGTGTGCACACACATGCACATATGCACATGCGCATGCATATTTTTACTCTCCCAATGAATATTGTGAACTAAGATGCCAGGGTAAAAAAAGCATCAAAGGCTATAAAATAGCAATGGATTTCTGCTTTAAATGATACAAACTTTCCTATAAGGAAATTGACTTCTTAAATATCAAGATAAATACTAGCACTAGATAGCTGGACAACTGCAGAAAAATTCAACCATGGAATTGTGGCATCACATTCATGGATATAAACAGCATTGATTGAAACTCTTGTTTAAAACCCTGAAAAAAGGTACCAATTCTTCCAAATTTTTAATCTAGCCTTGTGTTTGGCACCTACATTTTAGGCCAGAGTAAGGAAAAATAACCAGGACTATGACGTATTCCTCACACATGGGTTAAGAAATCAAAAGTCAGGATATTTGGGATAAAAATACACACAGATGCCTCTTGTCAACACAATGTCTGAAAACTCATAGGGACGCAACGTAGCTGAGTGGAGTGTGGGCTTCAGTGTCAGCGACACAAGGACTGAGTCCTTGTCTGGCCATTTGCTAGCTAATTGACATTGGGCAAGTTGCTCAACCTCCCTGAGCAGTTTTCTTATGGATAAAATCATGAACATGGAAGCCAATATACATAATGTACCCTGCACACAAGAGTCCAATCAATGACAGTTATCGTAGAATGAAAACTTCTCACATACATTTTAAAACTAGACCTTCAGAATAGACTTTAGTCCTCATTATTGACATATTTATTGAGTTCATATGTAGCTATAGTCCACCCTAGACACTAGCTCATTGTCTCTCAACCCATTCTCTGTCCCTCAACCCACATCCCCTACTTAGCAACCTAACTGGGCAATTCAAAGTGGTTAAGTCCAACAGTCCTGGACACATTCAGAATTCTCCCTTGGTTTCCCTCATTGCGCTAGTCCACATTAGGTCGACTCCTCATAGCAGCTTGCTTGCTATCTGCATTTTGCTCTGTGATCATACCACCCCAAGCATGCCCTCCCCACTGGGTTCAAGGGCCATATCTCTACCATTATTTCTCAAGGAGTAGCAAGTTGAAATATTTTCCCAGTTTCTTGACACTTCATGTTTTGGCAGCAGATTGTACCACGCTCAGGTTGACCTTGCCAAAGTTCCCCTGGTCTGATATTTGTTTCCTTACCAAATAAAATTCACATTCTTTGTTCTGCCATGGCTTCATCTCCACTTCCCTCATTAGTCTCCTCCCAAGATCCTTTCAACTCTAGCCAGATAAGTTTACTCATCTTTCTCCACCACACCCAGTTCATACCTACCCCAGTGCCTTTCCTTGGGCTGTTTCCTCCACCTCTATCCTCATCTGAATGTTTTCCTAAGTTCCAGTCTACCTTCAAAGTCTCAACCCCTCCCAGTCTCATCTTGTCTCCTTCTAATAGAAGGAGGATTCTCAGCCTCCTCCAACACACGATGGTTCTCCCTTCCTTGGACTCCTCTAGCCCATCCACTATCGATGCTGGTGTGTAATAGGGTATCCAGTGCCTGCTATAGCCAGTGACTTTTCCTATGTATTGTCTAGCTCCCCACTCTGAGTGTAAGCTCCTTGAAGGCAGGAATCGTGCCTTCTTATGCCGGTTCCGCAACGGGCAACCAGTCAATCTTTGATTATCGTGAAGATAGACTCAAGCACGCCTGTAATCCCAGCACTTTGGGAGGCCGAGGCAGGTGGATCACCTGAGGTCAGGAGTTCGAGACCAGCCTGGCCAACAGGGTGAAACCCTGTCTCTACTAAAAATACAAAAATTAGCCAGGCATGGTGGCAGGTGCCTGTAATCTCAGCTACTCGGGAGGCTAAAGTAGGGAGAATCGCTTAAACCCAGGAGGCAAAAGTTGCAGTGAGCCAAGATCATGCCACTGCACTCCAGCCTGGGTGACAGAGTGAGACTCTGTCTCAAAAAAAAAGATAGAATGAAGCAGTAAGAGGTTGACATGAAATAGAACTTTTTTGATTTAAACAAAAACCGTTTATTTACTGCTGTAATGTTTAGTCTGTTCTTTCATTCTTTTTCTTTTATTTTCTATAAACCACTTGGTCCTTGAAATTCCTGTTGGGGAAGGAAAACCTGTAACTCCTGCAGCTCCGATTGAAGCAGAACACTTGAATAGACACACCGTGCCCATTAGAAAATGCTGCTTCTCTTCATCAACTTCCCCTGCCATGCCGTGATCCCAGGTCATGCTGTAAAACCATGGAGGTTGAGGAGGCCACTCTAGGGCTGAGGGATTAGGATGGGTCAGGGAAGCCTCCTGGAGGAGATTGTGGAGTCTTGAAGTGGAGACTGGGGAGTGCTCCTGCACACAGCCTGAGGGAAAACCTGCTGTGATGTACCTGTGTGTAACCACATCATGGTTACAAGGCTGGCCTATCACCTGCTTGGAATGGACAAAAAGCAACTTAAACTGAAAAACAAATACGAAATGATTGTGTTTGGAAAGTCATTTCTAAAATGTGACCTAAAGTGCCTTTTAACCTCTTTATGGCTCAGTTTACCTGTGGAGATTATAATTGTACCTACCTCATAGGATAGTTGTAAAGTTTACCTAAAATAAACAAAATGTGCTGTATCCATACAATGAAATATTATTCAGTCATAAAAAGGAATGAGGTGCTGCTACGTGCTACAACATGGATAAACCTTGAAAACATTATGCTAAGTGGAAGAAGTCAGACACCAAAGGACACATATTGTATGGTTCTCTATACATGAAACATCCTGAATAAACACATCCTAGAGACAGAAACCATATTAGGGGTTATCAGGGGCTGGGGAGAGAGGATAATGGAGAGCGACTGTTAGGTATGTGGTTTTGTGGGGTGTGATGAAAGATGTTCTGGAATGAACTAGTGGTGATGGTTGCACAACATTGTGAATATATGAAAAACACATTGAATGATTGTACACTTATAAAGGGTAAATGTTACAGTATGTGAATTAACCTTAATTTTTTAAGCGTAAACAAATAATACAGACAATTGGCTTGGCACAAAGCCTGGCAGATATAAATGCTCAGCAAATACTGTTAAGATTATTGGAAAGGGCAAGATAACAGAAAACACTTAGATGTAGTCTTAAACCCTGGCTATTCCACTCACTAGGTGTGCTGAGTGACTTTGGGCAAGTTATTTGAACTCTTAGATGCGGCTTCTGCAAAGGTTAATTAGAAGTGATAACCCATTCTTGTTAGAAGTATTAGGTAATATATAAAGCTCCTTTGCACAGTGCATGGCATGGGGTAGATGCTCAGTAAACCATATTCCTCTTCCTCTTTATTTCTTATTAAATCTCATTCCTGCAGAAATCCTTAGAACACAGTTCTAGCTGGCCAGAAGTTGGGGGTTCCATCCTTGGAACTAATGAGAACCCACCAAGGACGCTTACTGGAATCATGCAAAGTGCTTTCCCAAAGCCTCAGGGCAGAATAACCAGAAGAGCAAGTGAGGACTGCTGTTGGGAGGGGAAGCCAGAGGTCACAGCAGGGAACACAAATCCACACCCTAGGTCTCCGCTAGGCTGCAGAATAAGTCCAGGGGTCAGGCCCAAACAAAGTAAACAAGATCTGGGAGCTGAGACAAACCATTCAGAATAAAAGCCAGGAAAAAGGCAACGGTGTTAGGGCCCAAGGCAAAACCAGGCCTGTTTATTTAAAAGACATTAAACTAGATTGAGCCTAAGACCTGATATCTGTTATTCTCAACTAGTCAGTAAATCATTCTCCCTGTCTAGAAGCCTACGAAAAGAAGAAGGAGTCAGAAGAGAGAGGGGGAAGGGCAGAGTGGGTCCTAGGGAACTGGGCACAATTAATCATCACCACCTCTCCCTGGACAATGCAGCTCAGTGTGCAGCAGTTGGGGGTGGGAAACTCTTTCTTGAAAATTCTTCGTCTTCTTATCCCACAGTCCAACAATCCTGCCAAAATGTTGCCACAGGATAAATTTAAGGACAAAATGCAGTGATTTGTTAGATGCAAAATCTCTGAGATGGGAGGCTTTTGCTCAAGAGTTGAAATTGTTGCATTGATAAATGTTGATGCTGTCTACTACTGCTGGCTGTCTCAGGAGTTTGGGGAAGGAGGGAGATTTTCATCCCATGAAGAAATTTCTCCTAGTTGTCTCTTAATCTGTTCTGTGATCAATATTAACACTGCCAAAATAGTTAAACTCTTTTTCCTTGTTGTCACCCATCTGTGTATGAATTCATTGCTAAGGCCACATACAGGACAATAAAGTGTCTGCAGATAAAACAAGGGAAGATTATTTTTATTTTTATTATAATCCATAGAGAAGATACTTGGTCAGCAAAATAAATGACACCAGACACCTTCACTGCAAATGGTGGGGCTGATTCAGTTTTTTCTTCCTTCATTCTTCAACAGAGATCCATTTCCTTAAAGGCCATCATATTCTGAGGCAGAGACATGCACATGTGTTTTTGCTTAGGGGCTGTGTCTGCAGTGATGTCCAGACTGTTTCTTGGGGACCTGGCCAGCACAACTTAGGAGACATTCTGTGTTTCAATAATTTCTGCTTTCGGAAGAGCATACTGTACCTCCAGGCAGAGTCTGAGGTTTGGAGCCCGCCGGGAATGCGACTATAACAAAGAGTCCTGAAAGCCTTTGGCTGCTAGGACCAAGCAAGTTCTTTCTGGCAGCACTCCATTTACTGATTTGCACATTCACCCACTCCCTGACACACAACCCACTTACTTCTACAAATTAAATGCACATATGTGCAAATTCATGTGCATCTCACACACCAACACATACACATACATACCCAAACACCCTTATGCGCACAGTTGAAAATATACCACATGCACACATATACATTGCTCATGTATATGGGAACAAGCATAAAAACCCACGGATGTACACATGCTTGTACACACACACATTCTTTATGCACATGAACATGTTGGTCCTCATATCCATGGCAGGAATTCTGTGACAACTTTGCGGTGTCCAAATGATACTAATATTTATAGTCTTCTAGACAATTGTGCCCTGCTATAAAAGTGACATTTTTTAGGAGACACAACGAAAACAATAACAGCAATTGTCTCACCAATTGTAAGGCACAGTCTATAAATCACTGTGCCTTACTCCCCAACAAAAGAAAGAAGCAAAGCATTGTTCAGAACAGAACTGAAATGTGACCAGGTATTAAGATTGGAAAGACTTTCGAGCGGAAAAATCAAGGCACCGATATTAACACAAGCCAGTAAATAAATAGAGTCTGATTTGGCCACCAGCAACTTCTTAAACTTCTGGTTTAAGGTGGATGAGGATTTGAGAGTGATGTTATGGTTTGTCAACCCACACACATCTCTGTGGCTTTCAAATAGAGACAGCCTTCCTGAGTTCCTTCCAGCTTGGGGATACTATTTTTGCTAATGGCATTTTTAAGGGTCCAAACAGGCCATTTGCTTACATAAGAAATGCAATGGAAAGAGGCAACATCTTTTTTGTTGTCATTTTCTAGTTTGGCAAAACCACATCTTGGAAGTAAAGCAGAAATTTTGGAGGCAGTTTACCTAAGACCTCAAACCAAAATTTACAAACAGCTGGATAAATTCTTTAATGGGGCTGTATTTGTTCCTAAATAGTTGGCAACAGGAAGTATAATTTTCTTAAATTCATCCCTAACAAGCATTGACTCTTCCACCTTCTCTCTGTCCTACGTGGGACCTCCCACTTCTCCCTGCCCATCTCAAACCCTAATAAACAAATCCCTCTCTTACGCCATCAGCCTCAGAGAAACGTGAAGGAGTTTTTCTTGAGTTGAGTTCACAGCTGCCCTCTCAGGGCCACTGTAGTGTGCTGGGAGACCTGGAAACCTGGTGGGCAGAGAAACCAAAGTGGGAGGAGATTAGGGTTGGGTTGGAATGTGGGGGTGGGGGGAATTTGAGCAAGAACTTTGAATCTGAGAAGTCAGAGCCCAGGGTGCTGCCTGGAATTCCAAAATGGGGAAAGAGATCTCAGCTGCTTTCATATGGAAATTGGCCTGGAAGCTGACTTTGTCCCTGCTTGGAACCGAAGCCAAGACCAAGTTCAGTGAACCTAACACACCGTTCAATCAACCATTGAAACCCAGGAGAAGAGAAGGCAGGAAAGGGAGGGCAGAGGGTCAAAGAGGCTCGCCTTTCATTTGGACTTGGTTCCGGAGGTAACAGTAAGGAGGAATTAAACACTGGAAACAACTTGAAGGCAAAATCCCATCTATCAGGAAGGTGCATTCTGCCTGGCTTTAAATGAAAGAAAAGAAGGGGAAAGAAGAAGGAAATTGAAAAAGAAAGCAAGAAAGCAAGCAAGAAGGAAAAAAGAGAGAAAGATGTAGACAATGACAATCACTCAAAGCAATGATTCTGCAATTGACAAAATAAATGCAAATACATACACTGGGTGTAACTTAAAGAAGGAAAGAACTGACCTATAGTTGGCAAAGATTCCCCCCTCCCCACCCTCTTAGATAAAGGTTTTCAGAGACCTGAAGATTCTTAAAGCAGATACTAACTGGACTTCTGAAAGTTTACTTTAGGACTCGCTTTAACTTTGTTTTGTTTTTATTGCAGCTTGAAAAGAAAGTTGAAGAAGTACCTACTCTTTGCAAAAAGAAGCTACTATAGTTTCTTCCTAGATACTGTTTTGGGGACTAGTTTCTTGTCTTTTGTCCTTGATTTATTATTGCCTTTATGTGTTCTCCCCATTTGGTTCATTTTATTCTTATTTTAAAAGAACAGCTCCAAAGACCCTTCTATTTTCATGGAAATTGCTCAGTAGTAACAATTTCAGATAGCTTCCAAAAGAATAATCATCACACTGGCCATTTTACCCAAGAAGCTTTGCAGCATTTCACATAACAATTTACTAATTAATGACAAATTAAATGGAATCTGGTAAGAAGAATCAGAGGTTAGAGTGCTGGTATATATTGTGTGTAAAAAGGTATGCAAATATCTTCAGCCCATTTGTGGTTCATCAGTGGGAAATAATAGCTATTCTACTCGACAATTTCACATGCAGGAGGGCTGCCGCATAGAAGCAGAATTTGGAAATTATACATCATTTTAACTTTTTAACAGTTTTTCAGATTAGATACTGTTCCTTCATTTTAAAGGCACAATGAACTTAATCTTTTTTGTTTTAGTAGATGTAAAATCATGGAAATTCTACTATACTTTGCTGCTTATATTAATTACATATTTGCAAGCAAGAAGCAGTCTTTGGAAATTAGTGACTAAAGTTTTCATCTTTCACAGGAGAAAAAAAGTACTGACTCCAGTCTCCTGAAGCAAGCACTGGAAAACCATAGCCCACAGGCCAAATCTAGCCCTCTTCCTGTTTTTGTAAATAAAGTTTTATTGGAGCACAGCCACATTCATCTATCTACATAATGTCTATGGCTACTTATAAACTGCTATGGCAGAGTTGCAAGAAAAATCTCCTGGCCCACAAAGCCTAAAATATTTACGATCTGTTCCTTTACAAAAGGTTTGCCAATCTCTGCCCTAGAGGGTAAAGCTAGGGAGAGAACATTTATCATAAAGACAAAATAAAAGGTTTTAACTTATAAAATATCAAAATTAATTTAATGTGTCCTGTCACTACTTAAAGCCCACAAATGGTCACCGTCACTCCAGCTGTCACAGAAATTTGCCAAATGTTCTTTTCTTGCTCAGTGCACATGTAAGGGAAGTGCATTCTCTGTGCCCCAGTTCTTCTGTAGCCCGTTGAACAGGCTGGTCACCTCAGGGAAACACTGGTCATCCTTAATAAGAAAAGGCCTTGCAAAGAGTGAAATGTGTCTGCCATCCGTGGAAGTTCTAGGACAACACAGAAGGGTTCCCATGTCAAATAGGTGATTGCTTTGGACACATGTCAATTAATTTATTTTTACTGCTTTTAACTTTGAGAGTAAGACAAAATATCGTACCTGTCTTTATTATTCATCTTTAACTTATCTTCTTTTCAAAATATTAATACTCAAAAGGTATTTGGGGTCACAAAAATGTCTTATTACATTTAGAACATCCCCCCCTTGGATATAGGATGCTACACCCACACATTCATTCAACTTCTGAACATTCTATTTGTGTTGAGGGCACAGGGACACAGCCCAATACAAAACATTTCTTGCATGCCCACAACTTGGTATTATTACCAACAGCACCTGTCAGATCACAGCCAAACATGAGCTTAAAGCGACAAAATTGGTAAGTCAACTTGACGAAACATTATTATTTCTCCCGGTCAGTAGGTTGATAAGCATCTGAATTGGCTAGCTGCTCCAGCAAAATCTGTCTCTCAGCACAGTGTCAACCTCTTTCTCCTGCAGCTTCTAGTCTCTAAAATACCTCTGTGTGAGCCGGGTGCAGCAGCTCACACATGTAATCCCAGCACTTTGGGAGGTTGAAGCTGACAGATGACTTGAGGCCAGGAGTTCAAGACCAGCCAAGCCAGCATGACAAAACCCCATCTCTACTAAAAATATGAAAATTAGCAGGGTATGGTAGTGATGGCGCATGCCTGAAATTGCAGCTACCAGGGAGGCTGAGGCACGAGCATTGCTTGAACCCAGGAGGTGGAGGTTGCAGTGCAACTCCACTGCCACTGCACTCCAGCCTGGGCAACAAAGTAAGACTCAGTCCCAAAAACAGACCAAAACAAAACAAAATCTGTGTGCATTGTAGAACTGATGTCTTAGAAAAAGCACAGAACTAAGAGTTTGTAGCTTGACAGACTGTATGTTCCAGGCATGTGACCTAAGCATTCCAGGTTAGAAGAGGAAATTGGTTTAGCTCAGGATGGCCGAACTCAGTATCCATGCAATCTCTCAATCAGCCATTCAACAATAGCATTAAGCACTTCTTCCACTTCAGCACTATACCAGGTACTAGGTAAATAGCTGGGAAGAAATAGACAGGGTACTTTCCTCAGGAAGTTTGCTGTTAAATGAGTGTGTTGTGAGAAAAGGGTGAGAAAACAAATACACACATACATATAATGGCAAATTATGAGGCATGCAACCAAGAGACATTAATAGAAGTGGTTTGCTTCAGGCAGGGAAGGCCTCCACAAAGAAGTGACATTAAAATTGAAACTTAATGGATGGGATGGGCACAGTGGATCATGCCTGTAATCTCAGCGCTTTGGGAGGCTGAGGCAGGAGGATGACTTGGGGCTGGGAGCTTGAAATCAGCATGGGCAACATAGCAAGATCCTGACTCTACAAAAAGAATTAGCCCAGTGTAGTAGCGTGTGCCTGTAGTCCTGCCTACTCAGAAGGCTGAGGTGGGAAGATCACTTGAATGGAGGAGTTCGAGTTTACAGTGAATTATGATCTCACCACTACACTCCAGCCTGGTCAACAGAGAGACATCTTGTCTCCAAACCAGCTAGAAAAACAGTGGTGGAGTGGGGAAAGTATTCCAAATAGAGTGTGCAGCATGGGAAAATGTGCTGAGACTGGAAAGAGCTTTGCACATTTGAATAACTGAAGTAAGATTCGCACCCGTGGCAGACATCACTAATTGATCACAGCCCTCCTTTCTGTTGAAAATGGACAAAGCCTCAGCATTCTCAGCACAGCACTCCAGGCAGCCACAACTAATCCGTTCGAGTGGGCAACCACCGAAACCTATTTGTCATCCCTGAAACACCTGGTTACAGAAGGCTCTCCCAGGCCTGGAGTTTCTGATTCTATGATTCTCATTTTATTCACTATTTGAATATTAACTCTTGGTTTGAACATTCTTTCATGTGCCTGTTTTCTTCCATTATTATTGACTTCCTGGAGATGATGAGCCTTCTCTCTCATCCCATTCCATTCAATTTCCACAGGCAAAGCTCCTTTCCATACATATATTCCAAAGGCTCTTCAAATTCCCTTTCCCTAGTGGAATCTCAACGATGTGTATCAGTTATCTATTACTGTGTAACAAACCATACCAAAAGCTAGTGGCTTTAAACAACAGGTTACCTTTCCCAAAGATTCTGTGGTTGGCTGGTCAGTTCTCACTCAACAGATTTCAGATGGGGCTGAGTTCAGCCAGGGCAACAGGGAGAGCAGAAATGGCTGGGCCTCTCTCTACTTGGTCTTCATCCCAGCTTCTTCCTAGCATGGCGGTATCAGAGTAGAGTTATAAGAGGGTGAAGAGGAGGCTGCAAGGCTCTTTAAGGCATAATCTCAGAACTTTGATCGTATGGCTCCTTCCCATTCAATTGGGCAAAGCAAGTTCACATCAGGCCAATTCACATCAGATCCCCCTCCTTTTTCTTGGGAAAGGCAGCAAAGACACATTGTGAGGGGAGTGCATCCAAGAAAGGGAGGACTTTGTGGGCATATTTTTTTATATAGCCCAATAAGAATCTATTTCAAAATTGGGGAGGTAGACCAAAGAGCCCAGCTGTCTCATTCCTAGCCCATTCTTCTCTCTCTATCATTAAACCATTAGACCCCCCTTGACCTTAAGGCACTACTTGCAAGTTGGCGATTAGGATACCTAACAAAATCGTAAAAATTCCTCAGAGCCCAGCTGGCCAGAGTATGATGCAGCCAACAGACAAACAAAAGCTTTCAACCTGAGATAGGTCTGTTTACTTCTCTGGAGACACCAAGTCACTGACATTCACGTTCCTGATTAGCTCAACTCCCCCAAAACAAGACCACTGAACTGTCCAGTGCTTTTCCTTCATGACTTAACTACTTATCACTTTCTACTTTATAGAGATTGTGTTGGATTCAAGGCAGATGGACAGATTTGAATCCCAAATGCATCTCATACTACTAGCTGGATAACCCAGAGAAAATTTCTTTGCCTTGGTTTTCTCATCTGTTCAACGGGAAAATAGGAAACTTGCAAGATGGTTGTGAGAATTAATGGAAATAGATGCAAAGTCACTAGTAAAATTGCTGGCTTGCATTAGGTACTCAATAATTATCAGCTATTACTTGTTATTAATGGTGTTTGGTCAGGAAAAACTTCATGTAAGAGAGAAGCTTGGACTGAGTTTTGAAAAATAAATAGAATTTGGGTGCTGGGGAACTATCAGATGGAGAAAGTAGCAGACAAAGAAATGCACACTGTAGGTAATTTAGGTGTAAATAAGTGGACTAACTTGGTTGAAGCGGTCTTGTCTTTACATTCAGCCTTCAGCCTTCATCCTTCCTTCACTGGTTTAGGAAATAAAGTAGGGAAGGAGACTAAGGCCAGATATGCAAGAATTGTGAATGTATGGATAAGAAACCTGGGCTTTTTCTAGCACAGTTGAGGGCCATGGAAGGACAGAGGGACAAAATGAAAAACAAGCCTCCAGGGCATGATCAGAAAAATTAGTCCTGTCATCATGGCAGGGTGGCTAGGCTGGAGATAAACCAGAGGGAGAAAAAACCATTGGCAAGTGAGATGGCATATGAAGGTCAAGTGTGTTTGATCATGTTTTCAAAACTAATGCTTCTCATCTCTTCAACTGAGGCTTTAGGCAGTTTGAAATTATGTCCACAAATTCTTTGACACTGCTCCTATGGAAAAACAGAGTCTATTCCCTCCCCTTGAATGTGGGTTCACCTCAGTGACTAACCTCTAATGAATAGAATGTGGCAAAGGTGGCACTGTGGACTTCAAAGTCTAGATCATAAAAAGCAATACAGCTTCTGCCTAGTTATCTTACCCTTAGGATGCTTGCCCTTGGAACCCAGCCTCCAGGCCATGAGGAAGCCAGGTAGCCCCCTGGTGGAAGGGCCACATGTTCCAGCCCCAGATCCAGCTGAGGTCCCAGCTGACAGCCAGCATCACCCTCCAGACACGTAAATGAGAGAGCCTCCACATGACCCCACCTTCAGCCTTTGATCCCCACAAGCTGAGGCTAAGTGGAGCAGAGATGAGCTGTCCCTGCGGAGCCATGCTCAAATTGCTGATTTGCAAGCAAAGTAAATGCTGTTGTTATTTTAAGTCGCTAAGTTTTGGGGTGTTGTGTTACACAGCAATAGTTAACTGGAGCCAGCTGTTCTGTGTACTGGCTGGGTGTCACACATACACTGATTGTTCTCATACTTGTTCAGAAGGCCAGTTACCCAGAAATCATAATTTTTGGGTGGAACATCCTCTATCCCATCACTCTTTCCATTTTCTTCATAGCATTTGTCACAATTTGCAATTATAGTCTGTATTTGCTTGTTAGCTTGTTTTCTTTGCCTCTTTAGAATAGAAGCTCCCTAGGTACCCTGATCTTGTCTGTCTTACTCACTGCTGTATCCAATTACCTACTAAGTGCCTGGCATATGGTGAGCACACTATAAATATCTGTGGAATAATGAATGAGTAGATAAACACTATGAAACTCGGATATATTCAATTCCATTACAGCAACCACTTACAGAAGACATGTGCCAAAGTTTTAAGAAAAGAAAAATGTGTGCAGTTTAGGATTTTTTTTTTTTTTTGAGACAGAGTCTTGCTATGTTGCCCAGGCTGGTCTCAAACTCCTAGAACTTGGAACCCAACAATCTTTCCACCTCAGCCTCCCAAAGTGCTGGGATTATAGGCATGAACCACTGAGCCTGGCCCACTTTAGGATGTTAATGGAGAAAATGATTTACCTTCACTTTTTTGTTTTTTTATGAATTGGTACCAAGCAGCCTTTGGGCCCTTGTTACTACACCATCTCAGCTGGGCTCACAGAAAAAGAGTGCTTTTCGGATGCTTCCTCTGAGAACCATTACACACGTCATCTCATCAAACCCTCGGTAGCTCCGTGTGGCAGGTATTCCTGTTTCCAATTAAGGGACGAAGACACTGAGGCTTAGAATGATTCAGTATCTCTCTCAAGAAACACAGCTTTGAAGTGAAGAAACCAGGGTACAAACTCAGGTGGGACTCCATACTGGCAACACATGGGGCAAACAAATTCAGGTGGACCAAGGAAAACTGAACGAGTCTTTCTCCTCTGTGATGGCAACCCACGGATGTGCGCTAGCTGTTCACAGGCAACTCTTCAGCTTCTGCAGGGATGAGCGGGGAACAATAAGATAGCGTTCCTTCCTGTCTTCATCTGTGTAGATTGCTGCACCAGAGCACTTTAGACTGGGTAGCTCATAAATGACAGAATTTATTTCTCACAATTCTGGTGGCTGGGAAGTCCAAGATCCAAGTACTGGTGGATTTCATGTCTAGAGAATGGTGGATTTCTGGTGCTTCTCACTGTGTCTTCACATGACAGATGGGATCAGGGAGCTTTCTATGGTCTCTTTTATAAAAAAAACACCCATTCATGAGGGCTCCACTCACATGACCTCAACACCTCCCAAAGGCCCCATCTCCAAACACCATCACTTGGGGATTAGGTTTCAACATATGAATTTTAGGAGGACACAAATATTCAGACCATAACACAGCCATCATTCTTTTTTTTTGAGAGGGAGTCTCACTCTGTTGCCAGGCTGGAGTGCAATGGCCCGGTCTCGGGTCACTGCAACCTCCACCTCCCGGGTTCAAGTGATTCTCCTGCTTCAGCCTCCCAAGGAGCTGGGACTACAGGCGCATGTCACCATGCCTGGCTAATTTTTGTATTTTTAGTAGAGACATGGTTTCACCATATTGGCCAGGATGGTCTCCATCTCTTGACCTCGCGATCCACCTGCCTTGGCCTCCCAAAGTGCTGGGATTACAGGCGTGAGCCACCAGGCCTGGCCAGCTTTCATTCTTTTAGTCATTCAACAAACGCTCACTGAGCACATACTATGTATCTCTATTGCAGAGGCCAGACCTTATCCTAGGCACTGCCTGTCGGAAAATCAGATGCAGCTTCCTCCAGTCCAGAAAGGGAGGGAAATAAACACAGGCAGGGGGAGTTAGGAGGCGATGTGGCAAATGCAGACCAGCCAGACACATACAGAGGACTGACAAACTCACAGAAGATGGTCTGTGGCCCTGTCCCAGGGCTCCACGATAAATTTCGTCCTTAATCCTAGCTTCACCTGCACAGACTCCCCCTTTCTCCTGTAAGGGGTGCAAATCCAAGAAAGAGAGGACTTTGTGGACGTATTTTTTAATACAGCCAGGGAAGAGTCAATAGGAGTGAGAACAAGCCTCCCAAAAGAGGCCACGTGGGCAACAGCCAGTTTCTGCAGCACTCCCCAGGTGCCCCACAGCCCTCCCAGGCTGCATCCTCCTCCTTCCCAGGCCTCCTGGGCGGGGCCAGCCCATCCCGGGAGCACAGTGACTCCTCCCAGAAGTGGGAAACACAGAGGGCCGGGGAAGCCCACCAATAAGATGGTCAAAAGCAATTTTAACTGGGTCCCGTGACAGGGTAAAACATTTGTGTTGTAATAGTGTCTCAATAAAAGGTATTGTAATATTTAAAATGTAGTATTGATCCCTCTGTGAGGACCATCAATCCTTGCAGGATTTGAGAGCCTGACCGCAGAGCCTGGGCTCGCCGGGTGAGGGTGGGGGAGAACCTTGGGAAATGCTGCGCCCTCAAGAGCACAAAGTCACCCACAAGAGCGGGGCGAGCTCGACGGCCCGGGTGTCCCTCCAACATCAAAGGAGGGATGCTGGGGTCCCCGGGCCGACACAGGAGAACCTGAGAGAAACTGTCTAAACAAAGGAATCAAAATATGAAACTAAATCACCTGCTAGTGTTTTATGAGGCCTTGTTCTGAATCAATACAAGCCCCAGGGCCCACGATTCCTCATGCTGAAAGGGAATACTTTTTCATCCTAAAACGAAATCGAGCTGCTTAAGTAAAACAGATGTTACCGTTGAGTGCCAGCACCCCGGCCCCTCCTCCCTCACCCCTTCTTCCTGCGCTGGAAAGAAGGGAGCCCGCGCTGCCCCGAAACCCAAGTCGGCTGGGGAAAGCCAGAGCCTTGGAATTTCTCCCTCCTTCGCCCACAGAAGTTTTCTTTTCTGTTTACCGGGGAGGGGAGCCCGGGAGGGGGCCGGTGGGGGGAGGCCAGTCTGCTCGCAGAGGATTTGAAGGCGCAGCGGCGACGTGAGAGGCGGAGAAGATTTTCATTTCCTGTGTTACGGGGTGCAAAGAATATCAGTATGAAAAACCCGGCGGGGAGATCGGAGATAGCAGTTTTTACATTGATAAGTATTTGTTCATTTCCTGACAACAAAAAAAATATAAATCTCTTCAGAAATTAAGCGGCGCGGCTTGTCGGGCACGTTCGTGGCGCGCGGGCCGCCCCCGCCGGCGTAATCGCGGCATCAGCCATCGGCGCCATCGCGGGCGGCGGCCGCGCGGCGCCCACTTTTTGTGTCACTTGTTTTCTCAGCGGGCCCGATTTGCATTTTAATGGAAGTAGTTTATAGACTTCTCCGCTGCCTTCGGAGTGCCACAAGTGGCATCATTAAGCGGGCTAAGCCGGATTAATGCTGATAGTAAAGTCAGATAATACAATAACAGAGGCCTCCGCTCCATTTGCATTAGGTGAGGAGCGCGGGGCTGCCTGGTGGCTGGCGATAATTTGTAAGCGCGATATGTTGTACTTGAGAGGATAAGATTAAATTTAGTGGGTTTAACTGTCATCCCACTAAGTCAATTACTTCATCTTTTCAGCCTTTGAATTTCTTTTATAAGTAAAATAAATGGAATATTGAGCTGCTCCGCGGCCATTTCGAGCTTCCATGAAGAATGACACAGGCCGAGCCAAAAAAATAAAAGGCTTCGGATTCAGCTCCATAAACAAAATATAAACTCCATTCAGGTGCCAGCATGGCAGCAGCCCCGAAATATTGTCCATCTCTCATATCACAAGCATGACAGATTCCATTGTGACTTTAGTTTCTCCATAATAGGAAATATTTATGTTGTGCCTGGGTGTTTTCTATTCCTTTCCCTCTTATTATGGGAGGCAAACAGGCCAAAGCAGGGCCATGTGCTTCCCCCTTTCCCTCCCTCCCTCGCCTGCCTCTCCTTGCCCTGCGCTAAATGTTTAGTGTTGGGGGCGGATATTAAGGCAGCCTCCTGACCCCAGGAGATGCCTCAGATTTCAAGCGGGTCGGAGATCAACAGAAGGGGGCAACTTCTTTCAGGCCCTCCCCCTCGCCCCCACCCTGGCCTGTTGCCTCTGTAGATGGCTTCTCTGCATGAAGTTTAGATATCTAGCATCAGTGAGCGGAACCTCGATAGAAGAACCTCAACATCTTCATTTATTCAAAGAGGGATGGTGGCGGGGGAGCGGGGGGGGCGGTAGGGACAAGGAAGAAAAAGAAAATCAAGCAGTTGAACCCCTATAGGTGGCACCAGCCAGTGCAAGTCATGTTTTAGGAGACTCCAACTCTGCTGTGTTCTCTACACATTAATAAACATGTACTCAACAAATATAGATGTCTTTCCTAATCATGGATGGATGGATGGATGGATGGATGGATGGATGGATGGATGGGCGAGTGAGAGAAAGACACAGACAAGGCATAATCTGTGTCAAAACCCTATAAACTGGTGGCTCAAGAGCTCAGCACAATGCAGTTGGACCAAATGGTAAGGGTCAGGAGTCCAGCCAGACAGTCGGACTGTGTGCCTGCTCCATGCCCTGCCCTGTCTGGGTCCTGTAGAGCAAAGGGAAGGCATGAAGGAATGCCCTTGAGAGGATTAGCCATATACACTTTGGAGAGGCCCAGGAAAATATTCAACAAGCAGCCTTTAATAAAGTGATCCACGGTGATGTATGGATAACAATGAGGGCATGAAAGGCTCTCACGTTCCTGCCCATCTTCCCTCCCTCTTCTCCTACTCCTCTTCCTCTCTTCAGATTGTACCTGAACATGGCGTGTATTTGCATGGATTATTCCATCTTTTTGGAATGCTTTTCTCTTCTTCTCCTGCTAAATTCTAGCCTTTTCAAGAGCCATGTCCTCCATTCCTCTGTGAACCTTCCCCAGCCCACACAAACAGATGAAGGCTCTGTGTGCAATCTCTGATACAGCAGCCCATGTACTGTTCCTCAAGCATTTACTGATATGCTGCCTCTCCTACCCAGCTCCAAGCCCCTTGAGAAAATGACTGTGTTTTACTCACTCATTCATCTCCATCAAGTACTGAGTTCACAGCTCAGTGCTGTACTGAATGCTAGGGACACAAAGACGAACAAGATGTAGTTCTTACCCACAAATAGCTGAGTCTAGGAGATGAAACAGGCCTATAAACAATCATAATACAATCTTAGAGTATGTTTTCCTGGTGTTTGGCACAATACTTGACCTGTAAAACATGCTAAGCAAATGTTGGTGAAATGAATGAAGTTTCAATGAGACATGGCGATTTCACCTGGGAGACTCTGAAAACCCTTAACACAAAAGTTGTGAGGCTGCTATCACATCTTTCTCTGCACCTTCTTTGTCTCCAGCCCTCTCCACCTTCACTATCAATGCCGAGTTTCAACAAAAGAACTAGAGTAATGTCTCCAGAAGGGGCAATGAGTCTTAAGAAGGTAACAGCCTAAAACCATCTCAGATGAAATGGAGCTGCTCAGTGACTTTTGGGAGCTCTCAGACCTGGTGGAGACCTCTATCCCAAGTCAAAATGCAACACTCACTTCAAACAGAAATATCCCTAAAAGACATTAATTCACAATTTCAACGCTTTATGACCTCCCACTATATGCCAAGCACTTTTAAAGACTTCAGAGGAATATAAAAATGAATCATATTTCATCTTCCATCTGCTCAAAATTCTCTTTGGGTGGGCAGTGTGGAGCAGCAGAAAAGTACGTTATTTGTTACAGGGGAGGTGTGGATGAAAACAGCCTGTCACCTGTCAAGAATCTGAAAGTAAACTATTATTAATAACAGTAATGACAATTTTTATATGTCGTATATTTAAAAAAATCTTAAGTGCTTTGTATATTCTGTATCTCCTTTGTTAAGTGCCAAGTGCTACCTTCCCCCACCTCCTGCCCCTAGAAAGTCTCCAGAGGCTTCAATAGAGATCCCAGTTGGGAAGCCTTTGCCAGGACAGAAATGACAGGTGTGTGTGTTTGTGTGTGTCTTTCTCCGACTTCATTCCAAAGCCAAATATATAAATGATTTTTAGATTACCCCTTGTTTTATCCATGCCTCTGCCCTTCACTAGTGCGGATAATGGAGAGTTCACTCTACTGTGATTAATTATGCAGCCAGGGCTGAGAGCCAACAGTCACAAAGTGTTAGGAGTTTCAGGCACTTTAAGAGGGATGAGGATTTTGTTTCTTTGCTTGTTTAACTTTTATCTGGTATTGATTAATTGCCCACTCTGTTCCAGACACTCTACCCAGCACTTTTATACATGTCATCTCATTCAGGGCTCACAGCAACCCTACGTGGTGGGCACTATTGTTATCCCCATTTTATTGTTTTTGTGTGTGTAACTATATGTTTTAATAAGAAAATTAAAATTTGAAACTTTCTGTAAAAACATTATGGAAACAAAATTTAGAGGTCATATTTTTATAATAAGGGAATGCTATGTCCTTTAACTTATGAAAATTATTAGTTTCTCATCAACAATGTCACCTAAAATAATATACAGACACTTCAACATTTTTAGTTTATTAAAAAAATACCAAAATAGAATTTATTTTAGGGTTGAATTTGAAATTATGCAGACTATTACAAGCCCCCATTTCTGTTATTCATTAACTCTAAAAAGAATTCATAAGTTATCCCCATTTTTGAGATGAGAAAACAGGGTGAGAGAAGGTATGTGACTCTCCCAAACTAATAATGGCTGGCAATATTTTATAAAATAGGATTAATGACTCGATTAGTAACTGATGTATTATCTAAGCATCACAAATATTAAATGCATATTCTCTTTTAGCCTAATTGCCCTAACAATTTCTCCTTAATATCTTCAACACGGGATCCAAAACACTGCAGGATTCCTTGTGATGTTTTCCTGAGTCCATGGACAATTTAGTAAAACGAGTTCTGACCTTTCAGAGCCATGCTCAATGCATAAATCTTAGAGGTTAGACCTGAGGCTGTGGCCCGGCTGCTTGGGTGGTGACAACATATCACATTGTAAGTTCCCTTCTTTATGTAGTTTCCACTTAAAGTAAAGGAGAAGAGGTACTAGCAAGCATGTAATATGTGCCAAGAGACTATACATGCATGGCCTCATTAATCATGGCAATCTTGAAAGGTTAACACTATTATTCTCTTTTACACAGAGGGACCGGGGCACAGCAAAATAAAGTGTGCACAAAGTCACAGAGGTCAAAACCAGCTCTATGGAGCTCCAAAGTTCATATTCCTTCCAGCACTCTTGGAATTAAGCTTATAAACTATGAAACTACACTATTAATAATACATTGTCAGGGACCTTGATAAGATGTTAGTCTGCATCTATGAGATATAATAACATTTTTGATTGAAATATTTCCAGGCTGTTATCCCTAAGACTAATGATGAATTTCAGTTCTTCTCATGTGACTTATTCTCTCTTAGTTAAAACAAATACACCTTTGTATTATTCACTCTGAGCCTAAACATTATTCACTTCTTATCACCAACTCTAACTTTTTTTTTTTTTTTTTTTTGTCTCTTAACCCTATTCTTGTTTCTACTCTTTCCAGGTGTGGCCTTAAAACCATTCCATTATCGCTGTTTTCAAGCATAACATTCCCAGTTCCTCTGTAGAAGTTTTTCCCTAAATGATGTTTGAGTACCAATTTCTGTGTTTCACTTTCTGCCCACCATATATATATATGTATGTGTATATATATGTGTATATATATGTATATATGTATATATGTACATATGTATGTATGTATATATACATATAAGTATATCTATATATGTGTATATATATCTATATATGTATATATGTACATATGTATATATGTATATATGTACATATGTATATATGTATATATGTACATATGTATATATGTATATATACATATATGTATATATGTATATATGTACATATGTATATATGTATATATACATATATGCATATATGTATATATACATATATGCATATATGTATATATACATATATGTATATCAATATATGTATATACAATACATATATATGTATATACAATACATATATATGTATATACATATATTGTATATGTATATGTATATATACATATATTGTATATGTATATACAATACATATATATGTATATCAATATATATGTATATATGTATATACATATATGTATATACAATACATATATATGTATATCTATATACGTATATACATATATGTATATACGTATATACATATATGTATATACAATACATATATGTATATACGTATATACATATATGTATATACAATACATATATGTATATACAATACATATATGTATATACGTAGATACGTATATGTATATACAATACACATATATGTATCCACGTAGATACGTATATGTATATACAATACACATATATGTATCCACGTAGATACGTATATGTATATACAATACACATATATGTATCCACGTAGATACGTATATGTATATACAATACACATATATGTATCCACGTAGATACGTATATGTATATACAATACACATATATGTATCCACGTAGATACGTATATGTATATACAATACACATATATGTATCCACGTAGATACGTATATGTATATACAATACACATATATGTATCCACGTAGATACGTATATGTATATACAATACACATATATGTATCCACGTAGATACGTATATGTATATACAATACACATATATGTATCCACGTAGATACGTATATGTATATACAATACACATATATGTATCCACGTAGATACGTATATGTATATACAATACACATATATGTATCCACGTAGATACGTATATGTATATACAATACACATATATGTATCCACGTAGATACGTATATGTATATACAATACACATATATGTATCCACGTAGATACGTATATGTATATACAATACACATATATGTATCCACGTAGATACGTATATGTATATACAATACACATATATGTATCCACGTAGATACGTATATGTATATACAATACACATATATGTATCCACGTAGATACGTATATGTATATACAATACACATATATGTATCCACGTAGATACGTATATGTATATACAATACACATATATGTATCCACGTAGATGTATATACAATACACATATATGTATCCACGTAGATGTATATACAATACACATATATGTATCCACGTAGATGTATATACAATACACATATATGTATCCACGTAGATGTATATACAATACACATATATGTATCCACGTAGATGTATATACAATACACATATATGTATCCACGTAGATGTATATGCAATACACATATATGTATCCACGTAGATGTATATGCAATACACATATATGTATCCACGTAGATGTATATGCAATACACATATATGTATCCACGTAGATGTATATGCAATACACATATATGTATCCACGTAGATGTATATGCAATACACATATATGTATCCACGTAGATGTATATGCAATACACATATATGTATCCACGTAGATGTATATGCAATACACATATATGTATCCACGTAGATGTATATGCAATACACATATATGTATCCACGTAGATGTATATACAATACACATATATGTATCCACGTAGATGTATATACAATACACATATATGTATCCACGTAGATGTATATACAATACACATATATGTATCCACGTAGATGTATATGCAATACACATATATGTATCCACGTAGATGTATATGCAATACACATATATGTATCCACGTAGATGTATATGCAATACACATATATGTATCCACGTAGATGTATATGCAATACACATATATGTATCCACGTAGATGTATATGCAATACACATATATGTATCCACGTAGATGTATATGCAATACACATATATGTATCCACGTAGATGTATATGCAATACACATATATGTATCCACGTAGATGTATATGCAATACACATATATGTATCCACGTAGATGTATATGCAATACACATATATGTATCCACGTATATGTATATGCAATACACATATATGTATCCACGTAGATGTATATGCAATACACATATATGTATCCACGTAGATGTATATGCAATACACATATATGTATCCACGTAGATGTATATGCAATACACATATATGTATCCACGTATATGTATATGCAATACACATATATGTATCCACGTATATGTATATGCAATACACATATATGTATCCACGTATATGTATATGCAATACACATATATGTATCCACGTATATGTATATGCAATACACATATATGTATCCACGTATATGTATATGCAATACACATATATGTATCCACGTATATGTATATGCAATACACATATATGTATCCACGTATATGTATATGCAATACACATATATGTATCCACGTATATGTATATGCAATACACATATATGTATCCACGTATATGTATATGCAATACACATATATGTATCCACGTATATGTATATGCAATACACATATATGTATCCACGTATATGTATATGCAATACACATATATGTATCCACGTATATGTATATGCAATACACATATATGTATCCACGTATATGTATATGCAATACACATATATGTATCCACGTATATGTATATACAATACATATATGTATATACCATATATGTATATACAATACATATATATGTATATACATATATATGGTATATACATATATATTGCATATACATATATATACAATATACATATATATATGTATATTGCTGTGATCTTCCTATTACAGCTTTCTTTCCTTTTTAAAAAATGTCTTTCCCTACAACAAATAAGAAATACTTGGTCAGCATATACCTTGTTCTATAGCCCTTCATGGATTTGAGAAGCTCACTTCACTAATTTATTTTTACATTTTAGCCAAAAAAGAATGTGCCAAAAGAAAACAGACTTCAAATAGAATTTATCATTTCAAAGCACAGTTCCATAACCAATTTGACTTCAGTTGTTTTATTATTCCAATTAATCTCTTTAAACCTCTCTAAAGAGTTGGCATTTACATTTTTCATTTCCATCATTACGAACATTCTTCTAATAATAATATTTCCTAATGCCTACACCATTTCTGGATTTGATTCTGTGATACGTGGAAACGTTAATCACCAACCTAAGCCTGAGTGTTCTTACAGATATCAGTGTCCCATTTTCTCTAAAATTAGCAATGTCACGCAAGCTTTCAGATGCTGTAATTACAACAGCAACAGAGCAGAAAAGCTCCCGACAGCCACCCAGGCTCCAGCAGCCTCAGAATCAGCCCACCCCATCCGGAAACACAAGCATTCCTTCCTCTCTTTCACCTCTGGCTTCTTGCTCCCTTCTGCTGGAGTCCTCTGCTCTAAAACCCCCAATGCAATCCAAGTTTTGTTTTCAAACTTGCCATTAGCTTCTCCCTAAATGTCCATGCATCTTAGCTTCCAGACTAACCTTTGCTCTTTGTCCGAGACCCCAGTCACAAGACTCTCAGTCCTTAGATGCATTGGCCAGGAAAAGGCCATGCTAAATCTCATAGGAGGCAGAGAGGACAGCTGTCTGTACAGATGATGTGAGGAAGGCTGAAAAACATCCTTGTCCTTAGACACTTGGCCCATTTCTCCTACCTAGGACACCCATGTTGCTAACTCCTTGGTTCGAAGGCTGTGGAGTTGGGGATCTTATCCTTCTGCCTTCCAGAGCTTCAACCCAGTGGGTGCTTGCAAAAATGTATGGCCTTTTCCCTGATTGAATATTGTCCTCCCGTCTCTACCTCCTTTCCTTGGCAGGGAACAATGCTGAACACCCAAGAAGAAACCATTTCCCTCCCTCCCTCCACTTGTTACTTCTTTGATGAGAGCAATGTAAGGTGGCATACCCCTGTGTAACCTTGGACAAGTATCTTGACTTCCCTTCAGGTACCTTCCACAAGAATGGAAACCTTGTGTGAATGAAAATGAGATGAGGTCAGATACCATGCCTTATTCAACAGTACACCCTGGCACCCAGCATAGAGCCTAAAACAGCATATGCACTTGATAAATATTTGTTGAAGGAATAAATAAACTGAACTGCATGCCTTTTATGATCTCCTTCTGAAATATTATATGCATTTGGTAAATATTTGTTGAATGTAATGAATAAGTGTATATGAGGACAATACTTATCTCAGTGAGTTTTGAAGTGATAGCTATAAGGATTAAATCAGATAATCTGCTTAATATAAATTGATTCCCACTTCACATGGTGACTTCTAAGCAAAAAACACAGAGAGATACAGTGAGTAAGAGAAAAAAGATTAAAACAAAACAAAAAGATGTCCAAATGCTAAGGAATATTTTTAAAAGCCCATGTAGTGGTTTTAAATGTCCACAAATTCCTTCATATTTCTTCCTTCAAAAGTGGAACCTAATTCCTTTCTTCTTGAGCAGTCTGAACTTTGTGACTCATTCCTAAGAATATATACAGTTGGCTCTTGAACAACAGGAGTTTGAACTGTGAGGGTTCACTCATATGCAAATTTTCTTCCACCTCTGCCACACCTGAGACAGCAAGACTCACCCCTCCTCTCTTGAAGACAATGAAGATGAAGACCTTTGTGATGATCCACTTTCACTTAATAAATAGTAAATATATTTTCTCTTTATTAGGATTTTCTTAATAATGTTTTCTTTTCTCTACCTTATCATATTGTAAGAATACAATTTATAACATATACAAAATATGTGTTAATTGACTGTTTATGTTATCAATGAGGCTTCTGGCCAAGAGTAGGCTATTGGTAGTTTGAGTTACATTCAGATTTTTGACTACATGGCATAGGAGTTGACGTCCCTGGCTCCTGTGTTGTTGAAGGGTCAACTGCAAAGTGGGGGTGACAGTGTTCAACTTTGGAGGCCAGGTCATAAAAGGCTTCCTGCTTGTCCTTATGGATCACTTGGTCCTGGAAAGCTACTGTCATGTCAGGGAGAAAGGCTTACCGGATGAGGAACTGAGGCCTCCAGCCAACAGCTAAAGAGGGACAAATTTCCTAGACTAACAGCCACACAAGTGAGCTCAAAAGTGAATCCTCCAGCCCCAGGAAAGCATCCAGATGACTCCATCCTTGGCTGACAGCTGGTCTGCAAGCTTATAAGGGACCACAATCCAGGGCCACTCAACTAAACTGCTTTCAAATTCTTGACCCACAGACCCTGTGAGATAATGATCTTTTGTAGTTTTAAGACAATACATTTTGGGATAATTCATAACACTGAAATAGACAACTTACAATTGCCCCATAAAACCTCTTGCCAAGAGGCCTGTGCAGCACTCTTGGGCTCAGAACTCCTTTGCTTCCTCTGGCAGATTCAGTCCTATGTCTGTTCATGCCAGGTCTTGGGTAAGGAAGCATCGGCTGGCCCTCTCTTTGAGGGGTGGACCTCTTCTTGCAAAGTGGCCCTCTCCTTTCAGTTTTTCCTGATTGCATTAGCAGCTCCAGTTTCCATTGCAATGTCAGCTTTATATCCCTTGCCTCTGTTTTTGCCTCCATCGTAAATCCTCGGCAGAGATCAAAACATCCACAGGCCAAAGAGAACCCTAACAGTTCTTTGTTTAACTTACATTTTGTTTGGTTTTAAATGTGAGCTATGATTTGAAAGTTGGAAGGATACTTTTTTTTTTTTGCTTCATTGATTTCTCTACCTTCATTTTCTGCTCTTAATCTTCATGTGTATTTACTTCTTAGGTGATTATAGCATTTATAACCACTTTATTGAGGTATAATTGATGTGCAAAAAGTTGTAGATATTTAATGTATACAGTTTGATGTCTTTTGAGATAAGCATACATCCATGAAACCATCATCACTTTCAGTATCATAAACATATCTATCAACTCCAAAAGTTTCCTCCCACCTGGAAGTGTACTTTTGATTTAACATGATTTAACATTGACTGACCATATGTATTTAGTTATTCTCTCACCCAATAAAAATAATAGCAAAAGAAAATATAGAGATATCAGGCATTGAAGATTAAAATAACCAGAGAGGGGACAATAGGAAACAAAAGATTTTAACAGACTTTCAGATGCAGATAGAACAGTGACAATTGGCTTAGCAGAGTGGAAGAAGCCCAACTTAGGAAGCTCAATGGTACAATTCAATTCGATGATCCAATTAAGAGTAGACAGAATTTTCCCTTAATATCCTTGGAAAAGCTCTGAGCTTCTGAATGTGAAGCTCTGTAAAGAAGACATAAGATGCCGAATGCCGTGGCTCATGCCTGTAATCCCAGAACTCTGGGAGGCCAAGGTAGGCGGATCACGAGGTCAGAAGATCGAGACCATCCTGGCTAACATGATGAAACCCCGTCTCTACTAAAAATAAAATTTAAAAATATTTAGCTGGGTGTGGTGGTACACGCCTGTAGTCCCAGTTACTCGGGAGCCTGAGGCAAGAGAATTGCTTGAATCTGGGAGGTGAAGGTTGCAGTGAGCCGAGATCATGTCACTGCACCCCAGCCTGGGCAACAGAGCGAGACTCCGTCTCAAAAAAAAAAAAGAAAAAAAGAAAAAAAAAAGACATGAGGTATGTATTAGGGTTCTCCAGAGAAATAGAACCAATATGATGGATAGATTGATGGATAGAAATAGAGCGATCAATCGTTCGATAGGTGATAGATAGATAAGGATGAATTACGGGAATTGGCGCACACAGTTATGGAGGGTGAAGAAGTCCCATAATATGCTGTCTGCAAGATGGAGAACGAAGAGTGCTGATGTCCAGGGACAGGAGAAGACAGATGTCTTCCATCTCTCAGCTCAGTAAGAGAGAGAAAACCCACACTTCCTTTGCCTTTTTATTCTATTTAGACCCTCAATGGATTGGATAATGCCTGCCCACGTTGTTAAGGGCAGGTCTTCCTTACTCAGTTTACTGATTCAAATGCTACTGTCTGCTGGAGACAATTTCACAGACATGCCCAGAAATAACATTTTACCAGCTACCTGGGCATCTCTTGGCCCTGTCAAGCTGACACATAAAATTAACCATCACAACGTGTAAGATGGAAAACAAGGTAATTGATTGGATAGTTGTATATAGAATAGTAGAGCCTCTGCCCTCCAACATCCTAAGCAGCCAGGCAGCCAGCCTCCAGGCTTGGTAACGCAATCTCAAGTTTGTTGTGGGAGACACTGAGACATAGGAGAAAATAAGAGAATTGAGGGAGAATCTGTCTACTAATGAATGCATTCTCAATAATTTTCCCTGCCCTGTTTAAAGAATTCCAGTAGTTTGGCTAATGAATAGAAGGCAGGAGGTTGGGGGATAAGTCTTAAAATAAACTGAATGGTCCCATGGACAAAACATGTAAACAGGCTGAACTTAGGCGCTCCCCATCCCCACCAGTGAAAATGTGGCTTACTGCTTAACTGCTCTTCAGAGGAGCCCACAAGTTAACAAGTCTCCCTATATACACAGAGCCTCCAACTAACTTTTAGTGCTCCATTCCTAAACTTTCACTGCCAACCAAGGATCACAAGTAATAAGATAAAAATCACCAAGAGAAAAGTCAAAGACCAAAAGAAGACGAAGAGGTAGAAGGAAGAAGGAAGAAGCAAGGAGAAGGAGAAGAAGGAGAAGGAGGAGGAGGAGGAGGAACCTGAAGAAATAGAATACATGAATTAGAAAAAAAACTTTAAGAGATGTAATCAACAACTTAGAGGAAGAAAAGAAGGCATGAAACAAGAAAAAATACTGTACTCGTTTCCTATAGCTGCCTCATAAAAGTGATCAAAAATTGGGTAGCTTAAAATAAAAAAATTGTTTCACAGTTCAAGAGGCCATAAGTCTGAAACCAAGGTGTTGGTAGGGTATCTGGTGGAAGAAATTTCTAAGCAGCAAAGCATTCAAGATGTGACTTGGGTGCCGTTAAATGCATTCCGTTTTATAAGGGAAGTAGAGCATAAAAGTTTGGAAAATTTGCAGCCTGACAATGTGATAGAAAAGAAAATCCCATTTTCTAAGTAGAAATTCAAACTGGCTGCAGAAATATGCATAAGTAATGAGAAGCCAAATGTTAATCCCCAAGACACTGGGAAAAATGTCTCCGGGGCATGTCAGGGGTCTTCGCAGCAGCCTCTCCCATCACAGACCCAGAGCTCTAGGAGGAAAAAATGGTTTCATGGGCCAGACCAAGTGTCCCTGTGCTGTGTGCAGTTTAGGGACTTGGTGTCCTGCATCCCAGCTGCTCCAGCCATGACTAAAAGGGTACAGCTCAGGTCATGGCTTCAGAGGGTGCAAGCCCCAAGCCTTGGAAGCTTCCATGTGGTGTTCTGTGTGGGTGCCCAGAAGTCAAGAATTGAGGTTTGGGAACCTCCACTTAGATTTCAGGGGATGTATGGAAACACCTGGATGTCCAGGCAGAAGTTTGCTACAGGGGTGGGGCTGTCATGGAGAACTTCTGCTAGGGCAGTGCAGCAGAGAAATGTGGGGTTGGAGCTCCCAGACAGAGTCCCTACTTGGGCACCGCCTAGTGGAGCTGTGAGAAGAGGACCACCATCCTCCACACCCCAGAATGGTAGATCCACCGTCTGCTGGCATCATGTGCCTGAAAAAGCCACACTCAACATCAGCCCATGAAGCAGTTGTGAGGGAGGCTGTACCCTGCAAAGCCACAGGAGTGAAGCTGCTCAAGGCCATGGGAACTCACCTCTTGCATCAGTGCGACCCGGATACAAGACATGTAGTCAAAGGAAATCATTTTGGAGCTTAAAGATTTGACTGTTCTGCTGGATACTGGACTTGCATGGGGTCTGTAGCCCCTGTGTTTTGACCAAGTTCTCCCATTTGCAATGGCTGTCTTTACCCAATGCCTGTACCCACATCCTAGATCCCCACTGTATCTAGGAAGTAAGTAACCTGCCTTTGATTTTACAGGCTCATAGGCAGAAGGGACTTGCCTTGTCTCAGATGAGACATAGAACTGTGGACTTGTGAGTTAATGCTGAAATGAGTTAAGGCTTTGGGGGACTGTTGGGAAGGTATGATAGATTTTGAAATGTGAGGACATGAGATTTGGGAAGGGCAGGGTTTGGCTGTGTCCCCACCCAAATCTCATCTTGAATTGTAACTCCCACAGTTCCCATGTGTCATGGGAGGAACCCAGTGGGAGGTGATTGAAATATGGGCGACGGTTTTTGCTGTGCTGTTCTTGTGACAGTGAATGAGTCTCATGAGATCAGATGGTTTTAAAAATGGGAGTTTCCCGTCACAAGCTCCCTGCCTGCTGCCATCCATGTAGGACGTGACTTGCTCCTCTTGCTCCTCTTGCTCCTCCTTGCCTTCCACCATGATTGTGAGGCCTCCCCAGCCGTATGGAACTGTAAGTCCATTAAACCTCTTTTTCTTTCCAGTCTCGGGCATGTTTTTATCAGTAGCATGAAAACAGACGAATACAGTCCCTAACTAGCCTTCCTACAGCACTAGGGCAGGTGGATAAGTTGGAGACTTCGGGGACATCTGGATTTTAGGTACTTTCAGCTGCTGGCATGGAGCTATGAAGGGTTGCTGGGGCACACATTTGTGAAAGGCTGCCTTCTTTTCCTAGTGCCAGCTTCTGTGATCACTGATGGGCAGCAGGACCAATGGTAGGAAAGAAGAGCTGGACACAGGGAGGGAACAGCATGTGGAACACGGATCCACTGACACCTGTGAATCTGTCCCCACCACTCACTTCCTCTAATCATGGTGACATCCAGCATGTGATGGCTGCTGCTTCATGTCCACCTCTCAATCTTACATGGATTCTCTTTGGACTGGCTGTAACTCCAAACCATACAGGGAAAGAGATTTGGAAACATAGTTTCAATGTAACCAAGGAGACCAGTAGAAAATCACAGTAGAAAATCAGCACCATGGAACCACTCATGGAAGAGGATTCCAGAAAACATAGTTCTGAGTTAAGCAAGCTGATACAGTACAAAACCACTGAAAGAGATGAGAAAACAATGCAGAAAGTGGAACAAACGTGTAAAGAGAAAAGAGAGAAAAGTTAAAAGTTTAAGATCTAGTCCAAGAAGCCCAATATTCAAATGATAGAAGTGCTTGGAAAAAAGAATAAACTAGCAGAAAAAAAATTATCCAGCAATTAAGAAAACACCTCAGAAGGGAAGAGAATTATCCTCCAAGTTGGTAGGCTTATCTGGTATTCATGATGAAGGGCTCATTGGGTATGAAGTGCAATGAATACAAGAGAATCAAGACACATAATTGAAATTTTGAAACACTATAAGCAAAGATAAGATACCAAAAGTCTGTAGGAAAACAGCATAGCAGGTCACATAGTAGAGACTGAGAATCCAAAATAACAATATTGGAGATTCAAAGATAATTAAACAATGCCTTCAATATTCTAAGAATAATTATTTTGAATTTTCAATCTAGGATTCTATACTTAGTAAAAATAATCAACTTTATAGACAGAATAAAGACATTTTTAGGCAAATAAGACAAAAAAATGTACTTCTTGTGTACCCTTTCTGGGAAAGCTACTAGAGTATATACTCTGGAAAAACCAAATAGGGGAAAAAATACAACAGAATACAGGAATTCAATGCTGGAAAGTAGCAAAGGAAAATCTCAGGATGACAATTACATAGCAGATCTAAGAAGTTATTCATTCAGACCAGAACAAAAGTCCACTGTCTTCAAGGAAATAGTGGAATCGACACATTGACATTGTAGAAAATAATGGTGTATTTTTGAGCGAGCTATTGGAAACTTTGGGGAAAAAAAAAAAGCCAGGGAAATAAAATCATAAAGCCATTGTTAATTCCAGGAAAGATGAAAAATGAAAGTCTGAAAAAGAAAATGCAATCTAGTAAAATATCTAGTCTGTTAATTTTTTTGTATAGTGGTGATGATACAAATTTTGACTATCAATTTAACAAACAATTCTGGTATAATAATATTGAGATGACAAAGAAGTGAACGTGGGAATGGAAGTTCATGCAACTGTAATGATAGAGTATTATTGCTATGTATATAGGATTATTTTCTTAATTTATTTTTCAGATACCTCATTGTCAGTGTGTAGAAACCCTACAGATTTTTGTAAGCTGATTTTTTTATTCTGCAACTTTGCTGAATTCATTTATTGGTTCTAATAGTGTTTTGGATAAATTATTTAATGTAAGATTATGTCATCACCAAACAGTGACAGTTTCACTTCCTGTTTTTATTTGGATGCCTTTTATATCTTTCCCTTGTCTTTCAGCTCTGGCAAGGACTTCCAATACTATGTTGAGAAGCAGTGAGGGTGGGCATACTTACCTTGTTCCAGATCTTAGAGGAAAAGCTTTCAACTTTTCACCTTTGGGTATAATGTTAGATAGCCCCATATATGGGCTTCGCATATATGATCTTCATTATGTTGAGGTGCATTCCTTCTATACCTAATTTTTGAGAAATTTTATTATGAAATTACATTGAATTTTGTCAGTGGCTTTCTCTGCATCTATTGAGATGATCATATGGTTTTGTCTCTTATTAATATGGTGAATCACATTTATTGATTTGCATTTCTTGAGCCATGCTTGCCTCTTAGGGGTAAGTCAGACTTGATCATAGTGAATAATCCTTTTAATGTACTGTTGAATAAGGTTTGCTAGTATTTTCCTGAGGATTTTGCGTCTATGTTCATCAGTGATATTGGTCTGTAGTTTTCTTTTCTTGTGTCTTTGTCTGGCTTTCGTATCAGAGGGAGGCTAGGCTTTTAAAGCGTGTTTGGAAGTATTTCCTCCTCATCAATTTTTTGGAAGAGTTTGAGAAGAACTGGTATTAGTTCTTTAAATATTTTGTAAAATTTAGCTGTGAAGCCATCTTGTCCTGGGCTTTTCTCTGATGGGAGACATTAATTCTCATTGAATGTCTTTACTCATTATGGTCTGTTCAGATTTCTAATTTCTTCATGATCTAGTCTTAGTAAGTTATATGTTTCTAGGAATTTATTAGTTTCTTCTAGGTCAACATCTCTAATCATCAGAGAAATGCAAATTAAAACCACAATGAGATATCATGTTACACCTGTTAGACTGGCTATTATCCAAAAGATGAAAGATAACAAGTGTTGGCAAGGATGTGAAGTAAAGGGAACCCTGTACACTGTTGGTGGGAATGTAAATTAGTACAGCCATTTTAGAAAAGACTGTGAAGGCTCCTCAAAAAACTAAAAAAAGAATTACCGTATGATTCAGCAGTCCCACTTCTGGGTATATAGCCAAAGAATTTGAAATCATCTGGTTTGAGTCAGTGTTTGGTTAAAAAAAAAAAAAAAAAAAAAAGGAAAATAAAGTACATTGAAATCAGTATGTCCAAAAGCTGTCTTCTCTCCCACGTTCCTTGCAGCATCACTCACAATAGCAAAGACAAGGTAACAACTGAAGTGCCCACCAATGGATGAATTGATTAAAAAAATTTAGTAGATATGTATATACATATAAACTAATATTCACATATATACATATATATGTATATTCACATATACATATATACTGAATATATACATATACAATATATATATATATATATATACACACACACACAATGGAATAGTATTCAGCCTTTAAAAAGCAGGAATCATGTCATTTGCAATAACATGAACGAACCCAGAAGACATTATGCTAAGTGAAATAAACCAAACACAGAAAGACAAATATCACATGATCTCACGTATAAGTGTAATCTAAAAACATCCAACTCACAGAAGCAGAGACTAGAATACTGATTATCAGAGGCAAAGAGGAGGGAGGGTGGACAGGAAAAGAAGAGATGCTAGCCAAAGAGAGCAAAGTTCTGGTTAGGCAGGAAAAATAAGTTCTGTTGATCTATTATCCAGCATAGTGACTATAGTTAGTAATATTGCAGTGTATATATCAAAATAGCTAAAAGAGTGGATTTTTAAATGTTCTCACCACAAAGAAATGATAAGCATTTGAGGTGATGGATATGTTAGTCTAATCTGATCATTCCACAATGTATATACACATATCAAAACATCACTTTGTACCCCATAAATATATACAATAATTAGTTGTCAATTAAAAATGAAATAAAACTTAAGAAAGGAGTGGCCAGATTATGTCTAAAATTCATAAACTGACCCTGTCAAGAAAGAGGGTAAATGCCAAAAAAAAAAAAACTATACGAGTTACTGGTGGTGGGGAAGAGGGTGGCAGGATTGTGCTATGTTTTTATCATAAACCTTTAATACTATTAGAATTCTTTTTTAACATGCATACATATTAACTCAATAAAAATATTTTAATAGAAGATTCACATAAAAGTCTGTATTTCTGATTTCTCTTTCAAAAACAGAAGAACTGGCATCACACTCCTGCATTCCAGAAGGCAGTAATTTCTGAAGCTGAGTAAGGGCAGGTACCCTTCAGTTTGCCCCAGTCCCCACCACTCCCATATGTCTGTCTATTTGCTGTCCAGGCTTGTAGTGGCCGGATTTGGGGCCTGTTAATGTAGAGTGTGAGGATGTCCCTGTAAAGTCATTCAAGAAGGAGGAAAGGAAGAATCTAGAGAAACGAAGCAGCCTCTGCCAGCAAGGCCAGGCAGGACATATAACATGGGCATCTTGGGGCACTGCCAGGAGAGGAAAGTGTCACTGGCCAGACAGTCAAAGAGTCAGAGAGGGCTGAGGGTGAAATGCATCTGAGAAGGAAAGCAAGGTCCTCCCTAGGGGGCAGAATGGAGAGTGAAAAGTGAAAAGCAATGGGTACTTGTGAGTCACAGGACGCCAAGAAAACCACAGTAGGTCTGGAGGAGAGCTCAAGCTTGGCAAGGCCAAGGGGTCCAGGAGGCAGGCTGTGATCCAGAAGAGAGTGCTGAGATCTGTCCCCGTTGGCTGCTGCCCCACATTTCAAGTCAGAGCATCCTACTTAATGGCCATGATACACAATGATCAATTGTGTCCAGACCCTGGATGCTCCTGTGGAAAAGTAGCTCCAAGAAATGATCAGCTTTTATTTTCATGTAATCTTCATTTATAGTCCATATTTTTCTTCACCGAGAGGTAGAAGGCAGAGATCTGAATAACATCCCAGATGTCTGAAGCATGCAAGGCATTCTCCAGCCTTGAGAATTGCTTGGAAGGAGAGGCACTGGGTGGGCCTCTCAGACCAGATGTCCTGGGAGGCCCCAGGTGATCATCTCAGCCTTATCCAAAGCTCTCTGGGAGCCAGGGTCTGCTTTAAGCCATCCTCTCTTCTGAAAGTGACGCCGAGGCATCATTTTCTGCTCTTGGCAGCAGCGCAAACCTTTCACTTAGACCTGATGTACTGTGTGAAAACAGGAGTTTGCAGGCCATTTATCCCCAGGCCTGTCAGCCAGGAGAGAGGCATTTCCCTCAGGAAACATCAAGAGGAAAGTCGTATGTTTAGTTCACCAAATAGGACCAAGTCCCCAGCCCTGAGCTCTTCTGACTGGAGTTAGCTTGTTCCTTCTGTGAAACGGGCTGGTGTATTCTTCTCTGTCCCTTGACATAACCAAATTCACATAGGTTGATACAGCTGTGGGACACATGGACATACTGAACCTAATTACCTACAGAATCTCCTGCCTTGTTGTTACAGTAGGAGAGAGACTAACCATGCTGCAAAAAAAGACGTCAGGCTTCATCAGGTCTGAGGGCAATGGGGGAATGCCAGCATGCCCTGAGTACTCAGCATACTGAGTACTTTTACAGAGATTTTGGGGGAAAACATTGCTCAGAGAATATTGCAATGTGTATTTTTTCCAGATGTGAGGGTGAGCTGGCTCCAACATCTGCCACCCAATACATATTTGCAATGCTTTATGGCACTTTTTGTTTACAAGCCTGATCTTCCCCATTGGGCAGCCAGCCCCTCATGAGCCAAAACCATGTCTCACACTGAACATATGGTAAGCAATCAAAGTTCATAGAATAAATGGGCCGTGCTTACTAATTGATTTATTAAGTGTAGCAAGGGTCAGCATTTCCGGGGGAAAATACTCAGTGTGCATTCCCATTTAGAGAATCCTGGGATATTGGGGTAAGGCTCTGAAGTCATCCTTCTATCCAACACTTGGCCTCCTGGGAGAAATGATGGAGGATTTGGAGATGCTAAATTTGGATTCCAAGACTGAAATTTAGTTAAAATTTAAAAACAGAGATGGGGGACAATGGAAGGGAGGGAAGATGATTGAGTCCCTACTGAATACCAGACACTGTACTGGACACTTTGGATTCTGAAATCCATATTATCATTTCTGTTTACAGATGAGGAGAGAGAGGCTGAGAGAATTACGTCTCCTTAGTGAGGAGAGCTGCAGTGGCGATCAGCACTGGCCTCTCCTTACCAGTGGCAAGCTCATCCTTAGTCTCTTCTTTCTGCCAATGGTGCTGGCCGTCGAAGCTTAGGTTGGGACCACCATGGTGACGAGCAAAGACTAGGAAGGTGATGCTAACTATAAGAACGATCTATGCACTGCTGTGTGACACACTTAGAGATCTGGGGGAGAAAATAAAGAAGGGCTTGGATGCCCCGGAAAGACACTGGTTGGGGCACCTTAAGTCAAAAACAATTAGGATTATTACCCACACGCTTAATTGTGCCCCAAAACTGCTGTGACATAAAAGAGCAAAGGTCTACACACACACATAGCCCATTATCAAATACAAGCATCTGCTTTCTGAGAATGTCATTCTGTTCACCTGAGCACCCGGTTCAGAAGAGATCTGTGCTGCCATTAGGAAGTAAATAGATTCTAGCCTGGTTCCTTGGTTGGCCCTGATGTTCAACTAGACCACACATTTTCTCCCATCCATATTAAGTCAGAAATCTTCCTGAGGATTCTGGGCAAAAGTATCCAGAGACCTTCCCAAACCTCCACATTGGTGATGGTAGAAATTTTTATCTAGGCTGCTGGCTTTATTTTGAATTGCATTTCCAACATGAGCCACATGTTTTCTGTACAAAGCCCCAATCAAATGTTCACCACTTTACATCAAGTCCTGTTACACTGAGCACTCAGTGTGTAGTTGGATCACTCACTAACTGCAAACCAGTGACAGATTCAAATCTGCACCTCAAGACAATTATAAATTCCTTCATGTCATAGACCTTCCAGGGCATCTCCTTTTCCTACTAATATAATAATCAAAACAGCTGATGTTAAACATGATACCTTTCAAAGGTTCACATCAGAGGCTGCAAACTGGGAGCCCATAAGTTAGGTCCATCCCACTGACATATATATACACACACACATATATATATATATATACATACATATATACACATATATATATATACATACATATATATACATATATATACACATACATAAATATATACATACATATATATATATATATATATATATAGACAGAGTCTCGCTCTGTAGCCCAGGCTGAAGTGCAGTGGTGCGATCTGGGCTCACTGCAACCTCCACCTCCCGGGTTCAAGCAATTCTACTGCCTCAGCCTCTCAAGTAGCTGGGACTACAGGTGCACACCACCACACCCGGGTAATTTTTTGTATTTTTAGTAGAGATGGAGTTTTACCCTGTTAGCCAGGATGGTCTCAATCTCCTGACCTCGTGATCTGCCCGCCTTGGCCTCCCAAAGTGTTGGGATTACAGGCATGAGCCACCACACCTGGCCCCCACCAACATATTTTATTCAGCCAACACAGCATTTGAAAACATTGGCTTGGTTCCTAACTCTTGAAGGGTTTCCCATAAATTATCTGGATTTCTGGCTTTTCTTGAAAAGTTGGAGGATCTAGATCTACTGCTTGGCACCAATTACCTGGCGGAGTGAAGTGATAACTGCCAGTTAAGGTGAGTTATACTTTGAGATCCATGGTCCTATTGTCCTACAGCCAGCCTATTCCCTATTGTCTTGCAGCCAGCCCACTTCTTTCATTTACCCAGCCTTCCTAGCATTGGTGGGCTTTTAAGATTTTGACTCCTGATCTATGTAGTCTACCTAGAGTTTTGGACATGATATACATATGCCCAGTTCTACTCTGAACTCCAGACTCATATATGCAGCTATGACATATGACAGCTAATTGATATGTCTACCCAACATGTCCAAAGTAGAGCTCCTCATTCCTTCTCTATCCCCTCCCAAGAAAACAAATCTGTGCACTTCTGTCCATCCCCACCATCACCTAAAAGGATCAAGTCACCATCCTTTCTCATCAGAATTTTTAGAATAGTCTCCTAATATCTTGCCACCCAAAGTGTCGTCCACAGTCACCTGTATAAATATCACTAGGAGCTTGTAGAAATTCAGAATGTTGATCCTCACCCCATATCTTCTGAAAAAGAATTGGAATTCCAACAAGATTCCTCAGGTAAGAAACTCTGAGATAACAGTGCTAATTTTCCTCCCACCTGCCAATTTTTTTACCACCCAATAAAACGATCCTTTAAAATGAAAGTTCAATCACTTCATTTCTACATTGTTTTAAAAAACTTGTATTGGTATTTTGTAACATTAAAGTTATATCCAAATTATTTACAATGGCCAAGAAGGTCCTGGGTGGCCCAGCTCTTGCAATTTCTGCAATCTCTTCCTATACTACTCTTACCCTAGTATTCCACTGCCAACACTTGAATATCTGATGGGCATGTCACACATAACATGTCCAAACCAGAATGCTCTGTTTCCCCCCATCTACTTCTCTACTTTTCCCTGTCTCAGTAAATGGTGCCACCATTCACCCTATTGCTCGGGCCCACAATTCCGCATACTTGTGTTAAACCCAACAGCAAGTCCTGCTGGCTCCACCTTTGAAGTGTGTCACGACTCCAAGCCTTTCTTCCAACCTCCCACCCTAGTAGCCTCCGGTCCCTTTCTCTGAGCATCCCACAGTAAGCTCCTCACTCATCCTGTGTCCACTTTGGCCTTTCTGTGGTTTTTTTCCCACATGGCTTCTGGAATCGTGTTTTTAATCAGATTGAGTCACTCCCTGCTTAAAGCCCTCAAAGGCTCCCTATCACACCCAAGCTAAAATCAAACTCTGGCCTACAAGTTGCCAGCTGTAAAATCTGTCCTTACCCTGCAGGTTTGATCTCGTCTTCTACCACCTTCCCCTCCCACACCAGGCTCCAGTCCTATGGCCTTCTTGCAGTCCTCACACGTGGCAACCTCATTCTCACCCAGGCTCTCTGCACCGCTGTGCCTCTGGTTAGGGGCTCTTCCCTGTATCTTCAGGTGGCCCACTATGACTTTTAGGTGTCCACTTCAAGTCACCTTCCCAAAGCAGCCTTCCCTTCATCCCTTTTAAAAATAGGATCACTGCTTTCTCATTCTTTCCATACTCAGCTTTATTTGTCTTCATAACACTTACCTTGTTTATACTTACCTTTGTCTCCCTCAATGAAATGAATGCTGCCTGAGGACAGGGATCAGCACATCCCCAGCACACAAATAAGGTTGCCAGATTTAGCAAATAAAAATATAGGATGCCCAGTTAGATTTGAAATTCAGGTAATCAACAAATAACTTTTTAGTGTAAGTATGCTTGTGCAATATTTTTTTACTTCTGGCCAACACAGTATTTTAGAACTTTAGAACATTGGCGTGGTTCTCAATACTAGAGGTGCAATTGTAAGTTGGGGAATGAATTTAAAGTCTCAGTATTATACTTAAATATTATGCTATTGATCTGAAATTAAAATTTATGTTTTCTGGCAATCCTAATAGAATATTGCCTGGAATTTCACACATCTTCAAAACATTTTTGTGAAATATGTGAATATAGAAATAAAAGAATAATTAAAAGCTCAAACTTTTAAAATTGGTTGTGCTGAATGGTCAGGAAATGCTTTTCAACCTCTGGGAAAAAACTCTCTCTAGATATTCAGGACAAGAACACTGCTCTAATTAGTGTTTATTATAGGGGATCATCTTTGGGAAATCCATTTTGCCTGTATTTATGCTTCCCTTTTTGCAGCAAATTACTGGTTAAATAAAGGCTGAGACTCTGATCTGACATCTCAGATGGCAAGAAGTGTTAAAATTTGAAAAGTAATTTTAAAAAATAGAATAGCACAGTAACACCATGCATTTGGAATAGTGATAAGGTGCTTTTATCTATCTCTCTTCATGTCAGCCCCCAAGCAGCTCTAAAGAGGAGACAGAGCAAGCTGGTTAGTCTCATTTTACATATGGAGAAACTGAGATTCCAAGAGGCTAAATGATTTGTTCAAGACTGCATAGCTTGGAACTGATAAAGCGATATTTTGAACGTAGATCTTCTAACTCCAAGTACAACATGCTTTCCATTATATCACATTACCTTCATAAATATGAATTGCAACTGCATTCACCAAGCAGAGACTCTTACTCAAGCTACAGAAGAATCACGTGTGTAAACAGAGGTATAAGCCACTAGCTTGGTAACGGCCCTTTCTAGCTATGGACATCAGCCAATCCTTGGTGCTTGGCTAGGAGGGCTCTGGGAAAAAGTGGGGCATCCTTTTAAATGTTTTGTGTCATTTGTCTTTTTGATGTAAAAGACAATCAATTTAATGTTCTATCAGCTTCAAATACATTTTATTTCAAGCAGTGGGCTCCACAACAAACCAAGAAACTGAAGACAGAGTCTAAATTTGGGCTTCAAAATCTGTTTCCAAGTATTAATTTTGAGTGGAAACAATTTTGGTTGAGTTTGGAGATTATAAATATCCCCCAAGAGTGTTTCAGCGCTTGGCTGCCTGTCTCTAAGTTTCACTCTGGTTTCAACCTAGGGGGTTGTTAAATTAGAAGTAGACAGCGTTGGCATGTGGTTACTCTGAATGCCTGTAACCGTCTTTAAAACATGATCTAGAAATGTTGATATTATAAATGACCATTTTTCCAAAATAAGGTTTGCAAGACTTGAAAGTGAAGTCAGATGCCAGAAAGTCTTCGAAGGAGGATTTTCAGTCAGTGATATCCGGTTACCCATTTTATAACATAGAATAAAGAAAACTCTTGGGGCAACAATTCATACACTTTTGGATCTAAGACAATGGGCTCAGTGGGGACCCTGGATTTATAACTCTTTGGAGGAACTAACTTTACCCACCCGTGCAGGAGCCATGGAGAATTTTAGAAAGACAGGCAACTGAAAAAAAATCCTGAGCTATTAAGGGGCACCAAAAGTCACTACAGTGAGGTGGTGTTTCATTTGGAATAACACAATAAGAGAAGCCATGCCTGCAAAACCCTATGGTAACATTATACCGAGAGAGAGATTATTTAAAAAAAAATTAAAGTAGACTTTTAGGTCAGTTATGACTCCCCTAGCTAGGAGTTCAAATCCAACCCTATCACCGTGAAAATATTATCATTGAAAATCACGATTGTTTTAAGAAAACACTGTGTGTAGAGGGCCTATCTGTGAACATAAACTCAGCCAGTTTGTGGAAGGAAATAACCCCATTACTGCTGTGTGTAGCCCACAATTCCATGTCTATTGCATCCTAGTCTCATAGTGCTTTCTCCTAAGGCTTGCAAGAGTCTCAGCACTGAATGGAATGGGCACTGTGCAGCCTGTAAGAGAAGGTCATTCCTGAAGTCAGCTGCTCAGGATGGAACGAGAGGGAGAGGAAGCACCCCAGGATTAGGATGCTGAATTGAGGCTAGAATGGTTGGGGTTTTATCCTTCTAAAAAGGGCCAGAACTGGTAGGAGCAAAGCTTAAAACTCAGGATGCTGAAGCCATATAGCAGTCCAAATAGAGAGCGTGAAAATAGATATTGGAAAGAGTGCCAAAGGGTCAGAAATTGGCAGAGAGCTAACGGAGTGGAGTGCGAGGACCAGGACGTAACTGCAAATGTGTATCATCAGCAAACAGAGCTGAAATCACTTCTTACATCAAGTTCCTTGGGAAACAGACTGAGAAGGCAAAATGCATTCAGCAGGTTTATTAGGGAGTGAGGGAACTGGTGTTGGGGAAAGGGAGGAGTTGAACTTTGATACACTCTCAGCAGGCCTCAGCTGATTCCAGGAGGAGGTCAGGAGCTTGGATGCCCTTTCAGAGTTGTTCCTTCTTGGGGCAAGGGGGCCAGGCCTTTATAACTACCTTGGACTGACCAATCACTGGATGCCAGTTGCCCCCAGTGGGAGACTATGATCTTGGATGCTGCCGACACTCCCAGCAGCTAAGGTTATGAGCACTTCCATCCTTAACAGGGGTCTGGGCGGCCCACTGCAGTGTCGGGGTACACTCTTGGTCTAATTCTTGGTCCAATTCAGTTGATCATCAGCGACAAAAGTATCTGTATGGTTGGTCTGGTTTTAGGGCACAAAGCAAGGTAAATATCCTCAGCAGAAATGGAAAATTCCACAGAGAAACTGAAATACCTGGGTAACTGCGGGAGCATGCACAGTCTCTAATGCTATCTTTTGGGATCCCTAACCTATTATTTCCCCTAAAGAAACCTAACTAAACCACCTCCACTAAATATAATCAAGCTAAAAACAATTATAAATATTTTATTGCAGTTAAAATGATACCATTGATTATTGTCCAACACAGACAAGAATAACTAGCAAAATAACTAATCAAGATTCTTCTCCTGTGTCTTAATTTCAGAAGTAAACTCCAGGAAGTTATCAGTTGAGAACAGGGCCCTAAAGGACCTGTGTATCAAACTTCACACATATTTATGGAAATGCAAATTAGTTGCATATCCTCATGACAACAGATGCCTTAACTAGGCAGAATACTTTATTTAAAGCAAATTTTTTAAAGAAGTTTTGACAACAAAACTGTAATTCTTTTTAAAATTGCAAATATCATCTCCCACACTCTTAAATCATCTCTTTCAGTTTGTTCTACTTTTCCCCCCAGCATTTATCCCCTACTAATATGTTACATTGTGTATTTATTCATTGTCTGTGTTGCTCATCTGGAATTACAAGCTTCACGAAGATAGAAATTTGTTGATGTACGCCACTAATGTGCCCCGAACATTGCCTGATACGCAGTTGGCAGTCAGCTAATACACTTCAGATTAAAAAAAGAAAATATGCAATCGTTCCCTCTTCCCCAGGGTGTCCTGCCCATTGTTTTATCTTCTTCTGGATGCGTGTTTGCTCTCAGCTCAATCTCTGAAAGAGAGTTCATTACATTTTCTCTAGATCATCTTCATGGCAGAGGGGTCTGGAATTCCCAGTCCTAAAGCCTACAACACAGTATTAAGACAGTCTGGCACAGCTCTGATGTGCCCAGACTATCCACCCAAGTCTTGTTCTTCCACTGAGATTGTCTTCCAACCTAAGCTTTGAGTGCACGCTCAACCACCCTTGGGTCTGGTGTCCTTCTGGGCTGTGCAGAGAGCGTGACGTCTTCCATACGTGCTGTCTCCTCAGACTCCTCACTCCCACTCTTAGTACTATTTCTCTAATCCCCCCATTTCTGATAAGTCAAAGCTACCAGATCTCCTTGCCCTAGCCTAGGAAATCTTACTCAGTGGAAGATGCTCCTTTGCATCCCTTTGAGCAGAGGTGCAAAATATTTCCAGGTAGCTCAGAGGCAATATAAATTCTTCTTTCATCAAATGTCTCCACTTAGGACAATCCAATCTATTCTTGAGGAAAAGAAAATTCAACAGCATTCCAAACCAGATGGTATGCCATGGAAAGAAAAAACTTTTTAGCCACTGCAAGCTATGTTTCAATTCATCATTCTTCTTCATTGGTAAGGACTCACTCTGTGAAATTGATAGCAGCAAGGTTTTACTTCTAAACAATCTACATGGAAACCATTCAAAAACTCTAGATGACAACAAAACTGTTGGTTTATTAAATACTGCCCCCCCTTCTTTCTTGCCTTCCTTCCTTCCTTCTTTCCTTGAGAGAAATTACTCTTTTACATTTACAATAAATGCTGACCTGTTGCAGTGAAGGCTAATAGATTTGTCTATCGTACTTTGTGTTAATATGTGTGTGTGTGCGTAGTCAGCTACTCAAAAGTGGAAAGAAATGCTGCTTTCCATAGAGTTTTTTTTTTTCTTCTTTTCTTGATTTGGCAGGTCAGTCTAATCGAAATAGGAAGATAACTCCTTTCCCATCCCCCCGCCCCCAACATTGCTGAGACAATAATATTTTAGGCATAAGCTAAAGCAAAACTGGCTTAAAGGTACTTAAAGGCATGGAAAAATAATTTGAGAATTTACAATTACACTAGAGTTTACAATTTTACTACAAAAGATAAACATTTGTTTAAGTCAACCTGTATTCCTAGTGCGAAGGTATGCATATGGGAAAATGTTGACAATGCAAACAAGGCCAAGAGGTGTGAAATGTAAGCACATTATCACTCACTGTCAGATGCTAATGACTCTCATCAAGGTAGAAGAGATTGGTTTAAACGCAAAAATGATTATCCTTGGCAATAGAAGCACAAGTGAGACCTTAGCCAGTTATTTGGGTTCTTGTTTTTCCTGACAATACTCCTCATTAGTTCTTGGCTGTGATGCACAGAGAAGAGTGGGGATTCATGTGCCCCCTATGGATGAATGCTGTTCAAGCAGGATTTCTATGCAAAGCATAGTTCTTTCCCAACATATATGAACACAAACAAGATGGGAAATGATACATTTTGTGAAAGTCCTGACCTGATGGAAATGTACAAGTCCAAACACCTACCAATAAGTAGAAATAGGTATAACTCATTTATGAAGGATTTTCTGGAAATGTCTTATATATAAAATTATGTCATCTTTAACCAACCAAAAGATCTGGATGGGGAGAGGTGATGTTAATGCTGTTGATTAAAGTACACTCCTTTTCTTAAAAAAAAAAGAAAAGAAAAGAAAAAAAGATCAAGAAGGTTAAACTAATTTACTCCTAGTATTTATTATCTGTGGAGTTGTTCAGGTAATGAGTACAATAAAATTGAATGCACTGTCATCTTTATTGGGATGAAGGTTACATTCATAAGCTCTGCTTGTTTTAATAGGTTTATTGTGCAGTTGTAGACATGTGCTATTGCATTGGGATGGATATGCTTTGAATATTTTTCTAATTGTAGATAGTATAAAAGTCATTTTCTGTTAGATTGCACAAATCCATTACATTATGAGAAGGATACATTATTGTAACAGGATTAATGTGCAACACATAAACATAATCAGTAATATTCTGTTTGATAAATTATCTCATTTTAATCGGAATGTAAAGAGATTTCTGGATAGTTCTTTCTTTGATTTGCATAATTGTATCACAGACAGGCAAATTGCATTATATTCTTCATTAACAATAGATGGTTTATATAACTATTGTATTTTTGAAGGCACTGTTCTTACATTCATCCTGCAGTTTGTCATTTTCTGACATTGCTGGGGAGCTTAGTTGGGAGAGAATAGAACCTAAAAAAGATTACTTGATTTTCGCTGAGTCCAGTAATACCTTGGCATCCTATTGCACTGCGGTTATGCTATTGTTTGTTTTAACAAATTGCAACCTAGTGGCAAAGAACTTCTTTTAAAAATCTTCTAATGTGAGGACAATTCAGCCCTTATAGATTTCCACAGTGAAATGTCAGCCTTCTAACAAACTCCACGTGTAAAAATGTGAATTAAAATTAAGTTAGAACCATACGATTGATTTTATGTTTTCACTCTGGCAAATGCTCTCTCTGAGGGAACTTCCCTTTCCTCTCTCCGGCCCAGACAAAAGCTAACAAGTTGCCTGATGCTCCGAATATTCTTCAGGGACACATGGTGTTTACAGTCACTCAGTGATGATTATAAAGCAACTCCCTTCTTAGTGCTCAGCTAATGACAGCTGTCAGCAGCCCTTTAAAAGTGCAGCGCAACAATGCGGCATTTGGGTGGGTCTGAAATCCTTGGCTTTCAGGGCCGAAAGAGACCCTTTCTATGATACCTTCTAAGGCTGGGGGCCCTGCCCTCCTCACGTCCCCACTGGGATGCTGAGGAGACAGTGCTGGAGCAGATACCACACACGTGCCCCATTTCCCAGTCCATGGCCACACCCAGCCCAAGGCCTGTCACTCAGTAGGGGCAACAGGCATGTGTTGAAAACATGAACAGATGAATGGAGACATGGATTCCATCAAAAATTTCAGAATCTCTGGATGAAAAACTGAAAAAAAGAAAAGCTTTCACACTCAACGCAAATTTTACTTCCTACCACTGCCTCCCCTAAATTGAAAACATGAGACCCTATTACAACCCCCTAATAATTCTTTTTTGCTTTACCTGTGCTTGGAATGGAAAAGCTTCCAAAGCACCTTGATTTGTACTTTATTTGAATCTCACAACAGCCCCATTCCATGGGCAGAACCAAGTCACAGGTGCTGAAGAAAGGACGAGGCTTACAAAAGCCCTTCCTTATTGTCCTCACCACTCCTCCTGCCCCACTGGGAGCTAATATCTGTCCTGTATGCATCATCACCCTCCCTATACCCCCCCACCCATTCTTCACTCCCCACCTGCTTGGCCCTCTGCCTGCTGACCAGTGCCTGCAACTCTCCCTCCGTCCTCACGCCTGCCCTCTATTCTAATCTATTGCCCAGACTAGAGTGCAATGGCACAATCTCAGCTCTCTGCAACCTCCGCCTCCCAGGCTCAAGTGATCTGACCCCCTCAGCTTCTCAAGTAGCTAGACCACAGGTGTGTGCCACCACACCCGGCTAATGTTTGTATTTTTTGTGGTAGAGATGGGGTTTCGCCATGTTGCCCAGGCTGGTCTAGGATTCCTAAGCTCAAGCAATCTGCCCACCTCAGCCTCTGAAGTGCTGGGATATTCTACTCTCAAAAGTGATCCTCCATCTGGTTTTTTAGTCCCTGGGAGCTACATCTTTATTGGCTTATTTATTTTAGCCTGTAGGCCTTTTTTTCCTCTACATATCAAATACCAACAGGGTGATGGTTCAAGGGTAGATTCAAGGGACAGGTACCCACACTTCCAGGAACCCCTGCTCCCCCGAGCCCTCAAACTCCAACGCTCAGAGGCTCCTGAATCAGACTCCTCCTACCCCCATGGTGGAGGCTGCAGTATCCCCTGGAATTTAACTTCTATTTGCATTCTCCACCTCACCTCTCTGACAGGTATGGATGTTCTAGTCATTTCCAGGGGCTCCTAACCCCCAGGCAATTAATTCAGCTGTTGTAATCATGCTGGAGGGAGCAGATGTGCACTCCACGTGTCCAGTGTTGTATACTTGCTTCAGCTCTGGCCTTGTCCTTCCTCAAACTTGATTGTCAAATAGTCGTAATCTCTATGGAATTTGCCTGTGAGCTTTTCGATGGAGTCATGGCAGGAACTCTGCTAATCTGAGCTCTCAGCTGAGTGCAGTCTGAGTTGTCTGCAGGGATTCAGGCATTAACAGATATGTGTGGGGACCCTGGAGGCATGCTCCAGAAGAACCAATGCCAAGGAGGCTTTGTGCACAGACACAACTGGAAGAAGAAGAAAGAGAGAGAGAGAGAGAGATGGGGATAATGCCCATCTTCTGACCATTCATATGAGAAGAGCTGGAGGCAGAAGAAGATGCTCTCGGGGAAGCAAGGCCAGAGTAGCCCAGAGAGGCACACACAGGTGCATTCTCGGCACAGACTGTGGGAGCTCCACCGCACTGGGAACTGGAGGCTAGCACCTCTGTGGTTTGGGAGCTTAGGAGCTCCAGGAAACAGCAATGTTCTAGGCAGGAGATCAATTTTCCCATGAGGGCCCTGAAATCAGTGCCAGAGGCAAGCATCCATCCTCAGGAGGTATGCAGGCACAGGACCTTTGTGAAAACTCCCAGATGTTCATTAATGAACACTTGTAAGTGCCCAGAGATGCCCAGAAATAATGAGAGGGGAGGTGGCTCAGGACTGCTGCATGCAGGCAGCAGCGCAGAGGAGAGCGTGGACTGTCCGTAATAATGGAGCATACCCAAGGGCTAATGAGAAGGCCTAGGGAAAATTAGATTTTCTTCATGGATCACTTCATTGAATTAGAAGTTATACATACCAAGTCAGGTAAATTGGGGCCCTCTTGGCCAGTTGTGGCCCTCCAAAATTAAGAAGCATTGGAAATTCTTTCTAGCAGATTCTTCTCTAAGGACAACCTCCTTACTGGTGGAATAAAACAAAAAGCAAGGTCACGGTTGCGAGCTCTCGTAACACCCATTGAGAGAATTTTTGACGTGAGTGATAACTAACTTTGCATCAACAGACCTGCCCTCTGGTGGCTTACAAGTAAAGAGGAGAAACTGGCTCACAAAACCATTACAGAATGGAGGCAAGGGTATTTAATGTATTAAGCATCCAACTGTGTGATAATAACAGCTTAAATATAGTGGGTGTTTCAGATAAGCTGCACTCTCTGCATTGGACCTGCAGGGGCTAAGGAAAAATGTCCCCACTGCCGTCTGAAGGCTTGCTGGAAAATCAATGTGCAAAAGGCAGATTAACTGGCAAAAAAGTCATACAAATGTATGAATGGAGTGTACACAGGAGCCTTCAGAACAAAGGCCCAAAGATACAGGGGAAATTGTCCATTTAAATGCTTAGGTTCAACAAAGTATGGACAGTCATGTAGAAATTTGATTACATAAAAACAGTATGATCTAATGGTGATAGATTGAGAAGGAAAATCCAGCAAGGCCTGTCTATCTAGGTTCTCTAGGCCTCTCTGAGCATGAATTCCTTCCTTCTGGTTATGGGGCAGAGTCCTCTCTGGAATGGGTGTCCTACAGCCTACAGTCAAACGAGGAGGTCAGATGATTTCTTTCTTTCTTTTTTTTTCTTTGAGATGGAGTCTTGATCTCATCATCCAGGCTGGAGTGCAGTGGCGCGATCTCGGCTCACTGCAACCTCCACCTCCTGGGTTCATGCCATTCTCCTGCCTCAGCCTCCCGAGTAGCTGGGACTACAGTCACCCGCCACCATGCCTGGCTAATTTTTTGTATTTTTAGCAGAGATGAGGTTTCACCATGTTAGCCAGGATGGTCTCGATCTCCTGACTTCATGTTCCGCCTGCCTTGGCCTCCCAAAGTGCTGGGATTACAAGCGTGAGCCACGGTGCCCAGCCAGATGATTTCTTTATGGCCAGTTTTTATACAGAAAGGTGAAGGGAAAATTAGAGTAATATTTTTAGGCTTTTATGTCTGGCTTTAGGGAAGAAGTGTTCTGGTTTTCATGACCCATTCTGGGGAAAGAGGGATTCCAGTTTCTAAGGCTAGCCTCGGGGAGGAATGGGACAGGAGGAGAGACAGGAGGGCAGGAGATCAGAGAAACATTTTTGCCACTGAGGCCTTCATTTTCAGGTACTGTTTTCTGAGCCCCAACAGACCCATTTTATAGATGTGCAAATGCAAGTAAGGAGAGGTCAGGACTGTCAGCTGGGAGGTGTGACTTTGGGTGGTGTGGCTCCAGGGTCTATGCTCCTCATCCCGTGTTTTGCCCACCCCTACCCACTCAATGCTTTGTGCTGTGCTGATTCAAGGAGGGAGATCAGGGTGAGCTGGAGCAGCTGAGGAAGGCTTGAAAGACCAGGGCTGGGAGGCACACAGGCACAGTTCAAGAAAGAAAACCAGTGAAAGCCACGGCCCAGAGTGAAGGAGTGAGTGTGTGTCCCTTTTTTGAGCCTTTCCCACAAGCACTGAAGGTCAAGGACTGAAGCCTGTCTGTCACCCTTGATTTTATAAGGTGACCCAGCCAGTTAGTGGAGGAATCCTGACTCCTGGTACAGATTCGGGTGTGCCCCACATCTGTCAGGGCCACTTCCTGCCCACTGCCCCAGCCAACTGTTCGAATATCACTTGTGTTATCAAATGGTAGAGTCAGATATCCGGATGCTTCCTCTGGGTAATCTCACCCGACTCTCTCATTTTAGAGTTTCCCAAATGCCCCTGTTCTGACACATCAGTCCCTGCTATTTCCTTTGCCTTGAATGTTGTCTTCCCATATGCTGTTTCCCTAGGAAACTCCTCACCCATTAAACCAACTGCTGGGACCCACAGCTCTGTGACCCCTTCCCTCTTCTGGCAGTGGAGGCGATGGCCCCTCCTCAGTCCCTCACTGTCCTCTCCCATGGCGCTTGTCATGCTGCACTCACTCTGCGTGACTATTCACCCACCACCCCTTCTAGGCCCACAGATGAGATGGTGCCTCTCTCTGGATCTCCAGTGCCTGACATGGGATCTGGTCCTAAGCAGGTGCTGGAAACACATGCCAGGCAAAGGAAGAATGGAAAGAAGGAAGGAAGGAGTCTGGCATCCCACTTACAGAATGGAACAGAGCACCATGGCATGCATTTGGGGTGGGCTGAACGATGGCCACAGATAGCCAGGTCCTAATCCCTGGAACCTCTGGATATTACCCTCCATGGTGATAGAGACCTTGTGGATGTGACTGCATTAAGGATTTCAAGATAAGGAGGTGATCCTGGCTTATCCAAGTGGGTCCTAAATGCAATCACTAATGCCCTTAGAAGAGGGAGGTAGAGAAACATTGGGAACAGAACAGGAAAGAGATGTGATGATAGAAGCAAGGGGAGCGAGCAAAGGCCGTGAATCCAGGAATGAGAGTGATCTGGAGAAGCCTGAAAAGACAAGAAACAGGACCGGGCACGGTGACTCACAAGTCAGCACTTTGGGAAGCCGAGGCAGGCAGATCACGAGGTCAAGAGATCAAGAGCATCCTGGCCAACATGGTGAAACCCCATCTCTACTTAAAATACAAAAATTAGCTGGGCGTGGTGGCGCTCACCTGTAGGAGAAGAATTGCTGAGGCAGGAGAATCGCTTGAATTTGGGAGGCGGAGGTTGCAGTTGCCACTGCACTCCAGCCTGGAGACAAAGTGAGACTCCGTCTCAAAAAAAAAAAAAAGAAAGAAAAGAAAAAAAGAAACAGACCAACCCCAGGAGCCTCCAGAGGAAGCACAGCCCTGCTGGCACCTTGATTTTAGCTCATGAAAACCCATTTCAGACTTCTGGCCTCCAGTACTGCAAGAGAAAAAATGTGTGTTGTTTGTTGTAAGCCACCAAGTCTGTGGTAATTTGCTACAGCAGCAACAGGAAGCTAATACAATATTTTTTATTATACCCTCTGCATGATTAGTGCTGGGCTCCCAGAATACATACTGTAATCGCTCCCACATCTCACATCCTATATCTGGCCTGAAAACCCTAGGAGCCATGTCCTGTCTTCTTTGTGCACACTATTCCTTGTGGCCAGCTCTGGGTCACCTCTGGCTCATTTGCATATTGTAATCTGTCCCTGCTGAGATAGTCCCAAAAGAGCAATTTTTCCAGAGCTCATGCAGGAGCTGAGGCATCTCCTTCAGGCTTCTTATGGAACCCAAGTGCAAGGCCAGAGAGCGAGAAGCAGGCCAGCTTGCTGCGCTGCACCACCAGCAGGAATGCAAACCTCAAAACATGTAGCCGAGGCTCTCTGGGCTCTCTGGGAGTGCAGCTGGCAACCACAGGCATTTCTGCATGGAGGGCAAGCTGCAGTCAATGGCCAGTTAAAAAGGGAGAGGTTATTTTGTTACAGGACTAGCCTTATACAGAACTTAATAGGGGAGGTCATATGAAGGCCTCCAGAAAGCCCTATTGCTTCCAGTTCTCTCCCTAGCCATGTTCATTCATGCAACAGATAGTGATTGGACACCTTCTAGGCATTAAGCATCAGACTAGGAATTAGAAATAATAGAAAAATAAAATTGAAGTCTACTAGAAGCCCAGGGTCTAGAAAAGGGGATATATATTATGAGCATATATTGCAAGAAAAATGACAAGACACACACACTTGTGTGCACACACACACACGTACACATGCATATATACATGTGCATATACATGCACAACGTGCACACACAGGGGCTAAGTGCTTTAGGGGATAAAAGTACAAATATTAATGGAATTCAAAGTAAGGAGAGGCTGATTTTGTCCTCAGCGTAGGGGACATTTAAGTCGAACATTAAAGGGTGAAAAGGGCTTTCAAGGTGAAGAACAGAGATGCAGATTCACAGAGGGGAAGAGCATGTGCAAAGGCACAAGAGGTGAAAGGGCACGATGTGGTTGGGAAAGGCCATGTAGTTCCAAGTGGCCAAGATTCCAGAGCTCAGGTATGAAAAGGCCTGAGAGAAGATGGAACCCCATATTAAAAGTCCTCTAAAAATGGGTTCATTTCCTGGTTTTTTTCCTTTTACTAGTGGTATAAATTTGGGCAAGTTTATTAATCTCTCTTTGTCTCTATTTCCCTATTAAATAAATATAATATCATAAATTTGGGCAAGTTTATTAACTCTTTATCTCCATTTCCCTATTAAATAAACATAATAATATCATCTCTCACATGTGGTATTGTTAGGCTATATGATTTTACATGTGTACAGGGCTTAGCAGAGTTCCTGGCTAGTAGAAAGTGGTTGTTAAATGTTGGCTGTTATTCTCATGAAAGTTGTATACTTCATCATGATAGAAATGACACTTACTCATTCTAGAGCTCTATTCTATAACAGATGCTCTGCTGGATTTCTTACAAAGGACATCTTATTTAATCTTTGACTCTAGGAGGTTGGTGTCATAATTTCCATTTTTGCAGGTAAGGAAATTAAGACTAAGAGAGATCAAGGGTCTCGTCCAGGGTCACACAGATATGACATGAAAAACTGTGAGCAGAAGATATTTCTGTCGTCAAATGAGTATGGTCACCCCCATCTGTGCACCACAGGACTACGCCCTGGACGTAGGCACTGAGGACCACAGGGACTTTCTAAGTAGAAAAGCAAAGTTTCAGATTTATTTTTTTGAAGGAACCCCCTAAAAATACAACCCGATAACAAATATGAAAAATACTCCAATTACGCATAATCAAAGAAACACGATGCTATTTTTTAAAAGAAAAATACCCAGTGCTAGCGAAGGTATGATACATTAGGCAGTTTCATGTATGGTTGATGAAAAAGCAAGTCAGCATGACCCTTTTGCAAGATAATTCTGTGTTGTGTTCTAACCTTTAAAATACCCAGGTGTTTTAAACCTATCATGCTGCAGCTGAGACTTGATCCTTTGAAAAGAATTCAAAATTGGGGAGAGCTTTATGTGTAATAAATAAAAAGTAAGACTAGTAATAATAACAAGGAAATTATGATACTACCATATTATCGATGCTTTTGAAATAATCTTAAGTAAAAATAATCATGAAAAGCATTGGTTAAGGTGAATGCAGTACTATGTGAAACACATAAAAATATGTGCAGGGGAGCTTCCAGGTTGGCAGACACGGTAATGGGCTGGGAGTGTGACATGCCCCCAAAGGGAAAATGCTGCCCTTCCCCACTGTCCCCCACTCTCTTCCCTTGCCCTGTATATGTATTTCGTTGGGCTATTCCTGAGTTGCACTCTTTATTATAAACTGGAAAACATTTTTAAAAAAATATGTGCATGAAAAAAGACCAGAAAGAAATACCTAAAAACATTAATGGTGGTAGTTTTTGAGTAATCAGATTCTTTTTTTTCCCATTTTTTTAGTGTTTTAAAGATATTCCACATCATACATATATTACCCTTATAACCAGAAATAAATAATTATCTCAAAGTGGAGAATAACTTTATAGCAGATGTTTACTTATTTGGGCAAAGAGAATAATTTCCAAAAATGCTAACAAAATCTGTAAAATTCCAGTATGTAAAGCAGATAAAAGGACAGCAGTTCTGGATCAAGTAAGCATGAGGATCCCCAAAACTTTGTCCCTCAGCTCAATATCATGTCTGCAGAAGCCAGAGGCATCCAGGGCATAGTATAAAGACCAGTGGTAAGCCGTGCATGGTGGTGCCCGTCCGTAGTCCCAGTAACTCAGGAGGCTGATGTGGGAGGATCACCTGAGCCTGGGAGGACAAGTCTGCAGTGAGCTGAGATCATGCTGCCACTGCACTCCAGCCTAGTCGACAGAGCGAGACACTGTCAAAAAATGAAAAAACAAAAAAAAGCAGTAGTGAAGTCAGGTCCCCAGTTTTGCAGCCAGCTCATCCCCTTTCCAGGAAGGCTCAGGTGTCTGTTCCCTGTTCCTGTCTCTGGGGTCTTTGACTAAGGTGAGTGAGCTCCTTAGGCATGAACACCCACTGGATGTACAGACCAGGACATAATTCAGCAGCTACAGAGCCAATGACCAGTGCTAGGAGCTGCAGTGACATCCCCAGCAAGCAGCCACCTCATGGGGACATCACCCTGCCACCCCACCCACCAACTGTCCCCTAGGAGTCAGACACTGAATGTGCTTATAATGGCCCTAAAATCACTGGCTGCAGCCCCAGGAGCTCAGGACTCTAACACTATAATAATCCTGGACCTGTAACTTCCGACCATGATGCTGACTGCTGTAAGCTTCTGGCCATGCAACTGGTTTTTGGTAACATCCCAAGATTCAGATCAGCGGGGCTTTTGAAAACCCTAAGTTTTATTCCAAAACCTGTTTGGAGACCTTTCCTGGCCTTTCTCTTTCACTCCATCCCTTCACTGGTTGAATTCTACTATCTCCTTCTCTAAATGTGAGACATACATTTTTACTCTAGGGGTACCACTTAGCTTGTAAGGAACAAAAATAAGCCTGCTGCTTTTCTCACCAGCCATTTGCCTCATATTACAGTAAATGCTTTTCGAAAGAGAATTAGTCAAGATAACAGTTTTCCTTCAGCAATAGCGTTTCCACAGCAGGCCACGCATGAGGCGTGCTCAGCCTTGTGAATTTTCGATCAGTTCTGGGAATTACATATTTTAACCCAAATAAATATATTTGGCTCAGTATCAAATGAAAAAAAACATCATCCTTAAGCTTTTCTTCCTTTTCTCTTTTTCTGCAGGAGCAAATTAACTCCACATATATTCCCCATAAATTGGGGCATCAGCTAGAAGCAAAACTCCCAATTCCCTATTCCCCAGGTGAATTTAATCTCAGTGAACTCAAATAATTAAACATAAATGGAGGTATTAACTTTGAGGCAAGTAGGAAGTTCAAAAGTATTTAGCCAATCTGGGGATTGCAGATGCAACCTGCACCTGACACCAAGCTGCATAATGTCCCCAAAACCGATTCACTGTGCTCTTCCAATGGGCTGCCCTAAAGCCTGCCTGTCTTTTCCTACCAAGGGTTACAGCGGGCTTCATGGTACCAATGGGCTTAGGGCAAACCCATCCTTGGGACAAGAGAAACAAGTCAAAAATCACATCTTTCTTGGGAAGCCCAATTAAGTGAAACTATATTTAGAAACAAATATGCATTTTCTTCCTCTCACACTTTCAGTTGCTTCTTTACAGCATCAACTACCAGATGATCCTGAATACCACTCACCCATCCATCCTGGCAAATCCCTGCTAAAAAAGCCTTCAGGACGTCCCTAAACGTATATAGTCAGTCTAGACTTCTTAGCCTGGAATTTGAGCCTTTAGCTGATAATTGACCTTAACACTATAATAAAAGTAGCTGGCACTTACTAGAGCATCTCCTGTGCCAGGCACTTTATGAATATTATCTTATATAATGTTAACCTTATGGAACCTCAGGAGGAAGGTTTTTTTGCTCTTTGTTTTCCCAAGGGAGAAACAAATCTAATGTGGTAAATAACCTGACCTAGTGAGTGGTGGGGGCTGAACTTAAACCCAGGCTATCTGACTCCTGAATCTTCCCTCGTCACCTTTGGGCTGTTCAGTTGGCGCTTACCGAGGGACAGTTCAGGCTCCAGGCGGAGGAGCGAGAATCGGGACATTCTTTCTTCTCCATCAGCCGTGAGCGAGCACAATGCAAGTGAAATGTAGCCTTTCATTTTATCACGCAATGAGCATAATTAGGAAACAATGAGGAATGACAACTAATAATGAACCTCTTTTCTTCCTAATTAAAATTTAACGACTGTATTTCTTCCATTATTGCCCAGAGCAGCAGTGTATGGTGTGTGTTAACAAGATCCTAGCTGGGCTCAAATGGCGGCCCGAGTTCTCATATGGCTTGGCACAGTCCTGCCCACGCATGCCAAGAATGTACTTGCTTTGTAGGTGGCTGCCATTCTGCCCTCATGTCCTGGCGGCAAGAGGGAAAATAAACCTGGATGGGTTGAATCGGGTCAGATTGAGGAGAGTTTTCCTGAGAGAAACGATTGGTAAGTATGATAACTCCACAGACACAGGGGGAAAGGACAGGCTTGGGGGACAAAATTGGGTTCAAATTTCAACGCAGCCAACTGCTTGCCATGTGACCTTGGACAAGCTCATTTGCCTCTAGGAGTCAGTTTCTTCATTGGTGAGTGGGAAGAAAGTGCCTCCAGTGGCACTGCTGCGAGCTTTCAATGATGAGACGCGGGTGTCAGACACTCAACACGGTGAGCAGGGGAGTGTTGTACACATCTGTCATCTGTGGTTGCCCAAAACTTCTGGAACACTCCCTTTGCATTTGGATTGTTCCCTGAATGTGAAACCTACCTTCCCATCAGAGATTCCCCAGAACCACATTTTCCAGCTTCCACTGCCATTAGAAGGCAAATGTGACTCAATTTTGCTGATCAGATGCCCCTGCAGTAAGCTTTGATTTGGAGCAGTTATAGGATGGACGAGGTGGGGCGTGGCCCTCTGTTTTGCTGGCAGAGGGTGGCAGCGTGCCTGGAGAGGGGACAGCTAAGGTGCCAACTTCCTGGTGGCTGCAGAGGAGGCAGCTGCTTGGCAGGCCAGTTCTGCAGTGGGCACTGGGAGTTCCTCCCGAACACCCTGCCTAGAATCTATTTCTTCTGTCCTCCCAGTAGTTCTATGCATTTCCTCTACCCATAAATATATCGCTTTCTGCTAAAACTGGCTAGAGTGGCCTGTGTTACCTGCCATATAGAGCCTGACCCATAGAGGGAGCGAAATGGCCACTTCATCTAAGTGCTGGCAGAGGTAAGTGTTGACACGATGACTGTCAAGAGGCTACTATGATAACCCAAGTAGGAAAGACGAGACCAGGGAACTCCAACAGGTACTTATTTCTAGGAATCTACCACCTATATGTCCCCCGAATCTCCCTCTACTCTCCATCCCATTGACAACCCCTTGGGCTGCATCCATAGTCCTTCCCCAAGATGGCCACAGTAGCCCTTGGTGAATCTGTCTGCCTCAGGATCACATCCTCACCAGCAGCCGGGGTGAGCTTTCAAAAGCAGCAGTCATCTCACATCCCCTGCTTAAACATTTCCTGGAGTTTCCTTTGTATTTAGGACAAAGTCAGAATTTCTTATCGTGGCCTACTAGAAGCTTCATGATCTGCAACCTCCTCCCCTCCATCTCTCCCGTCCACCTCCCCTTCTGACACAGTGCCTTAATCCATGCTTCACTTCTAGAAGATCCTTCCCTTCCCCTACCCCACAGGCTTTGAAGATCCTCAGCCAGTACCTCTGCCTTTCCTCTTTTCGTGCCTGGTGAACTGCACTTTGCTTCCTCGGGCAGCCTCCACTGTCCCTGGGCTCGGCTAGGCCTGCCCAAGCACTCAATTCTCCCCTTTCATAGCTCCCAAGCTCCTTTTAGGGAGTGCTCATTTGGCGTCTGTCCACAGAAGACTAGTGCTCCCTGTCCATCGTGTATGTTGTTCCTGACATGCCCTCAGTCTGGAGGGGAACATGACTCAGTTAGTGCACGTGATGTGATGAGTGCCATTTCAGAGCTAAAATAGTTTGGAAGTGAACGAACCTTCTCCACGCTCATCCTGTACCCATCTACCAATGGAAGGAAAGGACGAGCAACCCTGGGGGTGGCAAGGCTCCAGGTGGAAGAAGCTTGGCTCCCTGAATGCCTATTTTGAAGCCTGCCTGTCAAATACCTACACTGAATTGATAGGACATAAGCCAAGAATAAACTTGTATTATATTAAAACACTGAGTATTTGGGTAGCCAGCTTTACTCTATCTAACACAGCCCTGCTAGAGTCTTGAGGAGAACATGGAGCCTGTCCTCTGCACAGCTGCATTCTCAGCACTGAGCACACTTCCTGACCCAGAGTAACGGCCCCATAAGCATGGGTTTCATGAGTGACAGAGAAAGAAATCTATAGGCCAAGAGAACAGATAGTACTATAGCTGCAGGATGCAGGCGTGGCAGAAACCAAACTAATTCAAATACCAGGAGGGTTTAAGAAGAGAAAGGGGCACGTCTGTTAGTGGGGCCCATCAAAGACTGAGAGGACAGCCGTGCTGGTGCACGAAATACAGGGCCAGAGAGGAGACAAGTTATTGCATTTTTTGTACAGCCACCACTCGCATGTCAAACTCTCATTTCTTTCTCCCAACACGAGTTATACATCCAGGCGGAGTTCCTGGCATGATCCTCCAGAGAGAGGAAAACAGTGCATGTATTTTTCTCCCCATCATAAATACCTGAATGACTTGATGGCTCAGTTGAAAGCACTGAAGTGTAGGGACAATTTCCTCTTTCAATGCCTGTATATACATCTGCTTATGTGTGTATTTAGAGTGTGCATATGTATGTGGAGAATGAAGCTCGGCTCAGTAAAACTAAACTGATCTCAAATATACAATGTGATCACGTTTCCTGGAAGGGAAATAATAAACCCTTCTCAGGATTATAAAATTTTGGAGCTGGAAGGAACCTTAGAAACTATCCAATTCAGACCACTCATTTTACAATTGGAGAAACTGAGGCCAGGAAAGCCAAAAGCCTTGCTCCAGACTTACCAGTTGCCTGGTACAGAGGCAGAGCTGGTCTCCAGCTTCCCACTCCAGTGCTCTTTCCACTTTCTTAGGGTGTAAGATTTTATCTGTAGGTAGGGAGGATTAATAAGGCTAGTATTCTTCTGTCTACTGTCGAAGGCATTAGATTCTAAAGGATGGCTCGCAAGTGACCTCAGGACCTGGCCTTATAAGGGTCTGTCTCTACTGGTCAGCAGGATGTCCAGCAGCCACTGGTCTTGATCTTGTGTCCACGTCCCAAGTGCCTTTGTTCTAGGTCCTTTCCCTGTGTCCCTCTAAATTGTGCTTAACCCCACTGGTAACCCTCATGGAAGATAATGGTTACCATTTCTTAAGCCCTGTGGTGTGTTCCAGAAACTGTGGCAAGTACTTTACATAAATTATTGCCCACAGTTCTAACCACAACACTAGCAGGTAGGTGTGCTGTGCCTGGTTCTACAGGTGAGAATACGGAGGCTCAGAGAGTCTAAGTAATTTACACAAGATCACACAGTCAAGGGGACAGAGCCAGGATTTGAACTCTGGTCTGTCCGGTGGCAGGGCCCATATTGCTACCTGGCCACAGTGACACTGCCTCTCCAATAGAAGAACTGAGAATAAAACGAGGTTGAAAGGATAGATGCAAAAGTCATCCAGGAGATGCCAAGACTAGGAGGTGTGCATTTTGGTGAGATGTCCTCATTCAATGCTGACAAGACATCAGACACTCACTTCTGCACGTCCCTCCCCAGGTGGTGCATAAGCTCCAGTAGCTGCCTCTCCTACTTTCCTTCCATGTCTCCATCCTGGTGGGACTCTACCATTGGCAGATCCACCAGCCCAGGCTAGCCGCAGAGACCATAATGTTCCCATGTGAAATGCCGAAACTGGGAATTTTTACACGGAGTTTACGGTCAGCAGTTTTCCCTAGAAACCATCTATACATCTGCACCTTCCACTCAGGCCTTTTATTCTCATCCTTCATGCTACCTGAATGTGAAACGGGGTTGACTCATTTTAATTTCCTGCTACAGAACGCATAGCACAGTGTCTAGGAAGCAAAGAGAGAGTAGCATATACATATACGTCGTACATATATACGAATGTAGATGTAATGTTTTCTCCCTATATATATGTAATCTATATGAAATGAATAATATATATTTAATTATTTATTTCAATGTTTTCCAGAAAAAAAATAATTTTCAAAATACCAGTAGGCTGGAGAAGTCCTTGTTCTCTTCCCACCATGATTTTTAGTCCCAGGCAGCAGGAAATCTTGGGTCAAGTAGGAGCTTTGTCTTCCCAAGGCCCATAAGGCTTACAATTCTGAAGTTTTGGTCCCTTGAGGAATGCCTCCTCTCCTGTGGGCTCCCCATAAACCCAGTGCCTTTGATTAAAGCTGACCTCCTCATCCAGCCTTCTGTACTCCCAACTGACCCAACTTCTCTGGTTTTCCAGATTTTTGATGAGTGATGTTTGCATCTTGCAATCATCTGCACACATGGACTGAGATGTTGGCAGTCTTCCAAATAGCTTTTAGAGATCAGTAGGTTGCAAAAATATCATTTGGCTGGTAAACTGCTCACAGAACAAGCTACATTTCCCAGAGTCCTCTCCTTCAACCCTACCCATCACTATCCACCCCTGCCTCCTTTTCTTTTCTCCACCTCACTAGACAGAATGACACCTAGCACCAGCCTGAAGAATGCATCTTTTTCTGCATGAGTATGCAGTGTACACAGACACACACACGCTGATTTCCATGCATTTCTAAGCAGAGGGAGAAGAGCAGAGGCCGCATTCGCTTCTGTCTCCTGACCCTCATAGCTTTATTCAGGCCAAGGGAAAACAAAAGAGAGAACACTCAGGAATTTTTTTTAACACTAGTCAGGTGTTTGTGGACTCCACAGCTGCACATGTCACTGGTGAGAACATGCATTGGGATCCTCAGAAGGTTGTTAGGAAGAATGAATGAATGATCATGTAGAAAGCAGCCTGCACACACGGTGCTGCCTAGATGCTTGCTCCTCCAGGCACGCTGCTGATGCACAACAAGCAGGCTCTGGACCCTAAGTCTGACTTGCCCAGAAAGCACATAATGCAGGCAGCTTATCCCCATGCAGGAGAAATATCTCAGTGACAGGAGCTCCACGGTTCATACCCAGAAACCACCTTTAATGCCTCATGCTTATACAAACAGCCACCATTTATTGAGTGATATCCACTCACACAAGTTAAGGTGCCAGGAGCTTTGTACACATTATTTCTCAGCTTCCCAACCCTCTAAAGTTGCATTATTGTCCTCATATCATATTAGTAGTGAGGAAACTCAGGCTCAAAGAGGTTAAAAAAACTAAGTAGTCAGGATCTTGAAGGTGGGATTCAAATCTAGGTGATTGGGCTCCCAAATCCCATTCTTTCCCTTACACCACGTACATCACCGCCCTCCCCACAATGACAATGCTGAACATCATAGCTGAAATCTAACCCACTAATAAGGTTAACTACTCTCATTATCTAAAACTAGAGAGAAAAGCCATTCTTTTATGTATTCAACCAATACCGGTTGGACTCTATGGGAATTTAAAGAAAAAGAAGTCCTTTCCCATAAAAACAGCATCATTATTGAAAAGTATTGTCTGAAATATATGAAAACTAAATAGCCAGTGCTATCATGCCATGGATTGTCATGCTTTCCTAGACTTACATGGGCCCTTACAGCTTATCTCCAGGACACTGGTTGTAAAGATGAAGAAATTGGGGTCCTGTGTGGGCAAACATTTGCCCTGTGGTGCAGTGTTAAAGCCAGGTTCCAACCAGAACTTTGGTGTCTAATACTCTATCCCTAGCTCTCTCCAAAGATTTTAAGAAAGGTAGCCTCATAAAGCAGTGGTAGATGAGTAAGCAGTTCTCCTGCTGAGGGGTAAGTGGCCAGCTAGCTCTGGTTTTTAAGATGGACTGAGGTCCGCTGGCTGCTGTGAGCAGGAGTGCACAATGAGGGCAGAGAGTAGAGTATGTGGTCACACATACCTTATTGACCACAGCACAGCCTACTGACGCGGTCAGAGGGGAACCCAGAGGAAAATAAATATTGCTATGTTAGAGAAAAAATTATAAAAACCAGACACCCTACTCACATTATAAATGTCATATCATGTTGGTGCCTAATCAACACTTTGAAGCATTAGCATTGTTTTAATCATTCTTCTATTGGAGAACAAATGTTGCATATATAATTACACTGCTGTATTGTACTGTACAAATAACCATGTAATGACATCGTTGGAATTTCTTGGTTCTTCATGGTAATGCCAAGTATAATTACCATGTAATCTGCCGAGAGCAAACAAGGTTGTAATTATTCCATAATCCAATCTAATTATGGGGCAACTGGATTGTTGTTTGTGTTCAGGAGGAAAATATACATGCAAAGAGGAGAAAAGGAAATACATTCTCCCCAACCGAGGGTATAGTAAGTCAGGGGCTTGCAGATGGTTTTTTAGTAATGCTATCATCTGCTTAGATGATAAAATATTTGCTTATTGGACCGTCAGTGTTTGAGCCCCATCATCTTTAATGCTGACTCTGGATTCACTGGGTGAAGGGCTGCAAGAGCAAGTCAGAGACGGAACAGAGGTGACAGATGTGGAGAGAGCTTCTGGAGTCAAGTGCCTGTTCATTGGAATCAGGAGGATGGAGAGAGGCCGGCCCTCATGAAAACCTCTTTTCCACAAGCCTGCCCTGTGCCTCTGACACATACCTGGGACAACGACAGAAAAATGAATATGTTCCCACTCAACTCAGCTAAATTAACCAACCATGCCTTGTTTCTCCTGCTACAGGCCTTTGATGGTGGATGCAAGACTGGGTCTGGGCCCCACAGAGATAAAGAAGACAGAGAGGAAGAGAATGCAGGAAAATGGGAGCAGGCGTCAGCAAGACGTGCGCTGTGTGTAGGTTGGTGGGAACTTCATTAGTTTCCTAGGGCTGCTGTAACAAAGTGCCACAAACTGGGTGGCTTGAAACAACAGAAGTGTGTTGTCACACAGTTCTGGAAGCTACAAATCCAAACTTAAGACATCCACAGAGCCACTCTCCCTAAGGAAGCTCTAGTTAAGATATTTCCCTCCCTCTCGCTCGCTTCTGGTGTTTGCTGGCAATTTTTGGCCTTCCTTAACTTGCAGCTGCCTCACTCCAATCTCGGTCTCTGTCTTCCCATGGCATTCTTCCTGTGTCTCTGTCTCTTCACATGGCATTCTTTTTATAAGGACATAAGTCAGTTTGGATTAGGGGCCCACTGTACTCCAGTATGACCTCATCTTAGCTAATAACATCTGCAATGACCCTATTTCCAAATAAGATCACGTTCTGAGGTACTGGGGGTTAAGACTTCAACTTATCTTTCAGGAGAGAAGTCACAACTCAATGCATAATAGGGACCATTTATTTATACATGTGTTCGGCACGCAGTTATTAAGCATCTGCTATGTGACTTGTATATGATTATTGCCTTGCTTTTCTTTCCTCAATTGAACACTTACTAAGTGTGTCACAAGCAGTATCTCATTTAAGTCTTTTACAATTTTATGACGTTGGTGCTACTATTGTTTTCATTTTACATATGAGGAGGCTGAGGCTTAGACAGGTCTTATAACTCAAGATGTGGCTGGGATCTCAGTCCAGGCTTTCAGACTCTAAGAACTGCACTCTGGCTTCATGCCCAGCTTTGCCAACCCTATGTGTTAGCAGAACACATAGAGAAAGGAGCCAGGGGGCCTGAAGAGAGCCTTCTGACTGAGGTCAGTGGAAGGCCACCATCCCAGAGCAGCCCGTAATAGGGGTCAGAAGGGACCACTGCAATGTGGACAAGGAGGTATCTGAAACTGGGCATCCAGGCAGGAGTTAAGATGGGAAGATGGAGAGTGTGGGTAAGTGTTAGGATGGAAGGACAGGGGATAGGCATAGTTTCAACATGAGGCAGCCCATCCCACTAAATATTTCCAGGACCATTTGTTGGCTTGCTCCTACCGATGGAAGCTTTCACTCTGCACCATCTTGCAAAGGCTCCTCTATAGATGGGGCACACCATGTCCTTGTCCCTCCACAGATGTGGTGCCCAACTGTGGCCCCCTTCCAAGGCAGTCAGGGAGGGGAGGGTCCACCCACCTCACTAGCTTTCCCTTCTCACTTTAAGGCCTGCCTGTGAGCCATATGGTCACCTGGCTTCAGAAACTTGCTTCCTTTCTCAAGGTACTGAAAGCTTTCAGAGAAAATTACAGTTATGCAGTCTTAAAACAGATAGTAAATTCTTTATTTAGGGACTAATCTTGTCAGGCTCGTCGACCCTGGTGTTGGCTGCTTTTCTAACCTGACATCAGTTAATCCGAACTGGCCAGAAGTTAATCCCTTCGAGAACGAGATGAAAAGTGGTTTTGGGAGGCAATATTTAAAGGCCTACACACAATAACACACCTCTGCCCCTGCAGTTCCAGAGCTGCCTCTGCATTTCTATTTCTGGAAAGGGTTCAAAAACCTGTTTGTATGAATGGATGTGAAGGACTTTTTATGGCTGATCTTGCGAGATAATACTTTTTGTGAATAATGTAGAAGTGTTTCTACTTTAAGGCAGAAGGCACATGGCCTAAGTATGTGTGTTTATCAAATATGGCACAGACGAAGGGCAGACTGCAACCAGTGTGGGGAGTTTGGAGGCTGCAGAAATGCCACAGAGATTCTCTAGTTGTCAAATGTCAGGGGAAGGGGTGAAAACAAGCCTTCATGGGAATCCTCCAGAAAAACTGATATTTGTAATCAGTTACTACATTCTGGGCATTGGACCCATTTGAACTGCACTGTGAGGTTTGATGAGAAACATATCCTCTCATCTTCCTTACCCTCATAACAACCCACCATGATATTAACAGCATTATTTCACAGAAGAAGAAACTGAAGCTCAGAAAGGTTAAGTAACTTACTAAAAGTCACACAGTTACTAAATCATAGAGGCTGAGGTGAAAAACCACATGTGATTCTCAGGCACAGGGTCTTCCCTTGGAAGCCACAGACTTATAGAGCAAAGACAAATAACTATATACGTCCCAGGCCTGGGATTACTGTCTTTTATTGCCAGGTGGCCTGTGTTTCTTTCACCTGCCAGTGTTTAGCTCGGACCCCTCTGCCTTCAGGAAGATTTTCTGGACTACATAAGACAAAAGAAAAGGCATATAGAATTAAAACGTCAGAGTTCACACAAATCTTATGGCTTATCTTGGTCACTGGTTTCAACTGTGTTTTGAGAAGTCCTAGAGGTTCACTCTGGAGCCACTAGGGAAGGGGGCTAGGAGTGAGTGAAGGCATACCCAGGGGTGGGAATTCACACCCCCACACAATGCTACAGCACTTTACATGTTACTTGCTACATATTTACACTTTACATATTAGACTTCTTTTATTACCTTTTATTTGAAAGAGGGCACTGTAGCTCAGATAAAAATAATGATAATGATAATAAGCTAAAGCTGGACATGCTCCCTTATTGTACATTATTCTCTTTCTATAGATAGGGAAATAGAAATAAAGAGAAGGTAAGTTCCTTACTGAAGGTCACAGAACTAGAACTGGAACCCAGGTCTCTGAGCTCTAATCCAATATTATTGCTAATAATCCATTTTTCTTCCTGACTCTTAGATCCAACTGGATCCTGACACTGTAAAACATTAGCAGATATATGCACATGTATACAGGTATATGACATGAAAAATACATAAGTATGTTGTAGAGTTGTATATATTTAACCAGCTCCTGTGAACTAGACTGTACATTCATTGAGGGCTTGAACCATATCATTTTTAGAGCTCATGACTCTCATTTTCCATGACTCCTTAGCTGTTCTCAAGCGAGAACCATCTCTTGTGAGATGTTGAGATGGTGACATTCCTAATGCCTAGCAGAATGCTTGGCATATAACGGATCCTTAATAAATGTTTAGAGACTGAGTAAACAACCCTGAGAACCAGTTTTAAATCTCTACTTCAGTACCTCCAATGGCAATAAACTTATTACCTGTGGAACAACCCATGCTGTCCTTGAGTACCTCCAGGTGTTACACTGAGTCAAAATTTATCTCCCAGTATATTCAACACTGGTTGGGTCTGTTCTACTGCTTTGGATCCAAGCTGAATCCCCTTCCACTAAAAGCATGGCATGTATTTTGAAAGAGGTATCATGTACCTTCCACACTTAATTCTTTCTCTCTCTCTCTCTCTCTCTCTCACACACACAGAGGTGTGTGTGTATGTAACTTATAAATCCTTTGTTTTTCCTTCTGTCATTCTTCATATAGCCATTAGTGTAATGACTAAGTACTCTGTCTATATTCAGATTATTTGGATTCAAATCCCCTTGGATCATGCATGTGCACACACACACACACACACACACACACACACACACCCCTCCTATTCCTGTTTGTTCCCCCTGGTGAGTTCTGTGATTTGCCCACCCCAAGATTCTGTTTTGCTTAGAGATCCTGTTAAATCCTTAATTCAGGAATATCACAGTAGGTCCTAAAAGAGGCAGTATTTTTCCTACTTAATGGCAACTTCAGAAATAAGTGATGGAAACATAGCCAGAGTTAATGCACAAATTTTAAAAGATATGATAATATTATCAACTAATTTATGCCAATATATTTGAACAATTGAATAAATGAACATATTTCTAGAAAAATAGGATGTTCCAAATCTAACATATGTAGCATGCTTGAGTAGCCTGATACAAAATATAGATATCAAAGCAGTGATTAACTACTTCACACACAGTTCCCCACACAGAGAACATCAAAGAGTTTTACTACTATTTACCATGTAAATGCAAAAAAAAAAAAAATTATTCTAATGATATACAAGGTCTCCCAGAGAATTTCTCAATTCATTCTATGAGGCCATTATTGCCTTGATATAAGGAAAAGGATAATATGAGAAAGAAAAATTACAAGTTTAATTTATAAATATCAATACAAGTATGTTTTTAAAGTATAAACATACCAAATCTAATGCTGTATAAAACTGATATATGGGAGAACATTAGAAACATCCCCTTTAAAATTAGGAACAATACAAGGGTGCCCACTTCTAAGTCTATTTCATTTTGATGAAAGACACAGAGAGAGCATATTATAGGACTTGAAATACATTAAGGTTGTGAATAAAAGTGTAAAACTGTCTTTATTTAAAGACATGATTAACTACATGGAAAAATCCTAAGGAATCGGTGCAAAACCTGGAATTAACAAATTAACTTAGGAAGGTTGTGGAAAATAAAGCCAATACACAAAACCAAGTTACATTTCTATATACAGTGAACATTTGGAAAATAAAAATTTAAAAATAATACCACTTAAATAGCATAAAAACATACTTAGAAATAAAATCAATTAAAAAATGCAAGACCTTTAGACTAAAAACGATTTCTTTTACTGCTGAAAGAAATAAAAGAAGAGTATACTATGTTCATGGATTGGACATCTCAATAAATGTTAATGTTTTCATTCTCCCTGAATTGATCTATAATGCAAAATGCAAATCAAAATCCCAGCAGGCTTCTTTTTAGAAATGGTTAAGCTGACTCTAAAGTTTGTACAAAAATATGAAGGAGCTAGAAATGCCAAAAAAATTTTGAAAAAAAGACAAGCATTCTATTTTTAATGGACAAAATATTTAAACAGATACTTCCAAAGAAGATACAGAAATGTCCAACAAGTGCATAAAAAGATAATCAACGTCATTAGCCATAAGGGAAAAGAAAATTAAAATCATAATTAGACACCATTTCTCATTCACTGGAATGACTAGAAGTAAAAAAGCAGATAAAAGACAAAAGTAATCTGTAGTGACAGAAAGCAAAATAGTAATTTTAAAGCACTAGGGGTGAGAAGATTGACTGTAAAGGGGCATATAACAACTTTTGGGATGATGACAATGCTCTATACCCTGATTATGATGGGTAGTTACATGGGTGTACCCATCTGTGAAAACTCATCAAACTGTCCACTTAAAGGGATGCATTTTATTGTTTGTAAACTACACTGAATGGTTTAAAAAATGACCATACCAAGAGTTGAAGAGGATGTATGATAACTGAAACACTTCATGTGTTGCTGGTGGAAATGCAAAAGGGCATAATAACTTTGGAAAACCATTTAGTTTATTGTTTGGTTGTTTTTTATAAAGTTAAACACAGACTTAACTCTCTGATCTAGCAATGCCATTCCCAAGTATTTTCCCACAAGAGTTGAAGATAAATGCCCTCAAAAATATTTACTCCAAATTAGAAACAATCCAAATGATTGTCAACAGCTGAATGGACACACAAATTGTAATATATTCATTCAATGGGATACTTCTCAGCACTAAAAATGTGCAAACAGCAAATACACAGAATCATGATTTAATCTCACAATATTGAGCGAAAGAAGCCAAAAACAAAAGAGTGCATATTATATGATTCCATTTATGTAAAGTTTTAGAACCGGCCAAATATTTATGGTGATAAAAATCAGATTAGTGAATGCCTTAGGCAGGAGCAAAGGATAATTAGATGCAAATGAGCAGGAAAATTCCCAGGGTGATAGGGAATACTCTATATCTTGATTGGAGTGGTGATTATACAGGTATCTTCATTTGTCAAAACTATACATATAAAAGGTGTATGTTATTGTGTGTGAGGTATACCTCAAAGACAGTTGAATAAAAATATATTGAAAAGTAGAAAAAATACTATTATTTGAAAGTATTAAAAAGAGATCTATAGGCAAATAATTAAAAATAATATAAAATATTTTCAAGTTGACTGGATATTAGATCAGTTTTCTAAAGTTAATTTCATTTCTCTACATCAGCAAAAAATAACTAAAAAATATAGGGTTTTTTTTAGAAGACCTTTTACAATAACAATGAGACCTTTAAAGTGCCTGAGATTTATCTTAACCGAAGATGTGCAAGACCTACACACAGAAAATTATCAAACTTCACAGCAAGGAGACATTAAAGAAGATGTAAATAAATGGAGAGCGATTTCATGCTTGTGAAAAGGAAGACTTAACACTGTGAAAATGTCAAATCTTCCCCAAGTGATCAATAATTTAATGTAATTCCAATCAAATTCCCAACAGGTTTTTTTTTATGGAACACGACAAGGTGATTCTAAAATAAAAGCACACTAGGACAAAAACAAGAATAAGAGGGAGGAGGTACTTACTGTAATAAATATCAAAGCGTGATATAAAGCCAGGGTAATCAAGATAGCATGGTATTGGAAGAGGACAGACTAACTGACCAAAGGGATAGAAAAGAGAGCCCTGTAAGATCTAGCATGGAAAGGCGGGAATGGAGGGATCATTCAATGATTGGAACTTGGCAATGTGGTCATCCTTACTATGAGGAAACAAATTGAATCCCTATCCATACCACTCACAAAAATTGCCCTGAGATGATCTACAGACTTAAATGACAAAATAAATGATTTAAAAGTTTTAGATAGGTGAATATCCTCTTGAACTTGGGAGTAGAGGAAGGATTTCTTAGACAAGACACAGAAATTATAAACTTCAAAAGGAAACAAATAACTTTGACCACATTCAAAGAAAACATCTCAATTCATCAGCCCAACCTGCTGATGCCTTGATCGCTGACTTCCACCCTCCAGGGCTGTGAGAAAATAAATGTTGGTTGTCGAAGCTGTCCACTCTGTGGTATTTATTATGGCATCCTGAGCTGATTAGGACTGGAATCATTGTGAATTTATAGTGGGGCATCCTTGTCCCATCCCACCTCAACTGCTGGATGGAATCCAGCTCACGTGAATACTCTTACCTTCTCATCTTTAGCCTCTCATTCCCTGAGTGCCTCCATTTGCTTGGTCTCAGTGCTCTCTCCTCACCTTCCGTCACCTGCAAGACACACAATATTCAGGCGTTAGACCTGCCTCCACTTTCTCTCTTGAACTGGGCTGGCTCCCTGGATGGCTTCATCACAGAGCCCTGCCCCCAGGGTCAGTCTTGCACCAGCCTTGCTCACCTCCCACTGTGGGGCTGTAGACCCACCATTGCTTACCCTACTATCCAACACACTAATGCTGCCCCTAAAGAGGAATTAAAGCCTGGTAGAGAGGAAAGGGCCAAGAGGAAAAGACCAGATAAGGTGCTGATTATCTCCCCTGACAAGTGAGTATCTCCCATTTTCCCAAGGCCAGATTTATGCCAAACCTTTGTTCTCCACCTGCAGCCATGTGTTTACCCACCAGAGTAGAGAAAAATGTGGTGTGGCAGTCACAGCCTTGCCTTATGCCTGGAAAATAAGCACCTTTCCAATGGCAGCTTGCCTGGTTCCCTGTGCCCATTGGGTTTAAAGGATTAGAGGGTTCTGACACCCCTGTCCTCTGAGCTGAACTCTCCACAAATGACAATTTCAGCACAAAGCAGGGAGAAAGCAGTGATGAGAGAGAGGAAAGCAATGGGTTGCCTCTGTATTCTCTTGATCTGAATTGCTTTTCAGGCCCTCATGCTGAGATTACTCTTTTGTTTTTGAGCCTTTGGGTTTGAATGGAGCTCTCTCTCTCAAATCTCACCAGGGACTGGAGAGGGAAGAATGAAGCAAACGTCAATGGCAGGGTTGATAATCCTACAACCATTGACTTGAAGAGCAGGCCAACAGGACCACGGCTGCCTAATCTGCTGTGTCAATGCATATTATTAGCAGCCCTTAATTGATGGATTCTTGACAGAGAGAGCAGGGTGAGTGCTGAGAGTCTGCAGCATGTGGGCCTATTTGAGGAGACTTAGTCTGCAAACGTTAGACAGGGTGGAATGTGAGGGCTCCTCCAAAGCCCTTATCTGGCATTGGGTCAGGCCCAGGAGAACCAGCCTAAGGAGGACGAGCCCCAGCCCCGGCTTTCTCCCTTCCCAATTGGTCCAGGCCTTTCAAGGGCAAGCATCTGCAGGCTCCTCCCAGGTCTGTCCTCAGGCTTGCTGCCCAGGCTGCAGCCTAAACTGTGGCTCACAGGGTTTTATGTCTGAAATTATACCATAGCTGGGGGGAGTGAGAGGAGGAGGGGGTGGTGGAGAGAAAATCTTACCACTGAGATAATAATTACTAATTGTTAATTAATCTGCTAAGGCCTAGGAGCTGGTCCCCAGCTAAGGGCCAAGAGCAGTGGCCTACCTGCTGGGTAAGAACAGCCCTCCACATTTACATGGCCCGGCTGTGGGAACCTGGGAAGACCAAGAAAGAGGAGGAGGCACATTCTAAAGGAAGAGACACAGCAAAGAGCCCCACTTAGCGACAGACAGGAGAATATGCCTCAGAGAACCTCTGGGTGCCAGTCACAGATGGAAACTCCAAAGAGGATGGGCTGATGGGATAATGTGGCACATTTATAAGTGGACATAGGAATGAGAAAGAGTAAATTCTGTGTAATTTTTTAAATGGCCTGGAGCCCAGCCTTTGTTTAATTCTGCCTTCAGGGTGATTTTTGGTTTAGATACTCAGGTTTTCCTCCTCCCTTCCTAAACTGCAAATGGGCAGACATCTGACACTTCTGTGTCCATCAGATTATAGTTTATCAGGAACCAGAGTCCACAGAAGCACTGACACCTCATGAGGGGCTAATTTTCTAGCAACAGGGGTCAGCAAAGCAGACTCCTCCTCCAGCTCAACGGATCTTCACAGAGATGGATTAAATCATAAATAAGCTTGAAGGAGCTCCATTCAAACCCAAAGACCCCTCATCCTCTTGAGACCCAGGGGGAAGGAAGGCAGAAAAACTGTAGCCAAGAATGGTGTAGGGTCAGTTCCTTCCCACTGTAGTTGGAGCAGGTCTCATGCTGACAATGACGTCTGAGAATGTCTCAGTCCCTGAATAAGAACATGCCCTTCTTTCCATCTCCAGTGGTCCCAGGCAGCCAGTCCAGAGTTAGAGGCATGCCCTGCTTCTCTGGGAATGAACTGAAGGGACAGGGTTTGAGTCTCCCTCAACCACATGGAGGTGGTTAGACATTTGGGGGTTAGGGGGTCCTCATGAAAACAACCTATTAAACTTTTAAAAATATGCAACTAAAACCCACTTGCATTTCGAACAACATTGGCACCTAAAGTCAGTCTACTCTACTGTGTGGCTTTGCATTGGCAAATTTTGTAGCTAGGGACTGTGGCCTTTCACTGTTCTGAGAGGACAGTGTAGTGTGGTGTGGTGGCCAAAGAGGGTCTTGTTAGAAAATCATGCTCACTTAGAAAGGATAAAGATGGGGACGACTCCAGCCATATGCAACTGGGGACACATTAGCCCACAAGGAGGTCCTTGTTGAGCTGTGTGACTCTGTTGGGATTAATAGTAAGGAACCAGCATGCCAGCCCTTGGTCTTATGATAAGCTCTGGAACTTGCAATAATTTTCCAGTTTAGGGCAAAGTCACTCTGAGATATGGAGACTGAGAGCCAACTATTGTGCAACTTAAGGTAACACTTAACCTTATGTTTCCTGTCTAATAAATTGGGAATACATTCACAGGGTTGTTAAGAGGGTAGTTCATCAATGGTTAATAAGTCGTAAAGTGTTTTATAAATAGCAAGGATATTTCTTATGGTGAAATCTTAGGACTCTAACAAACACATTTAGGAAAAGGAAAGAACAATGAAGGCTTCATAAAGGCAGGTGACATTTCTGGTTTTCTCCCTATGGTATCTCTAGTGTCTGGTACAGAAAAGGTATGCAATAAACTTTTTGTTGAATGAATGAGTAAATTCAGGAGCAGCAGCAGCAGTAGCAGTAACTGGCCCACAGTACATGGACTACCTTCTCATTTGCTGTCTTTGGTGCCAGATGTTTTTCTTTTCCTTTCCCTCTGCCAATCAGGCTACATTTAGTCCCTGAAGATTTGTCTGCTGCCAGTATCCTTCTGGAAAATTCCATTACAAACAAATGGTTCTGCTGAATGTTACCATTTTTCTGAAGACTGTGGAGTTTCAGGAAGATAAGAGACAAACCTGGAACGTTGGTCTTTGGCAGGAACAAACCCAATACTCTTCCAGGAAATGTAGCAGACAATTTCCTGTGGCTATTGCCCTTGCCTGAGCCAAGTGTGGAGAAGTTCCTGCCTTGGTCTCCCTCCCTGTCTGCTGTACCAACCCCAAGGGCACCCTAACTTAACCTTACCACTGGTATTCTGGAAATAATCAGAGCAGACTTAAAGGAAGAGGGCTTGGCTCACGCCTGTAATCCCAGCACTTTGGGAGGCCAAGGCAGGCGGATTACAAGGTCAGGAGCTCAAGACCATCCTGGCTAAGATGGTGAAACCCCGTCTCTACTAAAAATACAAAACATTAGCCGGGTGCGGTGGCACGCACCTGTAATCCCAACTACTCAGGAGGCTGAGGCAAGAGAATCACTTGAACCTGGGAGGCGGAGGTTGCAGTGAGCCGAGATCATGCCATTGCACTCCAGCCTGGGTGACAGAGCAAGACTACGTCTCAAAAAGAAAAAAAAAAGAAGAGGGCTAAGCAAAGCCACTGCAACACACAGCTGGACTTGGCTTCTGCAGTTCTCAGCTCAGAGCTCCATCTGAAGACTCAAACCCTGCCCCCTCGATTCCTTTCCATGTGAGGCCTGGCCTTTAGCTCTGGTCTGGCTGCTAAAGAAGACTGGAGGTTGAAAGAAATGTATGTTATTATTCAGGGACTGAAACACTCTGAAAAGCACTTAGGGACAAAAGTTCAGCAAAGAACAGCTTCTAAGAGAAAACCAATATTATTTCCCAGAAAAAAACCTAATGGAAGTTCTAGAGTTGAGGCACAGTTAGCATGGGACCCAAACAGATAATTTAAGGAGTTGGGAATGCTTCTGATTAGAAGGAGGCCCTGAGGGATGGAAGATCAAAGGATAGAGGGCTGAATTCAGTCACCTGAGAAAATATGGGCTGGATGAGAAATGCTTCCCCCTAAAGCTAGAGTCAGTCAATCAAATCATGCTATAGGAGTTCATGGAAATAGATCTGAATTGGGAGTCAGGATTCTCGATTCTGGTACATTCTAAAATCAATTAGCAAATCATTTAAGAATTAAGCAAATCATTGCACTTCTCATGTGCAAAATTAAGGGAAAAATTAGGTGACATTGGTAGTGCCTTAAACTTCTATTATTCATGCCTAAGGAAACAAAAATGAGATTAATTGCTACATGGTGAGAGCGAAGTAAACTAATGTCAACCTGGCACCTCTTGTTCTGGGGTTTTCATTATCCAGTTGCTTTACAGAATTTAATTCTACGAAAACTCTAAGAGGTTGACACAGTTCTTCCCATTGAACAGATGAGATAGCCAAGTCTTAAATAAGTCAAGTAGCATATCCTAGGCTAGAGAGCTGGAGGGTGGTAAGACAAAGATTCAGATTCCAGATGCTGTTTCCAAAACTTCCCATTCCCCCATGGTACTGTGCTCCCTCACAAGCCACATAAAGAACATCAGTATTGTTTTTTTGTAGTTGTATAATGCTATTCCTCATAGAAAGCACCATACTAGACAATGCTACTTGCATGCCAGAAGCCATGCAAGACACATAAGGGATGCAAGGGATGCCAACACATACAATCTATGCCCTTGCCCTCCAGCTTAGGTGGCAGGCTGGCTCAGTGACATCTACTGAAAGTGACTGCTGGGATAAGAGTGATAGGTCACCCTGACATTTTCCATGTCCCACTTTTCTTTCTTCAGGATGCCATCTTCAGCCAAGAGAGTCCAGGGGCTTTGCACTGCATCATTAAAATACTTGTGGCCCTCCCATAACCCTCACTTTCCATCATCTCTTCTCTTTCATCCCTGTAAATTCAATTCTGGCTGGAGATTGGGTGTTGGAGTGGAATTAAAACCTTTCCATGTCTGCCTGCTGAAGTCCAGTGCAAAAATAATTAAATCTCCAACCATTTATCTTCCATCTCCAATTCCAATCCATTGTTCTGAGAACGATTTGAATGGTGTGCTTCCCCATGCTATGTAATTTAAAATTGAGTTCACACTTAGCTAACTTTTTACTGTTAGGAATGTTTCTGTGGCACGCAATTCAGCCTCCTCACAAGCACAGTTCTAATTTGGAGCTCAAACAGACAGAGGGAGCTGGTATTGCAGGAATGTCAGTCTAGTCACTGGTTTAATGGCTGCATGGTGGCTGAGTAGTTGCAGATGTCAGCAGTTCAGTCTAAGCAACAGTGCCCAGACATGAAGGCCTCAAAGCCCTGGCACCTCAGAGTGGGCATACGTAAACAAAATTGTGACATAGAATTTCTTGTCTGATGCTACTTTTTGATGTCAAAGCCTCTACTTAATACACAATATAGTAGTTTTAATGAATCTATTCAATCTAATCTTCATAATCATGGCATCTCTAAGGTAGAAAATTAATTGGATGAAGTTAAATATCCCCTTTTTATGTCAACAAAATTGGTTTTTCTAGGGATTAAAGGATTAACGTGGTGCTAAGTCCCTAAAGAGGTTAAAATACTTTATTATTCATTACAAAACACAAAGATTGGGCTGTTATTTTTTTTCTTATGTCACTGCCACTCATTTCATTGAAGTGGAGCACCGAGGAGAACTGTTAATGACAATTTCAGAAGCTCTTAATGCTCTTCAAAATTCATGTCTTCCCTGCTTACAAACTCTTTTTGGGTGAAATAGCCTGAAATATATCAAATGGAAACCTTTTACAGCCTATTCTCAGAACCAAATGACCAGTGGGCAGGAATGAACTTTCAGTTAAGTCATCGAAGCTGCAAAATGTGGCATTTCATATTGATGTTCTTCCTGTTTTTATACCAAAACAGCACAATTCCAGTCAACAAGTGAAAACATATTTCCAGTCTGGATCAAAGGACAGAGAACGCTGGACTATGTCATGTGAACACGGGGCAACCACTTCTTAAATTAGGATTTGCCCATTGTACCCCCCCCCCAAAAAAATGAGTGATTTCAACTGTTTTCATCCTAGTTTGCACAATTCTGAGTTGGAAAAAACCCTTAATTCAAAACTGACATTTTGCAACTAGGGAAACAAAGGTGAAGATCTATGCTGTGACTCAACAGGAAGTGACAGGTGGCACTGGAATCCTGGTTTCCCGACCTCGTCTCTCCTGTACTGTGGGCCCTCTGCATTTTCCTACAGATGATGGTTTTGTGACCAAGGGCCTGCACTTGAAAGATGAACGTTGGGACCCAGACTGAGACCAGGACTCCTGGCCAAGATCACTGGGTCATATGGTGACCATGCATGACCTCGGCCTGATGAAGTTCAGGCTCTGAGCTCTCTGACACCGTGTACCAGGCTCAGCAAGCCTGACTCCACTTTCCCTTCAAATCCATCCTGGGCAGCTCCTGGTCCTCTTTAGGGGGACATATGCGCAAAGCAGTTAATTCAGGCAGCATCAGGGCAGCTATATAAAGCTCTATGCTTGGAAAAGGATACTGAATAAAACATAAGGTTGAAGATATTGAGATAATGACGTCAATAAACTATAAAAAAAGCAGAGTGAGACAAGGCAAAGAACCACGAGAGGCAAGACTATGTACAATATACCACCAGGAGTCAATAAAGGAAGCTGTCTTCAAGTTGAGCAATCCAGAGATGACTCTTGGATGAGGAGGTGGTTTGAATGAGTCCTGAACAAAGAATAAACTTCAGAAGGCGTAGATATGCCAGGGACACTCAATCCAGAAGAAAACACATGAACAAGAAGGCAGAGAGTGCTACTTGGGAGGTGGTGAGTGCTGATTTCTTCAGGATTCTTCCAGGAAGCCTTCCCAGACTGCTCTGGGCTGGTTAACTACCCCTCCTCATACTCCCCCAGCACCCTAGGCATTCACCCCCGACGGCACTTAGCACAGAATATTGCTGTCTCATATCTGCCCCACTAAACCCTGAACAACGTGAAGGCAGTTCAGGTCATTTTAAAACTTCTTGTGTGTGCGATCCCACCACAATGCCTAACATATGGTAAGTTCCTCAAAATATTTGTTAAATGAGTCAAGGGTTCAGTTTGGGTCACTGGAGAGAAAGCACGGAGAGAAGGTGTGAAAGGAAGTTTGCGGCCTCCTGGGGAAAGGCTGTTTCTGGGGTGTGAGCTTGTGCCTTATTCAGCATGTGACAGGGAAGCTTCTGGGGCAGGAATGGACTTGAGCAGAGCTGCACTTTGAGAAGAGGATGCTGATTAGGGAGTGTAGGATGGATGTGAGTGGGGAGAATGAGAGTTAGAGCAGTAAGTTAGGAGAGCATGAGGCGGGAAGCGCCTGGAGCTGGCAGGGGCAGTGCGGGGTGGGCAGGATGAGGGCAGAGGTTGCAAGGAAAGGTGGGGCTGCTTTTCCGCCCATAACTCTGTTCCTTGGTTGGCAAGAATGGGGAGGCGGCGCCTTCTAACATTTATTTCTTGCAGGGATGGCCCATAAAATGCCTACTGCCTGTAAAGCAATTTTAATTTGTCAGGTGCAGTAACCGTAAGAAGAGAAAAGAAGTGGTATTTCTGTATCTTCCCTGGAGAAAGCAAAAACACACAGAGGTGGAGGGGTTGGTCCAGAGAGACACAGGAAATCAAACTCACAAATAAAATATTGGCAAATCACCATTAATACAAAGTCTGAGTTTTAGATGTTGCCCATTTTCACAAGATTGTGAGGGTGCATACACAATAGCGCCCCTTCTGCAACTAACATTCAATTCTTTTGTCACAGCAGGCAACGTTTTCAATTAGATGCTAAGGTGTCTTCTACCATCTCTTGTAAATGCTTTGTTTTTCACATTGGCCTCCAAGAGAGGGAACTGCCACACTGTTTAAAGCTGTGGGAAGGTCCCTGGGCATCAGTGGATGAGACAACAAGAGCTGAAGGCTCAGGGTGGTCTTGAATATGCCCATAGCCACTCCAGCAGATTTTTTTTACATTGTTGCGTTAAGCATTGTCTACTGAGGTGTCCAATCTAACGGTGCACATGTGACCTTTAGGAGTTCCCAGCCTAAGTCAGAGGCTTGGCTCTTAAATGAGTCAAGGGTTTAGTTTGGGTCACTGGAGAGAAAGCACAAAGAAGGACTGAAAGGAAGTTTAGGGCCTCTCTGGGGAAAGGCTTAGTTTCTGGAGTGTGAGCTTGTGCCTTATTCAGCATGTGACAGGGAAGGTTCTAGGGCAGGAACGGACTCAAGAAACTGACAATCAAATTGAAAAGTCATCACATGTACACAGGCACATTCACACACACACACGCACACACATCCCTTGGCACAACCATCCCACCACCAAATAACAGCATTAGCAATAAAGAAAATCATAATCTATTGTTAGAGAATGCAAGAATCAGTGGGAAACAGTAAAGAACAGTAGCTAAAAGAGGAGTGTCCAGGTCAGAATTACGGCTCACACACAACTAGCTAAATGGCTTTGGGCAAATTATCCAAACCACTCTGACTCTCAGTATCTTCACCTGTATAAAACAGAGATGACAACAGTACATACCTCAGTGAGTTCTTTCTGAAAACTGAATAAGAAATTATACTGTATAATTTATAATATATAGTGATATACATGCTATATGTGTAATATAGTATGTAGTATTATATATTTATACATAGGACATATAATACAGATATAGAATAATATATGGTATATAGTATATTATACATGATTATATATATAACACACATGTTATATTATATAATATAGTATATTATGTTATATACTATATATGATATACTATGGTTATAGCATATTATTATATGTTCCTTTAAGTGGTGCATGTAAAAGAGAATATCTTGTCTACTGAAATGGAAAAGAGAGCTGAGCGGAGCTGGACAAGTAGGATTTCTCTGGCAGCAGCAGGGAGCTGGGCAGTGTCTATGGGGCAGGAGAATGGAAGGAAGGAGCTTTGACCTCTAATACACATGGAAGCAGTAGCAAGCTACCTAGAGAGAAGCAGGGGGTCAGATGACTTGTGTGGTGTGTGCTTAAGTGTGGGTGTCTGACAAATCATGTATGAAAGTCTAGAGAGGCACAAAGGGAAGGACAATGGAAGACAGCATTGGCTGATGGAGCCTGCTGAGGAGGAAAGGTAGGAAATGCTTGCATCACTTGGAGTGGACTTCCATGGTAAGCCTGGCATTATTGACACTGGTAACTGTGGACACCAAAGCAGATTGATTTCACAGATGATATTTAAAAATCAATAATTATTATATTAACCATCACATCAACTTACATTTCTACGTAGCCCTTTTTTACTTTCTCAGTGCATTTTTATACTGTGATCTTTCTTGTTCTCTCACCTCAATTCAGTAAAGCTGCAGATTTATTACTTTTCCTTCTTTACAAAGATGAGCAACCTGAGAGCAGAGGGGTTCTATGATTTTTCCAAAGCCACGTATGTAACCTGAGGCATGCCTCTCAGCCATGGTAACTGGTAACTGGGGCGTCTTTTTATTGAGTTGTATCATTTCAGATATTATCCATCCTTTCTCTAAACCCTCTGAATAATCCTAAAAGTCCAGGTCCATCCCATTTATTTCCTTTGCATCCTTCATGCTCCTCCTCTTTCCAATTCCCCTCTTCACAACACACTGAAGCACCTCGAGATGCTTTACCCAACATGTGCTCAATGAATCCTCATGGAATGCTGGACCTTCACACTGGGGACGCTGGCTTCAACATTCACAATCCCAGCTGGCCTTCAGGGCTGACCTAAGTCTTCAAGGTTTTGCTGTGAGCACGGGATGAATTCTGGGAACCACTCCAGCTGATGCTCTGACACACTGACACAGTGGAGCGGCCAACTAGAATGAGGTGGATGCCAACCTGGAAACTGGCCATGCCCTGGGCCAGCCCCACTGAGAGCAAGCCACGGTGGTGAGGAAATGTGTCAGCCTTGGACGTGGTAACTGGAGGCACTGTTCTCCAAAGGGCTCACAAGTCATTCTGTGTTCAAGGGAAGGAGGTCATCATGTGAATTCTTTTTAAGCTGAAGGATCCTGATGCAGTGTTTTAGCTCCTTGCTTTAGAAATGGACAGAGGGCAAGGTGACCAAGTCTACAGGTCTCTTACTCCTGGAATAGAACAAGTTGTGAATTGATAACAATGTATTTTTGAGTTGGAGAGATCTTCCTTGTATGGAGATTAAAGTCCCCTGACCCAAAGACTCTCTGGAGACAACTGAAATTTGAAAGATAGAGCCTAATAGCCAGCTAACCAGCCCTTCCTCTAAGTGCTCTGGGCTCTCTCCCTGTTCTGAGCCTGATCATCTGAATTTAATGTGGCTGGACGTTATTATCTTAGTTTGCCACAGAAAAGCCTGAGCTGAAATAAGGTTTAATGTTATTCCCTTGGCCTTTATAGAGGATCGATAGGAGAAACATTTGAGGAGCATTCCTTTGCCTTTGCAGAAGTGCAGTGAAGACTGCGTCCATTATGCTAACTGGTCTCCTGACTTAGTCCTGACACAATAAATCTTCTTTCTACACAATGCCGGGGAATGTCCATCTCTTCCAACTTGTATTCCTTTTCTCTTCAATTGTTATGGACTGGGTAACCCAGTGTGCATCTTTTTTTTTTTTTCTTTTTGCCTTCATTTCTAATAAACTCAGCATTAAATGCAACACTCAGCTACAGTAACTGGTTATTGCAATAATCAATAACAATTATTCAGTCACCATCACTATCAACATGTTTTTCTTCATTTTTTTATCTGTTTTTATCTTCTTTTTTTTTTTTTTTTGGAGACGGAGTCTCGCTCTGTCACCCAGGCTGGAGTGCAGTGGCACGAACTCGGCTTACTGCAAGCTCCACCTCCTGGGTTCACACCATTCTCCTGCCTCAGCCTCCTGAGTAGCTGGGACTACATGCGTCCGCCACCACACCCGGCTAATTTTTTTTGTATTTTTTTAGTAGAGATGGGGTTTCACCGTGTTAGCCAGGATGGTATGGATCTCCTGACCTCATGATCCACCCCCCTCAGCCTCCCAAGGTGCTGGGATTACAGGCGTGAGCCACCACGCCTGGCCTGTTTTTATCTTTTAATTGTCATTTTATATATGGCTAATTTTGCAGACTGCTCAAATTCTGCCTTCCATTTAATAAAACAAGAGGTAATAGATGATTGATAAGTAGAGATAGACGAATGATAGATCAATAGGTAGGGAAAACAAGCTAGCTTTGGGTGAATGGATGGAGGTATGGGTGGATGGGTAGACTGACCTATTTTATCATTGTGTCCAAGCAATTAACCCCAAAATGGAATCAGAAGTCCAGAGTTAGCCCTACTATTGGCTCAAGATTTCCATTCAATCCAATTTCACTGAAATGTGTTGAATATCTGTAACCTGAACACAAATTTCTCCAGGATATAGTTCATGTTTTATTCATATTTATGTTCAATGCAATGCTGCCATATAGTAGGTGCTCACAAAATGTTTGAGACAAATTGAACTTACTCAAACTAGAAACTTAACAGGTGCAATACGCAACACCCAGAGCCCAGCATATCCTTGGGGAGATATAATTCCCAGAACTGAACAGATAGCAATGGCCATATAATCAATAGGCCCCTCCTAGGCCATTTGGGCTGATTGCTGTAGGCCATTCTGGCTGCCTATTCCTGCTGTAGGCTTTTCTCATGCTATTTCCCCATTGACATTGCTCTCCCTCACCCCCATCCATTTAACCAGCTCCTACCAGCCTTTGAGACTTAAATCAAGTCTACCACCATAAAACTTGTTTCCAATTCCAGCCTGCCCACATTTCCCCTTCTCTGATCATCCACTGTGCATGAGGCTTCTCTGATATCTTCAACTGCCTGTGACTCAGCCACCCAAACATCCCATAGGCACCTCAGTTTCAGCCTGTCTAAAGTGGACCCCCACCTGACTGCTGTGTGATCTGAGTACTAAAGTGTGCAGGTCCTGCGGTGAAACAGCCTGAGATCAGATCTTTGTTACAGCACTGCATCAGCATCAGTCATCAGTCAGGGTTCACTCACAGAAGCACAGCCACTAAGGGATGGATGGATAGATAGATAGATAGATAGATAGATAGATAGATAGATAGATAGATAGATAGACAGACATATACGTATATGTTTGTGTGTATACTTCAAGTATGTGTGTGAAACACATTATAGATATAGATACAGATATAGATGTGGGTATAGATATAGGTATAGATAAATATAGATACAGATACATACATAGATGCAGATTCGATATAGATAATTTGGATATATAAAGGAACTTTTTTTTGTAAGGATTTGACCTTACACAATTGTGGGAGCTGGTCTCTGTAAGACGTGTCTTTGCATCACGTGTTGGAGCTTTAAATGTGCAGGGCAGACCGTTGGGAAGGGACGTTGGAGAGCAAGAGCCAGCTAGGCCCTACGAGTACAAGCTAGGGCCCATGAAGATGGACTAAGACCCAGGTCAGTCCTTTTGCCTCTGACCCTTGTAATGTGGGTCTCCTGAAGAAGCCAGAATCTTTGTTTCGGACTTAAACACACACCTGGCCCAGGAGTTGGGAAAGCTGAAGGAGGATTCAGGGAAAAGGTGAAGCAGATCCAACTGCTGCCTCACACCAACGAGGCAAGCCAGCAGATTAGCAGCACCAGGAGAGCCATGTCCATGCATGGGAGCTGCAAAGCAGTGACTGCCTCACCTCTGCCCTCCAAGTCTCCCACAGGAATCACTCCGTGGCCCATGACAACCAAAAACACACAAGAAAGGGAGTTTTGAGAAATTATCTTAGCCTAGCCACACTAACACAGTTCAAAGCCACCACAACCATGTGTATTTTTTGCGACTTTGGACAAGTGACTTAACTTTTCAAAGTGGCTTCACTTTTCAAAGCGGCTTCACTTTTCAAAGCGGCTTCACTTTTCAAAGCCTCAGTTTTACTATCCGTAAAATAACAAAAACATAGCAAAGCATTCCTATGAAAATTAAATATAGTTATCCCTGTTGAGGTGTTAGCACTCAACTACATGTTTGGCACATAGTTGGTGCTCAATAAATGTTAGCTGTTATAATGAATCTGGCCTCTCCTCTTATTCTCATATCTCAGTTGGTAGCCTTAAAATCCACCCTTTCATTCAAGCTGGCAACCTTGGAGTCGGATTCCTCATAGCCCACCACAAAGGCCATGTTCCTTAGCACATCCCTAGGGACTCTCCATGACCTAGACCCTGCCTCTTGTCCAGCCTCAATGCATGGAACTCAGTTAATCATGATCTTTGGTTTATGTCACAATTTCAGAATTGGTCCATGTATGACCTCTTTCTGTTTTCATTTATTTGTGTTTATTGCAAACTCACCACCCATGCAAGAACTAACACTGGCAATACTGTGTCTATGTGCTCCTTTCCATTACTCTTCCTGCCTTCCCCAAGCACAGGTGACCACCCATGAAGTCACTTGGAAAGCCTGATTCTAGATCTTTGCATAAAATGGCTTGATAAGCCTCCCTGCCCACTCTACTTCCCACCTCTTGTGTTTTGAGGAACAGCCAACCAGAGGGAGAGCTTGGAATTGCCAAAGACACACATCCACACCCACGATGGCTACCTCAGACTGCCCAGTGTGCAAAGAGAAGGAAGAGGTCAAATGCCCATTGCTCCAGCCTTTCAATAAATTAGCTCCACTCAACAAGAAACACTGATCGGTGGGAATCCTCCATTAGTCAGGTGATTCATTCCTCTCACATGAGTCAGAGCAGAAGACCACTACTACTTTAGTACCAAGGTCTTTGACCATAGGGAGTAATCTCTGGAAAAGACTCTATTGATGGACTTCAGATAAATAAATTATCTTGCCATTTCATGCAAGCTAATGTGGGAATGTGCCTTTGTGGGTGATGGGGAAGGTTAAAAGCCTTCATCAGATTCTTGAAGGGATTCATGACCCAAACATATTTTAGAGCCACCCTACATGGAAACATGAGGGTCTGTTGCCCCTGATACTTGCCCAGGAGTGAGGGGTAGAGGATGAAAGGCCAGAGAGCCCAGCTCTGCCTCTCAATTCTGCAGAAGGTGGCACACATACTGTGGCTGACAGCTAATGTCTTGTGAGCCCACAGTGACCTGTGCAGCCCTGCTAGAGTGCATAACTCTCCAGAAGGAGCATGGGCTAGATTACAGCATTCATTATCCCCCAGCTGGACAGCATGTCCAGTGAACGACCTGCTCCATGGTACATAGTAGCCCTGGGAAGCTGCAGTTCCACTGCCAACCTAACCAAAAAGAGGACACTTCTCTTTCAGGATGTGGTCTCAGACAGTCAGGCCACCCTCTGTATGCCTAATGACTCATGTTCCACCACATGGCACTTCTTATACTGTTGTCTCTATGATAGAATAGCTCTTCTAGTGCCTGTGTTCCTTTGGAGGAAAAGGTATCACATTTCTCTATCCATTGCCCCAAGGTGTTTAGCATACCAGAGGTGTTGAGGGTCTGTTTGTCAAGTATTACATGGCCCTCGGGCTGGAGCTTATGCACCTTTGTCCAGGCACAGCACATTGGTGAACATGCAGGACACACGCATCGTGTTCTTCCCAGCAGCAGCATGTATAACTGGATAGAATCCAGGCAGCCCTTCACTCTCCCCCATAACCCATACTTTTTTCATTCACATAACAATCACATCCTCAGTAGGGAGAAGAGGAAGGCTGAAAAGGTGAGCGAGAAGGTGTATTTTCAGTGAGGGGGTAAGAGGAGAGAAAGGGGAGTTCCAGTGACTGGGAGAGGCAGTTCAAGAAGGAGCAAAGCAGGGGGTTATTCCCATACTGAGCAGTGGCCCAAAGGTACCCCTAAACCCTGTTTACTCAAGACTTTGAACACTTAACTTGCTGGGCACTGTGCCGGATGCTATGATTAAAACTTAGTCCTTGCCTTGTGGAGCTCACTATAGAGCTCACCTCACAGAGCTCAGGAGACTTGTTCCAGGTTGGGAGGTGAGGAAGAGCCAAGCCAGACTCACTCACGTCCTAGGACTGCTAATTTTTAGCCCCATTTCTTTAAAACAACAGCCACTGCATAACATGATTAAAAACTTAACAAATTACCACCCACCCTCCATGGCCCCAGGGCCCACGTCACCTGAGCAGGTGTTTTAAGGCCCAAATGCTTGTCAACTTCATTAGTATCTCATAGCCATTTGTAGGTCATTTTAGCTGTCAACCCAGCATTCCAGCAAGATGCACTGAAGTACCTGAGAGACTTCCCTCCTGAATTAGCTTGGGCTCCTGTGATGCTTCAGGAACCTCTGTTACATGCCCTGTCCCTACAGGAAGGCAACCATGAAACGATTCTAAGGACTTTTCTCCAGGAAGCAAATATATAAGATTTTGTGAGTTTGGCCTATCAGGTTGAGGATGCAGTGGCTCAGGAGCATATTCAGACCAGGCGTCTTTCCTGCCTTTACACACATCACGTCTGCAATGCTGAGCAGCACCTATGCCGGGTCACTCCCGACGCAGCTGAGAGACTGGACAGCACTGCAGCGAGAGCAACACATGGGCGTCAGACCCAAGTTCCAGCACACACTGAGGCAGCAGGAGTTGAACAACTTGGGTGAGACACTGCCTGTTGAGTCTCCCTGTGTCCACTGTGTGAGACATTTCCCACTGAGTCTCCCTGTGTCCACTGGGTGAGAAACTTCCCACTGAGTCTCTCTGTGTCTATTGGGCAAGAGACTTCCTGCTGAGTCCCACTGTCTCCATTTGCAACATGAAGGTGTTCAATAAGATCAGCGGCTATCAAGTTGTTCTTTTAGTCTCAGAACATTTTCTGCAAAAGAAAACAATCCCAAGAAGGACAACAAATAAAGCCAAAAGCAGCAGAGTTCCTCTGGTTGAAAGGGGCCATGGGCTATGAAAGAGGTCTAAAATTCTACCCCACACAGCTAGGTAACCCTTAAGGCAGCTCCATGGGACCCCACAGGACTCCACAGAACAGAGTTTACACAATGTTGTGCCAGACAATCCCTAACAACCCTTTCCTCCTTGACATTCTAAAGTCAGATTGTGAAGCCTTGTGGTCACTAATCTTTCTCACCATTTGCCAAAAACCCTTTCCCAAATTGGACTCCTCATTTAAACCTCCCAAATGTTGCCGATTTTAATAATGAAATGAGCTCGCTAAAGTCAGTAGTTTATTTTCTAACAAGTATCAAAACAAAGTTTGCCATTCCTTACTGACCTTGAAAACACAAGTACCTACAAGAGTCAGGCAAATTCAAAACAAACAACCAAACAACATGAAAACAGATGACTGGGCCCCATCCCTCTGAGTACACTCTGAGTCAGTAGGTTGGGCTGGGCCCTAATTTCTATAATTTTAACAAGCTCCCAAAATGCTTATAAAACACACCAAGACTTGAGAAGCCCAATAATATAATAAGAGTCCAGCTTAAGTGTGACCTCCTTCAGGGAGACTTTCTGACCTTCCTCTCCCACCAATCCTCCCCAGTCCTCCTCCTTGATCCCAAAGTACCTTCTGTTTACCTCTGTCTCAGTACAAATCACACTGCACTGTAATTAACCGTCCACCTGTCTCCTTCCTTCCCCCAGAAAATCAAAAGCTCCTGGAGGATGAAAGTGTTCATCTCTGTATCCTCAATGCCTTAGTCTCAGCCTTAAAATGTGCTAAAATCCCTTCACTCAAAGAGATTGCAACATAGAAATTAAGACCTAAAGAGGTTTAAACAATAGTACAAAATAAGGGTCAATCCATCATACAAATACCAAGTAAGTTGTAAACAGCATGTGATTAATTAGAAAAATAAAAATAATAACTAACATTCATGGAGACTCTGAAAGGTTAAGTAATTTGCCCAAGGTCACACAGCCTGGGAAGTAACATAGTTTGAACTTGAACCCAAGTATCTGCCCAAAGGCTAGAGCAACTTAACAACTTAACTACTCAACTTAACAACCATTCCTCTCTGTGTATTAGCAACAATCAGTGCCATGGAAGATTAGAGAAAAGAGAGGCTAATAAAGCCCTGGAAGGAAGAACTGGAGCTATGTCTGGAAAGATAACTTAGAGGGAGTGGAGGTGTGTAAGAAAGAATTTGGATTTGCCCAGTGAGAGATCTGGCTATGTCCCTAGCTCCTAGGAGGTAACCCATAAACTCTTTGCTATTCAAGGGGACCCCTTGGATCACACCGGATAGTTTCTGCTAATGAAGTGACTCATGTGTTCCTTGGGCCATATGATATCAGCCGGACATCTGGGGAAGGAGGGCTGGAGATTTAGTTCAACCACAAAGGCATATAGTCATTCACACTTGTATCATGAAACCTTAACAAATACTCTGGACACTGAGGCAGGGGTCATCTTCCCAAGTTGTCAATACTCTGTGAATCGCCACATGGATGCTGGGAGAATGTCCTGAAGACAAGACAGCTTCGCATTTGTATCCCTTCTAGAGCCTGCCCTATGCGTGTATTCCTTTGGCTGGCTTTAAACTGTGCCCATTCCCTGTAATAGACTGCAACCAGGAGTATAACAGCATTTCTGTGAGTGCTATGAGTGTGTTTAGTAAATCAAACCTGAGGATGGTTTTGGGAAACCTCTGAACTTGAAGTTGATGTCAGAAGTGAGAGTGGGCTGAGCACAGTGGCTTATGCCTATAATCCCAACACTTTGGGAAGCTGAGGTGGGAAGATTGTTTGAGCCCAGGAGTTCAAGACCAGCCTGAACAACATAGTGAGATCCCATCTCTACAAAAAATCAAAAAATTAGCAGACGTGATGGCATACACCTATGGTACCAGCTACTCGAGAGGCTGAAGTGGGAAGATTGCTCGAGTCCACGAGTTCAAGGCTTCAGCGAGCCACAATCATACCACTGCACTCCAGCCTTTGACAGGGAGAGACCCTATCTCACATACACACACACACACACACACACACACACACACACACACACACACACACAGAAATGAGTGTGGTCTTGTGTGGACCCTTCCTTCCAACTTTATAAGTTGGATCCTTGCAGTTCTTTTTTTTTTTTTTTTTTTTTTTGAGAAGGAGTCTAGCTCTGTCGCCCAGGCTGGAGTGCAGTGGCGCGATCTCGGCTCACTGCAAGCTCCGCCTCCCGGGTTCACGCCATTCTCCTGCCTCAGCCTCCCGAGTAGCTGGGACTACAGGCGCCCGCTACCACGCCCGGCTAATTTTTTGTATTTTTAGTAGAGACGGGGTTTCACCGTGTTAGCCAGGATGGTCTCGATCTCCTGACCTCGTGATCCGCCCGCCTCGGCCTCCCAAAGTGCTGGGATTACAGGCGTGAGCCACCGCGCCCGGCCCCTTGCAGTTCTTAACCCCTGAGGTCTCACATACTGGGGTGGTGAGACTTCTCCATCATTGACAATCAGGCTTACAGTTGGTACAAATAATAACACTAATACGAATGCTAGTTGAGATAATAAACACCTGGCATTTATATGTTTCCCTTCACAGCCCAGTTGTCATATCATTAAGACAACACTTTGTCCTCATTTAATCCTTTTTACTTCCCAGAGCATTCTTTCATCTGTGACCTCATTTTTCCCTCACTGCATGCCTGGGAAAGGATAGACAGGATTATTATCCCGACTGGTGAGATGGGAGGCATAATGTGATCTGTTCAGGGTCACACACACAGCCAGAGTGACAGCTAGCACTGGACCCAGAACTCTCAGCCCAGGGTTCCTTTGAAGACTCCAACCAGCCAAGAAGAAAGCCCAAAATTCCTCATTTCATTTCTCCATAGGTGTTTTTGAGGCCACCCATACCTCTTAGAAGTCCTGCAGAAGAGTTGAATGTTGAGAAAGCAAGAGAAAAGTGAGACAATGTCAAACCTTCTCCATATTTGCAATAACTATCTTGTGTGCTTTGATGGCCCAAGAAGCCTCCTTCTCCCTTTGTACTGGACACTGTGAGTAGCTCTGCCTAGATCCTCTTGTACCCCCTTTTTCTGTGCACCCTTTTCCTGAGCTTCAGTGTACTTTTCTAACTTCCTGTACCTATGGCTTTTCTTCAGAGGACTATCCTGGGTACCAGAGCCACACTGCCTGAGCACCCAGAGAGCTGAAAATGTCCCCTTGGGGGCAGCCTTTAGCCAGTGACTGACAGGTGCAGAGACTGAAAGCCCAGAACCCTGGCCTCTGTTTGGTATGACTTTGAGGTCCAATATGCTCCAGATGTCCCCTGTGGGATCAGGCTGCAGCTACCCTTTGCAGAATTTTCTGAAATCATACCCTTGCTAAATTTCTTCCCCTTCCCTGTCCTGCTTCCCAAAACTCCCTTCCCAGTTTCTCCTGGGAGCATTTCCTTAACCGATCACTAACAATCAAATCTCAGGGTCTGCCTCTTGGGAACCCAACCCAAGACACTTCCTAACTCATATCTAACATACAAAGAGTCAGAATCACAGGTTGTTGAAGTCAACAGGGCATCCAGGTTCATCCCTCCAGGGAAGGTACCACCAAATACCAAGGGGTCTGATAGAAAAATCTGGGTGCGAAATGGGAGTTTAGACTCTTACTAGCCATGTGACCTCAGGAAGTTTATTGAACTTCTCCAAGATTCAACTGTCTCATCCAAAATTGGTGTGGGGAAAGGGCCAGAAAGGGCAGGAATAGTAATATCTCCCTTGCAAGTTCATTGTGAGGCTTGGGTAGGCACAATGTGTTTATAGTCAGGGCTGATACATAGTGGGAGCTCAGTAGGTAATGAATACCTAAGTCTTAAAACACTGCATTTCTTACATAACTTATCACGTCGGATTCTTGATATATTTATCTGTGTGTGTCTGCATATCTTTCCTACACTGGAATGTAAGCTTCTTGAGGGCAGGAACTTTAAAATTTTTTTAAATCTTCATATCCACAGTACCTAGCACAGAAGCTAACATATGATAAATGCTTGTAGAGTGAGTGAAGGAATGACTGACCCCATACCTTTACGACTGAGAAAACTAAGGCTGGAGAAATGAAGTGATTGGGCCAAGGACACTTATCTAGTCAGGTGAGCACTGACTTCCTGTCCAGTGCTCACCTCTCTGTTTGCTGTATCTCTTGGCACAAATGGCAGCAATATTCAGAAAGAAAAGCTTAGTTCACAGGAAGTGGCTGCTCTCACCTCCGGTTCTCTGTCCCTCTGCTGAGGCCCAGATGTCACTTGTTTTCTGGGTTCTGTAAACATGGAGCCTCTTTTGGGCCCCACTGAAGACAGCTAAATAAAAGCAGGTACAATAATTGCCCTCCAGCAGCTTATGATCAAGCCAAAGAAACCCATATCAGTCACTCCAACAGCCACTAGTATCATCCTGGTAAAGCAAACATCTTGCAGGCACCTAGTGCCAGGCTGTCCATCCCTGATCACCTGGAGCACAGGGCTGCTCCAGAAAATGTGCTCTCTCACTTTCCCCTCAGGCTCAAGTCTTTAAGGAATTGATGGCAGGAGAAAAGTCTGACAGAGTAGCCAGGGAATGAGAATTGTCATTTGGAAATGATTCCTGACATGGGGCTAGGGCAGAGGTTACATTCTGACAGCATGCACTCCAAATCGTTTGTAAAGAGTCCTCATCATTTAGAGATACCTGCCGAACTATTACAGATGGAACACAATTTCTGGAATTTGCTTCAAAATAATTCAAGGGAAGCAGATGGGGACACAGATGAGTCAATGCAGGTGCATGTTCGTTGACACGGCTAAGTGATGGGTACATGGAGGTTCATGATAGCGCTTTCTTTTTGTGTGTATGTGTTGGAAATATTTCTTAATAAAAAGCTTACAATTTTTTATTTAGTAACTGTGTAAAGAGTTGACATAGAAAGCCTGAAACTGCTCTCCTTAGAAAGGTCTACTTGCAAGGGTGGCCCTTGACTGGCATCTTGAAACCTGGCTGGTAAACAGTTCCTTACATGGAAGTGAAACATTCTGTAACTGGTAAGAGTGGCTCACTGTGACATTCTTATCACAATGGGGTTTATGCTGGACATCTGCTTTCCTCCTGGGAGTCTGGAATTTCAGTACATGCTGGCAGAGTGACCAGCCCCCAATAAAAAAGCTTGGGCAAGGAATCTAATGGGCTTCGTTGGGCTGAAACATCACACACATGTTGCTGCATTTTTGCTGCTTGGGGAAAAGTGGGCAGTGTGTGAGCCCTCTAGGAGGGAGTGAACATAAGGAAGGCTGTGCATGGATTCCCCCAGGCTCTGCTTATGTCTTTCCCCCTGTGATCTGCCTGTGTACCCCTACCACATTGTACTAAAACTTAGAAGTGGTGACAAACAAATGCTGAGTTCTGTGAGTCCTTCTAGTGGATCTCCAAACATGGAGGTGGTCTTGTCAACCCCCAACATAATAACTGTATTAGTCCATTTTATGTTGCTATAAAGGAATACCTGAGACTAGGTAATTTACAAATAAAAGAGGGCTCATGGCTTTGCAGGCTGTACATGAAGCATAGCACCAGCGTCCACTTCTGGTGAGGCCTGAGGAAGCATTTAATCATGGTGGAAGGCAAGGGGAGCCAGTGTGTCACTTGGAAGAGAAGGAGCAAGAGAGAGAAAGGGAAGGTACCAGCCTTTTTTTAACAATCGGTTCTCATGTGAACTAATAGAGCAAGAATTCACTCATTGCTGAAGGGAGGGCACCAAGCCATTCATGAGGGATCTGCCCCCATGACCAAAACACCTCTCATTAGGCTCCTCCTCCAACATTGGAAATCACATTTCAACATGAGATTTGGAGGGAATAAACATCCAAAATATGTCAGTAAACAACATTTTAAAATTAGGAGATTTTATATAAAAGTCTGGATTTCCAATTTGTCTTGAAAAAGTAAGAGTTCTGGCAACCCTAGGTCTTTACCTGGAGTTGAACATGGCCTTTCCAGTTCAACAGCTCCCACTCAAACAGCTTCAGTTGTTTATATTATCTGTCTAGCCCCTGCAAGCTTTTGAGTTTTAGACCCTTGAACAGGAGGAGGGGGTCTTGACAGGTGCTTCAGAAACACAGGTTCCTGAGGCTGTGTTCATTAAGAGGAATTGACCTGCCATCCATTATAGGTCCCTTGAGCCCTTCAAGTCCAACAGATTCAGCAAGTATTTACAAACAATGTTTACTAGGCCTTGGGCTCATAATATTAGTGACAATAATAGTACTTATCATTTACTTGCTCTTGCCAGGCTTTACCCACATGGTTACTAATCCTGGCGACATCTCATGATCACCAGTTCCCAAAGTGATTCAGTCTACTATCACTAGGTGTCTATGCCAGGTGCAGGCAAAGTCCTAGGTAGTGGGAACACAAGGACAAATAAGACAAAGCCCCTGCCTCATGACCTCACATTTTTGTCAACAAATACAAACATGAAATTAATCGACAAAGGAATAAATATGATATATGTCAGGCAATAAGTGCTGTGAAGTGAAATCAAGCTTGCAGAGGGCCCAGAGAGGGACCTGAGGATGTGTGGCCAGGAAGACAATATTTCAGAAGATAACATTTGAGCAAAGAACTGAATGAGGTAAGAGTGGGAGCCATGCAAAGGTCTGGAGAAATAGCTTCCCTGGATCAGAAAGAGCATGTGCAAAGTTCCTGGGGCAGAAGTGAGCTTTGCTGGGCTGGGTTGTGAAAGCTTGGTGAACAAGAGAATGAAGAGATCAGCAGCCAGATCATATGGGTCCTACAGGCTGTGATGAGGCCTTGCAGATGTTATTCTGGGTGAGAAGAAAAAGTATTAGAGGATTTTGAGAAGGATGTGGAAGCATAGGTAGAAACTGAAGCTCTGAGACAGTAAATAACATTGTCCATAAGTGGCAGAGTCGGAATTCAGTCCCATGTCTATCTGAGTCCAAAGAGAGTCTAGGGTCCATGCCATTGCAAAGGCATAACATGGGAACATTTCCCTTCTTTTAAAATGTTTCTTCTTTTAAAAAATTTCCCAACGAAATTCTCAGTTTCCCTTCACTTTGGAACCCACTCTTATAACACCACAGTGCATGGGAATTTCCTAGCCCGAGAAGAGGACATCTATCAGGTTCAGCTTGTTGGCCAAGATCAAGTGTAGGTGGATGCTCCTTAATGATCATGAAAAATTGTGAACACAGTTGCATGTACCACATGAACCCATACATGACAGCTTGTATGTAAATGCAGTTTTTATCAGTTAAATCACTTGAAAGTCACCGATATGCTTGCTACCTAAAAGAATCTAAAAGAAAGCCTTAGTTAAGGGGAGGGAAAAAACCATCTTGGAACACAAATAATGACAAACCATTCTTCTTTCTTCTTCCAGAAGTATGGTTTCTGTACCTCAGGTTTTCTTAAAGCAGTGGATGCCTGAACTATTCTTGTCAGCATCACTGCGATATATCACTATTATTAAGATATACAACATTAGATATGGCATGATAAGGTTTACATATGATTAAATCCCCCCCTTGGTGGAGAAGTGTCTACAACACAGAATGGAACTGGCTCATCAAATCTCGAGAGTTTACACGACCTCTTTAGAATTTCAATTCTCTCCTCGCTGTCACATTAAAACAGTACCCAGGGACACTGGGACACTGGGATTTTTTAGTCCTGCATTTGAATTGTATCTGGCCAAACAGAACCAGCCTCGAATTCCCCAGAGGACTCCCACAGGAAGCAAATGTAGGTGTGTCCTCTGCGTGCTGATGATCAAAGAGAGAAACCAACTTTTGTGCCAGCAGCTCTTGATTATTCAGGGGCGGATGATCCAATTTGTGGATTAGCTGGGCCTCTCGGCCTTTCCTGATTTCACTGATCATTAGCCCATGGACCCCTCGGGCCAGGAAGATAAAAGGAGCACCAGGCAAAGCGGTCCAGTGGCTTCTTGGCCGCTCTGGTAAAAGGGGGCAGGGCAGAGGCAGTCGTATGCAGTAGGGAAAATGAGGTTTGGGGATTATCCGGATTTCAATGAGCTCACTTCTCCATAGCCCCCTCGCCCCCCACCTGAGCCCCTATCGCTGGGTAATGAACAGTTTACCTTGGATGGAGTGGGCCCTAGAAACAGCCCAGTGGATTTTGAATGTGATATTTCAAGGGCCTTGGGTCCAGGAGTGTGAAGTTGCCCTTTACAGGGTGGGAGACCCTGGAGAATCAATCTCCTCATTGCTTCTTTGCTGAGTGTGTCAGGGCAGGCATGGGGGGTGGGAGACACTGCCTTTTACAAGAACCTCTCTGCCCTACACAATCGCCAGGCTCTTAGCCCTAGAATGGGGATAGTCCATCCTCTTACAGGGCATTTCCTGGGGTTCCAAGAGCTACTGAGGAGGAGGAGGGGTAAGAGGGAGAGAGACAAGGAGGAGAAGAAGGAGAGAAAGGAGAAGAGGAAGGAAGAGGGAGGGAGGAAGGGAGGCTTCAGTCCAACCTGAATAGGCTTTTGATTCCAAGACAGTTCTAGAATAGTCCTTCTCAATATTCTGATCAGACTGATGAATAAGCACTATGGAGATCATAAATCTAGATCCTCAGGGGAGTAAAGCCATCAGGAAAGAGGGCCAGAGGCATTCTGGCAGAAGGAGAGAAGCAGGTCTTTAAAGGCAAGATCTGCCATTTATCCACTGGGACTTTGGGCAAGTTATTCTCAAAGCCTCCATTTCCTCATAGGAACAGTCAGGATAACAAGAGTGAAGATTTCTTCACGCTGCTGAGGGAAAGAACTGAGATTCCCAAGTACAGGACCAGCCCAGTATGGGACTCGTGGAAAGCATGGTAGGGATGAGTAGAGTCCAGAAGGAGCAGGCAAGTCCGAGCCACACCCACATTCCCTGCACTCCATTCCTGGCCCCTGAGTGGCTGGCTGGCTCCACCACCACTTGATGTTTCAGCCATTCTCAGCAGCGAGGCATCGGAACACCCTGGGCTCATCTATGGCCTTTCCTAGACCCATAGTGTGGCAACAAGGAGTTGCACTGGGGATTTTGAAACGCAGCTCCTAAATGGCACTGGCTTACTCCATGATGTTGAGAGGCCCTTTCTTAACCTGTGTTGCTTTTCTTTAAATGGGAGCAAGAGCTCCTCTTTGAGCAGTGTGAATTGAACATTGAAAAGTGTCATAAATTAAAGGACAAAGGCAAGGGGCTAGGGGATCTGAATTCTTTTTAATTACCCCCCAAAATCTTTATAATTGTCAGTTTTCAGCAAATATATATTCAGGAGCTGTGTGTCTAGCCATGAGCCTGGCAAGTGGATTACATAGAGCCTGATGCCCAGGGTGGGTGGGGGTGACCCCTGGAGCCTCTCCTTGTCCTCAAGGCTAAGGAGGTATAGGTTGATCTCTTTCAATGCCCTTAGCGGGCTGTGCTCAGTGCCGGAAGCCAGAGTGCGGAGGGAAGGTCAACACTTTCCCTAGCCAGAGACAGAAGGATCAAGAGCTGCAGTTCTCAAATGTTTTGGTCTCAGAATCCCTTTACACTCTTAAAACTTATGTGGTTTATGTCTACCTATAATACATATAAAAATATATAAATATACTTTATTATACAATATAATTATATGTTTACATATATAAATATATCATATATACATATATAAACATAATACATAAAATATAATGTTTATATATAAAATAGGTTATATATTATATAAATCAACTATATACTTATATAAATATATAATATATATTATATGTTTATATGCAAACATATAAATACATAATATATAGACATACATAAATATAAATATATATATATATAGAGAGAGAGAGAGTTTATTTGTTTGAGACAGGGTCTTGCTCTTTCGCCCAGGCTGGAGTGCAGTGACACGATCTTGACTCACTGCGACTCCTCCTCCCAGGCTCAAGCAATCCTCCCACCTCAGCCTTCCAAGTCACTGGGACTACAGGCACATGCCACAATGCCTAGCTAATTTTTGTAATCTTTGTAGAGACGGGGCTTCGTCATGTTGCCCAGGCTGGTCTTGAACTCCTGGGCTCAAGTGATTTGCCAGCCTTGACCCCCCAAAGTGCTGGGATTACAGGCGTGAGCCACCACGCCTGGCCATATGTCTATTTGTATTTATTTATTTATCATTAATTTTTTTGAAACAGGGTCTCACTCTGTCTCCCAGGCTGGAGTACAGTGGCACAATCATGGCTCACTGCAGCCTCAACCTCCCAGCTCAAGCAATTCTCCCACCTCAGCCTCCCAAGTAGCTGGCACTACAGGTATACACTCCCATGTCCGGCTAATTTTTGAATTTTTTTGTAGAGATAGAGTTTCACCATTTTGCACAGGCTGGTTTTGAACTTCTAAATTCCAGTGATCCACTTGTTCGGCCTCCCAAAGTACTGGGCTTACAGGTGTGAATAACTGCACCCGGCTATATTTATCACAGCAGAAATTAGTATGTTAGTATGGAAATTGTTTGACCTTTCCAACCCCCTGAAGGGGTCTCAGAGACCTTCAGCTTTTCCCGGACCACACTCTGAGAACTGCTGCTCTGGCATTGCGCTGCCCAGACTTTGCTGTGCCCACATGACACCTGGAATCATGCTAAAATGCAGGTTCTAATTCAGTAGCTCTGAGGTACATAGTAAGACCACACTGCTGACAAGTTTCCAAGGGATGCTGATGCTGCTGGCGCTTGGGCTCCACTTCGAACAGCAAGGCCACAGAGATCGGAGGACAAAAAGTTCATCTTTGGCTAGTGTGCTCTTACATCCGGCCTTACAAATTGGACAATTTAATTTAAAATGGTGGACATGGGTAGAAAGGCCATGCTGAGTGGCGAAGATGGCATAAGCAAAGGTACATATGTAGGAAAATGCAACTTCAGCCGAAGTGTAGGTTCATAAAAACCCCAAGCTGCCCACTGCTCCAACCCCTAGGCTATGTGTAGCTATGTGTAGCTTCCAGTCCAGGCAGAGAAGCCACTGGTCTCAGCATCTCAGGGAAAGGGGTATGAGACCTATCCCCATCCAATACCATGATCAACAAACATCTATGAGTACCAGCAAGAAACAAGTAACTCCAGTGGACCTCAGCTAGCCTTAATTTTCCATCATCCATCCTCACTTCAATTTTCCCTTGGGAGTCATCATTTTTCCACATTCAGTCTAAGTAGTTTGGGTGGAGTTGACCCAAGGTAAGAACAAGATAAGAATCAAAGCACAACTCCCTCTGGCCACAGTGATGAGTTCAAGAATGGGCACAGGACCCAAAGGAGGCCACTGAGAGCCTTCCTGGGCCTTCTCATGGTTTTACAGAGAGACCACATGAGGAGGCCACCTAGAGAGACATGCCCAAGGGGTCCCAGCTGTCTGAGTCTTCCCAGCCCAGGCTCCAGACACATGAGTGAAGAAGCTTCCCAGATGACCTCAGCCCCAGAACCACCTGACTACAAGTGTCTGAGGAACCCTAAGCAAGAACTGCCTCACGGAGCCCAGTTGACCCTCGGATTCAAAAGCAGAATAAATGTGTGTTGCTTCAAGCCACTGTTTTGAGCCATTATTAGTATGCAATAATGGCCAGAACTGGGTCTGTTTGGCTTACCTATTAATTCCAGGGCTAAAATACCAGGAAACAAATCAAAGGCCAGGACAAAGACGCCACTGCACAAAGAACAAGTTCCCCAACTGTCTTTGCTTTGGACCAGCATGTTGGTTGTAGATTTTGTCAACAAGCTCTCACTGTGTAGCAGCCATCAAATAAGCTTTTCATGAGAATTAAGCCAAACAGTCCAGGCTGCAGTGGGAGCAGAATGAGCTTTCCATAAAGTTTGGTGGTCTCCATGATAACACAGGACACTGCTCGTTCACTGATGTTGTACTCGCTCAATTAGTTTCTTCATCTCAGATTGTAAAATCTGGATGGAAGGAGACATTTCTAATACTTCTTCAGGGTTCCAAAGCCTGTGGTAGACTGTAAGACACATACTGGGTGCTTGATAGACATTTGTCAACAGCTTGCCTGATTTAAATCTGGGCCTTATATTTCACATGGGGAGGCCATGGAAGCCCACAAAGCAAATGGAGGGTCACATTGGCCAACGGTTTTCTCTGATGGTACAGAGGTAAATGTCCACAAAAAATATTGGGTAGTAGAGGAAGACAGTTGACAACCCTTACATAACCTCCAAAGGTCTTAGAGAGCACAGAGTTGGAGTTGATAGACCAGGATTGAAATCCTGACTCAGCCATCAGGAAGCTGGAGGCATTCGGTGAGGCCCAGCCCCTACAAGTCTCAGCTTCCTTATCTGTAAAGTGGGAGTAACAGTACCTAGAAGATTGTGGTGATTAAGTGAGACATTCAATATAAGGCATATGTTGACATGTGGCAGGCACTCTGTAAATAGAAATCATCATTGTTATCATTAGCTGCACATTTGGGAATAAAACTCCTGGCTTACTTACTTTACATGGCAGTTTTGTGGATCAAGGGAGAATAGACAGAATGATGCTTTAAAAATATTAATAAAGTTCAATGTCAATAAAGTTATTAAAAACCAGAGTAAGGTCTAAATCATCTGACATAAATATCCCTTCTGTTTGCACATGCAAAGCAGAATGCAGAATGTGAGAAAAAAGAGTTGGGGAAAACCCAAAGCAAGAGGCACATCACTGATCCACTCACACAGAGCTGGAAAGAACCTTTAAAATCACCCAATTCACCTCGTTTTTCAGGAAGGGAACTAGGGCAGAGAGTGCCGCTGCATGGATGAGGCCACACAAGCTAGCAGGCAGGACCAGGAAGGGAACTCCCAACCCACATGCCCAGTCTGGTGCCCTTTTCACTATTTATCACCTTTCTGGCTTGCATTTGCTGTGTGATAATCTAGGTATCTGCCCATCAGAACATTCTTAAGCAGACACTGGATGCAACTGAAAAGTAAACAAATGCCAGATCAGTTTCATCGTTGGAACATTTCCTCACTTCCTGGCAGTTGCGGAGAAAATGCCTCTGGGGTATCTTTCTCTAATTTTCTTTCTCAATAATGGTATAAAAATGGTAACGAATGCTAAGGAGGAGTAATGTGTCTTGGGGAAAATTTAGCTTCTACAAGCTGGTTTTCCGTCCACCCTACAAAGTCACTGAGCTCTGGGATGCTGGCTTTCTAAGTCTGGCTGAAGCTCAACCATGAGGCCAAGTGCCCAGCTTTGACAAAGAAAGCTCTTCAACACTGGAAGAAAGATCGTCAATGTTGGTGTCTGAGTTTCTCTGTTATAATGAAGTGTTCAATGTTTTAAACACTGCTGCAATGAATGTAATGGTAGATTTAAAAGCTTTTTTTTTTTTTAAATTGAGATGGAGTCTTGCTCTGTTGCCCAGGCTGGTGTGCAGTGGTGCAATCTTGGCTCACTGTAACCTCCGTCTCCTGGGTTCAAGTGATTCTTCTGCCTCAGCCTCCCGAGTAGCTGGGACTGCAGGAACGTGCCACCACACCCGGCTAATTTTTTGTATTTTTTTTTTGGTAAAGATGAGGTTTCGCTGTGTTAGCCAGGATGATCTCAATCTCCTGACCTCGTGATCCACCTGCCTTGGCCTTCCAAAGTGCTAGGATTACAGGCATGAGCCACCGCGCCCAGCCTTAAATGCTATTTTAATTTCTTGCATATAACGAGGCTGTCTTTTATTCTCTGGTTACCCAGGTTTGAAAGCCCAGTCACCTCTGACCTGCCTCTCTGCTTTGAGCTCCATGTGCTTTGGCCATCAAATCTTACCAAATCATTCTTTCTCTCCATCCCCATAACACTGGCCTGTAGCAGCCCTCATTCCTTATGACCACCATAGCCTCCCACTGGGATCTCAGAATCCAGGCCTTCTGCCCAACCCCAAATCCTTCCTGGGCACAGCCCCTGATTCACCTTTTACAAATGCCCCCTAGGTCTGTCACTCTGGGGCTCCCCTCATCCACAGGCAAGTCTTAGCCTGCCTTTATCTCTCTCCTCTTTCATTCCTGCTCTATCTCCCTCCATCCTCTGAAACAAAAACTAATTTGTTGTTCCCTCCGGATTGCATGCTGTTCCCTGCATTTGAATGCCTTTCTCCCACCTCAACTCATCGAAATCTCAACCAATCTTCAACTCCTAGGCAAATGCTACTGCTTCTTTCATGAATTCTCTGCTCCTTACTCCAGCCAGACATCACGTGTCCTTGTTCCCTTGTCAGGCTTCCCTCCCATAACCTCAGATCAAGCCACCACATTGCTGTAACCATGCACTTCCTGGTATCTATGTCTTTGCTTGTCACAGTGCCCCTCCCAGAAGACATATTCTCTTAGGGCAAGGAAGATATTTCATTCTCTCCCCCCAGCAAAACAAAGCATTTTGTTTTCCACGTTCCATAAGCTTAATAATTATTTGTGAATTGAATGAAAAGAAAAAACATAATACAACTACTCACCTGTTTTGGGGGGCTTTTTTTGTTTTTAACGGAGTGCCTTCCAAGAGCTGAGGATTGGATTTATTAATTCTGATTTTTTACTGGATATCAATTTGAAAATCAAAGGCTGTCCCCATGCCTCAGTTTCCTCATCTGTGACCACAGGTCAAGAATAATTCTTCCTAACCTACTTTACCAGGCTACTTATTTTCACCTAAAAGGTGGCAATATTATGCTTGTTTTGTTTTGTATTGTGTTCTACTTTTAAGCAGGCTAAATAAACAGAGACCTGGAGGATTCTGTTTGGAAGAGAAAGACGATGGGCCCCTTACTTGGAGTTCATTGCCAACCCACAGAAGAGAGACGGGTTCTCTCACCAACCAGAAAAGAAACAGCTGTGGTGACAGATGTTGGTGGTGCTGATTATTCCAGGGCTGTTTGCATTCAGATTTCCCAGGCATTCTCGGTTTTCTGAAGTCAATCTCTTTTGATGGGTTTTCCCAGGTCTTGGGGGTGAAAACAAACCGCTCCTCTTGCCGCACGCATTTCATTTATTTCCTCTCTCTACTCCAGAAACACACAGATAAAGGACACCCACCCAGCACACGCACTCCCCACACCCACGTGGCCTCACGTTTCGTTTTGAACATAAATGGCCTGGGGGAGAGAAACCTTTTCACTCCTCCTTAGGTTGCTTTTTGGTTTTGTAGGTATGTGTGTTGGAGAGGTGGGGGGAGAGGTCTGGCCAAAGTACATCCAAGGCCAGTTTCTCCAAAAGATGTGGAAACTTCTGATCTCACCCAGGGACTTCAACAGAATACCAAAAAGGGGTGTCTTTGTTTCCTCCAAATGGAGTATTTACTTTGAGCTGGTAAAATGAATTAATGAAAAGAAAGGACACCTTCAGCTTCTGGGGAAGGAGTGATAAGTAAAATCAGAGGAGGGGATTCCTTCTTACCCTGACTCCCCAAAATCAAGGGGAGGATGGAGGATGGTGAGAGAGGGAGGATCCCACAGGGTATTCAAAAATAGACCCTGCTAGAAAACAGGCTGCTCTTTTCTGGGATTAAAAGTTGCCTCAATACTGTAAGGCCCATGTATATGCAAGCAGTTGGGAGTTATTACGGGCCTAAAATAGGAAACCATTCGCTTGATCTTTCGCTTCAATCCTATTAGGGGCCCCCTGGAGCTCGAGAGAGATACCAGCCTGTCATGTCCCTGTTGCTGTGACGACCCTGTCTTTATAGAACAAGAAAGAGAAATGGTAGTGATTGGCAGACCTTGCTTGCCCCGTATGTAACACAAAGGGCGACAAAACGAAGAGGAAGTGAGGCCCTTCTCCGAGGTCTGACGCTTCTTAACCCTACACTACCTTCCACCTGGTCCCAGTCGCCCCCACCCCGACCTCCTCCAGAGGGAAAGGAGAGACCACTGGCCGTTAAGTGCTAATACCCAAAGATCACGAATGACTTTTTTGGGTCTAATTGCGAGTAATTTTTAAAGTCCGTCTTTGATCGACTTGGACGGGAGAAAATATACGGGAGGGGCTGGAAGCGAAGATGGGGGCTGCTCAGGCGACGCTGCCAACCGGGCGCTGTTTGCGGGGCGCTGGGCGGGGCGGCCGGGCCTGACAGACCCCCACCATCTGGTGCCAGACTCCAACCCGCCGGTCGTAAATAACCGCCTCCCTTTTCGGGCTTTCTCGCCCGGCTCCTCCGATTCCCGCTAAAGTGGGAAAAGTGTAAAATGCTGTTTGCGTCCTTTTTTCTCCGCTGTGTGCGCGGGAAGGAGGAGAGCGGCCTGCAGTGGCGGACGCGGGGCCGGGCCACCCCCCAAAACCTGGCGCCCGGCGGGGCGGCCCGCAGAGCCAGGCGGCAAAGGCCGCGCCCCGGGCCGAGCTCTCCGCCCGGCGCCCGGTCCCATTAGGGGCTGTTTATTGCAAAGTAAAACCAACCTATCGCAGCGGCGAAGGCACTTTGTCTCTGCCGGGTCCCTTTCGGAAAACCGGTGACCCGGCGGCCCGGCGCGTCTCGGGGCGGGGGCAGCACAGCGTGCACGGTCCTCTCCAAGCGTTTTGCTGGGGACAAGTGCCTTTCTCTGAGGTTTACAACTCGCCCCGGCTCTGCTCAGGCGCCCACGGTAGCCGGAACTGGGCTGCAGCCTCCCCAGATCACACTAAACCCGAGCCGTTGCGAGGCCCCGGGTTGCCCAAAGATTGACAACGATCAGGAGCTAAGTCTGCTTTCCGGGGACCTCGTGGGGAGCTCTGTGCCCAGCACTTTTCTCTCGGACTCTCTGCTGGGGGAGAGAAAGAAAAGAAAAAAAAAGAAAAAGAAAAAGAAAAAGAAAAGTTTCTTTCGGGGGAAGCAGTGAAACAGGAAATGAAGATTCGCTCTGTAGTTTAGCTGAAAGGAAACGCTGTCTAATCCTGACATGTATCGCATTTAAAATAAAATTCTTTTATCTTCATGCGTGCCAAGCCCCCAGACATTGTTCGGACTCCTACGGGGGGAAAGACGTCATAAAATGAGAATTTGTTTCATTGTGGGTCGCTCTGCCAACACCGGGCTTTAAAGGAACGCCAAACAAAGCGGGCGCCAGGAGGGGGCTTCCCAGGTGAGCCCGAGACGGGATCGAAACTCCTCTCCAGTCCACGAAAACGCCCAAGAATAAGTTGTTGAGTAAAACCCACCCGTCCTCCTTGTAAACCCCCCAATTTCCTTTCCAAAACCCCATCCCTCTCCCAAATAAATCACGAGCGGCTCTCTTCCCATGCCAAGCGCCCTTGGCTTCACAATAAGCCCGGAAGATTTTAAGCAACGATATTGAGGTTTGGGAAGAGGGAGCGTGGGGCGTGGGATTCGCTGCTGCCCTGGGTTCAGTGTTCTTGGTTCTTTTCACGCCAGGCGTGATAAAGCAAAATATTTTAACTGCAACCTACAAGCTTGTTTTTTATCTTTTTTTCCCCTAACTTTTTTTTTTCCTTCCAAGAAACAGATCAAGAAAAACTAATTACAAGGCACGGCACCAAAGTTAAATGAAAATGTAATCCGGCAATAGAGAGAGAAAATTAATTTTTTAAAAGATAGATTTGAGTTAGAAACAAAAATACATTGTTCTCCCTGGTAACGTTTGCTAAACCTATGCTCGATTTCGGGCTGAAAAATCAGTAGTTACCCAGAACTCTGAGGTCACTCTCTGGATGCGTTTTCTTTAGAAATTCTAATTCGAAAATGTTCAAGCCTTCATTTGGAGCTTTGTTTTGTTTTCTGTATAAAAAGGTTTGGGGTGTTTTGCTTTTGTTTGTTTTGTTTTCTTTTTATTCAAAAATACTCCTTCTCTGTTTAGATATAATAGAGTGGTCTTGGAGATTAAGAGAATTTAGGAAAATATTTTTGATGGTGCCCTCAGTTGATATGTTACTGAAATAACAAATTGTTTTTTAAAACTTTCTTCTTTCTAGGTAGATGTCCCATCTCTAAAAATACTCTTGACTATTGGAAACGTGGGCACCAGTACACACAGCTGATGAGCTGCTCTAAGCCAGGGCTTGCTTCCAGCAACTCCCCTCACACCAAATGAAGAGGGTTTTGTTATGTTGGTTGTTGTTAGTGAAAGGTTTCTGTTTTGTTTTTTGTTTTGTTTTTGTTTGTTTTTAAACACTCTTGTTGGGTCTTCTACATCCTATATTATCTTCCTAGGAGAAAGGTTAATTTTCATTTCAAAAATGCGTGTGCTGCTGCACAAAACTCATAGTGCTTCATCCTAAAGATTTTTTTATGTCCAAATATTAAAATACTATAATGATGCTTTAATGGAATAAAATGTTTGTCCAATTAACCACTTCTTTGCTATTTGTTAGAATCTCTAGGAACATAGGCCAGTTCCTTAATGTAGTGTTTGTCCTAAGCCATTAAATACTCCATCTTAATTTTATTACATTAAGATATTCAAAATTATCTTCTTCAAATCTTTGTGTCATGTTTCTTTATTAGCTTGACTCACATCAACTGAGTCTCAGCAAGAAATAAGTTGACAGATGTTAGACAACTTGAAGGGGAGTTATTTGTTTTTAAAAAGATTAAATATTCCTGTCTAATTTATTTTTAAATCTCTCTCTCTCTCTCTGTTTTACTGTACTTGGACAGGGTAGGGCTGGAAAAGAAAGCCACGTCCTCCTTTACTGTATCAGCAGTGAATTTGCACCACCTTCTGGTAGGTTAGAGAATGACGAAAACACCCGCTGCTTCCATAAAAGAATTCTTTTATTCACTGTGGTCTGTTGTCCGATTTGTAGCTGAACTCAGAGCACCACTTAGCTTCTCAGAACTCACAGCTGATCTCTCCTATAGCCTGGTTTTATACAGATTCTTTGAACTGGGAAGTCTTTTCTTTATCATATCCTTGAGAAGGCTCACAAAATCCCCAACCGGTCCCTGCCTGTTAATTTACTGAAATGCCTGGCAGGGAAGTAAAGGATGGCTGGAGAATAGTCATTTCCTATTCTATTTTGGCTGTCCTCTGTAGAGTGCTTGAAAACAAATCGGAGGCTATAACTGTAGCAGCAGAGAAATAAACGCTTCTCTTTCTTGGTTTCATAAGACCCTCATTACCCACAATTAATCATAATGACATGCTGTATTCAGGCTCCTTGCTGGGGACTGCGAGGAACACACAGATGTGGCTTTCTGTAGATTTCAATCCCCTCTGCAGTATGGATTTCAGGATACAAAGCTTGTTAGTACACATTACTAGCCCCTGGATCTGCGGTTTCTCTCAAAAGTGCTGGTCAGCACTAGAGTGTGGAGGGTTTCCCAGACTTCAAATGAGGAACGTTTTTTCATGGCCTTCCTGCCTGGTGATAAAGACCACAGGGTGCAAAGGTTGATACTTCTTTCTCAAAGCCAAGCTAGATTTTAAAAAATGGAATATATACCCAGTAAAATGCAGTATGCATATATGTGTGTGTTACATCTATCTTATGTGAAGGTCTCTTATTCAAGGAGACAATAAACTTGATGGTGTGCACTACAGAATATGAGGAAAAATGAAGACCATGTTCTAGTAACATAGAGCCCCAAATGCTTTGCCTGCAAAACTGAGCTCAGAGAGAGAATGATTCTCAATTGGGTTAAATTAGTGAAATCATTTGATGAATTATTAATCTTATGTTAACCAACTGAGCCCCTGATAGGTGCCAGGTCTGTGAAGCTGAAACAGCCATGCTGGCTGTCGTGGGCTAGTTGCAATTGTCTACACCTGAATCAGCAGGGGCTTTCCAGCTAATTGTGTTAAAGGGATCTACCTACACAAGGCTGTTTGTTACTTGCATGATGTTAAGACAACCCAAACAAGAAAGATCAATAATTATTTTGTCATCACCTTACTCAAAAGTCTTTATTACAAACTTAAGAAGATTGTGAAGAAAGTACATGGAGAAACCTACAAACTTTCTTGATGAATATTCCAAGATAAGATTCAAATAAAGGTGAAAAAGACTGTTTTCTTAAATGCAGAGACTTAATGTTGTGAAGACATCAATTCTCAAATTTACATACAGACGGCCTTCCATATCCATGGATTCCACATTCATGGATTCAACCAATCTCAGATGAAAAATAATCAGAAAAAAAGTTGAGTCTGTACTGAACATGTACAGACTTTTTTCTTGTCATCATTTCCTAAACAGTACATTATAACAACTATTTACATGGCATTTACACTATATTTGGAATTATAATTAATTTAGAGATGATTTAAAGTATACAGGAAGAAATGTGTATGTTATATGCAAATACTACACTATTTTATATCAGGTACTTGAGTATTTGGGGATTTTGGTATCTGAGCAAGGTCCTGGGACCAATCCCCCACAGATACCGAGGGATGACTGTGTATATAAATGAAATCAATAGGATGAGTGAGTTAGAAGTGTGGGATAGAAGGGAATTTGGCAAAGTAATTCTAAACTTCACTTAAGAGAATAATGCAATGAAAACAGTGAAGACATATTTGGAAAACGAATAAAATTTGACCTAATGATATGTTCTATAAAACTACAACTTTAACAGGATGGTACTGGTGTGAAAATCAGACCAAGCAATTAAACAAATAAAGAGTACAGAAAGGATGTATTTTATTAAAGGACATATTTTATGTATTTATAAAAATTCAGTGTAAGATAAAGTTGACATCTCAAATCAAAGGCCTGAATTGCAGATTGTTTACTAAACATTGTTGGAAAAATGTACTATCCATTTGTTAAAAGGAATACATACCTTAACCAAAAATAAATTTCATATTGCTGAAGAGTTACCTTCAAATATTACATTGTAAAAAGAAAATCAGCAATAGTCACAATCGTCATCTGACAGCAGAAAAAAAACCAAGCCAATAATTAAAAGAATAGATTGGGGACATGGTAACCAAGAACATAGTGAGGCACCATTTAATATCCAGCACCCACACACATTTTAGAGACCATATTTTAGAGACCATATTTTAGAGACCATAACACTATTCAACTGACAAAAATTTAAAAAATCTAGCAATACCAAGTGTTGGAGAGGATGTGGTCCCCTGGGATCTTTTTAAACAAGGTTTCTGGAAAGGAAAGATATATATAGTCCCTTGGCAAACAGTTTGGCACATACCATATAACCCAGCAATTCTATTCCTGAGTATAGACCCGACAGAAATCTTTTCACCTGCACACCAGAAAAAAAAATATGTAAATGCATTCAGAACAGTAATAGGCATAATAGTGACCTGAATGTCTATAAATGGGGCAGTGTTTGAAAAACTGTGGTATATAGACACAACTGAATATGTGCAGCAGTTGAAATATGGTAGACACAGGTAAATAGCAATTAGCCTGAGCAGAATAATATTAAGTGGAGAAAAGCTAGTGCCAGAAGATTACATGCAGCATGACAGGCTTTTTATACAAATAAAAACAACTTGAATAAAATATGTACTTCCTAGGAAAGCGCATAGATAAGATGAAACTATATATCTAAAAGAAAAAGATAAACACAGACTTCTGAATATTTTTCTCAAGTAGAAGGAGGCAGGAGGATAGGAGGTGTACAGATCACATGGAAGAGTATAAATTATTTCAAGATCCTAGTTATTCTATTAAATGATGGGTTCATGGATGCTTACCACATTTTAAAATCATGAGATTGACTACACATGGACCATGTGTGCACCAGTGGTGACAGTGTGTCACAAATAAGCAATTCTTTGCACCCAAGATTCAGTAAAAATTAAATAATATAAAACACGAAAAATATAAAGGTGGTCAATTTTCCTATGAGGAAGGTTCTTATGAACAAAACAACAATTGCAAAAAGCATAAAGATATTATTGTCACCTAAACTATGACTACCTAAAATTTTTAAAACTTTTCATATCAAAAAACATAATTTAAAGTATTAAAAGCTGAACAAATTAATAGAAATATTTTAAATCTGAGTGTTGTGGCACTTAGGGAGGCTGAGGCAGGAGGATCACTTTAGGCTAGGAGTTCAAGACCAGCATAGGCAACACAGGAAACCCTGTCTCTACAAAAAGTAAAAAAAAAAAAAAAAAATTAGCTGGGTGTTACGGTGTGTTCTTGCAGTCCCAACCACTTGAGAGGCTGAGATGGGAGTACTGCTTAAGCCCAGGAGTTAAAGGCTGCAGTGAGCTATGATCACGCCACTGCACTCTAGCCTGGGTGACAGAGTGAGATCCTGTCTCTAAAATATGCATATATATATATATATGTATATAATATACACACACACACACATATATATATTCACTATAAGTGCAAAAGGGTTAATTACTTTACTGTATAAAAATTCCTGGCGGGGCACGGTGGCTCACGCCTGTAATCCCAGCACTGTGGGAGGCCGAGGCGGGCGGATCATGAGGTCAGGAGATCAAGACCATCCTGCCTAACACAGTGAAACCCCGTCTCCACTAAAAAAATTACAAAAAATTAGCTGGGCATGGTGGCGGGTGCCTGTAGTCCCAGCTACTCGGGAGGCTGAGGCAGGAGAATGGCACGAACCGGGGAGGCAGAGGTTGCAGTGAGTCAAGATCGTGCCACTGCACTCCAGCCTGGGTGACAGAGCGAGACTCCATTTCAAAAAAAAAAAAAATTCCTTCGAAGCAACAAAGACATCCTAAGTGAGAAATGGACAAGAAATACAAACAGGCAAGGCACAAAAGAATATATATAATGGCCCATAAATACATGAAAAATGTGTTCCAATTCATTATTTTATTTTATTTTAAAAAGGAACAAATTACTTTAAAGATAGAGATGAGGTCTCACTATGTTGCCCAAGCTGGTCTCGAACTCCTGAGCTCAAATGATCCTCCCTCCTCAGTCTCCTGAAGTGCTGGGATTACAGGCGTGAGCCATCACACCCAGCCCCATTCATTATTAATCTAAGAAATGAAAATTAAAATAACAATAAAACATAGCAAAGATAGAAATGGTTGGTAATGCATGGTGTTGGCAAGGGAATGAGGCAATGGGTTTCCTCCTATAGGCCAGTGTCAATTATTGCGATATTTTTGGATTTCAATCATAATCAAAATCATAATAGTAGCTAACATTTATTGAGACTTTATAATGTACTAAGTTTTCCTCCAAGTGCTTTACATGTATTTAATCCCCACAACAACTTCAGAAGGCAGGAATTCGTATTATCTACATTTTTCAAATGGATAAAACATTGAAACATGTATTTAAAGCCTTCAAATTGTGCTTATTATGCCACATTAGCAACTTCTTACGCCTAAATTGTTCAAGATAAATTCAGAGAGGGCTGTCATCTTTTAAAAATTTTCTTCTTGTTCGTATATTGAATTGTCCCATAAATACAATGCTTCCAAATATTGATTCTTTCTATACCTTGGGCTCAAAGGGGTCCGAAAAATGTGAAAAAATATATAAGCCATTGACCAGCTATTCAATTTCTAGGGATGTTTACAAGGAAGTGAAAGAATATATGTCAAAATTTAGCTACAAGGACAGTCATCCCTGTGATTGCTGAAATAAGAAAATTATAGTAACTAAAATGTCCAAACAATAAGAAATTGGTTGAAGAAGTATATTCATAGGAGGCAATTGTCTGCAATCCTTTTTTAAGCTCATCAAATTGTTTTTGTTGTTGTTGTTTTTATTTATTCATCCTAGAGTCTACTTCCAGATCAAACTTTTTAATCAAACATTTATTTTGAGACATTTATAGATGCATGAGCAGTTGTAAGAAATAATACAGACAGAGCTCATGTACTCTTTACCCAGTTTCCCTCAATGGTAATATCTTGGAAAACTATAGAACAATATCACAAGATTCAGAAAGTTTCCAACACCATCAGGGTGTTTTATAAAAGGTGTTGCCTTTTTATAACCATACCCACTTGCCTCTTACTTTCTCTCTCTCCTTAACTTCTAGTGACCACTAATCTTTTTCTTCATTTCTATAATTGTATCATTTCAAGAATGTCATATAAGTGAAATTATACAGTATGCAACTCTTTGGCTTTTTTTTTTTTTTTTTTTTTTTTACTCAGCGTAATTCTCTGGATATTTATGCAGATCACTGCTTTTTATTGCTGAATAGTATTCCATGGCATGGAAGTACCACATTTGTTTAACCATTCAGCTACTGAAGGACAGCCAGATTCTATTCACTTTGAGAGCAATTACAAATAAAGCTACTATAATCATTTCTTTGCAGGATTTGTGGGAACATAGGTCTTCATTTCTCTGGGATAAATGCGCAGGAGTGAATTGCTAGGTTGTATGGTGGTTTCATGATTAGTTTTTTAGGAACAGCCAGCTTGTATCCAGAGTGGCTGTACCATTTTACATTCTCACTAGCAATATATGAATGCTCCATTTTCTCTGCATTCTCATCAGAATTTGGTGTTGACACCAATTTTTATTTCAGCTAGTCTGATAGTAGTGCTATGTCACGTGGTTTTAATTTGCATTCCTTGATGGCTAATGAAGTTGAACACCTTTAATGTTCTTTTTTGCCATCGGTATAACTTCTCTGGTGAAATGTTTTTTTATGTCTTTTGTTCATTTTCTAATTGGGTCATTTCCTTGTTGAGTTTTGAGAGTTTTTATACATTCTACATATTAGCCCTCTGTCAGATGTGTGACTTGTAAATATTTTCTTTCACTCTGTAACTTGTCTTTTTTTCTTATTAACAGAGTCACAGAACAGAAGTTTTTAATTTTGAACCACAATTTATTTTTTATTTTATGAATTAAGTTTTTGGTGTCAAGTCTAAGAGTATTTCACCTAGCCCTAGATCCAGAAAAACTATCCTGTTTTTTGTGTTTGTGTGTGTTTTTTTTTTTTTTTTTTTTTTTTTTTTTTTTGAGGCAGAGTCTTGCTCCATCACCCAGGCTGGAGCGCAATGGTGCAATCTCAGCTCACTGCAACCTCCACCTCCTGGGTTCAAGTGATTCTCCTGCCTCAGCCTCCCAAGTAGCTGGAATTACAGGCACGCATCACCACGCCCAACTAATTATTTATTTTATTTTATTTTATTTTATTTTATTTTATTTTATTTTATTTTATTAGTAGAGACAGGGTTTCACCATGTTGGCCAGGCTGATCTCAAACTCCTGACCTCAGGTGATCCACCCACCTCAGCCTCCCAATATCCTTCTTGTTTGTTTGTTTTTTGTTGTTTTTTAGATACAGTCTCACTCTGTTGCCTAGGCTGGAGGGCAGGGGTGCAATCTTAGCTCACTGGAAGCTCTGCTGCCTAGGTTCAAGCAATTCTCCTACTTCAGCCTCCCGAGTAGCTGGGATTACAGGCACCTGCCACCATGCCTGGCTAATTTTTGTAGTCTTTAGTTGAGGTTTTGCCATCTTGGCCAGGCTGGTCTTGAATTCTTGACCTGGTGATCCACCCATCTCGGCCTCCCAAAGTGCTGGGATTACAGGCATGAGCCACCACGCCCGGCCTATCCTGTTTTTCAAACAAAAGTTTTATGGTTTTATGTTTTACATGTGAGTCCATAATTAATTTTGAGTTAATTTTTGCATAAGGTGTAAGACATAGGTCAAAGTTAATTTTGTGTCCATTGTTCCAGCACTGCTTATTGAAGTGGCTATTCTTCTTCCATTGAATTACCTTTGCATCCTTCTCAAATATCAGATGAGCATATTGGATCTGATTTTTGAGTTCTTTATTCCGTCCCATTGATCAATATGTCTGCCCCTCCATCAATACTACACAGCCTTGAAATCTGTAGAATTCTTATATAATAAGTCTTGAAATTACATAGACTGATTTCTCCAACTTTATTTTCTTTTCCAAGATTGTCTTAGTCATTCTAGTTCCTTTGCCCTTCCAGCTAAATTTTAGAATAATTTTGTCTATATATACAAAAAAAAAAAAATCCTTGCTAGGATTTTATAGGAATTGCATAAAACCTGTATATCAATTTAGGGAGAACTGACACTTTTAGTATGATGAATCTCCCAATCCATGAACATAGTACGTCTCTCTCTTTATTTGGAACTTTGTAAACTTTCATTATCGTTGTGTAGTCTTTAGCATATGAGTAATACACGTTTTCTTAGATTTATATCTAAGCATTTGTGTTTTTTGAGTGATTGTAAATGGTATTGTATTTTATATTTCCATTTCAACATGCTTATTGCTAATATATAGAAATGCAATTGATTTGTGTTGATTTGCCCTCAGTAACCTCGCTGAACTCACTTATTAGTTACAAACAAAATAGTTTCGATCTGTTTTGTATGTGTATTTCTTGAAATTTTCTGCATAGACAATTATGTCATCTGCAAACAGGGACAGTTTTATTTGTTCCTTTCTAATTTGTATGTCTTTTCCTCTTCTTGTCTTATTGTAATTAACTAGAACGTTCAGTACTACTTGGAATGAAAGTGGTGAGAGTTGACATCCTTATTCTAGTCCCAATTTTAGAGAGCAGGCATTAAGTCTTTCACAACTAAGCAGAATTTTAACTCTAGGGGTTTAAAAATAAATGTTTTTTATTAAGTTGAAATTTCCTCTATTTCTACTTTTCTATAAGTTTTGTCATAAATGGGTGTTGAATTTTCTCAAATGATTCTCTGTATCAATTTATATGTTAATGTAATTTTCTTATTTAGCTTGTAAAATGGTGGATTACATTGATTGATTTTTGAATATTGAACCAATCTTGCATTGCTGGAACAAAGGTCACTTGACCATGTTGGTATAAATCTTTGTATGTTTTTCTAATTTCTATTTTCTAATATTTTGTTAAGGATTTTTGTACCTATATTCGTAAGAGTCTATACTTTTCTTTTTTTGTATTGTCTTTGGTTTTGGTGTCAAAGTAATATCAGCCTCATAAAATAAATTAGAAAGCGGTCCCTCTTTTGTCTTCTCAGAGAGATTATGTAAAATTGGTACTAATTTTTCTTTAAATATTTGGTAGAATTATCTAGTGAAACCATATGGGCCAAGAGTTTTTTATGGGAGTTTTAAAATTATGAATTCCATTTTCTTAACAGCCATAGGCCTATTGAAATTATCTATTTCATACTGGATGAGTTGTGGTAGTTTGCATTTTTCAAGAATGCCAGTCACTTCATCTTCTTGTAAAATGTACGTGTGTAGAGTTGCTCATAGTACTCTCTTATTATCCTCTGAATGCCTTCAGGGTTTGTAGTGATATCTCCTGATACTGGTAATGTGTCGTTTTTTTTCTTGCCACAGATTTATCCATTTTATTGACCTTTTCAAAGAACCAACTCTTTGTTTCATTGTTTTTTTCTATTTTCTGTTTCTATCTCATTGATTTCTATTCTTATCATTTTTATTTCCTTCTTTTTGCCTGCTTTGGTTTTAAGTTTGCTCTTCTTTTATAGATTCTTGAGGTGGGAGCTTATGTTATTGATTTGAGACTTTTCCTCTTTTCTAATATACAGATTTAGTAATATAAATTTCCCTCTCAACAATGATTTCTCAGTATCCCACAAATTGTGATATAATTTTATTTTCATTCAGTTCAATGTATTATTTATTACTCTTGAGACTTTGACTTTGATCCGTGGATTATTTAGAATAATTGTGTTGTTTAGTTTCCAAGTGCTTAGAGATTTTTATATTACCTTTATGCTATTGATTGCTAGCTTGATTTCATAGTGGTTGGAGAACACACTTTGCAGGATTTCAGTTGTTTTAAATGTGTTGAGGTTTGTTCCATGACCCAGAGTACAATCTATTTTGATGGCTGTTCCAAGGGCACTTAGAAAGAGTATCTGTTCCACTGTTGTTGAGTGGAGTGCTCTATAAATATTCATTTCATTCTTTTGGTTGATAGTGTTGAGTCTTCTATATTGTTGCTAATTTTCTATCAATTGTTCTATCAATTGTTTAGAGAAAGATGAAATCTTCACCTATTTATGAATTTGTCTATTTCTCCTTTAATTGCTATCAGTTTTGGCTTTGCATATTTTCAGATCTGTTGTTTGTTATACATTTAGAATTGTTATATTTTGTTAGATTTATCCTTTCATCATTGTATAATGTCCCTGTCTATCAATTTTCTTTATTCCGAATTCTACTTTATCTGAAATTAATATAGCCACTTCTGTCTTCCTTTGATTGATAAATGTATCATATATCTTTTTCAATTTTTTTACTTCCAACTTGCCAATAACATATTTGAAGTGAATTGTTTTTAGTTAGCAGTCACCTGGGCCATGCTTTTTCATCCACTCTGTCAGTTACTTTTAATTAATATTTTATGATCTTTTACATTGAATTTATACATTAATATATTAGAGCTTAAGTCTACCATATAATTTTTTGTTTTCACCTTCTTCTGTTTTCACTGTTATTTTCTCTTTTCTGCCTTCCTGTGGATTACTTGAACACTATAGACTTCCACTTTGATTTATCTATGTTTCTGAGTATATTTCCTTGTATAGATTTGTACTGATTGCTGTATTATATATCCATAACTTATCACAGTCTACTAGTGATAACATTTTACCAGTTTGGGTGAAATATAAAAATCTTACCTTCACTTAACCTCTATACCCTCCACCCATTTATAAAATAATTATCTTGAATATTTTTCCATGACATTTAGAACCACATCAGATAGTGTTACAATTTTTCTTCCATCATCAAACATAATTTGGAAAACTCAAGACAAAGAAAACCTATTGTATTTACCTCTATTTTTGCTTATCCTATTCTTTCTTCTTTCCTAATGTTCTGAGGTTCCTTCTTTTATCATGACCTTTCTGTTTGCAGCATTTCCTTTAGCTACTCTTTTAGGGTAGATCTGCTGGCAACAAGTTCACTTAGCTTTCCTTCATCTCGAATGTCTTGATTTCTTCTTGCAGCACATGAAAAATACCGTGCCACTTTCTTCTGGCCTTCAAGGTTTCTGATGAGAAATCTGTTGCCATTCTAATTGTTTTTTTCTTGGAAGCAAGGCATCTTTTTATTTTCTTTTTTTTATGGCTGCTTGCAAGATTTTTTCTTTGTTTTTAGTTTTTAGAAGCTTAATTATGACATACCTTGGTGTAGATTTCTTTGGTTTATCCTGTTGGAGATTTGCTCCACTTCTTGAATCTGTTGGTTTCTGTTTCTTGCCAAAGCTTGGAAATTTTTAGCCATTATTTTTTCAAGTACTTTTTCAGCCTCACCCTTTTTTTCTTCCTTCAAGATTTTAGTAACACAACATTAGATCTTTTGTTACAGTTCATGGTCTCTGAGCCTCTATTCTTTTTTTTTCAGTCTATTTTCTTTCTGCTGCTTAAATTTGGTAAAATTGCAATTGTTCTTTCTTTGACTTCACTGATTCTTTCCTTTGTTTCCTCCATTCTGCTGTGGAGCTCATCCACTGAGCTTCTTATTCTGGTTATTGTATTTTTCAGTTCTAAAACTCTCATTTGGTTCTTCTTCATATCCTCTATTCCTTTGCTGAGATCTCCTGTTTCTTTTCTGAGGCTTGCTATTTTTAAATTGGCTTCCAGGGTGTTCATAATTGCTCATGGAAGCATTTTTATGAAGACTACTTTAAAATGCTTGTCAAATTATTCTTACATCTCTGCCATTTCTGTGTTCACCTCTATTGATGGTCTTTTCATTAGTTTGAGACCTACCTGGTTCTTGGTATGACAAGTGATCTTTGTTTGAAACCTGCATATTTTTATATCGTTAAGAACCTCTAGATCTTATTTAAGTCTTCTATTATAGTTAGCTTTGTCTGACATCACTCCAGCAGGAAGAGGAGAGATACTACTTCATTATTTTCCGTGATGGTAGAAGTCCAAGCTCCCCACTCAGCCACTCCCCATGGAAGGAATCTCATCCTTACTGCTGGGCAGGGTGAGTTTTTGCTCCCCACTAACATCGTGATGTTGGGGTGCAAGGAGAACTTGATATCAGGCAGAGCTGAGAGTCTTGGCTCCCTATTTGGCCTTCTCTAACACTGCTCCTGTGTGTGGGTGTTGAAGCACCTCATGACAGGCTTTGCTAGCATGTGTAGGACTGGTCCACAGTTTATCCTGTGGCGTTTGGCCAGAGTGTAATAATTATCGTGTAAATATATTCTACCTTGCTAGGCTTCCCCTTTACTGAAACTTTACTAGAAAGCCTTTATTTATTTGTTTGTTTGTTTGTTTATTTATTTATTTTTCGGTCTGTGCCTCTTGGAGTTTCCAGGTTCTCAGCTTCTTCAGCTCTAACATTGGGATATATAAGGTTAGAACAACAACAACAACAGAGTAACCAGGAAACTCATCAGTGAGTCATTGTTTAGGTCCTGAAGCCTCTATCCAGTCTGCCTTTTTCTATCCATTTTTCAGTCTTCTTATACGTGTTTTATATATAATATTCAAGGTTTCTAGTTGTACTCAGAGGAAGGAATAAGGAAAATTTTATCTACTCCATCTCCCCAGAAGTGGGAGAGTCTGCAGTTCTTTTAAATGACATAAAATATAATTATTGATGTGGAATTTTTCTCGTAATATGTTGCTAAGTCAAGTTGTAAAACACTGTAATTATATCTTTACAGTAGAATGTGTATACAAAAGTCTAGAAAAGTGTCCGGAGTTGGTATCAGTGACTAACTTCCAGATATGGGGATCATAACTGATTTTTATTTTCTTTTCATCAGAATTTTCTGATTTTTGACTTGAAAAGCACTTGCATAATTTTAAAAAGCATTTAAAAGTATAAATGAAATGAAGTATTTATATATATTAGAAATAACTATAATATTAGCTACTGTTTATTGAGCAGCAGCTATTTTGGGTCAGATGAAATACTGAGTAGTTTATATGCACTATTTCATTTAATCTTCACAGAGGTAAGATAGGCTTTATGCACCCCATTTTACAGGTGGAGAGACAAGTCTGGCAAAGTTAAGTCACTTGACTATGTTTACAGAGTTAGTAAGAGCTGGGATACTAACTGAGCTTGCTGACTTCCTGCTACCTCCTAACAATCACTGACATATTTGTGGTGCTTTATAGTTTACAAAGCATGTTTCACACATGCTCACATTTAGTTCTCCTGATAACCTAGAGGTGAAGTTGAAGGGGACGCCAAAACCTGACCTCCAGAATTTGGTTTCCATCTAGACCTTCAGTGAGATTCAGATTGTCACAAAATGAGAGTGGACTAGATGAAGTCTCTCCAACTCATTGTATCCAACTTGCCCTCAGGGATACTCTCTGGAATCTTACCATCCACAAGGCTACCTACAGGGACCTAAACATCCTGTGTCCACAGAGCCTCCCATGAAGAGCAAAGAGCCAGTTCAGCAGATGGATAGAGAAAACACTCCCCAAGGGTCACTGGACAGCAGTGCTACCACAAGGGAGACAGGGGGCCTGGGTCCCCTCCCTACCCCTGAGTAGAAACACTTCACTCATAATCCAGATTCAGCTGTGAGCCCCTTGTTCTTTATTTCCTCCTACCTCAAGCTCCAGAGGGAGAAATTCTGCAGCATCTCTAGGAGGGAGAGACGGAGTAAGTAGGCAACATCTTTGGAAGTAGCCATGTTGGTCTTCCAAGGCCTCCCACTTTCTTTTTATTACCCAACCCCTATTATACTCAGGAAGTGTCCTCTCCCTACCCTTGTAACCTCCAGGGCCCAGGAAGGACTTCTTTCCCATCTAGAATTTGTTCACTCACACACCATTTGTTCTTCATACACGTTCTGTTTGGCTCACATGATACTAGTTGGTTTTTAGTTGGCCAGTTAGTTTGATGTGAAGTAATTGACATATAAAAATCAAAAAAGTTCATAGAATTCAGTGACTGGATTATCTCAAAAAGCTGGAAGATCTGGCACTAGGGGTCATGTGGCTTCATGGTGCCAAGGTACTAGAGCTGAGTGGCACCCACTCCGTCACTGAGGCCCATTCTCTCCAGTTTGCTACAGTCCCCACTGCTCTCTCTTATGAATAGTCACAGTTCACTGATTACCTAACAAAAGATACACTTTTGTGTACCCTGCTATCAATTAATTCCTCCTCTTTTCTCTGCCTCCATAAAACACTGTTTTCCTCTCAGATTTATCAAAGGTCTTCAAAAGGAAGCAATCTGATCAAACTTATTGCCACCACAGACACTTGCTATCGAAGTCTGCTCCCAGACCAGCAGCCTGGCATAACCCGGGAGGTTGCTATGAATGCAGACTCTCAGGCCCCACCCCAGACTTCCTGTATCAGAATGTGCACGTTAGCAAGACCCCCATTCATGTGCATGTCAGCATTTGAGAAGTGCTGTCCCATGCAGCTCTTTGACCCTTATCCCACCCAGGGGTATATGTGTGCTCAAAGAGAAAATTTATGACACTAATCAGTGAGATTTTAATGTGAATAAGTGAAGCTGAAGACATGTCATAGATTTTAAGGGAGATCTATTCAGATTCACTGACTTTACAGTCTACAAGAGACTCTGGCAACATGCTCATGATTGGTAGCCCAGCTCCTACTTTGTGGCTAAAAACTTGGAAGCTTGGAGAGGGGAGCTGTCTTGTCCAAACTCAAAACCTAGTAGTAGAGCTAAGAGGAAAGAGAGGGGAGGCTGCCTTGCAATGTTGTCAGAGGAAGAGAAACGACACTACTCCTAGATTACTGATCTCAGATTATTTGGGATGGTTTCCAAGAAACTGATATTTACTGTTGGTCCTGCTTTGTCTACATAGGTGGCTCTCAACTTGAGTGTGCAGCACAATCACGTGCAGAGCTTGGTCAGCTGATTGCTGGACACTACGCACAAGTATGTGGATGCCTTGGGCCTCAGGCCAAGCTGCTTCTGCCCCTCCCGTATACACCTATGCCAATGCTTCAGCTGACTAGTGAGCCTCGGGAAGGATGGTCCACAAAAGAGGTCCATGCAGGTCCTGATTGAGGGCTGGGAGCCATTCAAGAAGGGAATCTCAGGGTCCCAGAACCCAGAGTGTGGCCAAGAAGGTGGAGGGCATGGCCTCCATATGGGCACTACCCTTTCACCCTCAAGACTCCTCACCCCATCAGCAGGGCACAGCCAGAAGCAGCCAGAGCTGGGTCTCTAAGCCTTGCTATTCAAAATGCAGCTGGGCCCCAGCAGTATCTGCATTGCTCTGGAGCTCGTTAGAAAGGCAAAATCTCAGACCCCACCCCAGGCCTCCTAAATCAGAATCAGCACTTTAACAAGACCCCTGGGACATCTGGGTGCACACAAAGTCTAAGCAGTGCTGGCCGGCGTACAGGACCAGGTGGGGCCCTCTTACCTGAATCCGGGGGCAGTACTAGTTATGGAGAAAAGAAAGAATGCTTTAACGTGTCATTGGGCCTGCACAGAATCTGCTAAACAGTAGCAAACAACTAATATTGGTTAAATTTGATCAAGTTAATTGCAGAATAATATGAGTTATCTCTAATTTTATTTGAATTTATTCTCCCAAATGATCATTTCATAATGTAACATTGCTAGAACAAAATACTGTTTTTGAGGGTATGGGGGAGAGAGAGAGAATGGTCACGCTGCTTATTGTGCTAGCCTGTTAGTTGCACGGTACTGACTGGTTAGCCAAAGAGTAGCCCTAGACAGGAAAGGTCTCAAGCTGGTGTACTGTGGACCTAATGCAGCCCAGATGGTTTCCTTGGTATTAAAATTGGTATTTTCTAGCCTCTCTTATAAAATAGAATGACCTGTAAATATTGAATCCATACCCACAAATGCCCACAATTGCTGGAGCTGAGTCCTGCCCCTTTCAGCATGGATGAGCGCACTCCATGTCCTAGACTCCAGCCCTCTCAGTTCTTTCACCATCTTCCTTACTGATGTCTACTGGCTATGCTGCTGGCTTTTGTGGGCATTTATTTAGAATTCTTTGCTATAGAAAGCACCAAAATTTGGCTACTGTAACAGATAAAGCAAAACCCCTCAGAATAGGAAAATTTCCGCTGAAGTATGCATTCAAGTATTTGAATGCATACTTTAAGGACATGGTTGGTCCTGCTATCTGTGAGGCTTGTAGAGCAAACATTTTATTTCAGTCCTCCTCAGGGTGACTGACTCATTGATGGGGTGCCCAGCCACAGTTTTAAACCTGGAGTTTTGGTGAGGATGTCCCCTTTCCCATCCAGGCATTTTCCATGAGGTACATCCAGCCTTCATCTTCTTTGCCAATTAATGGGCCTAAGAATAAAAATCACAAAGGAAAACAAGGACAATTTCCCACACCCACATTAATATTCTAAAATATTAGAACGGATTCTTCCTGCTTGCATCCGTCGTCTTTGGGTATTGGAAAACCAGCATCTCTAAATTCTATTCTACATGGTGATTAACATTATGGGATGCATTATTTTGAAAAGGTCTGCAAGAACACATACATGCACACACACATGTGCGTGCATAGATTAATATACATGTCTATATATGTGTGTAGATGTATGTATGTGTATATGTACATATATTGATATGTATCTGTGTGTATAAAGAGTCCTATCAATCGATCTATCCATAGAAATTGATTAAACCATATCAGTTCCCTAAGTACACGTTAGGATATTTGGGAATGTTCAGAGACACCATTAGGAAGGACATGCCCCCTCACAAAATATCCAGGGACACATTGGCTGGCTATACCATGGGATGCTGACTGACAGCACCTCTTCCTTGGTGCTTTTTCCTAAGTTAGTTCTTACATTTTTTTCTGATACTGGCTCAGTGTAGAAGAAAAAGGTTAAACCTCCTAATCCCTTCCTAGGCAGAACTGAAAGGATTTGGGCCTCTGATCATCAGCACTGCAAACTTCTTTGGATTTATTGAACTGCATGATTACAACTAGGAAAAAAAAATGTATGGAGTACTTGGGAGATGAGTAGTTTGAATGGAAAGTAAGACATGAATAATTAATGGGATTAAGAGAGAGAGTACCTACATTTATTTTAAGGTGCCCCTGACAGCTCAGAGGGGTTTTAAAAATCCTTAAGACTTTAAGGATGCCTCATCTCTGTGGAAAGTCACACCAGCTTTTCATGTATTAGTTCAACTCCAAAAGTCCTGAAATAACTGGGAATGTGTCTGAGTTCTAGGGTGAAAAATACAAGTGTAGAGCCTTTGTCTGACATTTTCGGTATCACTGTTGACGATACATTGCAGAAAAGTATATCAGGGCCACAGGCCACCTCTGAGAAGAGGCTATTGTGGAAACCGCAGAGACCTGGAATGCAATCATGGCGTTGCTCCTAACTGGAGAGTGGCCATGGGCAAGTCCCTTCCCCTCTCCAGTCTCCACTTTCTTGCATCTACAGTAAGAAGATTGGCCCAGGAGACTCTCAGCTCCGTCCCTGCCCTTGACTCTGCCTAGCCATGATACAGTAGACTGAAAAATAATCCCCAAGGTTTCCTGGTGCTAATCCCAGATCTATGAATGTGACCTTATATGGCAAAAAGGACTTTGAAGATATGATTGAGGATTTTGAGAAGCAGTGATTATACTAGATAATCTGAATGGGCCCTAATTATGACCACAAGGATCCTATAAGGGGAAGATACAGAGATATCTGACACAAAAGAGCAGAGACAGTGATGGCAGAGCAAGACTGGAGTGATGTAGCCACCGGTGAAGCAACATGGGCAGCCACCACAAGGTAGAAGAGAGAAGGAATAGACTCTGCCCTGGGATCTCAAGAAGAATCTAGCCCTGCTGACACCTTGATTTTAGCTCTGTAAGACTCAGATCAGACATCTGGTCTTCAGAACTGTAGGAAAATACATTTCTGTTGTTAGCCATTATATTTGTGGTGATTTGTTACAGCTGCAAGAGGAACATGTCATACAGAGACACTGGCCTTCCAGAGGTTTCGTGGCTGTCTCCTATGTCTCCCACCTGGCCTGTTTCATGGAATGATGTTACCTGCCTGTTGATCCCTGAAGGCATTTGAGTTGGCAGTCCCTGCAACTCCTCGCTCAGCAGAACTCTGGTGCTACGGTCACCCACTTATTTATTTACTCATTCATTTATTCAGCCAGTGTTCATTGAGTACCCGAAGGCCTCGCACTCTGCAAGTACTGAGGATGTAAGAATGGATAAGACATATCCCCTCACTTCCACGGCCTTGGGTGACAAGACTGGGATAGTAGAAAGAGTGCCTCAGATGTGGAGAGACAGAGAGAAGGGATAGTGCCATCGTTAGCCACCACGAGGGGGTTCCCAGGAGGCAGCAGGAAGGTCCTAGGTGCCAGACAGGGCTCAAAATGGGAGGTGGAAATATGTCTGGGCATTGGCGACATTGCTGCTCATGGCCATGGAAAGGAAAACATCTGAGTACAGGCCTGACCACCTCCTCACTGACCCCAGACACTATCCATTCCCTCCCATGCCTATCCAAAGACAGAACCCTCAGGTGCACTCACTGGCCAGCACTTTCTCAGACTCCTACCTCTTGGTGGTTTCAATTAGTGTCTTTCACACTGAGAGCTGCGACTCTCATGCGTTGGGAAATCAATTTAATAGGTCACAACCAGCATTTTAAAAGCAGGATGGAATCCTGACAAAGGTCTAATATCCAGAGCCTACAAGGAACATAAGCAAATTTACAAGAAAAAAATAAACAACCCCATTAAAAAGTGGGCAAAGGACATGAACAGACACTTCTCAAAAGAAGACATTTATGCGGCCAACAAACATGAAAAAAAGCTCAACATCACTGAACATTAGATAAATGCAAATCAAAAAGATAACGAGATACTATTTCATGCCAGTCAGAATGACGATTATTAAAAAGTCAAGAAACAAAAGATGCTGGTGAGGCTGTGAAGAGACAGGAGCGCTTTTACATTGTTGATGGGAATGTAAATTAGTTCAACCATTGTGGAAGACGGTGTAGTGATCCCTCAAAGACATAGAACCAGAAATACCATTTTACCCAGCAATCCCATTACTGGGCAATTACCCAGAGAACCATAAATCCTTCTATTATAAAGATACATTCACATATATGTTCACTGCGGCACTATTCACAATAGCGAAGACATGGAATCAACCCAAATGCCCATCAATGATAGGCTGGATAAAGAAAATGTGGTACATATTCACCATGGAATACTATTTAGCCATAAAAAGAAACAAGATCATGTCCTTTGCAGAGACATGGATAGAGCTGGAAGCCATTATCTTCAGCAAACTAACGCAGGAACAGAAGACCAAACACCACATGTTCTCATTCATAAGTGGGAGCTGAACAATGAGAACACATGGACACAGGGAGGGGAACAACACACACTGGGGCCCGTTGGGAGGTGGGGTGGTGTGCAGGGGGAGAGAAAGCATCAGGAAAAACAGCTAATGCATTCTGGGCTTAATACTTCGGTGATGGGCTGATAGGTGCAGCAAACCACCATGGCACATGTTTACCTATGTAACAAACCTGCACATCCTGCACATGTACCTAGGGACTTAAAATAAAATTTAAAAAGAAATTAATAAAAGCAGAATGGAATTGAATAGAAAGTATTAGTGTATTGCACATTGTTAGTGAAGACACTGCTTTGAAAAAGTTTAGTTTCAGAAAAAGACATGTGTGTGTGCGTGTGTGTGTGTGTTGGTGGATGAGCAGTGCCCCTCACTGCTGTGATGCAGGAACTCAGAGCCTCCACTCTACCTCATCAAGCCCAGAAGTGTTGCCGACGGCGGGACACTTGAGCTGACTCTGGAGATATGAGTTGAAATTTGCAAAGAGGAAGACAAGAACAGAACGTATTAAGATTATGGAGTTGTGAAGGGGGCTGATGTGTCCAGAGAATGGGGAGAAGGTTTACAAGGTGGGTCTCAGGGGTGTAGACAAGACTGTTCTGTATAATTGCGCAGGTCCACCCTGAACAAGGATGCTCTGCTGAAGGCACCAGGGGAATCTAAAATTCAGCACGGGGCTGACGAAGCCTTGTGCCATGGTTTTTCCAATTCACACAAAGATGCCATCTGCTGGCCAACCTGTGTGCCTGCAGGGCCAGGTCAGCCCAGTTGAAGCATATTTTTCTACTTTAACTGAGGGTCCCTATGGGCTAGAGCAGGCTTGTGTAGGCAGAACTAGCTGGGAAGGCAGATGGGATCCAGAAAGCAAAGGAAATTTCTCTGGGCAGAAAAGTGAATGTTTCACCATCAATTCTTTTTTTTTTTTTTTTTTGAGATGGAGTTTCACTCTTATTGCCCAGGCTGGAGTGCAATGATGCCGTCTTAACTCACTGCAACCTCCACCTCCCAGGTTCAAGCCCTTCTCCTGCCTCAGTCTCCCAAGTAGCTGGGATTGCAGGTGCCCGCCACCAAGCCCGGCTACTTTTTAAATTTTTTTTAGTAGAGACGGGCTTTCACTGTGTTGGTCAGGCTGGTCTCGAACTCCTGACCTCAGGTGATCCACCCACCTCAGCCTCCCAAAGTGCTGGGATTACCGGTAAGAGCCACCATGCCCGGCCATCAATTCTTCTTGGTCTGGACTTCTCCCCATTTCCAAGTTGGGCTCCCTACTGAGATTCTGAGGTATTGCTCCCTTCTTAGAGCACTCCTAACCATTCTTGTCTTCTAGCTATGGTCTGCTCCTTTGTCTCCTCAAGACAGCCTCTCCAGAATCCCCCACAAGGACGAATTACTGCCCTCATTCAATCCTTCTCTTGGTCCAGGCAAGTCCATGTTCATGCATGTGTCCTGCATGCAGGGGGCATGTGCATCCTTGCATTTCAGTCACTCAGGTTTCTCGTGTGTGCTCAGCCCATCATTCACATGGAAACACCTACGGAGGGCCACAAAATCTGTCGCTTTGCAATTTCATATAGCTGCCAGTGACTAACAGACCACTAATGGTCCATTAGTGAACCATTTGTGGTCCACTAATGAAGGAGATCAATGTATAGATGAGAAGTTGTAGGATGGGTGCCAACGAGCTGGGCGTGAAGGAGCTCTATCCAGGGAGGATTTTCAGCCATGCAGGGGTATATATTACCCCCACTCGCATGCCAACCTCCCCGACATCAGACATCAGAAATATCCATAAGGAAAAGCCTTCCAGGCCCTAATCAGAGACCAGACTGGGAAGGTGAAACCTTGTGGCTTCTTTTCTTATTGATAGATAAAAAATGGATAATGTCTTCTTTCTCAAGAGCATATTTAGATACAGGCCAGGGAGCATGAAGATGTGAAGTATCTGAGAAAGGACAAAGGAACCACTTATGGAAACAAGACTTAAAAAAAGAAAAAGAAAGAGCACACGGAGGTTGGAAAAGCCCCTCCCAGCCACTGTCACTCCACCATGCAGTTTCATGCTCCTCTACCATGAAGATTTTTTCTCCTTCCAGACATCAGCTACTCCTGATAGTCAACTTCCTCACTATCCATAAGCAACTTTAGACTTCACCTGGGGGATGGGGAGGTTCTGGGAGACGACAGGATGGAAATTAGCAGGGTCCAGGGTTGAGAAAGGAGCAGAGGCTGGTGTGATGAAGGCCGGCTTGCCAGATCAGGAGCAGAGGTTGGGTATAAGGGAGAGAGCAAAGCCCTCCAGGGCAGATAGAGCCTGACTCCCTACCACGTGTTGCCGCCCCTTCTGAGGGAATGCCTAGAAAGACAGATGGATGCACACAAACACACACCCAATAGCAAACACTAGTCAGCATTGCACAAAATCTGGTGGAAGCCTGGCACCACTGTGGACACAGGAGCTGCAAAAATGAATGGAAACAAGACAGCAAAAGCAAAGATAGACAAATGGGATCACATCCTGCAAAAATGTTTCTGCACAGCAAAGGAAACAACGAAGTGAAGAACCAACCCACATAATGAGAGAAAAGATTTGTAAACTATCCATTCAATAAGGAACTAATAACCAGAATAGATAAGTAACTCAATTCAATAGCAAAATAATAATAATTTGATTAAAAATGAGCAAAAACCTGAATAGGCATTTCTCAAAAGGAGAAACACAAATGGCCAACAGGTAGATGAAAAAATGCCCAACATTGCCAATCATCAGGGAAATACATATCAAAACGACAATGAGATATCATCTGGAGAGGATGCAGAGAAACGGGAACCCTCATACACTGTTGGTGGAAATGTAAAGCAGAACAGCCATTTTGGAAAACAGTATGGAGGTTCCTCAAAAAATTAAAAATAGAACAAACTACCATATGATCCAGCAATCCCACTACTGGGTATATATCCAAAAGAAAGGAAAGCAGTATATAGAGAGGTACCTGCACTCCCCTGTCCATCGCAGCACTATTCACAATAGCCAAGATACGGAATCACCCTAAGTGTCTATCCGTGGATGAATGGATAAAGAAAATGTAATACATACACACAATGGAATATTATTCATCCACAAAAAAGAATGACATCCTTGTGTGTATGTGTGTGTGTGCATATATATGTATATATATGTGTGTGTATATATATGTGTGTATATATGTGTATATATATGTGTGTATATATGTGTATATATATGTGTGTATATATATATGTGTGTGTATATATATGTGTGTATATATATATATATAACATTTTCTTTATCCATTCATCCATTGATGGACAGTCAGGCTGATTCCATATCTTGGCTATTTTCAGCAACATGAATGAAATTGGAATGCATTATATTAAGTGAAATAAGCCAGACACAGAAAGATGAGTATTGCATGTTCTCACTCATAGATGAGAGCTTAAAAAGTGGATATTATGAAAGTAGAGAGTAGAATAATAGATATGAGAGGTTGGGAAGAAAAAGGGGGAATGCAGGGGTGAAGAGAGGTTGGCTAATGGATACAAAAATACAGTTAGAATGTATAAATTGTAGCATTCAATACTACAGTAAGGAAATTATAGTTAACAATAATTTACTGTATATTTCAAAATAACTAGAAGAATTGTAATGTTCCCAACACAAGGAAAAGATACATGTTTGAGGGGATGGGTATCCCAATTACTCTGATTTGATTATTACATGCTGTATACATGTATCAAAATATCACATGTGCCCCAACAATATGTACAACTAGGATATATCAATAGAAAAATTAAAAAAAAAAAAAAAGGAATGAGAACAGACCTATACTTGAGAATAGATTAAATAAGCATGGTCCTGGCCCTAAGGCCATCACCACGGAGGCTGCTGGCATTCACAGCCAATCACAGTTCAAAGCAGATCATGCAATAACACTATAAATAATGTAATGTGGGAATACAGAGAAGAGCTAGATTAATTTGTGCCAGATTATGTAGAAGCCTGAATGTCACAGCCAGACTTGTGGTCTGAGCAAAGACATAATGCAATCAATCTATACTGAAGAAACACCCAATTTTTTTTTTTTTTTTTTTTTTTTACAGTCTCACTCTATCACCCAGGCTGGAGTGCAGTGGCACGATCTTGGCTCACTGCAACCTCCACCTCCTGGGTTCAAACGATTCTCTTGCCTCAGCCTCCCAAGTACCTGGGATTACAGTCATGCACCACCACCCCCAGATAATTTTTTTTTTTTTTTGTATTTTTAGTAGAGGTGGGGTTTCACCATGTTGGACAGGATGGTTTTGAACTCCTGGCCTCAAGTGATCCACCAATCTCGACCTCCCAATGTGTTGGGATTACAGGGGTGAGCCACTGCACCCAGCCCCAGAAAGATATATCATTTAGGCAAGATTGGAGGGTGGAGATCAGAGCCGGAGGACCAGTTAGAAAGACATCACATTTAAAAAATGATAGTTCCTAACCTTTACTAAGCACTTGCTGTACGCCAGGCCCTCTTCTAAGTGCTTTACATATATATATATATATGTAGCACATTTGCATCCACAGGGTTTGCAGCATTATGGGCTGAACTGTGTCCTCTAAACTTCATATGTTGAAATCCTAAACCCCAGTACCTCAGAATGTGAACTAATTTGGAAATAGGGTCTCTGCAGATGTAATTAGTTAAGATAAGGTCATCCTCGAGTAGAGAAGGCTCTTTATCCAATGTGACTGACATCTTTATAAAAAGGCAAACTTTGGACACAGATTCACACAGGGAGAACATCGTGTGAAGATGAAGACAGAGATTAGGGTAAGACATCTAAAGGCAAGGAATACCAAAGATTACCAGCAAACCACCAGAAGCTAGGAGGGAGGCGTGGAAAAGATCCTCCCTCATGGCCCTTAGAAGGAATAAACCCTGCACTGCCAACCCTTTCATCTTGGACTTGTAGCCTCCAGAATGGTGGCACAGTAAATTCCTGTTGTTGAAGCCACTTGGTTTGCAGTACTTTGTTACAAAAGCCCTAACAAATCAATACAGTCTGTCTGTTATTGTCACACACTAGAGAGAAGGAAACTGAGACACAAAAGGTTAAGTAACCCCAAATTACTAAGCCAGTAACTGGTGGGACTTGGTTGGTGCAGAGTGCCTCGCTCAACAGCCCACAGGTGCAACCTCTGCATAAATCCAGCCATCACAGGAAGTCACAGGGCCTGAGCCAGGCCAGCAATGGTGAAAGGTGAAAAGGGAAAAATAATGTAAGAGACATTTCCAAGAAAAAAGTCCAAGACCTGGTTTCTGGTCAGATATGGCAGGTGAGAAGGAAGCAGGAACATCTGTCCTTGGAAAATGGCTCCTCGGGTATTAATGGTGATTACATCTAGATATTATTATAGTTTAAAAAGTATTGGGGTAATCATGTGTTTTCTATCCATTTTCCCAATTACAGAACACTCCATGAGGTCAGAGGCAGTGTTTGTATCCTCACAATATATGTGGATATTTCCACATATATGTTTTGCATATTGCCTGGCTTTAGAGTCCACTGGGTAAATATTGGTGAAAATGAGTTGCTGCCACCTGTCTTTATGCCACAGAACACAAAAGAAAAGGGTGTAGGAGTGTCATTTAAATATGTTTTTATTCTTGAAAGAACTGTAGGCTGGGATCAGCAACCACTGTAGTGTGCTATGTCAGAGCTCTACTCCTCTCATAGAATTACTCCTGGTAAGCAAAGGTGACCATGTAAATTACCAAACAATTTCTGATTTTGTAGGGAGCATGCCTGGATACACAGCTTAGGGACAAGAAACCTACGCTCACCAAGTGTCCACCAGCTCCTCGGCAAGGAGGGAGTAAAACGAATTTTTTCTGCCACAACTTCTCTAGGTAAATTTAGAAAATAGTGCCAGAGTGTCACGTGCAGGTGGCAACTAGACTGAAATGAAAGCCCACAGCCCCACACCAGTTATCATGTAGCCAACCACAGTGCTAAGGGCTTCATAAGTTGGGACAAAGATTTGTTGACCCCCAAAGTCTATTCTTTCCCATCTTCCATAAATAAACTTTTAGCAGGTCACGTGAGCACCAAGAATAAAGACTACATTTCCCAGGGTCCTGTGCAGCTGAGTGTGACCACGTGACTTGGTTCTGTCCAGTGGGATGTAAGCAGAAGGGCTATGAAAGCACTGGTACCTTTCTTAAAGAATGGTTGGTCCACACCCTTTGTCCCTTTCTTTTTCAGGCATTTGTCTGGTCTTCTGCTGGAAAATGTGGATGTGGTTGTGATCATACTAGACCCTGGGAATAAGGACAAACCTGATGAATGGTGAAGTGAGCAGAAAGAAAGTGGATCCCAGAGGACTTTTCAGAGAGGAGCTTCCAGGCCAGCCCTAGGCTATACATCTGTGGACTTTGAAGCAAGAGATAACTACTATCTGTGTAAGCACTGCTATGTGGTGTCTCTGTTACTCATAGCAAACCTAATCCTAACCATCACACTACTGGCTTTCTCATTTTCCCAACAATGAAATGAGCAGGACTTAATATCCCAGTTTATGAAGTAACAAAGGTTAGGAGAATAACTCATCCAACATCACACCACCCTGAAGATATGAACTCAGGTCTGCCTGGCTCCAAAGCCTGTGTCCTTTCCTCTATATTAATTCTGCCTCTGCACTTGGGAATCCTTAAGCACTGTGAGCACTGTGAATTTATAGTTATGTTGCTTTTCACAATTTGCTGACATGGTTCATGCACTTGGTCAATAAGACCTCTGTTTGGTTCCCTACCAAGGCCTACAGGTGTCTTTGCTCTAAAACAGAGTCAAGGCTAGACAGTAACAGCATCCTGGAACATCACAGCCATATACTTGTGGTCACAAAGAGAAACCAGGCCCAGAGAGTGTGAATGAGTCTGTAAAAGCCATCCCCACTTCCAGCAAAGTAAACCCAGGTCTTCCTCCTACTATTGCTGGCTTACAGAGAGTACTGCTTCTGTGCCTGAATATGCCCAGACCAGGAAGACCATTCATCATGTTCATCATATGTTGTAACTGCTACATTACATAGAATGCTCTCTTCTCAAGCCGCAGACCGACTCAATGGTCTCCTATCAGGTTTGGGGAGGAGCAGAGGCTTTGGCCTATCACCTGTTACTCCAGAAGGCAGAAGCTGGATCAGGACATGTGGCAGCATTGAGTGCAATGCAACGGGGTTCTATGTACAAATTATGTAAAACTTGGGATTTATTTTTTTTAAACACAACATATACAACCCATTGGTCAAATCAGGAGGGATCAAGGAAAGAAACACCTCTAAAGGCCTGCATAGAGAGTATCTTATATGCGGCTACCCTTTGGAGAGTCTAGGCCTCTTATAATCCCAGAGATTCTTAAGAGAAAAGAAAGGTTGTTTGTTTATGAGGTGGGATTTTTTTGTTTGTTTTTGGTTGGCTAGCTGATGGATTTTTTTTTTCTCTAGTGCTAGTCTAGTCATTGATTGCGCTAACTAGTGAACATTACCATTTATGGTTGTGAGGCCCAAATGCAAACATTCTCCAAGTCCAGGATTTGTTTCTGGGAAAATATGCACAAACCAGAAGCAACCAGTCTTCTCTACCTGCACCTACCTGCACGCTTGCCATACATTGCTAATCAATCATCCATCGCATGCTTTGCCACAGGGTCCTGGTGGAGCAGCAGATCCCTTCATACAGCACTAAGGCTGCCACTGCCAATCAAATGAAATTGATTTCTTATACTGAAATACATTTTCTGGCCAGGAGCGATGTCTTCTGCCTGTAATTCTAGAACTTTGAGAGGCCAAGGCGGGTGGATCACTTGAGCCCAAGAGTTCAAAACCAGCCTGGGCAACATGGCAAAACTTTGTCTCTCCAAAAAATACAAAACTTAGCCAGGCATGGTGGTGTTTGCTTGCAGTCCCAGCTACTTGGGAGGCTGGGGTGGGAGATCACCTGAACCCAGGAGCTCAAGGCTGCAGTGGGCTGTGATCGTGCCACTGCACTCCAGCCTGGACAACAGAGTGAGACTCTGTCAACCAAAACAAACAAACAAAAAACGAAGGAGGGGAGGAAGGAAGGAAGGAAGGAAGGAAGGAAGGAAGGAAGGAAGGAAGGACAGACATTTTCTACTCTGCTTTTTGAGGACAGAGACTAAGTCTCATTCAGGTCTATGTTTCCAACACTTAACATGAGACTTTGCATACAGTAGAGCCTTGGAACACATTTGAAGAGGGAAAAAAGAAAGAGAGGGAGGGGACAAGAAGAGCCATTAAAAGAATTAGGTTAAAGGGGTCCCCAGTTGTTTGTGGAGAGGTTGGATTCGATCTCTCACCAGACTCAGAACCTAAGGCTCCTCTCCATCTACCTTGCTGCAGTTGGCCTGAGAATATCACCACCCCCAAGAACTAGTGAGCTCCTGCAAGGACTTTTTTTTTTTTTTAACAGACTTTATTTTTTTAGAATAGTTGTAGGGTCACAGAAAAATTGACACTCCCTGCCTTCCCACATTCATAGCCTCCCCATAGTCAATATGTCCCCACCGAGTGGTCCATTAGTTACAATTGATGAACTTACACTGACACATCCCGGCCCCCGAGAGTTCATAGTTTATGGTTCAGTCTTGGTGTTGTACATTCTATGGGTTTGGACAAATGTGATGTTATGCATCCACAATTACGTTACCATACAGACCCCTTTCCCTGCCCTCAAACTCCTCTGTGTCCACCTATTAATCCCTCCCTACCCCCAGCCCCTGACAATCATGGATCTTTTTACTGCCTTCACAGTTTTGCCTTTTCCACAGTGTCATATATTTGTAATCACAATATATAGCTTCTTTTCAGATTGACTTCTTTCACTTAGTAATATGCATTTGAATTTTCTCCATGTCTTCTCATGGCTTTATAGCTCATTTCTTTTTAGTGCTGAATAATAGTCCATTGTCTACATATACTACAGTTAATTTATCCTTTCACCTAATTAAGGACACCTTGGTAGCTTCCAAGTTTTGGCAATTGGAATTAAGTTGCTATAAACATCCACATGCAGGTTTTCATGGGCGTGTAAGTTTTCAGTTCTTATGGGTAAATACCAAGGAGTGTGATTTCTGAATTATATGATAAGCGTATGTTTAGTTTGTGAGAAACCACCAAACTTTTCCAAAGTGGCCGTACCATTTTGTATTCCCACCAGCAACGAAGAATAATTTCTGTTGCTCCTTCTCCTTGCCAGCATTTGGTGTTGACAGTGTTCTGGATTTGGATCACTCTAATAGGAGTATAACGGTGTCTCATCGTTGTTTTAATTTGCATTTCTCTGATGATATACGATGTGGAGCATCTTTTCATATGCTTATTTGCCATCTGTGTATCTTCTTTGGTGAGAAGTCTGTTAAGGTTTTTGGCCCATTTTTTAATCTGGTTGTTTGTGTTCTTACTGTTGAGTTTTAAGTTTTTATCTATATTTTGGATAACAGTCCTTTATCAGATATTTTTTCCCAAATATTTTCTCCCAGTCTGTGGCTTCTCTTTTTATTCTATTGCCAGTGTCTTGCAGAGCATAACTTTTTAATTTTAATAAGGTCCAGCTTATCAATTACTTCCTTCGTGGAGCATGCCTTTGGTGTTGCATCTCAAAACTCATAATCAGGGCCAGGCACAGTGGCTTACGCCTGTAATCCCAGCACTTTGGGAGGCTGAGGCGGGAGGATCACCTGAGGTCAGGAGTTCAAGAGGAGTCTGGCCAACATAGTGAAACCCCGTCTCTACTAAAAATACAAAAATTAGCCGGGCATGGTGGCACATGCCTGTAATCCCAGCTTCTAGGGAGGCTGAGGCAGGAGAATTGCTTGAACCTAGAGACGGAGGTTAACAGTTAGCCGAGACTGCACCACTGCACTCCCGCCTAGGCAACACAGCAAGACTCCATCTAAAAAAATAATAATAATAAAATAAAATAAGTCATCATCAAATCCAAGGTCATCTAGATTCTCTCCTATGTCACATTCTGAAAATACTGTAGCTTTGCGTTTTACGTTTAAGTCTGTGATCCATTTTGAGTTAATGTTTGTGAAGGGTGTAAGGTCTGTTGTCATTTTTCGCATGTGGATATGCATGGTTTTCTATGCAGACACACTGTTGCTGAGGTGGAAACAGCACTAGCTCAGGAGCCAGCAGACTGGGTGCTTGCCCCAGCATAACCTCTAACCTGTTGTGTGACCTTGAGCAAGAAGGAGGCCCTCTGGCCTGCTCCCCATGTGCAGAATGAAAGCCCTGGGCCAAAAGGCTGCTGTAGATCCTTCCGTCCTCCAATCTGCAGGGTTCCCCTGCTATTGCTCTCCTTCTAGTATGACTGTAGGACACATTTGCCCCTCATTCATGTTCCCACCTCAACAGCAGCTCTCCTGAGAAGCCTTTCCTGGGTATCCCAGCCCATGGGCAGTACCTTCCTCAGAGCACCTCCAAACTGATGCCCCCTACCCGCCCCACATTTAGCTTCTGTTGCATGGTGATACCAATGGGTGTGTCCTCTCTCCAACTAACTAGGAGATTTTTTGAGAGCTGAGAATGCTTTGTATTTCTTCTATATGTCTCACAAGAATAAAAACAAAGTTAATAATATAATAATAGCAACAATAATAATGATATGATGATGATTGCTACCTTTCCTGAACATTTCAAATACATATGTTCATCTAATTCTGATACTACCCTGAGAAGTATTATCATCCTCATTTTGCTAACGTGGAAGCTGAAGCATAAAGAGGTTGTGGGACTTGCCCAAGGTATCCCAGGAGGAAGAGTTTGGAATCTGGGTGCCTTGGCTCAGAAACTATGTGTGTGAGCACTAACTGCTACCAAAGCTTGAGTAGGTGCTGAGCTCCTATCCCTGCTGCACACATCATGTCTATGTGTGTGGCTGTTCAAACATCTTAAGTCTGTGGCACATTTTATATTCGTTCTAGCCCATCTCTATGTTCCCAATGCCTGGTATAATACTCCACATATGAATGTCTGGATGAATGGAGCTATTCTAAAAGAAAGGTCACCACCTACCACCACCACTGCCGCTCCCCCAACCCCATGGCCTTGCCAGACATTCCACTCGTCCAATATCCTTTATCCATCCATAGCCCCACCCCATCCCCCACCCCCAAGCACATTACATACCCTTAAAGCTAGTAGAACAAGCTAAGGAAGATCCCACTCACTTCAAATGGTGTTTACCTAGTACTCTATCTGAGCAAAGCCCTGCATAAATAATTCACCTGTCACATTCTCTTTTAGTACATTTTAGGACTTCCTAATAAACTCTGGACAGCTAACTAATTTACAGATCTGATGGCACAACATGCCCATTTACACAGTAGCTTCTAGAGAGAACTTGCCAAGAAATTCTTCCATTACTCCCTGCTAGGTCCTTCCACTTTCAGTGGAACCAGAGGCTCAGACAGGACTCTAACTCTTCCCCTTCTGTCTGTCTCCAAAGCCACTGCCCATCCTGGTTTAGTCCAACCTTTCAAGAGCCTTACAGTGCAGTTTGGATATATATTACCTGGGGACCTTGTTAAAATGCAGATTCTGATTCAGTTGGTCCAGGGTGGGGAGAAAGGGTCTGAATTTCTAACAAGCTCCCAGGTAATGCAGATGTTCCCGGTCCCTGGACCACATTTTGAAAAGCAATTCCCTATCTCCTGCTTCAGCAGAACCCCGCACTCCCAAGCCCACCCTCCATCCTCCCAGTAATCTAACGCACAAGATCGATCACATCGCTTCCCCTCTTGCACCTCCTGGGATCCTGTCCACACTTCTTGGACTGACTCTAGCCACTTGTCTGGGACCTCAGCCTTTTTCTGCTTTGCCTCCTTCACCCGCCCCCCACCCATAATACCATTTACTATCCCTCAACATACCCAGTGTGTTTCTTCCTCCTCTGTAAAACTGCAGGGTTATCTCTGTTGCTCCAGAAAGCCTTCCCTGACCTCCCTTTTCTTCCAAGTGTGATAAGAAGCCCTCCCCTCTGCCTCCACAACACTTCTATAAACCTGTCCCATAGCACAGGTGTATTGACCCAGGTTGGTCTCCCCACTAGACTGAGACTTTTGTGAGGACAGGGACCATGTCTTCATATCCTCTGTGACTCAACAAATATTTATTTCATAAACAGATGAGAACCTCATTAAAGTATTCCTTCACACAATGAGGGAAGACAGTTAATAAAATTTCTAAAGGAGCAACAGCTACTTTGTTCTTAAGAGTGCAAATCTTTGTTACATGTAGAATCTAACTTTTTAAGCCTAATTAGATATTTGCCTATATTAATGTATTTTACTATGTCATTTGCTTTGCAAAGTGCAGATAAAAATTCCAAATGTTGGCTGGCATTAAACAACTTCTAAGGGTGAAATTAGCAAATTAAATGAATTTGGTCTACAACTGGCACGGGAGATAATGGTCCTTGATTTGGCTGCAGCACGACTTTTGCTCAGTTGTTGGAGGCATTGTTTCATAAATGGTCTCTTAGGAGGATTATAATGGAAATGGCTAGTGATATTTAACAAGGTAGGTAGGTAGATGATAAATAGCTAGATAGATTATAGATAGATAGATAGATAGATAGATAGATAGATAGATAGACCTTTCGCACATTAGGGATAAATATATCAACCACAAATAATAATAACTATCGTTGACTGAGCAGCGGCTCTGTACCAGACCCTGGGCTAATTATTTGCATCTCTGATCCTGTGGTCTCCTCTAAACAATCCTGGGAGATGATTTTCATTATCCCCATTGTACCAGTGGAAATATTGAGTCTCAGAGGTTGAGCAACTCATCAATGAGTAAACATTTAGTGAGAGAGGCTAGGCTGAGATCAGATTTCACTGCTTGTAACCACCAAGCAAAACTGCCTTTTGTCAAAGGTTTACAGTGGTCCTATGTAATTAAGAGACAAGGGCATCTAGTGGCCATATGGCATCAAATACAAATAAAGAGCCTTCATTCCCTGTGATCTGCAGCCACTTCAAAAAGACACTTCAAAGACAGAGGCAATACCCAGGATGTCCAGCCCAGTGGGGGAAATTCAAAGCCAATTTAAATCCTTGATGGAATCCCACTTGAAGTGGGGAGTCTAAGACAAATGCATGTAAATGAAAATCTAGTCATTAAGCATAGAACTAGTAATTTCCTGGAACTAAGTCAAGCAAGTGTCACATAGGAGCACCCTAGAGAGAGGATCAATGTGACTAGAATAACTGGAAAGGAAAGTTAAACAACATCTAGGGAAAGCCCAATATGGTCCAAGTAATGCCCCATGCTCTTCACCTGTGTGATATCATTCATTCCTCAAAGTGTCCCTGTGACGCACTCACAGTCAGGGCCATTTTACAGATGGAAAAACCGAGGCTGGGAGAGATTCAGAATTGCCTCATAAGTGGCAGGACAGTCTTTCAAACCTGGGTCCATCCTGTGTTTTCTGTGGAGTATGCTCACCTCCCCCATTCCTCAATCCCTACAAGCCTGCCATTCCTAATGGATTTTTTAAAGTTCTCTAAGTAGTCACTTGCCAGCAAACTGATAGAGCCCAGCTTGAGGCTGTGGTAAACACCAGCCCTTGGTGGGGGGTGAAAGACTGAAATTTCAGGAAATCGTGGAAATACTAGTAATTTGAGAGCATTGAGACACATTGAAAGAGCAGGAAACAAAACAAAACAAAAATACTCCAAACGTTCATTCTATTATTGGAAACCTGAAGAGATGAAAATATGACCTTTTCTGCCTCCTTGCTTCCAAAATAGTGACAAATGTGTTTTATATTTTTACAAGCTATATTAACAGAAGCGACTTCAAATGTGTGTGGCCTCCCGGGAGCTTGATGTTTTGATCTATCTTTTTTTGGCTGTTCTTTGGCATGGAGAAAAGGGACGCTTTTCTAGCAGGCCAGTGTCTATATGGTTTTGATATGGCCCAAACTTTGGCCAAACAAAGTCGTAACCCAGCCAGTCTCTCAAACCATATCTCTTACCCAACTCAGAGGTGCCCCTTCCAACCTAACTGCTGAGGCCTGACAGATACCAAAGAGGATCTTCAGAGACGCCAGAGGTCGGGTGCCATCCCTGGAAACGAGGAGAACAGAGTGCTGGAAAGAATCTTCCATTCTTACTTTTTTCCTCTGAGCCTTGATTTCCATATCTGAAATGAGGAGACTCTGCCTACTTCCTGGAGATTTGTGAGGAACAAAGAACTTTTGCACAGTACCTGATGTAGTAGGCACTTAATAAAAGAAGCTGGACAGATGATTGCCTTTCTCCACAATCACCTCAAGGGAAATACTAAAGCAGAAAAGTCATTCTATGGGGGCAGCTTCAGGGCAAATGAGGAAGGAGGCACTCTTCCCTTCTACTGCCTTGAAGGTAGCAACCACTGCCAAATGACTGCATGTCCATGGGGGTGCAGGCAGCTATGTCGCACTGGGTGGCAGCTACCCACATCCCACTGAGGCTCAGTGGGAAATAGCTACATGACCGAGGAGGAGCTTGATGGCAGGGACTTCTTTAAAAGCAGAAGCCTGGTCCACTTCAAGGAGCAAGTGGCCAGTGCCCAGGCAGCCCATGTCTGCATCCTTGGCTACTCTACAGCATAACTCATACAGCTATGGAGTGCGCCCTACGCACAGGCCCTGAACCAAGGGAGCAAATGAGGGCCAAAGCCCAGCCCATCCTCCATGCAGCTAGCCAGACTCCCTGGCTGGAGGAAGGAGGTGCCTCTCGAATTTTTATAAACCGCATAGGAACTAGTGGTGGCCAGGTGCTTCTTTGGAGTTTTTAAGACTGACTTTGAATCACAAAAAGAGTCTTTGCCTCCTTCCACCAACCTTACCAAGTCTCCCCTATTTGCTAGCCGACCAAGCCACAGTCCCTGCCTCGAGGGGCCCAGAGTCTGATGATGGGACAGACTTGGAAGTAAATGACTGCAGGACAGGATAACCCAGCTAGGACAAGTGCTTCTGGAGAGACAGAGGAGCAACTGCCCAGATCACAGGACCCATTATGGGCAGGGCGCAGAGGAGAAATCTTCATCAGAAAGATAAGGAAATGCAGCCAAATGAAAAGAGGGAATGAGAGGGAGCAAGAGGAAAGGAAATGCAGGGAAAGGAAGAAGAGAATAAAGAAATATTGCAAAAGATGAGATGAAAGTGAAAGAATGAAGAGGATCCCAGCCAGTATGAAGAAGCTTGTGAGTGTGTGTGTGTGTGTGTGTGTGTGTGTGCATGCGTGTGTGCACTTACACCAGACAGAGAAATATAGGGGTGGGGTACACTCTGCGCAAGGCATTGAGATGGTCACTTTATAGACCTTATCTCATTGAGTCCTTATAGCAATCTTGTGATCATTACTATTCCCATTTTACAGATAAGGAACTTAGATGGAAGCCAAAAGACCCAGCTGATATATGATGGAATCCACGCTGCCCCCAGTGTACCACAGGAGAGGCAGAGCTGTCCTTTGCTGCTGGTGACTCAGTCCCTCCAATGCCCCTCTTCGTCTTCCCCCTGTGTCAGGCTATTGGATCACTGCAGCACCCCCTGGAGCCCCGAAGCCATGGCCTCACCACCACAGTGACGATTTCAAATGCCAGCTCTGGCTGAGGCTAAGGTTGCTGGCATGAAATCAAGTCTGCCATTAGCACAATGTCCAGGGAACATTTGGGCAGCTATCTGTCCCTCTCAGCCCAGGTACATGGGGGTTATGTTGATTAAATAAATCTAATCATGGAAATAAACTGACCCAGGTGATGGGCACAGCACTCAGCTCCAAGTTACTGGTGATTGTCAGAAAATCCAATTAAGATAGAGCTGAGCCTACTGTGCTGCATACAGTTAATTGAGGGCAAGGGTAGGGGCTAAGGGGAAGCTAAGAAAGGAAATCATGTCTTAATATCCATTAAGTTAATCTCCCTCTTAAGCAGTGCCAGAGAGAGTCCAGGAAGAACCTAGAAGAGAATTTAATGGAAACTAGGTACCAGCCTGCTTTAACATTTTCTTGACATTCTGGCTGGGGGACATGTGACAGGCACAGGAGACAAGGACATGCAAGTCTATGTGTCATTTACGGAGCCACGGACTAGGACTGTGGAGGCCCAAGGTCAAATCTGTTCTGGGCTCCATCACCAATTAACCACTTGATATTTGACGCTGTCCTATCTGTGCCTTAATAAAATGGAGTGCTAGAACTGGACCAAAGCCACCTGGTGGCTCTGAAGACCTTCAGCAGGAGAGGGGGAGAAAATGAAAATACAGGAATTTGAGAAAAATCTACCAACGTTATCACAGTGAGCTTGTGTTTCGGCATTATGATACAGCACATAGAAAATGGGGGGTGGCTCAGGGCAGGGAGAGAATTTGTTTCTTTCCTTCGTCCATTTGAAACTTATTGAGCATCTATATGTTCCAGGTTACAGAAACAAATACTGCATGGTCCTCGACCCAGAGAAAATCTCTTATAGGCCATGGGAGGCTGAGAGGTGTCTGTTTTTCTTCCCAGTATATCCCCAACATTTAACAACAGGTTAATACTTAAATATAGTAGATTCTCAATAAATATGTGTTGATTAAATAAATAAACCAATTTAATTCAAGACAAGTAAACGGACACTTTCAAGGAAGCATTTTAAAGCTATAGGGGAGAGAAAAGTGGCCTGGGAACTCAAATATGCGGCCCTCACCCCTACTAGGGAAGCAGAAGGAGGGAGCATCCCGTCCAAAGCTTCCCAAGCGGCGCCGGACTGCGTGCTGCGGCTGTGGGGGTAGAAGTCTTCAGATAAAAGATGGGGAAAACAGACCAAAGCAAGTCTCGCTGGCCAGTGACACTCCAGGAGCATGGCCCATGGAAGGATCCAAGGCTGAGGGATCTGGGGTAGCCCCACAGAGATACTCTGCCAAAATCCAGTCACGAGAAGGAGGGAGGAGGCGAGGAACGAAAATGAGATTTGGTTTAGGCCGGAAGAACGGGCTGCGCCAACAACGAGAAAATAAAGTGGCGAGCTGGGAAGGGTGTAGCGCGGGCTAGAAGGGCGGGAAACTTGAGAACCACGGGCGCGGGAGCCTGGCGGGGACGCAAGCCCGGAACTGGCGGAGGGGTGGGCAGGCGCATGCGCGCGCGCAGCTGAAACGCCGGCTGATGAAACTGACAAAGGCGAGAGCGCGCAGCAGCCCACAGCAGCCGAGTTCGCGCCGCCGGTAGGTGCTGCCATGCCAGGGGGCGGGATCGTGGAGCGCCTCGCAGAACCGCACGAAAGCAAAAACAAAGCCATCTCTCCGGAGCAGAAATAGAACAGACGTGGCCGGGGAAAGCCAAATATTTGTGAGATGATGTGAACAAAGGGGGAAAAGTCAATCCAGGGAAGTTTGAGTTTCTGGTTGGAGGCTTCAGCGGCTCTGATCGCTGGATACTTTAAGAGAACATCCTTTGCCCCCGCTCTCCCTCTCTCCCCGAAGAAAAATAAATCCTTGGCAAAATGAGACTTGACGGCATGAAAAGAAGGTCTCCAGACTGTCCCAGCTGGCGCGGGCGGGGCCGGGGCCGAGGTGCCGCTTGGTGACACTGCAGCCGCGGCTCAGCACTGTCACCCAGAAAGGCCCGCCGACGTCTGTATGCAGGGAACGTGGCTCTTAGCAGAGCCTGGACAGGCGCAGGGCCAAGGAAGTCTTTGTTTTTGTTTCTTTCTCTAGCCCTTCCTGCCAATACATCAGGGATATAACTCCTTGGTGTTTCTGCCTTACAATCGCTCCTTATACCCCACCCAGATCCTCAGCACTGCAGCTCCCACTGCCACTGCCCGCTGTGAGTCACCTCCCCCTCTCCCTTTTTTAAACCAAACGGCAAGGCCATATTGCAGTTATCCATAAATGGAAAAGCAAGAAGCCACCAATACCTGTTTGAGAAGATGGCATTTTAATTAGCACACTCCGGCTGCCATAAACCCGGGCTCCTGCCCCACCTCTCCCCCCGCCCCCTCCTCCCCCCTCCCCCGCCGTGCCCTCTCTCAACCTCCCCGCTCACCCCCATCTATGTAAAAAAGCCATAAAGCCTCTCTCCAATCGCTTTCTCGGAGGGAGTTTTTGCAACCCCCACAACACAGGTTGATTGGAAAGGTCTCTCTCCCGGATAACAACAATTCAATGTGCCTTGACATTTTAATAGCCTGCCGTCCTGGTGAACACAATCGAGCAAGGCAGTGAAGCAAACATCATTAGGTAAGCAAGATAATCTAAGCGGAATCTGCCGCCTGCAGGCTCACATCTGGGGGCAGGTTGCACAGCTGGGCCGTCCACAAAGCTGGGCTCCTCCTGTCCTGCAGCGCCTTTGTATATGAATACCAATATATACACTTGTTTAGCTAGAGACACACACTTACAGGTTTTGGTAGATAAATACAGTCAGGCAAGTGTACCGACCACTGACGCCCCAACATGAAATAGCGTTAAGAGTACACAAATTTACCATGAATCAAAATATCCACCATCCCACCGAAGCTCCACCAAGATAAACGTACGGCTCTAAGCGCGGGTTTGCTATATCAAAGAGAACAAGGCAAATACTTGTTGGGATTCCTAATACCAACCATGTAAAGGCTTTTGATGCATATATATATGCCCCCTGAGTGCCCTAGGCTGGTATTCTCCTGCGTGCCGTTGTCCAACTTGGCTCTGGTCATATGGCTTTTGGGCTTGAAATGGTGCGACCTACCTTATTTTCTATTGTTATCTAAAGGAATGCATATATATGCGTTCATTTATGTAAATATTTTGAATATAATGCCATGGCTAGACATATAATTTAAGCATAATATATAACATAAAATATTTATACTTATGTTTGCAGGGAACTGCTATTAATGCTTCACATCTAATAACTCATTTAATCCTCAAATTGTAGGTACTGTTATTATCCCCACTTTACAGATGAGATAACTGAGGCACAAAAGTTTGAAGCAGCTTGCCCAAAGTCATCTTCTAATAAGTGGTGGAGCCAGGATTTGAATCCAAGCAGTCTGGCTCTAGAGTCCAGTGTATTATCCATTAAGTTATGCTGTTTCATAAAAAGTAAAGCACACAAGTAGATATAAAATGTGTTGCATGTCTTCATAAGGTCAGTGCATTCTATTATGAATTTATATATTTATGTACATGCATAACACACACATGTTCGTGTGAACTGTCAAAAGGTGCAAGGAAGTATGTCTGACTTCTTTTTAACATAAACACCTGCCTGCACTTGTATATTCAGCCATATTCATGTATTGAGCATCTTGTGAGTCCCTAAGCCATGTGCTGGGGTACTGAGGATACAATAATTAATTAGACACAATGGCCACCCTCAAGAACTCATCACCTATGGGGGAGTCAAACAAGTAAATAGATGCTTAACCTTGAGGGTGATAGGTTAGAGGCTGACACAGAGCTGCAGAGACTAGGATGGCCCCTTCCCCCACCCATCCCCACCCTCCTGACATATCTTGCACCAGAATCTTCCAGGGAAGCCACACACTTATTCCCATGAGGTTGTCATCACTCAGAACATGTTGAGGGTTCCCTTTGGGAATTGCCTTCTAAACCATTTTATAAGCTGCCCAAGAAAATGATTCTTGTTATTTAATAATTACATATAATATGCACACTCACACCCCTTTCTTAGGAAGGAGGCAGAAGTGACATCACAAAACCCAGGGACCAACAGATGATAGAAAATTCTCCTGTTGGAGTCCAACCCTCCCCAGCTGGTCCATGCCCCTCCCTCTCCTGCACACAAGTCCCCCAGCATAGATCCCGTTCCCTGGATGCTGACTTGGCAAGCTATTCACTTTATGAATATGACCCTCAGAGGGGAGAGCCCCTCTCAGCAGCCCCCGAACTATGTTATCACCATTATTAAGGAGCTTAAAGAGGAGCTGGGAGGACAAGACACCGCTGGAATTGCAGCCTGATTGTGATTGATGTGTTCCTATTAGCGCCTCAGTGTTATCTCTCTGGATAGCAACAACAGCCAGTGGCTTGTAACACAACAGATTACCTGAGTTCTCAGCCTTAGAAGGATGTTTAAATAAAATATAGTCGCTCTTAGCAAGAGGCTCATTTTCTCCACGAGGCTCCCGGACTATTTCATGTCAGCTCTGATTCGCTGCGACTCTCCTCAGTAAACATGTCTTATCATTAATAATTCTTTACAAGCACAATCTCCAAGAGTCCTCTCTCTCTCCCTCTTTCTCTAGGTGGCTGGACTCAGACACATCACGCTCCAGTTTGGGTTCCAAGGTGCTTCTCTCTGGATTTTCACCTGCCTTGCCAAAAATGATTGATTACGCTGGGCCAACTGGGTGTCCGGCAATACCCAACAAATGACTTTGGCCCCTAACAGCAGGTCTTGGCCAGACAGAAATCAATATTTCACCATTAAAATCTATCAAAGAAGAGTTAAGGCACCATCTGTCCCTGCCGCCTCTCTATGGTGTGTGAACATTAAATCCGACACTTGTACTACATGGGTAATCAATATATAGTGGTTCACAGATCATTTGTGGTTCCCTTTTAGCAGTGATGGATGTCTGGAATCGTTGTGATTCATTTTGTCAGACCATTAAACAAGATTCTGTCCAGTTCCTTCCTGATTTCATTTAGAGGATCATTCTTCACAGTTCATAAGAGGGAAACGGTTTTACCAATCTGCTTCTATTTCAATAAGTCACTTTATAGAGATTTTGTGTCCTCCAGACTGTAAAAATTCTGGAGAGATAGTACAAACAGACCTCTAAAACTATTCACTGCATGACATATGCATAAAGTGTGAAGAGAGGAATGTAAATATGTTTACCTCTTTATCTGCAAATGTTGGTTTTAACCCCCTCCTAGCTGGAGAGCTGGCCAGGGTACTCCAGGCATCGGCCTGCTATAGCAAGAGGCAGCTAAAGTTTGGTAACTGGAGGCTAATTTACAGGGATGACGAAAATCCCCTGACTCCTCATGAGCATGGTGGAAAGCAAATGGGAATGGCTCTTCCAGGGGCCACATTTTAGAGACTTTCATTTCTATAGTCAAGATGTCCTTGCCCCTCATGCAAATGGTTGGCAAAAGCCTCTGCACTCCCAGGCAGCATGCTGACCCAAGAGAAGCAAGACTGACCTTGCCCTTGAGGGCAGGAGTGTGGATGACCAGGAAGGTCTTGCATGCCAATATGGCTACCATCTGTGAAGCACCAACCTATGTCAGGCCCCATACTTGCACAATTCTTGCCCTTAACAATCCTGAGAGATAGGTACTATTATCTCCACTTTCCAGTAAGGAAACTGAGACTCAAAAAAGTTAAATAACCTGCCTAAGATTATTCTAGTCAGGGAAAGTAAGAGTCAGGACACAAACTTAGGCCTGTCTGATGCCAGCCTCCACATTGAACTGTAGTCAGATCTCAGCTGGTGGCCATTAATCTGCAGATGATTTTGTTTCAACCCAAGTGAATTTCCTTTAATGCTCCTGGATGTCTTACTTGCATCAACCAACTATGGTGTTACTAGGAAACAGAATTTTATTCTATCCTTATTTTAAGTAAATCTACAGTAAGATCACTAAATTATGCACTCCAAAACGAAACACTGGATTTTAAACTATTTTCTGTTTTGGGATTATTGGGCAATTACTTCACTGTTGCTGATATTAGTGTAGATAAGTAGATGTCGATTTAACTATTAACATAAGTACATATACATATACGTACAGACTTACACACATAATTTATATATAATTATTGTATGTCACATAAATATATATAACTTAAAAGATCTTAGAGATAATTTAGCTTTTCCTTTTTTTCTATGCTTTTAAAATAAAGCAATGGAGGCTCAGCAGGACTAAAAAGCTGGTCCAGGGACAAGAATCTTGTTTTCTGATTCCCAAGTCAAAATGCTTTACCAAAGAATTATAAGTAATAGAACATTACACAATTATGATTTTTTTGGTTTCATATTTGTTGAGGGGATGAGTGGAGAGAGTTGTATTCATTTTGCAGTTTACAGAACAGGAAAACGGCCAGTGCATTCTTACTTCCATTTCAGTTCACTGACTACTATGCCATCCTGCCTGGAGATGGGCGTTCCTTTAGATAACAATAGAAAATAAGGTAGGTCGCACCACTTCAAGCCCAAAAGCCATATGACCAGAGCCAAGTTGGACAGCAGCACGCAGGAGAATACCAGCCTAGGGCACTCAGGAGGCACATGGCATGGCAGAGAGAGCTTGGACTAGGCTTTAGAAAGATTAGGCAAAAAAATCCATCTGTGCTCCTGTGTCATCTCAGACAAGCCACTTAGCCTCTCTGACTGCCTTTTTCCTTATCTGTAACACTGAAGCTAATTGCACCTACGTCAAAAGATAATTGCAAGGATTAAATAAGACAATACAAATTTCAGCACAGGTCCAAGCACAATCCAGGTTAGTGCCCTTTCTTTTTCCCTTCCTTCCTCCCTGACCTTATTTCATAAATGTGTATTATACCATATTTCAGTCTCCAGTAACAACCTGTAATGGGATCTGCCACATAAGAATTTATCTAAGTCTTTCTTGATTCTAGAAATATTAAACCTAAGAATTAAACAGAGAATTGCAAGGTCTTTGGTTCAACCATTGACCCGGTGCAGAAATCACTTCCAGCACCTGCCTGATGGGTCATTTTCAATGACCAGGAGCTCAAGATGTCTAAATAAGTCTGCCTCATTGCTGGACAGTTTCTTAATGATAAATTTCCTGCTAAACCTGCCTCCATGTAAATTCTATCCTTTAGTCCCAGTAATAACTCCAATCCATAACCACCTCATGTTCCACATAATTTAATAGAATGAAAAGAAATGTTCCCTTTAATTTGTGTTCAAACTATCTTCTTGAAGCATTTTGATGATTTCACTAGAATATAAGAGGTCTGTGACTGTGCCCAAGTTGGCATTATGCATGTCTTTCTATGTTAGCTTTGAGCACATCCCAGCTCATATTGAGTGTGGTGAAAGAGTTTTGTTTCTGTTTTTGTTTTTTCTCTCTCTTTCATGGACCTCACCCTGGTCCTTGCACTCTTTGGGGTCTTGCTGTCTCTACAGTTCTGTTTTTGAGTGTGAAACCTATAACTGCTCCGAGCATTTCCAATTAAATTTTATATTCAGTTTTCATTCATCTATTTCTTTCTTTTCATTCTTTGCTCTTCCTAACCATTTTTCTCCATCCACCTGTTTTTCCATCACAAATATCCCAATCAAGGCAGAAATGCCAATCTATACTTTGTATTTGAATAATGCACCTTAATAATAGGATGAAATGAAGTCCAGCTCTAAGAGCAAGGTCAGCCTCAGCACCTGTTGAGGCAGCTATTGTGCACCTTCAGCAATGATCTGCAGACATCAGCATAAAGCCCCTGTGAGCAGGCTAATATCCACTCCAGGATCTCAGGGCATACCATGGTCTCTCAACTATTCCCACTATTCACGCACTCCAAAATTACTAGTGCCTGCTTTGCCTGGTTGCCTAGTTCTGCGATTACTCTGTGGCACTGAGGTTAATCTTGTGGGCCCTACTCAGGTCTGACTCTTCCAAATCCCACTTATTGCTGAGGTATCATGTTCCAAATGTTAATATCTCAAAATGCCCATTTTTGCTGCTAGGTTTCTTGTCTGTTTGTAGACCTCTGAATCCAGTGTCTTTGGTCATACTTGGACATATACAAATTTCTTCTTGTAAATGTGGCCTAATTAGGGAGAAAAAATTCTGCACTAGTTCTTTTCAAAAGTCAGTTCTATACACATCCATTCAGGTAAAATTGCACAAGCTCACCCTTGACCAGGGGCTGCTTGAGCCATACTCAATTAGAGGTCAGCCAAGACACAAGCACACCTGCCTGGCACATGCCTGTGCCCATCTGATGTGTACTAGCAGCTGAGCATGCAGCAATCACATACACACACACATACAGTCTGAGGTCTGAAAACCACTAACCTAATCCCTCTCCCTCTCTCTGCTCAGGCATAAGCAGAACTACTTCTGATGGAATAGGTTACACATTCCTAAAGATTTCCCGGTATTCCAGATATTCTCTCACTCTTTGTCCCAAGATCAAACAGTATACACCTCTCAAAAGTTTCTTTCAGAGCCAACTTTGGCCCATCTTGCTGTAATTAAAGCCCATCCTAGGGGCTTACAATTTTTGCTTATTTATTTATTTATTTATTTGAGACAGAGTTTTGCTCTTATTTCCCAGGCTGGAGTGCAATGGCGCCATCTCAGCTCATTACAACCTCTGCCTCCCGGGTTCAAGTGATCCTCCTGTCTCAGCCTCCTGAGTAGCTGGGATTACAGGTGCATGTCACCATGCCTGGTTAATTTTTGTATTTTTAGTAGAGACCGGGTTTCATCATGTTGGTCAGGCTGGTCTCGAACTCCTGACCTCAGGTGATCCACCCGCCTCAGCCTCCCAACTTACCAGGATTACAGGTGTGAGCCACCACGCCTGGCCTAATTTTTGCTTCTTTATGAACTCTTCTTCTTAATAATAACACTCTTAGTTATATACCTACCATTTGTGAGGCATCATATTGGTTACCTTGTGAGATTATTTTATTTAGTTCTCATAGCAGCCTTTTGCAAGATAGATTTTATTTTCTCCATTTTGAAATGAGAAACTAGAACCATGAGAGGTTTAGTAATCCACATGATATCATACAGCTAATAAATGACAGAAGGAGGCGCAAACTCTGGCCAGACTCCATCAGCAGAGCTACTAATACTAGGCTATATTTTTATCAGGAAAAAAAATAGAGTTAAATATATTCACCTTACAATTGTAGTGAGATCTACATACAGAGTTCTGGAAGCAGAATCCAGGCCTCATTAAAAATCTTCACAGCTATTAATTACCTTTACCTGACTTAGCCCCCAGATCATGTCCTGTTATCTAAATATCGACAATAGTTTTTCTAATTGCACTTTAAACTCCTGATGAAAGGAGTCAGTTAGCCTATAAGTAAGTCATTGTGCAAAAGGGACACAAGACTTAAATCTCTTCTTTCAACTCAGAGCCACAGAAGAACAGAGCATCAAGAAAGGGATCAGAGCATTTCACCTCTTCTGGTCCACATGCTCTTTGGCCAGCAAGGATTTGGGAACCATGCTGAAATTAACCACCCAATGGTGAGGAAGGAAGATGGGTGGCTAAACCAGCCCTGGAAGCCTGCACAGCAGGAGACTGCTGCAGGAGACTGCTGCACAGCAGGGCCTCGTTCATGGGTGACCTCTTCAAACCACCAGAAGCTGTGGCCAAGAGGACGAGCCTGACTTATGGTGCCCTTACACTCCAGGGAAAGGGGTGCAGGGTGCCAGGAGGAATGTTAGAACTAGGAGACTCAGCTAGTGGTTATCAGCTGGGGTGGGGCATAGGATCTCCCTGGAGGGCATTCAGACATGTGACAGTGAGTTGTTGCAATGACTGAGGGTGCTGTGGGTAGTTAGTGGGCAGGGAAAGTTCTAAGTGTATTCTAATGTGTGGGACAGTCCCATGCAATGATGAATTGCCCATTCAAAATGCCACTGGGACCCCGATGACTGAGTCTCTTTTCTAAATTTATAGATGAGGAAGGATTTCAGTGAATCTCCTGGAAGAGATCTAGAGAAAATTTTTTCTACCCAGTGTTGTCAGTGCAAATTCAGCTCCTCCAGGAAAACATTTTATGAAGGTTGTTACTTCCTCTTAAACTCATCAAGAGGGCTGCAGCTTCTACAAATAGAAAGGGAAATGGTATTCATTAAAGTTATCAAATCCTGCATTAAATATAATAAAGACAATCTCATTTCCTCTGGGAAAATGAAAAATCTGTGAATCAGATGGCAATGGAAGAAAGGAAACTGAGGCTCAGAGGGGTTGAGTAAGCTGACTAAGGTCACACAGCTCATCTGTGACAGAGGCAAGATGCCAACTCAGCTGTCCCAGGCAGAAAATCGCACAGTCCTTCCATGGAGCCCTGTGAGGTCAGCCAACACCCACTGGGTGCCTCAAACCACGCCTCAGGTCTTCTGAAGGCTCTGCCAACCTGGAGCAAAATGAAGAGAGGCAAAGTTCATCTGAGAGCCTTCTCTCCTCATGTGGTTCCCTCAGCTTCATCCCTTTACCACCTGACTTGGCCAGTAGAACCTGGTTCTCGATTGCTGCTGCCAGGAGCTTTGCTTTTGATGCAAAAAAACTTGAATATATAAGAAAGGAAGTTCCTGTGGTGGAACGGGAGTGGGGAAGGGCATTACTGCTAAGGAGAAAACCTTTCTACAACTATCACCATTTTACAACTTTCCCTTCCATAAGCTAGCCTTTGGGACCTGTTGAGGAAATTTCCAGGTGTGGCTTTGTGCTTCTGACCAACTCTGAAGCCTTCCACTTTATTTCTAAGTGGCTTTGAACCATCAGGACAGCAGGGAGGGGAATTATAGTGAGGAGAGATCTGGGGTAGGGAGGGGAAATGGCACTTCAGTGTGGGCTCTGAGACCTGCAGAAAAACAGGAAAATGAAAAAGAACAGTGCCGATAAGATAATGGCTCATCTTGGCAATTTTTAAAATTCTGATGTATTTACCAGAAAGTGGTTGGACTGAAATTTCCATTCTATCATTTCCCAGCTTGTGGCCTTGAACAACTGCCTTAACATTGCTGAAACTCAATATCTTCATTTGAACAAACAGAGTGGTGATTTCCACCCCACAGTGGTGTTGTTCAGAATGAACATGAAAATAAAGCAGCGAGCATGTAGTCGGCTCTCAGTAAGTAGAAGCAGCTATGACTGATTTGCTGGAAAATGGACTGCACAACATGGCTTTACATAGAAGAGTGCAAAAGAGCTCATCACCTCCAAAGCTCTGACTCTGCTTTAGGGGAAGAAGACTGTCAATCTATTCTTCCCCTAAACAGTAGGTGGGGGTGGGGAGAAGGAGCAAGGAGGGGAGTTTTCAGGGTAACAAGACTAATCAGGATTTCACCATCAAAGCAAATATATCCAATTAGCAGCTATTAAAGAAGCATTTTCTGGCACTGTGCACAACGAAGGCCATTCTACCTAGCAGAAATTAATCTTAATTATTGGTACCTGCACACATACGTGCAAAGGGAAGCAACTCACATTAATCTACATTAAACTTAATAGCAGTCCGTGTATTATCTACTCTGAGTCAAAATTGACTGCTGGCCCCTGTGTAGATATCTGCAGTGCTAACTCAAGTAATTACAGAGCAGTGGGTCTCAAAGACACAATTTGTTCCCTATATAATAAATCAGCTACTAGAAGCTTTTTATAATTAAAAACCAAAAGAAAAAAAATAGAACTGTATAGGCAAATGTCATTTTCTTCTAAGGGAAATTAGGGAAAAGAAAAGCGTGTCTCCTTCTTGCCTAGTCTGAAAGGGGAAGGAAATACATGTCTCTGATGGATTCCTAAACAAAGAGAGAAATAAATACAGTGGTAGAGTTTCAGAACTATGGAAAAGAATGTTTTTATAATCTTAAATTTAAGGTTTCTAAGAGGCCTGATATTCCTTTCCAAGAAGACCAATAAGGCTGTCTTGGAGAAATGCTTTATATGAACTGGAATTTTCATTAGTATGGGACAAGGTGGAAGGCCAAGTTGATTATATTAAATTCCACCTAGCAGGACCCGTTGAATGACCATGAGGTCAAGGAAAATGATGACTATGTTTGCTTCCTCCCTGCTGCCCACCACCCTTCCTATGAGAACATCATGCATGGATTCAATGCATCAATTTTTAGAGGTTACCCTCCCTTCCATAGCTCTCTTTCACTTTTGTCACCTCTGCCTCCAGAAACCATGGGCCCTCTCCCCAGAAACCATGAGCCCTCCCTCTACCTCAACCACTCCAGCAAGTTAGGGCTTCTCAGCTGCTTAGAATCCTGCATCTACTGGTGCTGTATGACCAATGAGGCTATCTAGTCCTACCTTAACCCCAGCCAACATTTCCTAAGGCGTGACTTGCCTGCCCCCACTGGAATGGAGATGATTAAGCAATTCTCAGATAACACCCCGACTTCATTTGCTAAGAGTTTGCCTGCAGGCACACCATGGTCATGTTCCACATCAGGAAGGCAGCCCACCTAACCTACTGCAGTTGGGACACAAGATTGCCCAAACCAGATCTTCCCTGACTAGCCGCCTGCCCCTACATCTCCTAGACTGCAGCTCATCCCAGTGTAGAGCCCTTCCTAATCCTCTACCTCCATCCTGCCTTTTCTCAACTCTCACCTCTGGTAGTCCCCCAACTGAGCCTGCCTTCCCTCAACCCACCCAGCACCCCTCCCGGGTCCCAGCCATGGTAGCCATGTTCCCCCATTCAGTTGTATGTACAATTGCAAGTAGAAGGTGCCTCCCAGGATTGTGCAACTCGGTGGCCCAGATAACCCTTTGGCACTCATCACCACCAGCTTGGCTCCATCTTGGTTCTACACCCTGGGCCTCCTCCAGCTTGCTGGTTCCCTTTGCTCAGGTATGAACCTGCTCTCAGTCTCCAGGACTCCTCTAGCCAAAGCCCTTCCCAAGCTCTCATCCCCTCACTGGAGGAATCTAAGTCAATCTCCGATCCCCCTGGGATTCTTTCCTCCTGATCGCTGGTCCAACCTTTCTCCATCAGGTCAAACCTCCCTTCCAGATCACAAACCCCAGATATCTTCCCTCATCCCAGCCTTAGTGTTTTCCCCATCCCTGCTCTCTAAGCTGTGTATAGCTCTTGCTGCCTCCTCCCACCTCTTAACCCTGACTGCTTTATTCTCTATTATCTGATAGTATCATTTAATGCAATTTTTAAATTAAAAATCATGTACATGTTCCCTGTAGAAATTTTGGAGAATACAGGAAAATAAAGAAAGGCAGGTGTTTACTACTCAAGCCTTCTTTTCGGGACATATGGCATACATGCAAATTTACAAAATAGGTGTGGAATTGATACTGATTTTTTAAATGATTTTCATTCTATTTTTTCAATAAATAACATGTATGTGCCCTAGTCTGTCAGCATCCCGCCCCAGTGGCAACCAATGTTATCAGCTTGTTTTGTACTTTCTAGCAATAGTTCATTCACTAACAAGTATATATGAATATAAATGCAACTTTTCACACAAATGATGGGATCCATCACACTTTTTTACAACTTACTATTTTCACTTAAATATTAGAGGTTATATCATAGACATAGATCTGCACCAGCTTCCCTTTTAAATCTATCTATTTAATTAAAACAGTGTATAAATAACAACACCGTTGGAGTTATGGCATAGCAACAATCGTGAGAAAGGTATTTGGCCATTGAAGTTCATATAGAAATTTTAGGAAAAAAAAACTACCAACTTAGGAAACACTGTTCTGTCTTGTTTATGATTCTGCCTGCTCTCCTGACCACCCAACCTTATTAATAAGTGGCCCTCCAGACCTGCTTGAATACCTCTAGTAATGGGGAACTCACTTCCTCAGGAGGAGGAATAAATATATTTAAAAGGGAAGCTTTTAGATGATGAGACCCTCATCCTGAACACTGTGGGAATTCTTTAGCTTTTAAAATCTATTTCATCCATTTGGACACTGAATAGCGAACACTTGACATTGTTTCTTAACCATCTCATAGGACGTGGTTTTTAATTCAATTTTGACTTAACTTTGCCTTTTAACTTAATTTTGAGTTTCTGAAAGGCAGAGACCAAGGCTTGGTTTTCTCGTGCACCCCTTTCCAGTGCCTGCCATGGTGCCACCCACACTGCCCCCACAGAGTACGTCCTTATCTTTGAGCCCTCGGTGAGCTCAGCACTTCTTCCAGACAGCCTTTCCTAACACCTCGCCCCCAGAATTTCTCCAGTTATTGTAATTGTCTCTCTGTGATCTGTATTCTTCATTGCTCATGCAAAGCCTACCACTAGTTTTCAAAAACATATACTTATTTGGTGAGTAAATAAACAAATAAATGAGGAACACACTTTTTTTTTTTTTGAGACGGAGTCTCGCTCTGTCGCCCAGGCTGGAGTGCAGTGGTGCGATCTCGGCTCACTTCAAGCTCCACCTCCCGGGTTCACACCATTCTCCTGCCTCAGCCTCCCGAGTAGCTGGGACTACAGGCACCCACCACCACACCCAGCTAATTTTTTTGTATTTTTTAATAGAGACAGGGTTTCACCGTGTTAGCCAGGATGGTCTCGATCTCCTGACCTCATGATCCACCAGCCTCGTCCTCCCAAAGTGCTGGGATTACAGGCGTGAGCCACCACGCCTGGCCAACCTTTTCTTAAAAGACAGTGATGACAGAATAGTGTCAAATTTCTCAAGGGGACCTTGTAGAATCTAAATACAAGGAGAGTTTCTCCCAAGATCCCTGGGATGCTGACAGGGCTACCACTTGCTGTGTTTAACATCCCTAGGGCTCCATTTATGAAGCACCTAATCATGATAGAACATTCAGAAACACAAAGTTGGAAGCTAGGCGTCAAGGCCGTGCAAACTCCATGAAATCAGGTGCCAGGAAGGGTTCTTAGAGAGATTTCAGAAAAGTTATTGAGGGGCAGAAGGAAGAGAATTAACATTTCTGTGCTCCCATTTGTGCCAGAAATAGAGTTTGAAGTTAAAGATGAACTTGTCCTCTAGCAGAGAGGAAGAGAGGAGTCCTGAAATCAGCCCTGAAGAACACTCGTCTTTCCCGCCCTTCCCACCCAGAAACTGCACCCAGCTCTAAATTGGAATTATCAGCCAATCCACCTACAACTATTTCCTAAGAACCTATGAGTTAAAAAAAGACCTGGACCATATCTCAACACTCTTCTTAGCAACATACAAACACATTTACATGAACATCAAAACAATACTGTAAATGAAACGCCTCTATAAAATGTTCATACAAGATTCTTGTGGTAGAAGAAGCACGGACACCAAAGAACAAAACATTTGAATGCTAGCTTCTCAGCCACGTGACCTCTGGCAGTTTACTTCACCTCACTAAACTTTATCTCTGCAATGGAAATAAAAATGCCACCCCATATGTGTCATGTGTAAGGATAAAAAGAAATGTAATGAGATTATGTATGCAAAGGTGGGCAGAAAATGCACGTGGACTGTAGAAGGTGCTGGGCTGGAAATGGGGCACAGAAAGAGAGAAGTCCGAAGGAGCCAGAGGGAGAGGTCGTCTGGCGGTGCAAGGGAGCACACTTGACATATCCATAATTGTTCATTCATCCTGTTATTCTTGTCACTCCACAAATATTCAGGGAGCATATACAAATGGGGAACAAGTCAGACACAAGGTCTGCCCTCATGGAGCTGACAGTTTAACAGGGATACAGATGCTTAAAGAAATGATGTGAATTCAGCTCAGTGCTCTGAGACACGAGGGAGAGTTGGGACATGTCATGGAGCTGACAGTTTAACAGGGATACAGATGCTTAAAGAAATGATGTGAATTCAGCTCAGTGCTCTGAGACACGAGGGAGAGTTGGGACATGGGAGTGGCTCCTCATTCAGACAGGTGGGTGTAGAGAGACTTGTTAGAGGCCAGTGACATCTCAGCTTTCAGAAGCAAGTAGAGTCATCCAGGTTGGTGGGGTGGGGAAGAGGAGATGGGATTTGAGCTTTGTAGGAAGGCTTGCATCTCAGGCCTGCGCTCCCCCAGAGAGTGAGGGAAAGAAGTGACCAGAAGACAGCCTCATAAGCCATGATCATGAGTCTGACCCACATGGTAATAATCACCATAAGGTTTCAAGTGGGAGAGTGACACACATGGTCAGATTTGCATTTCAGTAGCAGATTTGGGTGGAGCAGGGCAAGATAGCCAGGGAGACAAGTAAGGAGAGAGTTGCAGGAAATAAAGAAAGGTAGAGAGCATTGGACACTACAGAAAGCAGAATATTACTCAAAGTGCTCATGAGAGATCGGAGTTAAAGGTAGGGTGAGGAGGCAGTCAATGGTGGCCCCCAGGTGTCTGGCTGAGGCAGCTAGGTAAATGGTGGGACCATTGACTAATATGAGGTTTTGGAGAAAGATCTTGAGTTTAGCTTTGGATATATCAAGATCGGGGTTCCTGAGAGATATCCAAGTGGAGTTGTCTAAGAACAGATGAGTACGTGGACTCCAAACCAGGAAATTTTGGATTGGAGACAGAAGTTTGGCATTATGTCAGCCCCCAGATAATGAATGTTTGCTGGGCTGCTGATGACGTTCTACAGAGAGCAGGGGCAACAAGGAAGAGAGGACAGCCAGCAAAGCCCCTCTAACAGGGCAGAAGAGGATGTGTCATTACAAGAGCCTGGAAATTAGCTAGAGAGATGGGAGGGAACCCCACAGAGAGAGCAGTGTTACAGAAGCCAAGGAAAAAGAGGATATCAACAGGGTGGGGTAAATTGATTTTGCTATGATGATATCTGACTTGAGAAGTACTTATTGGATAGTCCAAAGTGGAAGTCTCAGTGACCTTGGCAAGTTTCAGTGGAGTGGTAGGAGTGGAATCCAGATTGTCAAGATGAAGGAGGAGAATGTAGGAGGTAGGAAGGAGGAGACAGCAAGTGCAGGCAAAGCTTAGGAGGCACTTACTGTAAACATTAAGATGAAAGATAGGAAAGTACCTGGAAAGAAATACCTATAGGCTGAGTTTTGGGAATGATGCTTTTTGTTTGTTGTGTAATATGGGAGAGATTTGATCATGTCTTAATACATCTAAGAAAAAGCCAATACAAGAAACGAAAAGTTTTAAAGATGTAGAAGAGAGGGAGGAAATAATAATAATAGTAGAGGCAAATCTCTGAGGAGATGGATGGAGATTGGATCCAGGAGGTATTTCACTGGGACAAGAATGAAAGAAGATGCTGTATATGTTAGAAACTCTGTCGGGTTCAGGTAACAGTACACCCTCTGGGATTGTAACTTGGAAAGTAGCTTGGACATTTGAAAGTCAAACAGTAGCTTTTTGCTACCCTTAATTAAACTGTTCAATGTTGGCAGGGCTCAGAATCAACAGCTCTGTAATTTGTTTCACCTTTGCCTCATGGTTGCAGGATGGCTGCAGCAGCTCTAAGCATCACATCCTTACATACCCCATTCATAACCAGGAACCATGTGTCCGTAAAGGGCATAATTCTCTTCATGCACTTTTCTCTTAGAAGAAAGAAAAACATTTTTCAGAAGCACTTCACAAGACTTCTTGACACATCTCATTATGTAAAATTGGGACTTAACAGTCACGCACAGACCAAGGCTGGGCCCAGTTCCCACCCAGCACACGAACAGAATCAGTGCTTCAGTGAGAAAGAAGAAAGGGGCAACTCTGGGTTAGAAATAGCCATGTCTGCCTCAAAGGTACAGATGAAGTAGGTCAGTGGGCTTGGGAGCAGAAAAAATGAATGAATTCTCTGGAAATGTCAATTTTCCCTCTAAGTTTGTCATCTGCTAAGAGTGAGAGGGAAGGGGTTGTGGGTGTGAGTTCTGATGGGAGTGAAGAGATCTAAAATAACCACAGCAGAGAAGCAGGGGGTGAACTCACTGGAAAAAAAAAAACATCAAAAATTCCAAGAAGGTCCTCCATGGGGAAAATGATTGGGGAAGAAATTACAGACCAAAGGAAAAAAGAAAGGAAGGGAAGATCCACTAAAGGACAGCTCTGCCCCAAGTGGCCATGTACACCAGGGTTTCCCTGCCTCGCACTGTTGGCATTCTGGGCTGATTAATTACTTGTTGCAGGGCTGTCCTGGGCACTGTAGCATGTTGGCAGCATCCCTTGCCTCTACCCACTAGATGCCAGTAGCAAACCCCACTTCCAATCCTGACTACCAAAAATGTCTCCAGGCATTGCCCAGTACCCCATGGTGGGAGGAGGCAAAATCATCCCAGTTGAAAACCACCTATGTACACTATCTTATTTAGTCCTTCAGAGCAGAGATGGTGTTTCTGTTTTTGAGGATGAGGTTAAAAGCCCAAGGACACATAGCTGAGAAGAAATGGAACCGGAATTGAAGCCGGCTCTGCCAGAGACTGCATTCTTCCCTCTGACCCTGAGCTCCACAGCCTGCAGTGCACCACCGGCACCAAACAGGAAGTCACACCCATGGGCCGGCCTCTGCCTTGCCACTGGGGCTCTACACCCCATAGAGTAACTTTGAGGAGTAATCTGTTTTTTCCCGGAGAGAATTAGAGAACTCATAAAAATTAAATCTTTACAAGAGCTCTATCTCCTCCTTTCAAGGAAGTCAATCACTTGGGTTAAAAAAGAAAAAGAAAAAGAAAAAAAAATGTGGCAACATTTTCCCAAGGACTTAGGGCAGAAAACCACCATCCAGAAAGGAAAATCTTTGAAGTTGGAATGTGCTCTAGGCTGCCTCTTTAAATGAAAAATGTTATATGCCTGGGAAACATTATATATGCCAAAGCAATACGAGGGCCTCACGGTAATAATGATAGCACCAACTCCATGCTTTCATCCCTGAGACTCTGTGAAGGGCCTTAAAAATGAAATTTTATACAAGTGCACACACACACACACACAATATTTGGAAAATTCACACATATATCACTTTGCCCACCTCTCCAATGAAGGTGGAATGTGGTGGCAGATGTTTCACAGCTGCCCGGCAACCACCCTCCAACAGTTTAGGACAGGAAGCTAAGGACACCCGATCCAAAAGGAATTGCAGGGAGAGGTCAGGGAGGTAAAAGTTAATCCTGAGAATTGGGATTCTGCCAAAGCTTGGGATACCCTCCACGCCATTGCCTCATCCTTTATTCTAAGAGACTGAATGAATCAAGTGACAGGCATCTATCTGCATGTGAGAGGCCATGCCCTCCCCATGAAGAGAGTTGGAACTAGGAAAGATCCTTACATTTGAGGAATACATACTATACATACAGCCTGCAGCCCAGCCTGAGAAAGCCAAGCCTATAGATTTGGCATCTAGGCCAGTTACATATCTTTACTCTGCTGAATAGCCATAGACAGAGTCCCTATTGCATAGATGGCTGCCCTTGCCTCTACCCTTTCATAAAAGATAAATCATTTCATAAAGAATGCCTCACTGCCTGGGTGCAGTGGCTCACAACTGTAATCCCAGAACTTTGTGGGGCCCAGGCAGATGGATCACCTGAGGTCAGGGGTTCAAGACCAGCCAACATGGTAAAACCCCATCTCTACTAAAAATACAAAAATTAGCTGGGCATGGTGGCATGCGCCTGTAATCCCAGCTTCTTGGGAGGCTGGGGCACAAGAATCACTTGAACCAGGAAGGTGGAGGTTACAGTTAGCCAGTGATCTGAAATCGGGCCCCTGCCCTCCAGCCTGGGCAACAGCAACACAGTGAGACTTCATCTAAAAAAAAATAAAAATAAAAATAAATAAAAAATAAAAAGAAGGCCTCACTGATGTGTGTGGATGGTAGAGGAGGAAGAGGGGACAAGGGGTGGTATCTTGTTTAACTAGGTCAGGCAGTGCATTTATAACCACAGAGTGAGGGGAAAGAAATGAATAACTGCAGAGCCCCAGCTCATGCCAGGGCCTGGGCTAGGAGCTTTACCTGTTGTCGTGTCATTAATCTTTCTGGGTTTCACTATCTGAACTTTGCAAATAAAGAAACTGAGTCCTGGAGAGGTTACGTAAGTTGGGGTCATACTCCCCAAGAGCCAGGATTCAAGCTCAGGTCAGCCAACCCCAAAGTGAACATGCTTGTGTTACCACCATATCTGGACATCGAGTATGCTAGCGCCCCAGAAATCTCCTCCGTGCTCTCTCCAAGTCATTACGCACCCACCCCTTACCTCCAGGTAACCACTGTTCTTCCTTCTATTGCTAAAGTTTAAATTTTGCATGTTTTTGAACAACATATAAATGGAGTCACATAGTATGTATTCTTTGGCATCTGATTTCTTCAGCTCAATAATTTATGAGATCCATTCATGTTTTTGTGCCTAATAGTAACTTGCTCATTCCCATTGCTATATAGGATTCTACTGGGTGAGTGTATTACAATTTATGTATCCATTCTATTATTTATGAACATTTGAGGAATATTCCATTTAGGAATATTATGAATACTACTGCTACAAACATTATTTTGTTTTGCTGTTTTTTTGAGACGGAGTCTCACTCAGTCACCAAGGCTGGCATGCAATGGTGCAATCACGGCTCACCACAACCTCCTGGGCTCAGGAGATTTTCCCTCCTCTGCCTCCCAAAGTGCTGGGATTACAGGTGTGAGCCATCATGCCCAGCTGAACATTCTTAACATCTAATGGGTGGCCACACACTTGAATATGTATACCTAGAGATAAAATTGCTGAATCATTAAGAAACATAATTGCTCATTTTTACTAGGTAATGCCAGTCTTCCAAAACGTTGTATTAACATTCCCACCAACAATGTGTAAAAGTTTCATCTGCTCCACAACTTCCAAAAATTGGTATTTTGAGTTTCTTTATAATTTTAGCTATTCTAATGGCTGTGTTGCTATGTCACTGTTGTTATAATTTTCTTCATAACTAATAAATATGAGGATCTTTTAATATATTTATTGGCCACTTGAACCATTCCCTCTTTTGTAAAGTTGTTGTCTGTTTTTGTGTATTGATCTGTAGAAGATCTTTGTATATTGTGTGAAAGTCCTTCGTTGGATATATGTATTGCAAATATCTTTTCTCATCCTGTGGCTTATCTGTCCATTCTTTGGTGTCTTTTAGGGCTTTTTTGTTTTTGTTTTTCACTACATTTTATTGTGGTAAGAATAGAACATGAGATGTACCCCCTTAACAAATGGCAAGTATACAGTGCCTTATTGTTAACTATAGATGCAATGTTATACAGCAGCTCTCCAGAGCTTATTTATCTTGCTTAACTGAAACTTTATGCCCAATGATCAGTAACTCTCCATTTCCTCCTCCCCCAGAGTCTGGGAATCATCATTCTACTCCAGAGTCTGGGAATCATCATTCTACTCTGATCCTATGAATTTGACTATTTTAAATATCTCCTATAAGTAGAATCATGTAACATTTGTCTTTCTGTTACTAGCTTATTTCACTAAGCATAATGTCCTCAAGGTTAATCCATGTTGTTACATATTGCACAATATCCTTCTTTTTGAAAGCTGAATAGTATCATATCCAATGTATATAACACATATCCTTCATTCATCTATCCATGAACATTTAAGTTGTTTCCACATCTTAGCTATTGTGAAAAGTGCTATAGTGAACATTGGGGCATCAATATCACTTTGAGATCCTTGTTTTAACTGTTTTGATAAATACTCAGAATTGGGATTGCTAAATTAAATGGCAGTTCTATTTTTTTAAGAGCCTTCATGCAGTTTTCCATAGTGGCTGCACTATTTTGCATTCCTACCAACAGGGTGAAAGTGTTCCAACTTTTTCACATCCTTGCCAACACTTGTGGTCTTTTGGTTTTTTGATAATAACCATCCTGAGAGGTGTGAGGTGATATCTCATTGTAGTTTTGACTTGCATTTCTCTGATGATTAGTTACTTTAAGCACTTTTTCATGTATGGGTTGGTTGCTTGTAAGTCTTCTTTGGAGAAATATCTATTCAAGTCCTTCAGCTATTTTTTAATCAGGTTATTTGGTTTTTTACTATTGAGGTATAGGAGCCCCTTTATCAAATGTTTGGTTTACAAATATTTACTGTATTAGTCCATCATGCTGCCGATAAAGACATACCCAAGATTGGGCAATTTAACAAATAAAAAAGTTTATTGGACTTACAGTTCCACATGGCTGGGGAGGCCTCACAATCATAGTGGAAAGCAAGGAGGAGCAAGTCACATCTTACATGGATGGCAGCAGGCAAAGACAGAGAGAGCCTGTACAGAGAAACTCCCATTTTTAAAATCATCAGATCTCATGAGACCCATTCACTATCACAGGAAGAGCACCGGAAAGAGCTGCCCCCATGATTCAGTCATCTCCTACAGGGTCCCACCACAAAATGTGGGAATTATGGGAGCTACAAGACAAGATTTGGGTGGGGACACGAAGCCAAATCATATCATTCTTCCCCTGTTCCCTCCCAAATCTCATTTCTTCACATTTCAATACCAATCATTTCTTCCCAACAGTCCCCCAAAGACTCAACTCATTTCAGCATTAACTCAAAAGTCCACAGTCCAAAGTCTCATCTGAGACAAGGAAAGTCCCTTCTGCCTATAAGCCTCTAAAATCAAAAGCAGGTTACTTACTTCCTAGTTACAATGGGGGTACAGTCATTGGGTAAATACAGCCATTCCAAATGGGAGAAATTGGCCAAAACAAAGTGGCTACAGGCCCCATGCAAGTCCAAAATCCAGCAGGGCAGTCAAATCTTAAAGCTCCTAAATGATCTCCTTTGACTCCATGTCTCACATTCAAGTCACGCTGATGCAAGAGGTGGGTTCCCATGGTCTGGGGCAGCTCCGTCCCTGTGGCTTTGCTGGTAAAACCTCCCTCCCAGCTGCCTTCATGGGCCGGCATTGAGTGTCTGTGGCATTTCCAGGCACACAGTGCAAGCTGTCAGTGGATCTACCACTCTGGGATCTGGAGGATGGTGGCCTTCTTCTCACAGCTCCACTAGGTGGTGGTCCAGTAGGGACTCTGTGTGGGGGCTCCCACCCCACATTTCCCTTTTGCACCATACTAGCAGAGGTTCTCCATGAGTATCCTGCCCCTACAGCAAACTTCTGCCTGGACATCCAGATGTTTCCATACATCTGAAATCTAGGCAGAGGTTCCCAAACCTCAATTCTTGACTTCTGTGCACTCACAGGGTCAACACTATGTGGAAGCTGCCAAGACTTGAGGTTTGCACACTCTGAAGTCACAGCCCAAGCTCTACATTGACCCCTTTCAGCCGCAGCTGCAGCGGCTGGGACACAGGGCACCAAGTCCCTAAGCTGCACACAGCATGGAGATTCTGGGCCCGGCCCACAAAACCACTTTTTCCTCCTAGGTCTCAGGGCCTGTCATGGGAGGGACTGCCACAGATGTGTTTGACATGCCCTGGGGACATTTTCCCCATTGTCTTGGTGATTAACATTTGCCTCCTCATTACTTATGCAAATTTCTGCAGCCAGCTTGAATTTCTCCCCCAGAAAATGGGATTTTCTTTTCTACTGCATTGTCAGGCTGCAAATTTTCCAAACTTTTATGCTTTGTTTCCTTTTTGAAACTAGAATGCCTTTAACAGCATCCAAGTCACCTCTTGAATGCTTTGCTGCTTAGAAATTTCTTCCACCAGATACCTTAAGTCATCTCACTCAAGTTCAAAGTTCCACAAATCTCTAGGGCAGGAGCAAAATGCCACCAGTCTCTTTGCTAAAACGTAACAAGAGTCACCTTTGCTCCAGTTCCCAACAAGTTCCTAATTTCCATCTGAGACCACCTCACCCTGAACCTTATTGTTCATATCACTATCAGCATTTTTGTCAAAGCCATTCAACAAGTCTCTAGGAAGTTCTAAACTTTCCCACATTTTCCTGCCTTCTTCTGAGCCCTCCAAACTGTTCCAACCTCTGCCTGTTACCTAGTTACAAGGTTGTTTCTACATTTTCAGGTATCTTTTTGGCAACACCCCACTTTACTGCTACCAATTTACTGTATTAGTCCGTCTTCACGCTGCTGATAAAGACATACCCGGCCGGGCGCAGTGGCTCACGCCTGTAATCCCAGCACTTTGGGAGGCCAAGGCGGGTGGATCACCTGAGGTCGGGAGTTCAAGACCATCCTGGCTAACATGGTGAAGCCCTGTCTCTACTAAAAATACAAAAAAAATAGCCGGGCATGGTGGTGGGTGCCTGTAGTCCCAGCTACTTAGGAGGCTGAGGCAGGAGAATGGCGTGAACTCAGGAGGCAGAGCTTGCAGTGAGTGGAGATCACGCCACTGCACTCCAGCCTGGGTGAGCTTGCAGTGAGTGGAGATCATGCCACTGCACTCCAGCCTGGGTGACAGAGCGAGACTCCATCTCAAAAAAAAAAAAAAAAAAAAGGCACACCCAAGACTGGGCAATTTACAAAAGAAAGAGGTTTACTGAACTCAGAGTTCCACATGGCTGGGGAGGTTTCACAATCATGGTGGAAGGTGAAAGGCACATCTCACATGGCAGCAGACAAATGAAGAGAGTTTGTGCAGGGAAACTCCCCTTTTTAAAACCATCAGATCTCGTGAGCCTGATTCACTATCACGAGAACAGCTCAAGAAAGACTTGCCCCCATAGTTCAATCACCTCCCACTGGGTTCCTGCCATGGAACATGGGAATTGTGGGAGTTACAATTCACGGTGAGATTTCGGTGGGGACACAGCCAAATCATATGAATTTTCTACTATTCTATATGTTGTCTTTTCACTCTTGATTGTGTTCTTTGCTGTGCAGAAGCTTATTAGTTGGATGTAGTCCCACTTGTTTATTTTGTTGTCGTTGCCTCTGCTTTTGCTGTCATATCCACAAAATCATTGCCAAGACTATTGTCATGGCACTTTCCCCCAATGTCTTCTTCTAGGCGTTTTATAGGTTTGTGTCTTACATTCAATCATTTAAACCATTCTGAGTTGATTTTTGCGTATGGTGTCAGATAAAGGGCCAATTTCATTCTTTTACATGTGGATATCTAGTTTTCTTATCACCATTTGTTGAAGAGATGATCTTTTTCCAACTGTATATCCTTGGCACCCTTATTGAAGATCAATTAAACATATATGCATAGTTATTTTTTTCTGGGCTCTCTATTCTGTTTCATTTTTCTATATATCTATCCATGACAATTCTGTTTTAATTATTATAGCTTTGTCCTATATTTTGATGTCAGAGAGTGTGATGACTGCCTTGTCATTCTTTCTCAAGATTTATTTGGCTATTGGTCTTTTGTGGTTCCAAATTATTTTTAGAATTTTTTTCTTTTTTTAACTTTTAGGTTCAGGGGTACATGTTACATAGGAAAACAAGTGCCATGGGGGTTTGTTGTAAAGATTATTTCATCACCCAGATATTAAGCAGAGTACCCAATAACTATCTTTTCTGCTCCTCTCCCTCCCCCCAACCTCCACCCTCAAGTAGACCTGTCTGTTGTTTTATTCTTTGTGTTCATAAGTTCTTATCATTTAGCTCCCACTTATAAGTGACAACATGTGGTATTTGGTTTTCTGTTCCTGCTTTAGCTTGCTAAGGATAATAGCCTTCAGTTCCATCTATGTTCCTACAAAAGATGTGTTCTTGTTCTTTTTTGTGGCTGCATAGTAGAATTTTGTTTTTCTATTTTGGTAAAAAATACTAACGAAATTTTTTTTAGGAATTGCATTGAATCTGCAGATTGTCTTAAAAAGTATGCACATTTTAACAATATTAAGTCTTCCAATCCATGAACACACAGATGACTTTCCATTTGCTTGTGTCTTGTTTAATTTCTTTCAACAATGCTTTGTAGTGTTTGGTATACAAGATTTTTGCTTCCTTAGTTAAGTTTATTTCTAGGTATTTTATTCTTTTTGGTGCTAGTGTAAATGGGAATGTTTTCCTAATTTCCATTTCATATTCATTGTTAATGTGTGTGCAAGTGATATTTGTATGTTAATGTTGTATTCTGAAACTTTACTGAATATGTTTATTAGTTCCAACGAAAATTTTTATGAAGTCTTTAGGGTTTTCTATACGTAAGATCATGTCATCTGCAAATAGGAGCAATTTTACTTCTTTGTGATTTAAGTACCTTTTTGTTTGTTTTTTGGCCTAATTGCTCTGGATAGGAATTCCGATGTTGCATTGAAGAGTGAGGGAAATCAAAGTATTTCATCCCCAAATATACTTCCTTGACATATTTTGAGGTGGCTGTTCAGCAAGTCTGCAAACAGAGGTAGCCCTGCAAAGCTGTCTTTGGAGGGGAGATTTGCATTTGTACGAAATCTTCATTGATGCTGCCAGGCTTTCTCTGGGGCTCTCCCTCGTCCTATCTACAAAAGATTAACTGAGAGTATAATACATTTAAAGGTCTGAAAGTCCAGGTGCAGTGGTTCATGTCTCCAATCCAAGCACTTTGGGAAGCCAAGGCAGGAGGATCACTGGAGTCCAGGAGTTCAAAATCAGCATGGGCAATCTAGTGAGACTCCATCTCAAAAAACAAAACAAAAAAAAACGGTTAGCCAGGTGTGACGGCGTGTACCTGTAGTCCCAGCTACTTGAGAGGCTGAGGCTGGAGGATTGCTTGGGACGAGGAGTTCAAGGCTGCAGACAGCCATGGTTGTGCCACTGAACTCCAGTCTGGTCAATAGAGCAAGACCCTGTCTCCACACACATGCAAAAAAAAAAAAAAAAAAAAAAAAAAAAAAAAAGATCTGAAGAAAACATTCATTCATTATTCATTCTCTCTGAAGGCTACTACCTGTGAGGTTTCACTTACATAGCAGGACCACCTTTGTTAGCCAGGCTTCCTCTTCTCCCCCTCCCATAATCTGTTTTGCTGATATCCAACCCCCATTCCTTCTGTAACCTCAAGATGGCACATAAGGTTCTGAAACCTACTGGGTGATTGGGGTAATTATGCTGTGGTTCTCTCCCATATACAAGTTAATAAATTTGTATGCCTTTTCTCCAATTAATCCACCTTTATCAGTTGATTTTTCAGTGAACCATCTGAAGATAAAGAGTAATTTTCCCTTGGCCCCTACAATAGAAAAGGTGAAAGTAAGCATCCTTGCCTTATTCCTAATCTTAGAGGAAAAGCTTTTAGTTTTTTACTATTGAGTGCGATGTTAGCTGTAGGCTTTTTATAGATGGTCTTCATTATGCTGAGATATTTTACTTCTGTTCCTAGTTTGTTGAGAGTTTTTATCATGAAGGGGTGTTGAATTTTGTCAAATGCTTTTTCTGCATCAATTGAGACAATCATGTGATTTATATCCTATATTCTGTTAATGTGGTGTATCACATAAATTGATTTTATATCCTTGCATCTTAGGGATGAATCCCACTTGGTTATGATGTATGATCCTTTTAATGTTTAATTCAGTTTGCTAGTATTTTGTTGCATCTATTTTCATGAGGGATATTGGCCTGTAATTTTCTTTTCTTGTGGTGTCTTTGTGTGGCTTTGGTATCAAGGTAATGCTGTCCTCATGTAATGAGTTTGGAAGTGTTCCCTCCTCTTCAATTTTTTGGAAGAGTTTGAGAAGAATTGGCATTAATTCCTTAAATGTTTGGTAGAATCCACCAGTGAAGCCATCTGGTCCTGAGCTTTCCCTTGTTGGGAGATTTTTGGTTACTGGTTCAATCTCCATACTAGTCATAGATCTGTTCAGACTTTCTACTTCTTCATAATTTAGTCTTTGTAGGTTGTGTATTTCTAGGAATTATCCATTGCTCCTAAGTTATCCTGTTTGATGGTATGTTATTGTTCAAAACAGATATGTTATGTTCCTTTGAATTCCTGTGATATCAGTTGCAATGTCTCTTATTTTATTTCTAATTGTATTTTAGTCTTCTTTCTTTTTTTCAGTGTAGCAGGAGTTTGCAATTTTGTTTATCTTTCCAAAAAAACAAACTCTTAGTTTATTGATTTTTTTGCTATTGTCTTTCTATTTTCTATTTTGTTTATTTCTGCTCCAATCTTTATCATTTCTTTCCTTCTGCCAACTTTGGGCTTGGTTTGTTCTTTTTTTTTTTTTTTCTATATCCTTGAGGTATAAAATTGGCTTTTTATTGAAATCTTTCTTTGGTTAATGTAGACATTTATCAGCATTAACTTCCCTGTTAAAACTGGTTTTGCCACATCACACAAGTTTTGGTATGTTGTGTTTTCATTTCCATTTGCCTTATTTTCCAATTTTCTTTTTGATTTCTATTTTGACTCAATAGTTGTTCAAGAGTATTGTTTAATTTTCACATGTTTGTGGGTTTTACTGTTTTCTTTAAGCTCTTGATTTCTAGTTTTATTCCATTGTAGTCAGAAAAGATACTTGGTATAATTCCAGTCTTTTTAAGTTTGTTAAGACTTGTTTTGTGACCTAAAATGTGATCTATCCTAGGGAAAGATCTATGTGTGCTTGAGAAGAATGTGTATTCTGCTGCTGCTGGGTGAAATATTCTGTATATATCTATTAGGCCCATTTGGCCTATAGCGTTGTTCATGTTCTCTGCTTCCTTATTGGTCTTCTGTATGGATCTTCAGTCTGTTATTAAAAGTGGGATATTTAAGTCTCCTGCTATTATCGTATTGCTATCTATTTCTCTCTTCAGTTCTGTCAATGTTTGCTTTATATATTTAGGTATTCTAATGTTGGGTACATGTATATTCATAATTGTTGTATATTCCTAGTGAATTGACTCTTTTGTCATTACATAATATTCTTCTTTGTCACCTGTGACACTTTTTTGACTTGCAGTCTATTTTGTCTGATGTAAACATAGCCACCCCTGTTCTCTTTTGGTTTTCACAGAATATCTTTTTCCATTTCTTCACTCTCAGATCATGTATATCCATAAATATAAAGCGAGTTTCTTGTAGGCAGTACATAGTTGGGTCTTATTCTATTTATCTACTTAGCCACTCTCTGTCTTTTGATTGGAGAGTTTAATTTACCTGTAATTATTAGTAGGGAAGAATATTCTATTGCCACTTTTGTTTTCTGTTAGTCTTATAGTTTTCATTGTCTTTTCCTCTTTTGCTATCTTCCTTTGTGTTTTATTGATATTTTTGTATTGATATGTTTTTATTGCTTTGTCTTTTTTTATATACCTCTATAGGTAGTTTTTGGTATGGTAACCTTGAGATTTACATAAAATATGTTGTGGTTATAATGGTCTATTTTAAGATGATAATCACTTAAGTTCAATGACACACACAAAAACTCTACATTTTAACATTTTCCCTCCACACATACACTTTAGGCTACTCTTGTTATAATTTACATGTAGTCATACTGCATATCTTTTAACTTTTTTGGTTATAGTTATACTTAATACTTTTGTCTTTTAACTTGGATACTAGAATTAAAAGTGATTTACATATCACTATTATGGTAATACAGTATTCTGCATTTGTCTTTGTATTTACCTTTATCATTAAGTTACATAAGTTTCATACTTTTTTATGCTATTATGTTGCCATGTAGCATCATTTTATTTCAACTTGAAAAGTCCTTTTAGCTTCTCTTGTAAGACAGTTCTAATGATGAACTCCCTAGGTTTTGCCTCATTGAAAAAATGATCTCTCTTTCATGCCTGAATGACAGTTTTACTGAGTATAGTATTTCTGATTGGCAGGATTTTTTTTCTTTCAGCACTTTGAATATATTATTTCCCTTCTCTTCTGGCTGCAGGGTTTCTGCTGAAAAATCTGATAATCTTATGGAGTTTCCCTTACGTGTGACAAGTAGCTTTTCTCTTGCTTTCAAAATTCTGCCTTTGCCTTTGACTTTTGACAGTTTGCTTATAATTTGTCCAGGTGTGGATTTCTTTGGATTCATCTTATTTGGTCTCCTTATGCCTTCTTTGATCTGGCTGTCCATTTCCTTCCCCAGATTTGGGAAGTTTATAGCCATTATTTCTTTGAATAAGAGTTTTTGCACTTTTTAATTTTCTTCTTCTTCTTGACTCCCATAATGTATGTATTGGTACACTTGATGGTGTCCTCTATGTCCCTTAAACTTTCTTCATTCTTTTTCATTTTTCTCTTTTTGCTCTTCTGACTGAATCATTTCTAATGACCTGTCTTTCAGTTCACTGATCCTTTCTTCTATTTAATCTAGTCTGCTCTCTAACCCCTATAGTAAGTTTTCAGTTTAGTTATTGTATTTTTTAGCTCCCTGATTTCTGTATGGTATTTAAAAAAATATTTTCTATTTCTTTTTTGAAATTCTCACTTTGTTCATGCATTGTTTCCTTGCCCTCAGTGAGCATCTTTCTGATGCTTTTTAGTTCTTAATTGTAATGATTTTAATGGAGTCTAATTTGTCAATATTTTGTTATGGTTTTATATCCTATTTTTAAAATATTTTCTACACAAGGTAATATTCTGCCATATTATTTTCTGTTGTATTTATTGTCTATCTTTCATATTTGGATCTACAATCTACATGAATAGAATTTTTGCATGTGATATAAGGTAAGAATTAATTTTTCCTCCAAATGGATATTTAACTATTGTAGAACCAATTGTTGATAAGACAATTCTTTCTTTCTCACAAGTCAAGTGATAATGTATGTGTAAGTTTGTTTATAAATTCTTTATTCTTTTCAATGGTTTATTTGTCTATCGTTGTACCAATACCATCTAACATATTTACTGTAGCTTTACAGTAAGTTTTAATACAATGTAAGTCTTCCAGCTTTGTCCTTCTTACAGATTGTCTTTCTTATTTTTACGCCATAGGAAGTTATATACATTTTAGAATCAGCCTGCCAATTTATTAAAATCCATGGGATTTTTAATGGAAGTGCATTGGTTCTATTTTGTATTTATTAATCTACTATAGATTGATACTTTTACTATTTCTTAATAATGCAACAATCTTAAACTACTTTAACACTGTTTATGTTTGTTTCTACTTTCATGCTATCATTTTCAGGCATTTTAAATTCTACATACTTTTAAACTCCAAAGACATTATTTTGTGGTTGTTATAATACATAGTAAATATTCATTTAGTTTTTTTCTTTATCTTAGTGATAATATCCCAGTAAATATTCATTTAATTTATACATGTATTTACCTTTTGTACTGCCGTCATTTCCTCTGACATTTCTGTGCTTCCATCTGAGATCTTTTCTGTTAGCTAAAGAACTCCTTTCAGTTTTTACTTTAGTGTATCAGCTGGTAGCAAATTCTCTCAACTTTTGTTTGTTTAAAAATGTCTTCATTTTGCCTTCATATTTGAAGGATGTTTTGGTGGGTATAAAAATCTAGAATAGAAAATATTTTCTTTCTGCATGTTAAACATCTCACCCAGTTGTCCTTTTGGCTTTCAGTATTTCTGTTGAAAAGTTAACTGTCAGTCTTATCGCTGCTTCTTAAAGGTTAATGTAACTTTTCAATATGGCCTCTTTTAAGATTTTCTCTTGTCTTTGATTTTAAGCCATTTGACTAGGGTGTTCCTCATATGGTTTTATGTATATTCATTCTACTTGAAGTTTGCAGTGTTTACTGAATTTGTGGCTGAATAATTTTCATCAGTTTTGGAAAACCCTCAGAGAGTATCTCTGAGAATGTTGCCTCTGTCTCATCCTCTCTTCTCTTTCATAGTTTACACTTAGAGGTATATTAAAATTTTTCACCATGTCCCATATGTCTCTTATGCCCTTTTTTTTGGTGGTTTCCAAACTTTTTTTCCTTTGTGTTTCATTGTGACATCTTCAACTGGTCTACACTTAAGTTCTCTAATAATTTTTCCCGGTATGTCTATTTTTCTGTCAAGTTCATCTGAGTTACATATTTCAGTTGCTGTAGTTTTCAGTTGTAGAAATTTCATTTAATTCTTATTTATAGATTCCAGATCTCTGGTGAAATTCTCTGTTGTCATTTAATTTTTGCATATTAATTCATAGTATTCCATTAATTTTTATAATTAATATAATTTTTAATTATATTAATTATAGTTAAAGACTGTGTCCAATACCTTTGTATCTGAATTGCCTGTGGGGCTGCTTCTATTGTGTATTTCTTTCTCTTGCTTCTCTTTCTGGCATGTCTAGTGATTTTTAACTGAATGCTGAACATTATGTATAAGAAATTGTAGATTTGGGTGATGTTATCTTTCTCCAGAGAAATTTTAATTTTCTTCTGGCTGGCAGTTAAACTAGAAAAAAAACCACCTGCCTGAGTAATGCTTGAGATTGGCTGCTTCTATTGTCTGTTTCTTTCTCTTGCTTCCCTTTCTGGCATGTTTAGTGATTTTTAACTGAATGCTGAGCATTATGTATAAGAAATTGTAGATTTGGGTGATGTTATCTTTCTCCAGAGAAATTTTAATTTTCTTCTGGCTGGCAGTGAAAGTTGAAAAAAAATCACCTGCCTGAGCAATGATTGAGATGATTCAAGACTTGATTTTGGTTTTCATAAGGGCTCATCTATACTAGGTCTGCCCTTAATTCTGAGGTATATCCTTTAGACATCTCAAGTGAAGGCCTTAGTTTTTACAGGGTTACTCTTACTTGTTGTATCCTGAACTCCACTGATTTCTACATCTCCCTGCAGTACCATGAGATTGCAGAAAGTCCTGTGTTGCTTTGTTGCTTATAGTCTCTTTATGTTGGCCCATGCAACTTAGAAACTGGCAAATACCTCAGGTGAAAGCAAGGCAGAATAGAGGGGTCACTTCTCTGAGGTTCTCTTTTCTCTGGGATCCTAATTTTCCAAGTCCACATCTGCCTTAGTAGCCCTGAACTCCAAATTTTGCCCACGAGATTGCCAAAAATTCTGATTCATTGCTTCTCTCTCAATCTCTTGGCCTTGTTCTGCTTGTAAATCAGCCAATACCTCAAAAATGAAAGCATCAGAAAATATTGAGCTTGACTTTTCTTCAGGATCATGGCCCCTCAAGGCCTGGCTGCTTTGGTTGTTCTCCAATGCCTTCAAGGAGTAGTTTGCTTTTTTATTTTTATAAAGCTTTTATAGTTGTTCTCAAGGGGAAATATATTCTCATAGAAGCTATTTTATCATAGCCAGAAGTAGAAGTTGATTGGTTATTTTTAAAGTCCCCCAGTTGGCTGTAATATGTAATCATAATTAAGAAACTCTACCATAACTTATCGTACTCTCTCATACACATGCAATTTCCTCTGCCAGGAAAACCATTTTACATTCTCTGCTTGACTGACTTCTAGAGGAGCCTTTTCTTACCTAAGGACAGATGGGGTTAGTGGCCATTCTACATAAGCTCATAAAACATTATGTCTATCCTATTTCAGCATTTATCTCCCTGTATTCTAATTTGTGTGCTTTTGCACTTATCTCTTACATCAGACTAGGAGTTCCTTGTGGACAGGAGTCATCTCATTTTTTGTTGTATCTTGTAAGTATTTAATAAATTATTTTGAATATATCATACTGCTCTTTAGCGAGAAACCATCTCTCCAGTTGGGCTGTCTTTCTCACTCTTCCCAAACAACAGACCTTTCTCCCTTTTCAATTCCATGGAATAGCTTTTGGATCCATCCCAGCACATATGGCCTTTTGATCCTCTGAGGCCAATTTAACTTCTCACTTTCCTTGGCTTAATCAGTACAAAGCATCACTAAGCCTGCTACCAACCTTGAATATCCTTCATGCTTCCCCTTTTATTTTCATATATGCATGGCACTATCTTTCTGTTAAATATACATATGTGTGTGTCTTTTTTGGTCATATTAATTCAATCGGTGAATAACCACAAATTGAGCTAGTAATATAGACCAGGCTGTGATGGAAGGTATGGCAGATTTTATTCTTCGAAGCTCAGCTCAAAGATTATTACCTTTGGAAAATTTCTTTCCAGGTCTGCTATTCTTTGGAATGGTAGTGTTCCTGTACCCAGAGTTTATAGGCTGATAAGAAAAGTTAAATGACCTCCTTATTCCATCCAGAAAGTGATGGAGAATATTTCCTGCATTACCCTAACCTTCTCCTCTAATGCTGAGATAGTGATATCATGTAGAAATTTTTCTAGATATATACTAGGAGAATGGGGGAAAAGGAAATCAAAACTTCTTGACAGCCCAAAGAAAAATATCTTCCTACCAGAGCAGCTGTTGCTAAGTTTAGTTAATGTGTGTCCTGTCACTGAGGAAATAGGAGCTTTCCTTTAAATGTCTTTTTGTTGTTGTTTGATTGCTTGCCCATTCGAGTACTGATTAGCTTGTTTTACAAGTGCATAATTTGCAAGGTGTGTGTGTGTGTGTCCATGTGTACATGCACGTGTGCATGTGTGTGTCCATGTGTACATGCACGTGTGCATGTGTGTGTGCACATGTGCTTGGGGGGGGAACGGGGAAAGACATTGTCATTCTCATAGTTGTGACTCTAGCTAGGCTCCTTCAGTGCCCTTACTACATTTCTCCACTGGTATTGGAATAATATTATGGATAGTAATACAATAGAGTGTAGAGAGAATCTAGCCTCTTGTCTGTCCTGTCTTTTAAGCATCAAGTGTCTTTTCGTGGTTCCCCTAGAGAAGAAAATGTAAATCCTGAGACCACTCCATGACAGTCTTGCAAAGGTCAAACACAGGTTCAGTAAAGACATCCTAGAGAGGGACACTCACTTCAAAATGAAGGATCCAGGTACATAGCTGCATTTCTCTTTTCAGGGAGCAAGGAACATATTTTATTTATTTTTGTATTTCCATGGTATCCACTGCAGTGATTTCCACACACAAAAAGTTGGGAAACAAATTCAAATAATGATAGAGAACTAGAAAGATTGTCATCTGCCTTGGATGGATGGGATTTGACCCTGGCCAGAAGGAGGGGAAGGTATCACATGAGCTCTCTGGATAATTTTCAGCCCTGGAAGAGATAAGTGAGACACCCAAAATCCCTTTCGGACTTCATCTATCTTTCCCCTACTTAATTCTGCATATTTCCAGTTCTCTGTAGATTGACACCAACAACCATATTCCAGGCTAATGATTACCAATGGTTGCAACTATAAGGCTCATTTTTCATGACAAAAAAATTCCTGTTGGACATACACGTTGTTAGCTGGACTTTTAAAATCCACTGATTGAGAAAACACATGACAAAATCAACTATGAATCTAGTGTCACATTTTTAAGATATATAAACCGGAGTATCATCTGCACATATTTAAAAATTAGCATAAATATCTGTGTGTGACATTATATATCAAGCATACAGACAATATTTGATGTTTAAATGGATTTTCAGATCCCTTGAAATAACTCCCATCCTTTGTTCCTTATTCTCTCCCTCCATCCCCTTTGCTCACACTTCCTTCATCCTGTGGCACTCTTCCTGAAGGACTTCATCTCCCTTGCATTTGAACCTGATTCTTTTCGGCCTCTAAAAAATATCAGACCTCTTCTCCCTTTTTTGCCTGGCCTGCCTTTCCTGCTCCTTTCCAATAGCCATTGCTTAGCCATCCCTTCCTTTGAAATCAAATTGTTCCCTGTGTCCTTTCGGAGGCCTCTCAAACTTCCTTAGCCTTGTGCAGCCTTGGCCTGACTCCTGGCTGTCAGCATCTCTCACTCACCCTGAGTCCATTGAGCATAAGAAGAGGTTTTCTTAAACTATCCTTGTTTGATTGCCTGTTCTGGCCCCAGTTAGTTCTGTTTTACAAGTCCTAATTTTGCAGGAATTCATCAGTGAATACGTGGAGACCTCTAGTTATGTCTGTCCTTTGTGAGCAACTCAGGTCTAGGCCCTGCGTCTTGAGAAGTTTCCATAAATATTTACTGGGAGGGATAACATTATGAAGTGAGTGACATTTGTATTCTCAGATAACCACTATTTACAGAACCTAATGAATCTATGCAAATTAGATGAGCATGAGAGCATTTTGTGGCCTTCCAGGGAAACTGCCCTGGTTTTATTGTCTAGGCCAACCCCAGACCAAGAGTGTGATAGCAAAGGGCTGAACTTTGCTATCCTGTAAACTTCACTCCTGTAGGTTTTATTTTGCCTCATGGACCCCACAGAACTAGCCTGTCCCCTCTTTCAGAAGGTAGCCCTCCACAAATCAGACAACAATTTTTCCCCTTTGTCTTCACCCACTTCTGAGGTTGGTGATCAGATGGTCAGACCTTAGCGGTCTGACTGCTGACCTGATCACTCCCCGGTGAACATCACCTTGTTCACCCACATCCCTCTTAAAATGCAGGGCCCAGAATAGAAAAGTACTGCTCAAGATGCAAAGAGGTGATACAGAGTGTGAAGAACACTTGCCTCCCCCACACTAATCATTATGACCTAAACCCACACCTCAGTTTACAAAAGCAGTGTTGGCATAGGGTGTCATAAGAACCGCCATTTATAACTGTACATCTTTGGAGAGAACTTTAGCTTTTCTGAGCTATAGATTTCCAAGCAAAAAATATGCCCAACTCTATTTGTCACCAAGGAAGTACAAATTTAAATCCATAGTGCAGTATACTAGAACTACTAGAAAGATTAAAACAACAGAGGCAATATCAAGTGATGGGGAAGATGTAGAGCAACTGAAATTCACAAACATTACTGGTAGAGTAACTGGTCATCACTTTCGAAAAACTGACAGCCTCTTCCATAGCTGACCCAGCAATGCCATTCTTAGGGATATGCTCGAGAGAAAAAACTACACAGGTCCATGAAGAGACATGTCCAAGGGTGTTCACAGAAGCACTATTCACAATATCCCTAAATGGGAAACAACCTGAATATCCTCCAACAATGAACATAGTGATGTAGTCACATGATGAAATACTATAGGAAGTGAGAGTGAATAAACTCCATGTACAGGACTCAGTATGAATGAACCTCATAAACAAATGCTGACTGAAAGAAGCCAGACACAAAGGAGCATGTGGTACATGGTTACACTTACATACAGCCCAAAAGCAAACAAATTTAATCTCTGCTGCTAGAAGTCAGAATAGTGGCTACTCGTAGGGTAGGAATTTTGATGAGAAGAGAGCATTACTTCATTGTACCTTCCCAATAACTCTATAAGACGTGTAATCTCCACTACCAATGAAGAAAGTAATACATGGAAAGATTAAGCTATTTGCGCAAAGGTAGAGATACTGAATTAGAACTTTGCATTAGAGGTGGGACTGATTCATGCGCTTACCCACTAGACTTTTTGTCTTGAATCAGGTCCCAGAAGTGTTTGGATTGATGAAGTCTGACCCAACTTGCATGGCTTGCAGGACTCCTGAACTTTGGTTTGCTTTTTGCCCACATGTCTGCCTGCATACTGCCCATCTAGTACTGATGCTCTGCCTTTTCCTGATCTCCAATGACAGCACAGCTCTAGACTCCTGGCTGGAAAACCAGGATGACTGTGTGCTGAATATTCTGCTCCTGCTATTCATCTAGTGGGCCCTGTTCATGGATCTGGCATTGACAAGATGCCAAGAAGAAAATGAAGAAAATGAATAAAGAGAAAAGGTCACCCCCTGAAAGGAAGCCTTTGTATACTACAGAAACTCCAACTTTCAACCTGCAAATCTCTGTGGAGTTTTCAACCTTCATGGCTGAGTCCAGAGAAGAAATCTGGCTGAGAGCTTGAGACCACCCCTTGAAAAAAAATTAAATCAAGTTCTCAAATGTTCCTAGTTTTGGCTTTCAGCTGTATGGTATTTCAGAGATTTCTGGCTCTTCTTAAAATCTGTTAGCAATCCCCAAATCTACAAACAGGCTTTAGAAGACAGGGATGGGGAGGGCAGTGAGAAAGATTGTTTCAGGAGCAATCCATCTGTAAGGAAAAGCTGAAACTTAAATTAGATACAGCTGAAAATATCTCAATCCTACAAGACGAGTCTTGACACAAGTCCTGCGGTAGAAGCATTCTGTGTGCTGAAGGAATTACTCTAAAATGCTTTTCCTTTCTTATTGTCCACTTACTTGCTTGAAAAGCCCTCTTTTGAAACTCTGCATTTTACATCAATGCAACACCTTTTTGGATTCTAACAGGAGACATTTTTTTCGGTTGGAGCCAGGGGTGTCCCTGGAATTTTGGCTGACCTGAGCCAATGTGAATCATCAACACTCTGAGAAGACTCAGCCCCAGCCAAGGAGACCAGAGTGACCATAACAAGACTAAAAATCATCCAAATTAAAATTGAACTGGACCAATGAAGTCATTGGTTTTTCCCTCCAAGAAGCAGTCCAGATTTTCTGTTTTACCTCTTTGGGCTCATAATGATCAAATACTCGACTTCTCACCACCTCCTCTTTGAAGTTCCTACAAATTTCAGAGTTTTGCAGGCAGGGATAATGTTTGCTGGGTACTGATCCACGTCAGTGAAATAATCCATCCACTCTTATTCTCAAGAATCCCTGTTCTCATCTCTGGATTTCAGTTTTCCAGATTTGTAAAATGGCAGCTAACTAAAATGGGTTTGAGTTAAAAATGAAAGCAATGAAACTTCAGTTTATCGGGATGTTTTCTCTTATTTCAAAGAAGGTCTGGGTGACACCAGATGACTTAAAACCAAGTAGACCACAGGATATCAAGAAATTAAGGGACAATGTTTGGGGATCCAGTCAAACTCCAACCTTCCCACACGGTTTAGTCTCCCAAAATGCTGGTTCACTTCTTCCATATGCAAAAAAAAAAAACAAAAAAAAAAAAACAAATTCCATTTGCAAAATCAGCCAGATCTAATCTGAACTCTCCTATTTGTCACAGCTATCTAGAGTTATCGTGCTCCACCAACAGACCACTTCCTCAGACACATTCTTCAGGAAAATCATATAATTTATTGGCATAATGGTATTTTTTCAAAAGAAGTATTTCATTTTAATAAAGATGTGTATCACCATATTTAATCAATCAGGCTGATTGACAACAGCAATAGTTGAGTCTTCCAGCAGATGCTGCTGCTACCTCATTCTTATTCCAGTTTCATTTCTCAATCAAATCCATGTGTAAAAAACATAATGTGCTGCCAACACAATGTAATAAAACCTCAACTGAAATGCACACCAGCACGTCAGAAACTGATAACTCAAAGTATGGGAAAAATTAACTTCAGAAAAATCACTTATGACACCCGGGTATTCAAGTTTTATGGACAAGAGAGGCATCATCTCACTATAGCTAACATGAATAGGCCAAATTCGTGGATTTGTCCTGAAACAGAAAATAATAATCTCTAAAGCAAGATTTTCCAAAAGCTGGCAGTAGAAGCCTTTTTTTTTTTTTTTTTTTTTTTTTTTTTTTTTTGAGACGGAGTCTCGCTCTGTCGCCCAGGCTGGAGTGCAGTGGCGGGATCTCGGCTCACTGCAAGCTCCGCCTCCCGGGTTCACGCCATTCTCCCGCCTCAGCCTCCCAAGTAGAAGCCTTTTTAAGCAGCCCAGAAATCACCCTTAAAATTGGCTGAGTTTGTAAGAGATGCACCATTTGTGTCGTGGAGCAATAAATTAGGACTTAAGCAACATTTTTTTTTATGGTGGTACAGACTGGTTAAAGATGATGTATCACTGGTTGTCACAGATAGAACCAGCAGTTTTCAAAGTTAATGATTCATAAAGGAATAAAGGTAACCTAATTATAGCAATACCAGGGACAGACCCAGTTACTCAAATTCTGAACTCCTCCAGATTTCAGACTGGGGGATGTACTTCTGTAAAACTTTATTCTTGTAAAACCTGAGTTAGGGAGCAGAGATATGAGTCCCTACAAAAAGTAATAGATCCATATTCCAGAGACCTGTAAGTGTACTGGGTTGAATGATGTCCCTCCAAAATTCATGTCCACCCAGAACCTCAGCATGTGACCTTATTTAAAAATAGGCTCATCATAAATGTAATTAATTAAGACGAAGTCATACTGGAGTAGAGTGGGCCCTATATACAGTGACTGGTGCCCTTATAAGAAATCCACATGAACACATAAACATAATTGAAGACAGACATGTGAAGACAGAAGCCAAAATTGCAGTGACACAGCTACAAGCCAAGGATTGCCAAGAATTGCCAGCCAGCAACCAGAAACTAGGAAGAGGCAAAGAAGGACTCCTAGAGCCTTAAGAGAGAACATGGCCCTGCAGACACCTTGACTTTGTACTTATGGCCTCCAGAACTGTGAAAGAATAATTTCCTGTTGCTTTAAGCTATCCAGTTTGTGGTTGTTTGTTACAGCAGCCCTACGCAAATAATACAGTAATAAGCAAAAACTAAGACCAAATGTCCAAGACGAAGGCAGGGGGCAAAAGTCAGCCACAGGGATCAGAATGCCTTTTAAGGATAAGAAATGTAGGAAGCTGGGTTCCAAGGATGGCTTTCATCATGCTGTTTCCTCACCCAGAAATATGTCATGGCCCACATAACCTAGGGAGAAACTCTTAATTCTTCATTTAAAAATTCAAACCTTCCACAACGAAGATTCTCAAACCACATGCCTCAACATGATAAACAGATCATAACACAACGTAATAATGTAAGCATTTAAACAATATCCGCAGCTCAGCTAAGTAAACCGTTTGTTTGTTTGTTTGTTTTTTGAGATGCAGTCTCGCTCTGTCACCCAGGCTGGAGTGCAATGGCATCACCTCGGCTCACTGTAACCTCCACCTCCCAGGCTCAAGCAATTCTCCTGTCTCAGCCTCCTGAGTATCTGGGATTACAGGCATGTGCCATCATGCCTGGCTAACTTTTGTATTTTCAGTAGAGACGGGGTTTCACCATATTGGTCAGGCTGGTCTTGAACTCCTGACCTCATGATCCATCTGCCTCGGCCTCCCAAAGTGCTGGGATAAGCAAACCTTTTATAGAAAAATGAAGCCTGAGACCTTTTGCTGTGTTAGAGAACAGGGATGAGTCATAGATAAGGGAATGGATCCACAGTCCATCAGGGAAAACCACACATCTACAGCTGATCATAATCCCTTTATGCACGATCTGATCACACAGAAAGACATAGATATATTTCAATATTTATACAGATGTATAATCTCCTGCCACAGCTAGTTTCTGTGTGTAACAAACTCTTACTGAACACTAGCCAGGCACTGCCTAGGGCTTTCACAGACATTTGACAGTGCCGACTGGCTTCACCCCTTTCTGTGACACCACTGGTGTTCACAATAAGCATCCATCTGAGGGCTGCCTACGCTGCCTTCTGGAACCAATGGGAATCAAATAGGGCAGACTATAAAGAGCCACAAGTTCACAAACCAGCTGTGTTTTGCAGTACGTTTTGGTTGACCTATGCCCAAGGGCCGAGGTTCCAGCATGCCCCTGCAGTAATGTCAGGTGTAGCCAGGCCCTCCTGTTCTCATTTTCTTGGGTCATCCAGACCTGTCATCCAGGGCACTGGCTACCTGTGGAAATACGCATGACTTTTATACAACTGGGGACTTTGGTCAGCATTTATTTGCCAGTCTTAGTCCTCAGGTTCTCTATTAAAGCTACCAGCACCCCCGACGCATGCACACACCCACACACAAAACATTCGTATGTGCCTGGAATCATTTTTTCTGGACTTTTGTCCCCTCCCTTATCAGATGTATCCCCTTGGGTGTCATCTTATGCCCCACTTTTCAGGAACCAGACTGGTTGAACCACAGTCTTTTGTGGGAGAAAGCTCTGCCTCCACATTCCACTTGCTTAAAGTTTTGACAGCCCCAACGGGATGAACAAACCTCCAAAAAGAGGAAAAGCCCAAGAGACTTTGTCCCTTCTGGGCTTCAGTAGGAAGAAAGAAAGTCTAACTCAGAAGCGAAAGAGAAAATCTAGAGTCAGAGGCTTAAATGGACAACTCGCATTAGACTAGGACCAAGAAATATAAGAACAAGGTAAAAGCCAGGACACAAGGACACCAAGGGCTCCCTGCACAAGCACGGCCCTGGAGCTCCTACTTCTTACCTTCCTGCCAGAGGCTGCATTGAGCAAGGGACAGGCATGCAGATGACTGTGCATCCTTATCCAAGAGCATTCATGAGAGCTGTGCCTGCCACACACGCAGACAGATAGGCATCATCTGTGGAGACCACCATCGCCTAGAAAGATTTTGTCAGAAAATAGGAAGGAGGAGAAAGTTTGGAGCAACAGTTGGGGACCAGGAAGCAGATCACTGAGTTTATCACCCTGGTCGATGCCTTGCTTTGCTGGGTCTCAGTTTCCTCACAAATGAAAGTAGTACTTGTCCAAAAAGGATTGTGCAGTGAAAAGAGCTCAGCGTTGGGGTTTGGTAGACCTGCTTTGCACTTAAGCTTTGCCATTTCCTAGCTTAGTATCTTAGACACTTTTTGTAATTTCTGAGCCACAGTTTCTTCATCTAAAAGTGGAGGTTATAAGAAAACACAATAAATCATATATATAAAGTTACTGGCTTTACAAAGTAGGTACTGTTAATGACAACTTTCATTATCTACCTCACAGTGATAATTTTTATAAACAGCAAAAAAGGTAATGCAGGCTGGGTGATTATAAAACAGTGAGGCTCATTTTGTACATTGACTTGAGTGTCTTCCCTTTTACAGTGCACACCTTGGGAAAGCAGACACTTCAAATGATGCTGCCATTACTCACCAAAAAAAAAAAAAAAGGAGATCCTCCACAAGAACAGAAAACCAAACATCACATGTTCTCACTCATAAGTGAGAGTTGAACAATGAGAATACATGGACACAGGGAGGGGAACATCACACACCAGGACCTGTCGTGGGGTTGGGGGCAAGGGGAGGGAGAGCATTAGGACAAATACCTAATGCATGCAGGGCTTAAAACCTAGATGACGTGTTGATAGGTACAGCAAACCACCATGGCACATGTATACCTATGTAACAAACCTGCACATTCTGCACATGTATCCCAGAACTTAAAGTAAAATTTAAAAATAAAAAAAGGAGATCCTCTCTTGTGGTTTTTATTCACAGCCTACAACCTTCTGTGAGAGTTTCAATAGCAATTTCAGAGACGTTCAGAAAGCAGTAAGAGAGAAATTAGGGAAGGAATTTAGCAAAGTAACAATTAACATAATTCCAGGGGCTGAAGAGAAACACAAATATTGATCAGAATTAATTAAAAGAAGACTAAGACCTTGCCATGCCATGGTTAAATAGCAAATCACCCAAGATAGCACCCCTGAGATACTGGGTGGCCATGGGGAAATAAACAGGTAACTGTAAAGAAATTTGAATCTAACAGGACTGGACTTCTCATCAGCAATGAAGGATGCTAGAAGACACTAGAATACAGGCTTCAAAATATGAAAGTAAAATTATTTTGGACCTAGAATTCTATATCCAGCTTAAGAATGAGAAAAATACATCTTCAACATCTTATGGTTGCAAAAAAGAAAGAAGGAAGAAAGGAAGAAAGGAAGAAAAAGAAAGAGAGAGACAGAGAAAGAAAGAAAGAAACAGAGAAAGAACCATAAAATAAGAAAAAAAACCATAATTTTCAGACAATCAAGGGTTCAGAATATTTACCTCACCCATACATTTTCTAAAGAATTTACCTGGGCTAGGCATGATAGCTCACGCCTATAATCCCAGCACCTTGGAGGGCCAAGATGGGACAATCACTTGAGCCCAAGGGTTCAAGACAAGCCTGGGCAATATAGTGAGACCCCCGTTTCTACAAAAAATAAGAAAATCAGCTGGACACAGTGGTGCATGCCTGTAGTCCTAGCTACTTAAGAGGCCGAGGTAGGAGGATTGCTTGGGCCTGAGAGGTTGAGGCTGCAGTGAGCCGAGATTGTGCCACTGCACTCCAGCCTGGGTGACAAAACAAGATCCTGTCTCAAAAAAAAAAAAATCTATATGTATATCTATATCTATCTATATCTATATATATCTATATCTATCTATCGATCTATCTATATACATAGAATCTATTTACATATATATAAATTTCCTGAGGATGTACTCCCTCAAAAGGAGGTGGGAGGGAAAAATTGGCAAAAACCAAGAAAGACAGAACTATGAATTATAGAAAAGTGTACAGCCAACCAGAATGTTGATGAAAAGAATTCCCTGGATAGGAAGTCTACTAAAAGTCTTGAAAGCAATTATAGAAAACTACTGAGTTTCAAGAAGATTGTCTTAAGGAGAACAAGTCTGAGAAATTAATAAAATTTCTACAGAGCTGGATGATATTTGGAATATAGTCAGAGAGATGTATGTTCTTTCTTCTACAAGAAAATATGGAAAGAATCAAAACTCATGGAAATAAAATTTGTACAAGAGCATTATTATATAAATAGAATACCAAAGGAAGATAAATTATTATATCAAAAATACACCTGTACTCATGTTTATTGCAGCACTAGTCACAATAGCAAAACCATGGAATCAACCTAATCGGCAACAGATAATTAGATAAAGACAATGTGGTGTATGTACACCATAGAATACTATGCAGCCATAAAAAGAATGAAATCATGTCTTTTGAACCAATGTGGATGGAGCTGGGGGCCATTATTCTAAGTGAACAAACTCAGAAACAGAATATCAGATACCGCGTATTCTCACTTGTAAGTGGGAGCTAAACAATGGGTACACGAGGACATAAAGACTAAAATAATAGACACTACCTGTAATACCAGCATTTTGGGAGGCTGAGGCAGGCAGATCACTTGAGGTCAGGAGTTGGAGACCAGCCTGGCCAACATGGTGAAACCCCATCTCTCCTAAAAATATAAAAATTAGCCAGCAGTGGTGGCAGGTGCCTGTAATCCCAGCTACTCAGGAGGCTAAGGCAGGAGAATCACTTGAAGCTGGGAGGCGGAGGTTGCAGTGAGCTGAGATCACTGCATTGCAGCCTGCCCAACAGAGCGAGACTCCATCTCAAAAAAAAAAAAAAAAATAGACACTGGGGACTCCAAATTGGGGGAGGGAGAGAGAGGTGAGGGTTAAAAAATTACCTATTGGTGCGGGGAGGAGCCAAGATGGCCGAATATGAACAGCTCCTGTCTACAGCTCCCAGCGTGAGCAACGAAGAAGACGGGTGATTTCAGCATTTCCATCTGAGGTACCGGGTTCATCTCACTAGGGAGTGCCAGACAGTGGGTGCAGGTCAGTGGGTGAGCGCACCATGCGCGAGCCCAAGCAGGGCGAGGCATTGCCTCACTTGGGAAGCGCAAGGGGTCAGGGAGTTCCCTGTCTGAGTCAAAGAAACGGGTGACGGACGGCACCTGGAAAATCGGGTCACTCCCACCCGAATACTGCGCGTTTCCGACGGGCTTAAAAAAACGGTGCACCACGAGATCATATCCCGCACCTGGCTCGGAGGGTCCTACGCCCACGGAGTCTCGCTGATTGCTAGCACAGCAGTCTGAGATCAAACTGCAAGGCGGCAGCGAGGCTGGGGGAGGGGCGCCCGCCATTGCCCAGGCTTGATTAGGTAAACAAAGCAGCCAGGAAGCTCGAACTGGGTGGAGCCCACCACAGCTCAAGGAGGCCTGCCTGCCTCTGTAGGCTCCACCTCTGGGGGCAGGGCACAGACAAACAAAAAGACAGCAGTAACCTCTGCAGACTTAAATGTCCCTGTCTGACAGCTTTGAAGAGAGCAGTGGTTCTCCCAGCACGCAGCTGGAGATCTGAGAAGGGGCAGACTGCCTCCTCAAGTGGGTCCCTGACCCCTGACCCCCGAGCAGCCTAACTGGGAGGCACCCCCCAGCAGGGGCACACTGACACCTCACACGGCAGGGTATTCCAACAGACCTGCAGCTGAGGGTCCTCTCTGTTAGAAGGAAAACTAACAAACAGAAAGGACATCCACAGGAAAAACCCATCTGCACATCACCATCATCAAAGACCAAAAGTAGATAAAAACCACAAAGATGGGGAAAAAACAGAACAGAAAAACTGGAAACTCTAAAAAGCAGAGCGCCTCTCCTCCTCCAAAGGAACGCAGTTCCTCACCAGCAACGGAACAAAGCTGGATGGAGAATGACTTTGACGAGCTGAGAGAAGAAGGCTTCAGACGATCAAATTACTCTGAGCTACGGGAGGACATTCAAACCAAAGGCAAAGAAGTTGAAAACTTTGAAAAAAATTTAGAAGAATGTATAACTAGAATAACCAATACAGAGAAGTGCTTAAAGTAGCTGATGGAGCTGAAAACCAAGGCTCGAGAACTACGTGAAGAATGCAGAAGCCTCAGGAGCCGATGCGATCAACTGGAAGAAAGGGTATCAGCGATGGAAGATGAAATGAATGAAATGAAGCGAGAAGGGAAGTCTAGAGAAAAAAGAATAAAAAGAAATGAGCAAAGCCTCCAAGAAATATGGGACTATGTGAAAAGACCAAATCTACGTCTGATTGGTGTACCTGAAAGTGATGGGGAGAATGGAACCAAGTTGGAAAACACTCTGCAGGATATTATCCAGGAGAACTTCCCCAATCTAGCAAGACAGGCCAACGTTCAGATTCAGGAAATACAGAGAACGCCACAAAGATACTCCTCGAGAAGAGCAACTCCAAGACACATAATTGTCAGATTCACCAAAGTTGAAATGAAGGAAAAAATGTTAAGGGCAGCCAGAGAGAAAGGTCGGGTTACCCTCAAAGGGAAGCCCATCAGACTAACAGCAGATCTCTCGGCAGAAACCCTACAAGCCAGAAGAGAGTAGGGGCCAATATTCAACACTCTTAAAGAAAAGAATTTTCAACCCAGAATTTCATATCCAGCCAAACTAAGCTTCATAAGTGAAGGAGAAATAAAATCCTTTACAGACAAGCAAATGCTGAGAGATTTTGTCACCACCAGGCCTGCCCTAAAAGAGCTCCTGAAGGAAGCACTAAACATGGAAAGGAACAACTGGTACCAGCCGCTGCAAAATCATGCCAAAATGTAAAGACCATCAAGACTAGGAAGAAATTGCATCAACTAACGAGCAAAATAACCAGCTAACATCATAATGACAGGATCAAATTCACACATAACAATATTAACTTTAAATGTAAATGGACTAAATGCTCCAATTAAAAGACACAGACTGGCAAATTGGATAAAGAGTCAAGACCCATCAGTGTGCTGTATTCAGGAAACCCATCTCACGTGCAGAGACACACATAGGCTCAAAATAAAAGGATGGAGGAAGATCTACCAAGCAAATGGAAAACAAAAAAAGGCAGGGGTTGCAATCCTAGTCTCTGATAAAACAGACTTTAAACCAACAAAGATCAAAAGAGACAAGGCCATTACATAATGGTAAAGGGATCAATTCAACAAGAAGAGCTAACTGTCCTAAATATATATGCACCTAATACAGGAGCACCCAGATTCATAAAGCAAGTCCTGAGTGACCTACAAAGAGACTTAGACTCCCACACATTAATAATGGGAGACTTTAACACCCCACTGTCAACATTAGACAGATCAACGAGACAGAAAGTCAACAAGGATACCCAGGAATTGAACTCAGCTCTGCACCAAGTGGACCTAATAGACATCTACAGAACTCTCCACCCCAAATCAACAGAATATACATTTTTTTCAGCACCACAACACACCTATTCCAAAATTGACCACATAGTTGGAAGTAAAGCTCTCCTCAGCAAATGTAAAAGAACAGAAATTATAACCAACTATCTCTCAGACCACAGTGCAATCAAACTAGAACTCAGGATTAAGAATCTCACTCAAAACCGCTCAACTACATGGAAACTGAACAACCTGCTCCTGAATGACTACTGGGTACATAACGAAATGAAGGCAGAAATAAAGATGTTCTTTGAACCCAACGAGAACAAAGACACAACATACCAGAATCTCTGGGACGCATTCAAAGCAGTGTGTAGAGGGAAATTTATAGCACTAAATGCCCACAACAGAAAGCAGGAAAGATCCAAAATTGACACCCTAACATCACAATTGAAAGAACTAGAAAAGCAAGAGCAAACACATTCAAAAGCTAGCAGAAGGCAAGAAATAACTAAAATCAGAGCAGAACTGAAGGAAATAGAGACACAAAAAACCCTTCAAAAAATTAATGAATCCAGGAGCTGGTTTTTTGAAAGGATCAACAAAATTGATAGACCGCTAGCAAGACTAATAAAGAAAAAAAGAGAGAAGAATCAAATAGACGCAATAAAAAATGATAAAGGGGATATCACCACCGATCCCACAGAAATACAAACTACCATCAGGGAATACTACAAACACCTCTACGCAAATAAACTAGAAAATCTAGAAGAAATGGATAAATTCCTGGACACATACACTCTCCCAAGACTAAACCAGGAAGAAGTTGAATCTCTGAATAGACCAATAACAGGAGCTGAAATTGTGGCAATAATCAATAGCTTACCAATCAAAAAGAGTCCAGGACCAGATGGATTCACAGCCGAATTCTACCAGAGGTACAAGGAGGAACTGGTACCATTCCTTCTGAAACTATTCCAATCAATAGAAAAAGAGGGAATCCTCCCTAACTCATTTTATGAGGCCAGCATCATTCTGATACCAAAGCCAGGCAGAGACACACCAAAAAAAGAGAATTTTAGACCAATATCCTTGATGAACATTGATGCGAAAATCCTCAATAAAATACTGGCAAACCGAATCCAGCAGCACATCAAAAAGCTTATCCACCATGATCAAGTGGGCTTCATCCCTGGGATGCAAGGCTGGTTCAATATACGCAAATCAATAAATGTAATCCAGCATATAAACAGAGCCAAAGACAAAAACCACATGATTATCTCAATAGATGCAGAAAAAGCCTTTGACAAAATTCAACAACCCTTCATGCTAAAAACTCTCAATAAATTAGGTATTGATGGGACATATTTCAAAATAATAAGAGCTATCTATGACAAACCCACAGCCAATATCATACTGAATGGGCAAAAACTGGAAGCATTCCCTTTGAAAACTGGCACAAGACAGGGATGCCCTCTCTCACCACTCCTATTCAACATAGTGTTGGAAGTTCTGGCCAGGGCAATTAGGCAGGAGAAGGAAATAAAGGGTATTCAATTAGGAAAAGAGGAAGTCAAACTGTCCCTGTTTGCAGACGACATGATTGTATATCTAGAAAACCCCATTGTCTCAGCCCAAAATCTCCTTAAGCTGATAAGCAACTTCAGCAGTCTCAGGATACAAAATCAATGTACAAAAATCACAAGCATTCTTATACACCAACAACAGACAAACAGAGAGCCAAATCATGAGTGAACTCCCATTCACAATTGCTTCAAAGAGAATAAAATACCTAGGAATCCAACTTACAAGGGATGTGAAGGACCTCTTCAAGGAGAACTACAAACCACTGCTCAAGGAAATAAAAGAGGATACAAACAAATGGAAGAACATTCCATGTTCATGGGTAGGAAGAATCAATATCGTGAAAATGGCCCTACTGCCCAAGGTAATTTGTAGATTCATTGCCATCCCCATCAAGCTACCAATGACTTTCTTCACAGAATTGGAAAAATCTACTTTAAAGTTCATATGGAACCAAAAAAGAGCCTGCATCACCAAGTCAATCCTAAGCCAAAAGAAAAAAGCTGGAGGCATCACACTACCTGACTTCAAACTATACTACAAGGCTACAGTAACCAAAACAGCATGGTACTGGTACCAAAACAGAGATATAGATCAATGGAACAGAACAGAGCCCTCAGAAATAACGCCGCATATCTACAACTATCTGATCTTTGACAAACCTGAGAAAAACAAGCAATGGGGAAAGGATTCCCTATTTAATAAATGGTGCTGGGAAAACTGGCTAGCCATATGTAGAAAGCTGAAACTGGATCCCTTCCTTACACTTTATACAAAAATCAATTCAAGATGGATTAAAGACTTAAATGTTAGACCTAAAACCATAAAAACCCTAGAAGAAAACCTAGGCATTACCATTCAGGACATAGGCATGGGCAAGGGCTTCATGTCTAAAACACCAAAAGCAATGGCAACAAAAGCCAAAATTGACAAATGGGATCTAATTAAACTAAAGAGCTTCTGCACAGCAAAAGAAACTACGATCAGAGTGAACAGGCAACCTACAAAATGGGAGAAAATTTTCACAACCTACTCATCTGACAAAGGGCTAATATCCAGAATCTACAATGAACTCAAACAAATTTACAAGAAAAAAACAAACAACCCCATCAAAAAGTGGGCGAAGGATATGAACAGACACTTCTCAAAAGAAGACATTTATGCAGCCAAAAAACACATGAAAAAATGCTCATCATCACTGGCCATCAGAGAAATGCAAATCAAAACCACAATGAGATACCATCTCACACCAGTTAGAATGGCAATCATTAAAAAGTCAGGAAACAACAGGTGCTGGAGAGGATGTGGAGAAATAGGAACACTTTTACACTGTTGGTGGGACTGTAAACTAGTTCAACCATTGTGGAAGTCAGTGTGGCGACTCCTCAGGGATCTAGAACTGGAAATACCATTTGACCCTGCCATCCCATTACTGGGTATATACCCAAAGGACTATAAATCATGCTGCTATAAAGACACATGCACACGTATGTTTACTGCGGCATTATTCACAATAGCAAAGACTTGGAACCAACCCAAATGTCCAACAATGATAGACTGGATTAAGAAAATGTGGCACATATACACCATGGAATACTATGCAGCCATAAAAAATGATGAGTTCATGTCCTTTGTAGGGACATGGATGAAATTGGAAATCATCATTCTCAGTAAACTATCACAAGAACGAAAAACCAAACACTGCATATTCTCACTCACAGGTGGGAACTGAACAATGAGATCACATGGACACAGGAAGGGGAATATCACACTCTGGGGACTGTTGTGGGGTGGGGGGAGGGGGGAGGGATAGCATCGGGAGATATACCTAATGCTAGATGACGAGTTAGTGGGTGCAGCGCACCAGCATGGCACATGTATACATATGTAACTAACCTGCACAATGTGCACATGTACCCTAAAACTTAAAAGTATAATAAAAAAAAATTACCTATTGGTTACAATGTTCACTATTTGGGTGAAGTGTTCATAAGAAGCCCAGATCTCACCATTACACAATATACTCATATAACAAATCTGCACATATACCCCCATAAATCTAAAATTTAAAATAAATAAATAAATAGAAAGAAAGAACAAAAGATCTTTAGTTCTTTAGGAAGAACTAAAATATGGTATAATTTTGAGCAATTAGAGGAGTCGGGGGAAGTACATTTGGCTCTGATGCTAGAAATGTTCTCTTTGACTAGCAAAGGGATTGTGATATTAGGCCTGGAGAAAAGAAAATGCACGCTCCTTAGTCCTGTACTAAACAATATCAACATAACATAGATGTTCATTTCTGGCTCTTAATTTTTAGAAACTCTCATAGACAAAGCATAGAAAACTGAGTGGCTACAAAACAAAATGTACATGTTCTCCACACTCACCGTGTAAAAAATAAAGGTTTAGCTTGACAGAAACAGGGAGATGAAAAGGGAAGAAAAACAGGTTGGGAAGGAAATACCTTCATTTTGCAAAACGGGGGGTCAAGAGATGCAGTTGAAAGCAACAGAACAAGAAATAGTAGTTTATATCTATTCTTTAAATGTATGTGGTAAGCAGTAGAGGAAGTTTAAAATACTAATATAGCTATCAAAAATTGGGAGGAGAGAGGAAGGGAAGGTAGGGGTGGTGCAAGTGAGGGAAATCCTCATGTAGCCCATTGGGAGAAATGGATAATGTCTCCAGTTGACATAGCACTAAGAGTGGCCTTAGCCTATTATTTTGAGGTATGGAGGTAACCTTCAAAGGTAAAACTGAAGAGAATTAAAAGTTCTTGCCTATAGGCATCGGGAGGAGGGACAAAGAGTGTTTAGGGGAAAATGATTGGTGATTCTTGTCATAAGTCCTTTCTGATGTTTTTACTATTACTACAAGAAAATATTTTTCAAAATTAAAAACAAGTTTTATTTCACTGCTTTAGACTAGGCAGGGTTCTGATAGGAAACAGATTATATTCTCAACCCAAGTAACTGAGCAGAATTTTAACAGGACCATTTGCAATTGTGTGGGCAGGCTAGGGTAGGGAAACCTACAAGGCTGGCACAGTAGCCACCAGCATTAGGTTGCATTGACCACCCCTCGTCCTCAAAGGCCAGGAAAAGGAAGTCTCTGCTGAATTTGGCAAGAGAGTGGCTGTATGGCAAGGGATGTCTGACAAGAGCTGAGGCCTTTGCAGAGGACATGATGACCCATGGTAACCACACAGGGAGAGGTCCCAGGGAAATAAATAATCTTCTTCACCCTGCTTTTCCTCCCCAGGATTCTCTTGTTGCTTCTTACTGGCCAGACCCAACCAGAAGCCAGAACTGTGCTGCCCAGTAAGAGAGCCACTAGCCACACTTAGCTATCTAAGTTAATCAAAATTAAATAAGGTTAAAAATTTAGTTCCTCAGTGCTCAATAACTGGTGGCTAGTGGCTGCCATCCTGGACAGGGTAGACATAGGACATGTTCATCATCAGTAAACGTTCTACTGGGCAAAGCTAATAAAGGGTAAAAGAGGGTCAAGACCTTGTTCATGAAGCTTATCCTCTGGGGCACAGAGGAAAAGGAGAAGGATGGTGAGTGGATCTGGGGGGACAAACAGAAGATGTGCAGCATGTACAGCACATTGAAATGCATCTTGCAAGATGCTCTATTAAAATATAATAAAAAACTGGAGTTTGGGAGTGTGTGTCAATGGTCGAATAAATGTGACAAACTGTACATACTGTTTCATTCTCATGGACACTCAAGATATACATCAGCCTAGTAACAGCTCTGGGAAATCCTGGAAATCTATTTAATGTTTGTTTAAAAATAGGTGTTTCTCAAACATTTTTGGCTAAGAAACTTCTTTTCTTAATGGGAAGGGTTACAATATCAATTCACAGAGCTCTTTTGATAATGGACATTTATCATTTGTCGACTTCCAAGATCCAATCATTCTCCTTATTTGGGATGGGGGATCCCAAAGGAGACAGGAAGGTTGGATCTTTCTCCCCAGCACAGAAGCTGAATAGTAGCCAAGAAGCCTGCTACTTGGGGGGCATCAGATCCCCCTCAGCCATGCTGTGGTTATGAAAGGCACCACTCAGATCTCCTGCTCTGGGGGTATGATTGACAGCTCCAGCTGCTGCCTTCCTGATCCATCCTTGAGTTCACACCACCGTTGCCCTGTTGCTTCCAGCAAGCGACTGAGGGCAGCAGGGATATTAAGAGGCATGCCCCCTCCCGCAGACATGGGCCCCTTTGAAGACATCTTTGGCTTGAGGACTACTCGATGGCCCGTCTAAGACCTTCCTGCAGCCTGAGACACCCCTACACACTCTCTCTTCCCATGCCCCATTTCCCAGGTCTTACACCTGTACCTGTACTTAAAAGCTCTCCCTGCCATTCTGGCTTCCTCTCCTTTTTCCTTCACAGGCATTTCCCCCAGTAACTCTCCCACAAGTCTAATCATGTCTTAGGGTCCACTTTCTGGAAGACCAGAACCAACACAACTCATCTGGATCTTGAGTAGTGACTCCAATATGTGGGAACACACAGAAATAATCCAGGCCAGAGTCTAACGACATGGGGGGGTGCAGGGGCAGGTTTCTTGGATGCAGCTTGTTTGGCAGGTCCAGTGTTTTCTTTTAGTTTGCTTTCACAGAATCTGAGTGTCTTTACGTGTGGTGTGTGTTCTGCCCCAACCCCCACTACCCACTATTATCTTACACCCATGAAAACTAGTTGTTCCTATTACCTGCCTGACACATGCAGGTATTTGAACTTGAAATCTCTAACTTAATGTGTACATCTGCCTAGGCGGTGAGAAATCACACCAGATTGCTCACAGCTTTTCAGAATCCTAGCCCAGTGACCCATGACTCCCACCCTCTGCCCACTGTTTTACCATGATTCAGAGGCCATTATGTTTTAGGCAGTGTAATTGCTCCAGTTATCTTTTGCCCTCTTCATTGGGCCTGGCTTCAGTTATTTTACCTCTATGTTAGAGATTCTCTTTGAGACACCTCTAAGTACCCACTTTCCCCTCAGAACCTAATTTCTGGTTTCCAAGCCCTGGAGACATCATCCCTGAGTATCTTCTGTCTTCTTTTCTCATTAAGCCCATCCCTACTGCCTGCCTCATGTCTGCCCCATGGTCTACCCCTTCAAGCAGCCCCTGCCAGTGAAATTCACCTCACCATGGGCAGCTCTTATCACTTTGACCCTTAGCATGAATCCTAGCAGTCTCTGACTACACTCTCATTACATGGTATGTGCCTTTATATGGAATGGATAGAATTCACCTGCAGTGAATTTTAGGTAGAGCTTGGACATTATATTAGACATCATTGAATCTTATATTGAGAAAATAATTATTTTTTCAATTCTGATTATATCAAAGAGAAAGTCTTAGTTTGATGCTAGTCTGGTGGTTAAAAACACCACTCCAACTCTTTCTAATTTCCCTTTTCAATAAAGAACAAGGTGGCCTCAGACTCAGGGGCTTGGGCCAACAACATTGGTCAGAATTTGATCATTGTTATTGTACTTATTTTTGTCATTATACTTATTTTGTCATTACCTCCTATGGCAGGGATATTTGTTTTCCTTTAGAGTATTGATTTAAAGTTTATTTTTAAAGTAAGTTTATTTAGGGAAACAGTAAATCACTTTAAGAAAATATTGCTAATAGCACTAGTGGTATTAAACCATTGCAAAAATCCTGAAAGGGACAGATAGATAAATCAAACAGGAGGAATATCACCCCAATCAACCTGCATAGCCACAGTTCCATGCCTATGTGCCTTCCATCTGGGTGCCACTAGGTGATCCTTATTGATGAAGCCTGTTTGAGTTGGGTTTCCTTTTCTTTCCTTTTTTTTTTCTTTTTTTCCTTTTTTTTTGGAGTTGGAGTCTCACTCTGTTGCTCAGGCTGGAGTGCAGTGGCACGATCTCGGCTCACTACAACCCCCGCCTCCCGGGTTCAAGCAATTCTCCTGCCTCAGCCTCCCGAGTAGCTGGGATTACAGGTGCCTGCCACCACGCCCCATTAATTTTTGTATTTTTAGTAGAGAAGGGGTTTTGCCATGTTGGCCAGGCTGGTCTCAAATGCCTGACCTCAGGGTGTCACCTGCCTCGGCCTCCCAAAGTGCTGAGATTACAGGCGTGAGCCACCATGCCCAGCTAAGGTTTTCTGTAACTTACAACATAAACTAACCTTAATGCCTAGCACTAGGCATAGAACAGGTGCTCAATAAATATTGTCAAAAAATAAATATAAATACAATATGGAATGAATAATAGAAGACCTAATATCAGAACTGTTATGTGGTAATACAGTCGTCCCTCAGTATTCAGAGGAGTTGGTTCCAGGACCCCCTGAGGCTACCCAGATAAACAGTTTCTCAAGTCCCTTATATAATACGACGTAATATTTGCATGTAACCTGCACACAACCTCCCATATACTTTAAATCATTTCTAGAACACTTATAATACCTAATGCAATGCAAATGCTATGTAAAGATTTATTGTATGTTTTATTGTTGGGTTGTTATTTTCATTGTATTGTTTTCTCAAATATTTTTGATTCACAGTTAAAATCCTGGATATGGAGTCCGAGATATGGAAGGCCAATTGGCTGCCAAAGAAATGGGAGAGACAACACGTGCGGTGGCTTCAAAGGAGGAGGGAGAGTTGAGTTTAAACTAATGAAGTAAAGGCAGGGATGGGAGACTGAAAGGAAGGAAGACGCTGACACTTCTTCAGTGTGATTGTATGCCATACACTGTGCTGGGTGCTGTTAATACAACAACGCTTCTGGCTATGTACTGTTTAACCCCATTAGAAATAAAGCAACAGGAGTTCAGAGAATTTAAGTAACTCGATTTAGGTCACTCAGCAATTAGCCAGGCCAGACATATACCCAGGCTGAAGGATGGCCAAGCTCATTAAGTCAGGCAGCTAGAATTGAGACCAGTGGTGAAATAGAATGAGAGCATTGATATGAACGTGGTTTATACACTTTTAAGGGCTACGAAGATCATTCCAGAGGAATGAAGGAACAAGGAGAGAATTGTGTCAACAAAGACTGGCACATGGCAGGATTCCACTCACTTTCCACAAACTTTGAAGGAAGAAGTAGCTAATTGAATCTGAAGTTTCATTCACTAGAAACTAATAGAGAATTTACAATAATTTATCCTGGATGGAAAGTAAGATCCATCATGTACATGTTAGACAAGAGAAGCATTTGATCCCTTATCTTCCTAGTTAACATTCATCTTGAACACTGATTATGTGATAGTCTTCCTAAAACAAATAGCAAGGGGGATGGGGTTGGGGAGCACACAGATAACAAAAAAGTTTTGATGAGCTTTATGGAGACAGGAGATAATTTGTTGATATAAAAATACACCTGTAATCCCAGCACTTGGGGAGGCTGAGGCGGGCGGATCACTTGAGGTCAGGAGTTTGAGACCAGCCTGGCCAACATGGTAAAACCCTGTCTCTACTAAAAATACAAAAATTAGCTTGGCGTGGTAGTGTGTGCTTGTAGTCCCAGCTACTCGTGAGGCTGAAGCAGGTAAATCGCTTGAACCAGTGAGGCAGAGGTTGCAGTGAGCTGAGATCACACCACTGCACTCCAGCCTGGGCGACAGAGCGAGACTCTGTCTCAAAAAAAAAAAAAAAAGAGACGCTTTTGCATGTACTTCCTTTCCACCACCATCTGTCACCTAGGAAAACCTCTACAATCACAAAGCTTATCTGAAAATCTGACTATATTCAGGCAAGATTCAAACCAAGAGAAGTCAAACCTAGAGACACGCGGTTATGAACTATAAACTGTTCATAAGGCCCTGGGGTTTTTCGGACCACTTGTGCCCTAACCAGCCTGTGGGCTCCCATGTTCATTATCCTCCCAAGTGTTAAGGCACAAGGTATCAGGCATCAGGCAGTTTTTGTATTAGGAAGACTATCACATAATCAGTGTTAAAGATCAATGTTAACTAGGAAGATAAGGGATCAAATGCTTCTCTTGTTTAACATATACACGATGGATCTTACTTTCCATCCAGGAGAAGTTATTGTAAATTCTCTATATTAGTTTCTAGTGAATGAAACTTCAGATTCAATTAGCTACTTCTTCCTTCGAAGTTTGTGGAAAGTGAGTGGAATCCTGCCATGTGCCAGACTTTGTTGACACAATTCTCTCTTTGTTCCTGCATTCCTTTGGAATAATCTTCATAGTCCTTAAAAGTTTGTAAACCATGTTCATATCAATGCTCTCATTCTATTTCACCACTGATCTCAATTCAGGCAGTTTTTGTTGCACAAAACCTCAGAAACTAAAACAACGAACATTATTTGGCACATGTCTGCAGAGCCCAGCACTGCTCTACAGTGGGCTTGACTGGACAGCTCTGCTGATCTCGGCTGGGAGCACTGAGGCATCTGGGGCTTGGCTATCGCTTGGCCAGTCTAGGCCAGCCTTGGCTGCAGTGACTCAGCTCTGCTCCGGGTGTCTCTCACCCACCTCTGGAATCAGCGGGCTACCTCAGTCATGTCATTCTCACGACGATGGAAGCAGTGCAAGAGGAAAAGTGAAACATGCAGGAGCTCTTGAGGCCTAGTCTCCAGACTGGCACACCATCTTGTCTGCCTTATTCCACTGACCAACATAAACCACCAACTTGAGCCCAGAGTCTGGGTATGAAAGAGCTGCACAGATGCATGGCAATGGACATGAATATAGTGAGGGTGAAGATGGGGACCGTTACCGGCTCCAGTCACACCTAGTCTGCAAAAGACTTGGCTCACTGGTTGGGCCCAAGAGGTTCCCTGAGGACAATGACTGTATCTATTTATGTTATTTCATCTTTTCAATCACTTTGCAAAACAATATCATGACTCCAACTTATAAAAGAGGATATCAAGTTTCCAAAACATGAAGAAATAAACTACTTAAAATCATCTGTCCCTTCACATTGGATAGCCCTTGAAATTGAACTCCAGCACCATTATCAGTTGCTAAAGTTCCCGAACCATTCCAGGGAGGGACCTTCTTAATGGTCCAAATCTCAGCCAGGCATTATTCTTGTGATTTCAGGGAGTGCGCGGCTCTGGGCTGAGGCCATTGAGACTTGTATTTGATGGAGAACCAGGCTTTAAGGAGAAGGAAACAGTATTTTGAATACAAGGCGCTGCTCTTATCTTCTATCAATAGATAAAGTTTTGGGATATGCACCTTCCACTAAGGCTCACAAAAGGATTGGCAGCATTTTGAAAGGGCAAAACAAGTTTTTCTTTCTTTTCCCTCTCTTTTAGGGTGAAGTAGTTGCATTGATGGCCACTCTTGGCTTCCTACAGTGAAGTCACCTCAGACTTTGGGGGTTTTTCTACAGAGGTGGAGGTCAGGATGGGTCCTGGGAGGTGGGAGGGGGTGCTGTGTCCAGCTCCCCAGCAGATGTACTATTGTGGCTGCCCTGGGGAAAGGCTGAGAACCTATGGGGAGGGTTGAGAAAAAATTTCCAGGAGCTTCATGGTGGCACCAGGCAGGAGGGAGTCCAGGGCCTTCCTCCACACATACTGTGCTTCTGCCTACAATCCACATCATACTCTACCCTGTGTGCATATCACATACTGAAGGAACCAAGCTTCAGTTCAGTTTGTTTCCAGCACCTTCATCTGCTAATGCCATGTTAGGCATGGGAGATACTAAGATGAACCATAAATGGTCCTTGCCTTTAAAGAGATTACAGGGTAGTGGGAACATCAGGAAAAAACAGAAAGGAAAAGAGAAATGCGATTGGGTGGCATAGACTGAATAGCCAAGGCAGCATGTAAGAGGCAGTAAGATCCTCTGGAATGATGACTTCGAAGCTAGGAGTTGAAGTACAAGTGGAAATTTACCAGACGGAATCTGGAAGAGAGACTTCCAAAGAAAGAGAAGATGCTGACTCAGTCTTGGCTATTAAAATGTCCATATTCCAAAAGCATGAGTATTGAATTCAGATGGCTGTCTAGAATCCTCCAACATACTGGACTCATCCAGGACTCTCTGAGCCTTAGTTGCTTCATCTGTGAAATGGGAATAATCTTAGGTACCTGACAGCAGTGTGCTGACAACTAAATGAAATACAGTTTGTGAAAACATTTTATAGGCTATAAAGTGTAACCTCTGCAGATGTTCATTGCTCTTATCATTGTTAGTGCTATTACTATTCATCATTAATTTGGGGCTTAGTTGGAAACTATGGATTCAGAGACAGATAAAGCAGATCACCCTGCCCTCAAGGTGATCACAGTCTAATAATAATGTCACATTATTGTAGGGCTTATTGTATGCATGTCCTGTTCCCAGCACTCTATGGCTATTACCTCATTTCATCCTCATGCCCACCTGAGAAGCAGGTGCTATGGTCATCTTCATTTTTCAGTTGGAGGAAACAGGGACACAGAGGGGTTAAGGAACTTGTAGAAGGCCACTCAGCTGATGGGTGGTAGTGCCTAGATGTGAACCCAGACATGGTGGCTCCAGAGAATGCACCTTCACCACTACCCCACACAAGTAGACAGTCAGCTAAGAGACAACCACAATATGATGTCATAAATGTTGTGAGCCTGTTACAATGCAGTAAATGTGCCCGATGTCCTGGGATAATAAGGGGGTATATGTTGAGTGAGGGGGTGGGGGAGTTGTCAGCAAAGTCTTCTTAGAGGAGATGGTCCCTGAACTGAGGTCTGGCTAAAAGGTGGAGCAAATTGTGCCCTGCAAGAAGAGCAATATGAGCAAAGCCCCCAGAACTGAGAGCAGAACTGCTGTCCTCAGTGTGGGAGGGACAGAGAGAAGGGGCAGGGTATGGCTGAAGATGTGGCAGGAGCCAGGTCCTGAAGGGCTGGGGCACCATGCTAAGAAGCCCCAACTGTCTTCTGAGGGCAGCAGAGTGCAGAGGCGCACTGTGTGTGGAGGGGAACCCTGGGTGCCTCCCTCCTGCCTGGTCCCACCATGAAGCTCCTGAGCATTTTTTGTCAAGCCTTCCCATAGGTTCTCAGCCTTTCCCCATGGTGGTCCCGTAACACCTCTGCTGGGAAGCTAGACAAGCACATACCTCCCACCACCCAGTACCCATCCTGACCTCCACCTCTGTAGAAAAACACTCAGAAGACAGTTGGGGTTCTTTAGCATGTGTTGGAAGGCTCACTCCAACTACACTGTGGTTGACATACCAGGAGAGGGGATTATGGGCAATAGCTGGAGGCAGAGAGACAGTTCAAGTTCTGACACAAAAATCCAGCTGCTAGGACTGGTATCTGAAGGTGGAGTTGTGGCATAGGGGACGGAATGTTTGAGAACTGCTAAGATATAGCAATTGGTGAAAGAGAAAGAGGAATCAAGAGTGACTACTGAAGCCCAGTCAACATAACAAGACTTTGTCTCTACTAAATATAAAAATAAATTAGCCAGGATTCATGGCGCATGCCTGTAGTCCTAGCTACTCAGGAGGCTAAGGTGGGAGGATCATTTGAGCCCAGGAGGAAGAGGCTGCAACGAGCTATGATCGCACCACTGCACTCTAGCCTGGGTGACAGAGAGAGATCCTGTCTTAAACAAACAAAAAAAAAGAGGTCCCTGTTCTGGGTGACTGGGTGGGTCAGGATGGCAGGCAGCAGGATCCGAAGGTGAAGATCTGGGAAATGCTGACATTTAAGGGAGGGCCAAGGAGGCAGAGCCCAGGGAAATCTGACACAAGCAAGCAGAACAGAAAGAGGAAAACAAGCGAGGATCCTCCAAGAATTCAAAGGAAGTTGAAGGGTGACAAATTTAGGTTAGATACCAAGAATTTACTTCCAACAAGAGTCCTGAGTCCTTAACCTAGAGGAGCATTTTTCCTTGTGATAGAAAAAGTCTTTGTTTTTAGTCTTATTTTTTGTATTTGTCTTTGTCTTTCCAGACTTCACATTTCACTGCCTCACTCATTTAGTACTGATTAATTAATTTCTCAATATCTTTGTCTACTCATTACTGCTCTCTGCACACAGAGACATAACGGGATGGAGGAGGAGGTTCTGCTCATTGGTATTTGCAATGTGCTGAGACTGATGAATGAAACGCTAAACACACTGTCACCATCACCAATAATAGTAGCAACTGACTCAGCCCCCATTTATTGAGCATCTATTACATACAAGGTGTTCTGTTATGAGTTGCAAAAACATGGCCAATAAACAAGGTAGACATGATGACATTTCTCTTTTGCAGAGGGAGAAACTAAGCCTTGGAGAAGTTAAGTGAGCAGCTGAATATCACACAGCAAATAATAAATAACAATGGAACATATGCATATAGCCCTCAGGCAGCCCCCCAAAATTTTCACCAAAAGACTTCCTTGCCATCCTTGCTGATTTGTGAGCAGAGAATGAGTTATGTGTGGAACGCGGAGAGGGGGTGGGGGCGGAGCAAAGCAAAGAGGGATAAGAGGACCCAGGTTAGGGAATGACTGTTCTCAACCCCAATATTTGAAGTCATTAGCTGTGCCTTCACACACTTAGTACAGGCTCTTTCAGAAAACAATAAGCACCTGAATGGCTTTTCATGCTAGCCACAGGAGAAACTGAACATACTGATGCAAAAATTCTGGCCAGCTTTCCTTCAAGAACACAACTTATAAATCATTCATTCACTTAACAAATATTTACCAAGCACCTACTAGATTCAAGCATTGAACTGGGCCAGGGATACAAGGACAAACAACAAACCAACCAATCAGTGGGTGAGAAACAAGAGGGTGTCTTCTTGGGTTGTCTCTGAGGAGGGGACACTTGGAGAGTGAAAATGGTCAGCAGGGGAGGTGGAGGGCCCTTTGGACAGAGAGGCAGCTTGGCAAAGGTCTCTCTTCTCACACTGGGTTTGTACCACTCCTCACCTCTTTATCTTGCAAACTCCAACTTATCCCTTAAAACTCTGGGAAGGTTGGCCTGACCTCCAGGGCTAGTTTTGCAGGTTTCCTGTGGGCTTCTTGTGCATCTTGAGTGCAGTTCTGTAGTAACAGGTATTTGCAGGTGTCCCAGCCTGTCTATCCCTAAGTCTGAGCTCTCTGGAGGAAGGGGGCATATCTTCTGGCTCTATGTCTCCAGTTCGGGCTCAGAGTAGATCCTCGATAAACACAGTAGAATTGCTGCAGCATGCTGCAATACATGTCTAAGGATACATCAGGACCCTTTGGGTGGTCTTGGGCAATACTGCCCAGTTAACCACTTTGCAGTTCCTTTTTGAGGAAAGTAACGGAAAGATTGGAGGTCCAGGCTCTGCCAGAAGGACTTGAGCAAATCACTTAAGGTTTTGTTTTCCTCTTTTATCCAATGTGAGCGTTAGACCAACATTATGGGCCTGGGATGGTATGTGGTTTATCAGAACCCATGCGTAGGCTGTTTGCACAAGAACAAGTCCAAGTTAGCCTGAAGTTATTGCTACTTTTTGACATCGAGATTTTCTTTGCAATGGTCAATGGTAGGATTAATTACTGTGGCTGTTCCATGGGCACTCGAAACTAAAATATATTCCCTAACTTCAGGGCACATAGTATGACATCTATCCATCATATCTACGTTTGTGATTATGTCGCTTAGGTCTTTTTATATCTTTATTTTCAGTCAAATTGATTTGAGAGGATGTGCTGCTTTTTCGAAACTGAGATGTAGAGAGGCCGAGGAGGTGCCAGTTCCTGCGGGAAGGTAGAGTATGGAGAAATCACAGGGTCTGTAGATCATCTCCAATCAAACATCACTCTGGCTGTAAAGAAAGGCCCCTGCCCCAAAATTCAACAAGGTCTATATTTTCTCATTTTTATTGGTATTATTTGAAAGGAGGAAGAATCAACTTTTTATTCAATCAGGTAATTTTTTATTGTTTTCTATCTTTCCTATACATAAATTTTGTTTCCCAAATCAAGTTGGAAAACTCAGTCCTCCTTTTATATCTCCATGGTGGGTAGGACAAGGTCTACTCATGGCTTGGTGGGGGATTTTAAATGGTGATGTTGCTAATAATTACACCTAAGCACTTACTATGAGACAAGTTCTCTTCTAGATATTTTGTATGTTTTAGATTATTTAACTCTTACATCAATTTATAATGCCACCATTTTACAAATTAAAAAAAAAAAAAGCAAGGCACGTGGACGTAAAATAACTTGCGCAGGTTCAAACTGCTAGTGAGCAGCAGAGCCGGGGCCCCAGCCTGAGACACTGTGCTCTGTTGCCGCTTTTAGAGACCAACTCACCCACTGGCTTCACTACATGCGTGAAGAAACAGGAACTTGAGTCTGCTAAGCAAGCTGCCGGGAGAACTAAAACTAGACCCCTGGTATTTGGACCTTTATCCAGAGCCTTCCTGCTGTGCATCGCTGCCCCTCACAATGCACAGAAGCTGTATTTGTGGCAGCAAGAGGTTGTCATTTGCTGGATGACATGGGTTAATGGTTTAATAGCAACTCCTGCCTACCTCACCTCACAGGACTGCAGGGCCAGCACCATAGGAGAAATAAAGATGATGTAATCAAATATTATCTAAATAATGTATACTTTTTGAGTCCTGAATAAATCACCCAGCTGTGGAATACATTCATGTTTAATATTACTAGGATATATAAAATGATTTAGGACTGGGGGGATTGGAAGTAAAGAAAACTAAAATTCCACAAGGGCCAAATCCTTCTAGGTGGGAAGACTTGTATTTTTTATAAGCACCTCCTCTCTCTCCAATTCCCATGCACATGACCTTCATTCTTTGTTTATAGATTGTGGGTGTCACCCTTGGAAACAGGCATTTTCCCAGAACAAGTAAGAACTAATGTTAGCCAATAGGAGAGAATACTAGTCAGCCCTCAGGGGAGAGGATGGCCATTAAAATATAGTACATAAAGGGATGAGCTGCTGGTATTTATCTCCAAGTCCAGCTTGCAGAGCCTTTCTCTGTTGCCAAAAGTGATCTAACATCTCCCTGCATAGCTTGGCTTCAGATGGTGAGATTTTTATTATTTTTTCATTCCATTCCACATTCATTCCAGTAATTATGAAAAAAGAAAGGAGTTATGACATATCTGGGGAGACTGACCCAGTGTATCAACTTTACTAAGAAAGGACATAATGGTTTTGGCAAGATAAGAGAATTTCATTCGGAAATTCCAAAGACATTCTATCCCAGTGGAGTTACTTGACTTGCCAAAAATCAAAGTTGTTTAGCTGGGTGGGGCAGGGACCTAAGCCAGATGACTAAGGGTGACACTCCTGGACAATCCACACAAGAGGCTTTCAGAAAGGCATTCTGATGCTGTGACTGGTGGTGTTCCACCTGCATTCATTCACGATGAGCCAGCAAGGTGAGATCGACAGCAAGCCCCAGAAACCTGGCCCTCTAGTGACACAGAATCTCTGTGAGGGGTATGGGAACAGAAACAGCGGTCTTTATCTCAAATCGTGGCACTATAAAGTAGTCCCACTACCTGCCTACTTTGGGCCCTACAGCAGAAACTGAATAAAATGCATTCCTATTATCTTAAAGAAAAAATTGACTCACGAGCCCTCTAACCTAATATTAGTATGTGGTAAACGCCAGATGAAGATGAAAGTAGCTAAAATTTGGGATGAATTTCTTGGAGAGATTCTAGAATTTCCTTTCCCAGTTCTCCTAGTTTTCATTTCAAACAAGATTCTGAAATGGTCTCCTTGTGGTTCAGCTCAGACTCAAGAGAACTGCTTCAATGGTGTCTCCAACCCCCTTGGCCTAAATGTTCTCACTTGCAAAGAAGATTCCACTTAAGAGGAAGTGCAGCCGGTTAATGCTTAACTACAGCAACTCCTCCTCTACACCAAGTGAGAAAGTTGGGCTGGGCTGAAAAATGGTTAGTTTTGCATGAAACTGAGTGTAGGTATTGTTTGAAAACCAGAGAACCCCAGAACCTCAAATTTCATGGGCCTCCAAGATCATTTATTTCAAACCATATATCTAATTGCTCCAAAAAGAAAAAATCTCTGATCTGTTTGGCAAGCAGTTTTCTCTTCCCACAGAGGAACACAGTCAACTGTAGGGCCTCTGTAACTTACATGTCACATGGAATCCAGCCTTACTTGGTAAAGGGAACATTAGCAAAATATCTTAGTCATGGTCATTTGGTTACAAAGAACAGAAAACCACTCAACTTTTAAATCATTTTTAAAGAGTTTATTGGAAGGAAAGCACAGGTTTCAGGGGAAGTAGAAAAATGTCAGATGCTTTGTCTCCCTCCCTCCCTCTCGCTCTCCCCCATCCTCCCCTTTTCCTCATCTCCAACTTCTGCTTCTCTCTGTAACTCATGCCTTTCTCTTGCTTTTGCAGCTTCCACTTCATTATGATTTTTTGGCTCTGACATAGGACAGTTTTTTTTGTTTGTTTTCTGTTTTTTACGTTTACCCTCATTTTTGTCATATTTTATTTTTTTCTGTGGAGAACCAGCCATGGGAATTGGTTTTCAGCAATGGACACCTGACCTGACCAAAGCCAATAAATCATGAGACTTTTGCTGAGACTTCAGAGAGGTGGGATGTGGAGGGGAGAGGACATGAGGATGGAGCTGCCAAAGCCATCCTGCCACTGTGAAGCACAAGACTAAGGCCAACACAGCAGAAAGGGCAAAGGGCTGGAAAGAAGCTAAGTCCTGATGGAGGCTTTCTGAAGTCTGAATCCCAGCTGTCCGTGAGACCAGTCCTGCTTTTCATTTCATGAGTCAATCACTGTATTTCTTGCCTAAGTCATCCATTAGCACAGCTGTCAGCCTTGGATTGCCATTGAGTCAACCCCATTCCTCCACCTGGCCTTGCACTCCAGTTTCACGACTAGCCTAGTTAGGAAGGATGTGCTCAGGGGAAGTGCAGTTTAATGTGGTTTCTAGGATATTCTTTCCAGGGTAAAGGGGGGCAGAGGAAGAAAAAAATAATCAACCTCTTCCATTTATTTTCATTAATCAGAGTCCTTGATCTGACAATTAGCCTAATCATATTTTTACTGTCCTGTCTTCACTAAGGTCATGAATGTCAAAATATAAAAGATCAAAGTATGCAGAAATCACTTCAAACTTCATAAATAATGCTTGTGATTTTTTTCATATGCAAGTCTAATGAAAATTGAGAAAACGATGTGTGCATTTCATAGTTATTCTCTTCTGGACATGCCAACCTCGGTCTTAAAATTGAAGACTATATTTAATGACTTAGAGGTTCAAATGTAAGTCATAAATTAAATTGCATCTGGTAAGGTGTACCTTACATTCTGCTTCTTCATTATGAGACCATATAACCCAATTCTTTGATTTATAAATATTTCCACTTTAATAAGTCATGACGCAAATAATCTTTCTCCAAACCTCTTGTTTCAAGACATCCAACTTACTGCACCACAAAATAGTAAATCTCAGGCTCAGAACTCCTTTCTTTGCCAAGAATTATACTAGTGAAGTTGTTCCTTGCCTCAATTAAAACTTACACTTGTTTAGAAAGGGCAAGAGCATAACTTCCACATATATGTTTAAGTTCCACATCTAACATTGTATAGGAATAAACCAGATTCCACCAACTTTCTGTGTTGACACCCACAGGCAGTGCAGATTGCATCCTGGGAAAAAGAACAAGGGCCTGGCTCTATGCCCAGCTGTACATACTAGCTGTGTGGCCTTAGCAGGTTGTGTATAATCTCTCTAAGCCTCTGTTTCTTCACATATGAAGTACTGACCTTATACTTTATAGATTGTAATATCAACTTTATGGCTTTATTGGGGACTTGAAATGAGGTGGTGTATGTAAAGCACATAGTAGGCATTCAGTGTTCATTACCAGCTACTACTTAAGGTAATAATTGCCCTTCATAATAGAAACATTCATAATTCATAAATGTCCATTTCCTACCAGTTGTCAACATACATGCTATGTTGCTGTAAACCTTGCATAATTATAAAATTAAATTTCCATCTTTCATAAATTGAAATGTAACATCACGCTAAAGCTACTGAAATGTCTGATTCTGCCACTGACTGGTTGTAGAACTCGGGACAAACGTAATCAATTTGTGGCTTTGCTTCTGCGTTTGTAAAATGACAAGATTGGGCTGTTCTAAATGAATTTTAGTGCCTCTTCCAACTTTACCATTCTTCTGAGTCTTATATGTCAGTTAAATGGCTGTTTAATATATACGAGTCATCATGGGATAATTGCATGTTTATCGTAAAGAAACCCAAACTCCTCTCGGAGGAAGACAAACTGTTGACATCTAAAATTAGTCTCTCAAATAATATTACCTCATGAAAGAAAAAGAAGTGATGGTAGTACAATTCATGCTCAGATTTTGTAATTTGGGAAATCTCTAAAAATTGAGAGATGTAAGAGGTGATGACAGAATAATTCATATGCTCACATTTTGTAATTTTGGAAATCTCTAAAAATTATTCTCAAAGGTAGAAAGTGAAATTGAATTTAGGGACATAGAGATACTCACGGAAAAGTATGTAGCAGAACACACCATTAGGTCTACAATCTGCAACTCCATATATAAATAAGCCTCCAAACCCATGTTGCCTTAGTTATTGGAAATCCGAATGACTGACATATTTCTATTTTTCTAGAAATGCAAAACAGACTTGTGTAATTAACCATTCCTTTGGTATTTATTTTGAAACCAACTGTGCATTTCTTGGCCTCTTCACATACAAATAATGCCAACGCCTACGCAGTTCCACAGAATTCTTGAGCAGTTCTCACTCACTCTGCCCATTTTTTTCTTGCCCCCCTCTCCATTACCTCATAAATGGTGAACATTTCAGAAATAACGATCCCATTAGAAGAAGGTCTCTACATGTCGCCTGTAAGGCTTGAGAGGAAAAACTCAAAAGATGCCTTCACATAAAAGTGGGAAAGGGAGCAGAAATGAAATTTCTAATGGACATAGCAACACAAGAAAGCGCTGTGCATGAAGAACCCAGCTTCTCTCTGACAGATGGTACGCCATGCATGCAGCTAGATGAGCAGCGTTCAGGGGCTTGCTCCATTGCAAATACAGAAACAATAAAAATGCATGTTGATTTTTAAACAGATGTGTAATTAAGTATGACATTCTGATAGAGGTTTACCAAGGCAGAACAGCTGGATTTGAGGAGTCCTAATATGGGATACTGTTTAAGTTATTTAAATGTGATTCCTAGGATGGCAAAACTTCAAGAACTTCAACTTGTCTGTGTGTGTGTGTCTTTGTGTCTGTGGGTTTATGTCTGTGTGTGCATGTGTGAATACGACTGGATCTATGGCTTAAGGTGGTGCATACCCAGCTGAAATTTTCTTGGAGCTTAGAAAAGCAAAGGTTGCAACCCTTATACTCAGTTGCCCTGGGCAAGCAAGAAAAATATGTCAAGACCCAGGTCTTGCTGTTAAGGCTGGAGTTGAGAAATGCCCTCCAAATGCCTTCAAGTCAACATTAGCTATGACAGAAGCAAGACTATTATTTAACAATAGCAGCAAACGTCAAAAACAAACTGTGCCTGGCATTTTGACAAGACACTACTGAAAGAGAACCACTTTTTCAGCACTTGTGTAACCGTGGGGGAGAACTTGACAATTAATATCCTGAGGTCTGGTAACAGGATTTCCAGGCTGCTTGGTGGTTTCCTTCTGATACAAATGAAAGGAGTAGGCAAGTGGAGGACATGGGCAAAAATAATCCGAAACAATGAGGCCTAGAGAAAAGGACTGATACATCAGAAATCAGGTACCTTGTGGCTAATTAAAATGTAACTCCTCCCTCAGGAGACTGCACTCTCACGGTGGTGACACTATAAAGTATGAGGACAGAGCCATCATCCCTAGGTGAAAATAAGATGCTGACAAAATCTATCTCCTACCTCCCATCTCCTTTCCTCGCTCTCCAGCAGACTCATGCCATCCTGCGGCACCCTACCTAAGCTTCCCTCCATGGAAGCAGCCCCTGCCGGAACTGGCCAAACCCTCATCCCTGCCGTCAATCAATCAATTAATCAGTATAATAACAACCAGCCAGTTTCTGTCCTATGTCCTTAAGAATTTGCTCCCTGTTAACTAACCGATGAGTGGAGCTGTGGCAAGGTGTCAGCAAGCACAGTGATTCGTGTACTATGCTTCCTCTCATTTTGACAGAAACATTAGGGAAGCAACCTAATCCAAAGTAAATGCCAATGTGCTGGCTCCACACTCATGCTTTGAAGTGAATGAGGAGAGAGGGAAAGGAACCAATACTTCACTGGAAAGCCCTTATGAGCTAAGCCTTTGAAATGTTATCACAGTTAATGTTAACAGCCCTCAGACAAAAGTGGTATTGTGTCTCCATCTTACAGGTAGCAACCTGAAGTTTAGAAAGCATGAGGAACATGCCCAGCGTCCCAGTCTGCGAGTAACTCACCCAGAGTTAAAGCCTGCGTTCTCTCTCTCCCACAGCTGACTCTTCCCTGGCTCTCTCCACCACAACCCAAGATCACACACCTTGATCAGACTCAGAATGTTCTTTTTCTTTTTCTTTTTTGAGACGCAGTTTCACTCTTTTTGCCCAGGCTGCAGTGCAATGGCGTGATCTTGGCTCACCGCAACCTTCGCCTCCCAGGTTCAAGTGATTCTCCTGCCTCAGCCTTCCGAGTAGCTGGAATTACAGGCATGTGCCACCATGCCTGGCTAATTTTGTATTTTCAGTACAAACAGGGTTTCTCCATGTTGGTCAGGCTGGTCTCAAATTCCCGACCTCAGGTGATCCGCCTGCCTCGGCCTCCCAAAGTGCTGGGATTACAGGCGTGAGCCAACGCGCCCGGCCTTCTTTTTACATAAGAGCCTGGCAATGATGCTTTTTAATAAAGGGAACACCAGGAACTGTGGTGGGTGTGGCAGTCTTACTTGCAGGCCTCCTAAAAGGAACCCCCATGGACAGCTGTAGATCCTGCCTGAGAAGAAACATGAGTACAGGAGCCATTTAAATCCTCAAAGAGAAGCCAATCCCTATGTTTTAGAAGTCCTCCCTTCCACCCACTTCCTCTACCTGCGACTTTACTACCACCAGACCAGACTTTCGGTTCTTGAGAGAACATGCACGAATCTGTCCACGTGGGTTTCCTGTCCATACCATCCAAGGAGAAAGGCCTTGGCCTCCTCCAGCTGGGTCTGCTCCTTCCTTTGAACCCCATCGGTACCTATGCCCACACCTTTCAGAGCTTTCCTGATCAGTGTCAACATGCTGCTCTTCCTCTTACAAAATGTACCATCAATACAGCCCAGGCACATGGCTCCCACAAAGCTAGCCACTTATATAGTATGGGTCACATCAAAAATGACTCCAGCACAATCATTCATACAGACTTCTCTCACACTAAACCTTTAAACAAGGTGAGAAGTCAAAACCTGTGAAGACTGTCTCTTTTCAGCTGGGTGCAGTGGCTCACTCCTGAAATCTCAGCACTTTGGGAAGCTGAGGTAGGAGGATTGCTTGACCTCAGGAGTTTGAGACCAGCCTGGGCAACATACTGAGACCCAGTCTCTACAAAAAGTAAACAAAAGTAAACAAAATTAGCCAGGCACGCACCTGAGGTCCCAGCTACTAGGGAGACTGAGGTGGGAGGACTGCTTGCCCTGGCTGAAGGTTGAGGCTGTAGTGAGCCATGATCACACCACTGCACCACTGCACTCCAGCCTGGGTGTCAGAGGAAGACTCCATCTCTCAAAAAAAAAAAAAAAAAAAAAACCTATCTCTTTCCTATCTGTCAGATTTCCACATGGGTCTGGGTCTCTGGAAGCTGCAGCAGGACAGAACATCTGCTATGGAAAGGGGCTTGAGGTCCAAGTCAAGGTCATTCCCAGGCTTTCTAGAAATGCTTTTTATTAACTTTCTAAACAAACTCAGACTCCAGAGTGGAGGAACACATTCAACATGAATACGTCTACAAAGTCTTACACTTTTCTACTAAAAAGCTAAGATTGCATTCCTATCAGCAATGCCCACAATGCCAAGTCACTTATTCTAAGCGACGGCATTGGAATTCCGTCAGAAATGCATATGCAACATGAGGCAGGAGCGTCAGCGAAGGGACTTTCAGGGACAGCAGACAGGTCTGTGGTGATGAGGAAAGTCTTTGGTCATTGGAGTGAAGTCAAACCAGGGTTTGAAACTCTGCTGTGCCACCCAGAAAAATGTGGATGTTGGCAGCCGTAAAATGGCGTCAATACCCACAGACGTGTGCTGGGGACATTCCCAGGAGGCACCAGGAAGACACCTGGTTCATTCCCTCCCACACATTTCTCCTTCTAGGCGAGAGGAAAAGATGAAAGTGAATCCCTTCCTTCTTTCTCACCACTCCAAGACTTAGACACAAAGTTTACACTTTAGGTAAAGACCATAATTTTGTTTTAAACTTTGCCACCAAAAACTATTTTCTTATAGTCATGTTCACTATCAATCACTAAGGGAGTAAAGTATTCTATTGTGAACAGAGCACCGCAAAACGTTTTACAACTGTGGCAGACATTACCAGGGATCACCAATATTTGGTTCTCCTCTCCCTTTGGAGGAGGGGTTACACATCCCAGCCCCCTTGCAGTTAGGGCCACAGGATTAGTTCTGGCCAATGTGTGGAGCAGAAGTGCAGTACATTCCTTCTAGGCCCAAGCAGAGAAGAGTGAGTTTGAGAACCCATGCCCATTCTTCCCCTGCCTTGGCAAGCGAGTGAGGCTGCCTGTCTGCAGTGGGGCACAGTCTCCCACAAACCAGACTGTACATGTCACGTAAGTGGGAAATAAACCCGGTTATTGTAAAGCCAAGTTACAAATCAATGAAAACAAGCTGCCATTTCAAAATCAGATTACCAAACAATATTTAAGGATCACTAACTTATTCTTTCTGGGGAAAAAAGCTGAACCAAACTCAACTCTAGTATGAATTTTACACACATTCTGGGAAGACACGCTTCAACATGCCCTGACGTGCCTTCTCAAGGACAGACAGGATCTTGATATGCACTAGGATCTGGGACTTTGAAAATTCCACAGAGATTTGTCTTTATAAACATCTTTTAAGTTTCATCTTAAATTTGTCAGTCTGCAAGCTTCTCAAGCCCAGGGTGTGAGACTATGCACCCCAGGTGCATCCAGCTGATCCTGAGGTGATGGGCCAGCACTCTGCCTCTCTGTAATGTCCTGCTAGAAAATCTCAAGCTTTTTTATTAATATAAGCAGAAAGAATCGTTTCAAAACAGAACTGCCACTGTCATACTTTGGTGGAGCAGACATTCCCAAAAGATCTAGGAGTGACATGTGATGACTATAAAGGGAATAGAAATGAGTTTGATCCAATGGCAGAAATTCCCAGTGAATGCATTTTAGAAACTTTTCTTCTGAAACAAACAGTTTCAGCACTTGAGTTATTTCTTTGCTTTGTCTACTCAACTGCTCATCACAATGAATTGGTCCATGATCACATTCTGTGCAAGTTTCCTCAAAAAGCGTTTCTAAAAGAGAAGCAAATCTTGCAAATGAAACAGTCTCATGGAAGCACAGTAGCAGTAGATGGATTTATGGTTTTCGGAATGGCAATCAAAAATGATTGTTTTTAAATGGCAATATGTTTTCCAAGTGCCCATTACTTTTAAAGCCCACCTTCGGGGAGGCCACAGAATGATTAGCAGCCATAAATGCTGCCATGTGAAAGCAGCAGAGGACACAGTTACTAGAGCACAATTTTGATTTGGAATTAAAACTGCCCTTGTTCAAGAAAATCCTCACAGAAACTGAAACCAGGGAAACAGTGAAAAGGAAAAATCGCCCATATATGGCAATCAGTTTTGACACGAGGCTCATCAATAGCCCAGTCTTTCCAAGGCACATCATTATCTATCTGATCTGCCAAATCTGATACTTAACAACATTGTCTTCAGAACAGTTGACATAGCCTGGAAAAGTCTATCTTGTAAATCACAAAGATGACAGGTTTCACAGATCTGATCAGTGATAAAAAGAAGGGAGGCATAAAAGAGCAGATGCCAGTATACTTGCTGGCACAATGAACTGAATGAACTATATGTATTTCAAGGAAGAAAAAACCCCTCTACATCCCAATTTTTATTGAGGCCCAGTAAGAAACCACTGACTTAACCTATTTATCTCAGCTCCTAATTAAACCGAGTTTTTGAAAGGTAAAGACAAATGACCAGGGAGATAGCATGATTTTGTGGTATCAAAAAGTGGTGGGGAAAGCTGAATCAGGTCAGCTGGGCAGGCATGCTGCAGCTTCTTCCACCTACCCTAAATCCACAGAAATAACAAAA